>NC_000015.10:46401874-47026874 GCF_000001405.40 Homo sapiens | reverse complement strand
TTGGCTCTTACTCTCTCACCCTTTCTTTGTGTCAGGTAGCTTCCCCTGGCTCCATGCTGGCCCCAGGTACATGGCTGCCCAGCTCTGCTCTTCTTTGTTCTCTGTGTGTCCCCTCACTCCCTTGATACATCCTGACATGGTTTCTTAGGTGATCCACCTGAAGAGTCAGTATTTACTCACCACTTTGTTTCCTATCCATGAAAGCAGTGCACACCAGCCACTTCTAGTCAGCCATCTTGAAATTGTGTGTCCTTCTTTCTTTTGCTGATGGCACTTAGGTTGAATCCACAACTTGGTAATTGTGAATAATGCTGCAATGAACATAGAAGTGGAAATATCTCTTCAGCATACTGATTCCACTTTTTTTTTTTTTGGATATACACCCAGCCTTGAGATTGCTGAATTATATGGTAATTTTATTATGTTTTCTAAGGAACCTGCATACTACTTCCATAATGGCTGTATTAATTTATATTCTCATCTGCAGTACATAAGGTTTTCTTTTTCTTCACATCCTCAACAACATTTGTAAATTTTTGTGTGTGTGGTTTGTTTTTGTTTGTTTGTTTGTTTGTTTGAGATGGAGTCTTGCTCTGTCGCCCAGGCTGGAGTGCAATGGCACAATTTCAGCTCACTGCAACCTCCGCCTCCCAGGCTCAAATGATTCTCCTGCCTCATCCTCCAGAATAGCTGGGATTACAGGCACTTGCCACTGTGCCAAGCTAATTTTTGTATTTTTAGTACAGACAGGGTTTCACCATATTGCCCAGGCTGGTCTTGAACTCCTGACCTCAGGTGATCCACCCACCTCGGCCTGCTAAAGTGCTGGAACTACAAGCGTGAGGCACCACACCTGGCCGTGTTTTGTTTTGTTTTGTTTTTTAAATAATAGCCACTCTAATAGGTGTTAGGTGATATATCATTGTACTTTGAATTTTTATTTCCCTAATGATGAGTGATGTTGAGTATTTTAAAATATATATTTGTTGGTCATTTGTATGTCTTATTTTGAGAAATATCTATTTGGATCTTTTGCCCATTTTGCAATTTTTTTTTCTTCTTGCTATTAAGTTCAAATTCTTTATGTATTTTGGATATTCACTACTTACCAGATCTACAATGTGAAAATTATTTTTTCCTATCTGAGGGTTGTCTCTTCACTCTATAAATTGCTTACTTTGCTGTGCAAAAGCTTTTTAGTTTGCTGCAGTCTCATTTGTTTATTTTTGTTTTTGCTGCTTATGCTTTTTGTATCATACCAAAGAAATTTCTGCCTCAACCAGTGTTGTGGAGGATTTTCACTATGATTTATTCTAGTATAGTATTACTTTTTTTTTTTTTTTTTTTGAGATGGAGTCTTACTCTGTCACCCAGGCTGGAGTGCAGTAGTGCAATCTCGGCTCACTGCAACCTCTGCCTCCTGAGTTCAAGCGATTCTCCTGCCTCAGCCTCCCAAGTAGCTGGGATTACAGGCACATGCCACCACTCATGGCCAATTTTTGTATTTTTGGTAGAGATGGGGTTTCATCATGTTGGCCAGGGTGGTCTCAAACTCCTGGCCTCAAGTGATCCACCCACCACTGCCTCCCAAGTTGCTCGGATTACAGGTGTGAACCACCATGCCTGGCCTTAATATTACATTTAAGTCTTTGATCCATTTTAAGTTGATTTTGGTATACAGTATAAAATGAGAATTGAATTTCATTCTTCTGCCTGTGGATATCTAGGTTTCCCAACACCATTTATTACAAACACTTTCCTTTCTCCATTACATGTTCTTGGCATTTTTGTTGAAAATCAATTGACCATAAATGCCTGGGTTCATTTCTGGGCTCATTATCCTGTTTGATTGGCCAATGTGTCTGTTTTTATGCCAGTACCATTTCTGTTTTGATAACTAAATGATTGACATAGAGCTTGAAGGCAGCAAGTATAATGCCTCCAAATTTGTTCTTTTTGCTTAAGATGTTTTGGCTATTTACTCTTCATGGTGCCAGATGAATTTTAGAATTGTTTTCGAATTTTTGATAGGGACTACATTAAATCTGTGGTTCTTTTTGAGTGGTATGGGCTTTTTAGCAATATTAATTCTTCCAATCCATAAATGTGAGATGTTTTTCCATTTATTTGTGTCTACTATTTTTTTCATAAATGTTTTATACCTTTTCATATACAGATTTTTCATTTCTTTGTTTCGGTTTACTCCAAAGTATTTCATGTTTAAATGCTATTGTGAATTGTATTGATTTCTTTTTTTAAAAATGGTTTGTTGTTAGTGTAAATAAATCTTTTTTTCTTTTTTTTTATTATATGGCCATCAGAGAAATGCAAATCAAAACCACAATGAGATACCATCTCACACCAGTTAGAATGGCGATCATTAAAAAGTCAAGAAACAACAGGTGCTGGAGAGGATGTGGAGAAATAGGAACACTTTTACACTGTTGGTGGGACTGTAAACTGGTTCAACCATCGTGGAAGACAGTGTGGGGATTCCTCAGGGATCTAGAACTAGAAATACCATTTGACCCAGCCATCCCATTACTGGGTATATACCCAAAGGATTATAAATCATGCTGCTATAAAGACACATGCACACGTATGTTTATTGTGGCACTATTCACAATAGCAAAGACCTGGAACCAACCCAAATGTCCAACAATGATAGACTGGATTAAGAAAATGTAAATAAATCTTCTAATTTGTGTGTGTTTATATTGTATTTTTCAAATTTACTGAATTAATTTGTCAGTTCTAATAGTTTTTTGGTGGAATCATTAGAATTTTCTATATAGAAGATCATGTCATTAACAAACAGAATTTTATTTCTTTCATTCCTATTTGAATATTTTTATTTCTTTTTCTTGTTTATTGCTCTGGCTAGAACTTCCATTAATATGTTGAATAGTTAAGTAGGCATCCTTGTTTTTTTTCTGATCTTAAAAGAAAAGCTTTTAATTATCTGTTACTGAGTGGGAGGTTAGCTATGGACTTTTCATTTATAGCCCTTATTGTATATAGATTCCTTCTATGTCTAATTTCTTTAGAGTTTTTAACATAAAAGCATTTTGAATTTTGTCAAATGCTTTTTTCTTTCTATTTTGATGACTGTAATGTTTTTGTCCTTCATTCCATTAATGTGGGTATCAAATTTATTTATTTGCAGACGTTGAACCATCCTTGTATCCCAGGGATAAACAACCCTTGATCACAGTGAATGATCCTTTTAAAGTGTTGTTGAATTTGTTTTGCTATTACTTTGTTCAGGATTTTTGCATCTATGTTCATCAGTGATATTGGCCTATAATTTTTATTTTCTTGTAGTATCTTTCTCTGACTTTGGTATTAGGACAATGTTGGCCTCAAAATATGAGTCTGGAAGTATTTCATAGTCTTTGATTTTTTGGAAGAGGTTTGAGAAACATTTGTATTAGTTATTCTTTAAACGTTTGTGGAATTCTGCTGTGAAGCCATCTGATCCAGGACTTTTGTCTTTGATGGGAGATTGTTATACTATTGAGTCACCCTCCTTACTCTTTGACTGTTCAGATCTTCTATTTCTTCTTTAATCAGACTTTGAGGTTTATGTGTCTACAAATTTATCCATTTCTTCTAGGTTATCCAATTTGTAGGCATAGAATTGTTCATAGTGGTTTCTTATACTCCTTTGTATATCTGTCTTATCAATTATAATGTCTCCTCTTTCTTTTCTAATTTTATTTAAGTCTTAGTCTCTTTTTTCTTTGACTAAAAGTTTATTGATTTTATTTTTCTATTTAAAAATGAGCTCTTCATTTTGTTGATCTTTTATATTATCTTTTTAGTATTTATTTCAGTTATTTATGTTCTGATTTTTATTACTTTCTTCCTTTTTCTGACTTTGGTCTTAGTTTGCTCTTTATTGTTTAATTCCTTGAGGTGGAATGTTTAGTTGTTTGTTTGAAATCTTTCTTCTTTTTTGATGTAGGCAATTATTTCTACAAACTTCTGCCTTCGTCTGTTATTGTTGTTATATAGGAATACCTGAGGCTGGGTAATTTATTATAAAGAAAGGAGCTTTATTTATCTTATGGTTCTGCAGGCTGTAAAAGAAACATGGTACCAGTATCTGCATGGCTTCTGGTAGGGGCTTTTGTGCTGCATCAAAATATGGTGAAGAAAGTCAACGGGGAAGTGGGCATGTGTGAGGAGGGACCAAACCCAGAGGTTTCCTTCTTTATAACAACCCACTTTCTTGGGAACTAATCTGTTTCCTCGAGAACCAATGTAGCCTCAAAAGAATGAGAACTCATTCACTACAATGAAACTGACCCCAAGTCATTCATAAAGGATCTTCTACCATGACCAAAATATCTACCACTAGATCCTACCTTGTAACACAGACATACTGGGGATCAAATTTCAAAATGATATTTGGTGGGAACAAACAAACCACAGCGACTACCACCTGGGAATCGCTATTGTTGCATATCATGTTTTGGAATTTTATGTTTTAGTTTTAATTTGTCTCAATTTTTTTTTAATTTTTCTTTAAAATTTTTCTTGACCCATTGGTTGTTCAGGATCATGTTGATTAATTTCCCACGTATTTGTTAATTTTCCAAAATAACTCCCATTATTGTTTCCTAGTTTAATTCTAGTATGCTGAAAAGACATGATATAATTTCAATCTTTTTAAATTTGTTAAGAGTTGTTTTTTGTCTTAATATATCATCTATCCTAGAGAAAGGACTATGTGTGCTTGAGAAGAATGTGTGTTCTGCTGCTGTTGGATGGAATGTTTTGTATATGTCAGTTAGGTCTTTTAGTTCTAAAATGTTATTAAAGTCCACTGTTTCCCTATTGATTTTCTGTTTGGTTGGTCCATCCATTATCAAAAGTCCTCTACTATTATGTATTGCAGTCTATCTCACCCCTGGATCTATTAATATTTGTTTTGCATATTTAGATGTTCCAATGTTAGGTACATATATGTTAAAAATGTTTTATATTTTTGATGAATTGACCCCTTTATTATTATAAAATAACCTTTTAAAACATTTTAAAAACCATTTTTGACTTAAAGTCTATTTTATTTGTTAAAAGTATAGTCACCTGGGTCTCTTCTGGTTTCTATGTGTGTGGAATATATTTTACCATCTCTTCACTCGGTGTTTGTGAGCTCTTAAGGCTAAAGTGAGTGTCTTTAGGCAGTATATTGCTGGATCTTGTTTGTTTTTATATCCATTTAACTACTCAGGTATTTTGATTGGATAATTAATTTACATTTAAAGGAATAATTAATAGGTAAGGACTTACTACTGGCATTTTGATGATTTTTTACCGATTGTTTTGTAGTTATTTTGTTCCTTATAATCCTAGTGTCTTTCTTTATGATATGTTGTACTTTTTAGTGGTACGCTTTCTTTTTCTCTATCTTTTGTATGACTACTAGAGGTTTTTTTTCTTTGTGGTTACCAAGAGGCTTATATAAAATAGCTTTTATAGCTTAAATTTTCTAATTTCAGTTTAAAGTACCTTATCTTCAATCATATACAGAGATTCTAAACTTATATTTCAATCCCACATTTTATGCTTTTGATGTCACACTTTACATCTATTTACATTTTGTATCTGTTCATTGTTTACAATTATAGTTGTTTTTTATATATTTGTCTAACTCTGATACTAAAAGTGAATTACACAGTGCTTCTACAGTACAACAGTATTCTGGTTTTGACTATATATTTCCCTTACCAGTGAGTTTTACACTTTTGTGTTTTTATATTGTTACTTATCTTTCTTTTTTTTTCTTTTTTATTTTTTTTGAGACGGAGTCTCACTCTGTCGCCCAGGCCGGAGTGCAGTGGCATGATCGCAGCTCACTGTAAGCTCCGCCTCCCAGGTTCACGCCATTCTCCTGCCTCAGCCACCTGAATAGCTGGGACTACAGGTGCCAGCCACCACACCCAGCTAATTTTATTTATTTTATTTATTTTTTGTATTTTTAGTAGAGATGGGGTTTCACCATGTTAGCCAGGATGGTCTCGATCTCCTGACCTCCTGATTTGCCCACCTCGGCTTCCCAAAGTGCTGGGATTACAGGCGTGAGCCACCACGCCCGGCCCTTTCTTTCATTTTAACTTGAAGAACTCTCTTTAGCATGTCTTATAAGGTTAGTCTCGTGGTGATGAACTTCCTCAGCTTTTGTTTGTCTTGGAACATCTTTACCTCTTTTTATGTTTTTGAAGCGCGAATTTGCTAGGTATAGTATTTTTGCTTGGCATTTTTGTTTTTCTTTTAGCATTTTGAGTATGTCATTCCATTCCCATCTTGTTTGCATTTTCTGTTGAGAAGTCTGCTGATAGCCTATGGGAGTTATTTTATGTAAGTTTTTCTCTCTTGCTGCCGTTAAAATTACTTCTTTGTCTTCAGTTTTTGAAAACTCGATTGTAACATGTCTCAGAGTATTCTTTTTTGAGTTGATCTTGCTGGAGATTCTTTGAGTTTTCTGAATTTCTTTTTCCTTATTTCTCCTAAGATTTGGGAAGTTTTCAGATATTTCTATAAATAAGCTTTCTGCCCTTTTCTTTTTTTCTCCATCTGACTTCTCATAATTCATATGTTTACATATTTGATAGTGTTTCACAGGTCTCTTATGCTTTATTCATTTTTTTTTTCTTTTTGAGATGGAGTTCCGCTCTTGTCGCCCAGGCTGGAGTGCAATGGCACAATCTTGGCTCACTGCAACCACTGCCTCCTGGATTCAAGTGATTCTCCTGCCCCAGTCTGCCGAGTAGCTGGGATTACAGGTGCCCATAACCATGCCCAGCTAATTTTCTGTATTTTTAGTAGGGATGGGGTTTCACCATGTTGGCCAGGCTGGTCTCATACTCCAGACCTCAGGTGATCCACCAGCCTCAGCCTCCCAAAGTGCTGGGATTACAGGCATGAGCCACCGCACCTGGCAGCTTTGTTTACTCTTTCTCTCTCTTTTTTTTTGGTTTGTTTCTTTAATTGGTCGGCTTCAAATGGCCTGTCTTTAAATTTGCTGATTCTTTCTTTTACATGATTAAGTCTGCTGTTGAAACCATTGAGTTTTTCAGTTCTGTCATTGTATTCTTCAGATCTAGGATTCTTCTTTAGTTTTTTATGGTTTTAATTTTCTCCTATACTTCACATTTTGTTTATGCATTTTGTTCAGCATTCTGTTTATGTCTTTCTAATTTTATTTAGTTGTTTACCTGTATTTTCTTACATCTCATTAGCTCCTTGTAGATGATTATTTTGAATTCTTTTTCAGGCAATTTACATATCTCCACTAACTTAGGGTCAGTTATTGGAGTTTACTAATTTGCTTTGGTGGTGTCATGTTTGTCTGATTTATTGTAGTTTGTATAACCTTACATTGGATCTCTGCATTTTAAGGGGAAAACCCGTCTTTCAGTCTTCACAGATGAGTTTTTTGGCATGTTAAATTCTTCTCCTGTTAGATCTCTGGGCTGATGAAGTTGCCTGTGGGATCACGATAAATTAGGGCTGGATAAGGGTCTTGTGGTTGATGCTAGGTCCATACTGGAGAGAAAGTTTTGCAGGGCTGGTACCAGAGACTTTAGTGGGTGTGGGTACTATTTGGTCCCTAGGTGTACTGGACTGTCTACAGGACCTTGGTCTGTGGTGCTGGCACTGGGATGAGGATCTTTTTCAGGGCTTACATATGACAGGCCTGTTACCAGGTGTTCTGATGGGTGTGGCTTCCTCTAGGTCTCTGGGAGAGATCCCATTGGATCACTGGATGGGTCCCTGGGCTGGCACTGTACTGCCCCAGTCTGTTGCTGAGACAGACTGGAGCTGAAACACGAGGTCATTTCAGCATCCACAGCTGACACCAAGGTCTTCAGGACTGTCTTTAGTGTCACAGATAGGTGTGTTTTCCAGGAGTTTCCTGGGTGAGCAGTTATGCTTTCAGACTGCAGCTGAGAAAGGCTATGAGGTTATTTTAAAATGCATAATGTGACTGAGGTCAGGGCATCAGCCTTCAGGGGCACTCCTGGGTATACCTCCCTCCAAGTCTCCAGGTGGGTATAACCACTCCCAGTCTACTTCTTGGAGGGGCTGAAACTGAGTTTCATGGTTATTTAAAAGTCTTCTACGAGACTTGTGTTGGCAAGCTCAACCCAATGGTACCAAGGGTGAGACTCCAAACAGATCTCTATGCAGGAAGCATAGTTCCCAGACTACCAAGTCATAGACTAACTTTCAGGTCCACTGCTGAAATTGATGTTGGCAGGTAGATGAGCCTGTCTGCCAAGGTACTAGAATGTGTTATTCCTCCCAGACTCCATGAAGGATGATATTGGTAGCAGGCTCAAGGCCAAACAGGCTGTAGCCATGTCTTTTGGGGAGCAGGGTTGTTTCTAGGTCTGAAGCTGAGACCACAATCAGTGAGTCAGCCACCTGGGTGTGGGTCTCAAAATAACCCTTCTAGGTCTTGGGCTCACTGAGATATCCCAATCTCCTACTTGAATCTAAAGGGTTCCCACAAAGAGATTTTTGTCTGTGGATGGGTATAGAATTCTTGTTGATGTGGGAGGATATGAATGGGTGACTATGACCTTGAGGAAGGTTCTATCAGTCCTCCTGCCTTGACATCAATTCTTTATGAGCTTCTGATGGGAAGGCTCTTGGAAAAAAATCTGATGAATTTTTGTGAACTATATATCTGAGGCTTTCAGTGATTTTAAATTTTCATGCTAGGCCATAACGGACTCAAGAATTTGTCAAAAATTCAGGTATTATGCTTTTACCTTATTTTTGACAGCTACTTCTTTTTATGCTATGTCAAATGGAAAAGAGTTGAGTGATCTACCTCTCACTAGAATAGTTTCTCACTCTAGAATCTCAATCATCTCAATACTCTGATGCAATGAATAAATTATTTTGTCTATTATTTGGAACATTCTCACTGTTAGTATGATGTTTTCTTCAAGAATTTGCATTCTATGTGGAAGCGGAACTTCGCTTGTTACTTGATCGCCTCCAGTTACTTTTAACTCGTGTTTGTACATATAACCTGGCAAATCAGAGGAATAAAACAAATACAAAATATAACGTAAAATAACAATGTACTTCTCTTAGTATAATTTTAATATTCTCCTTTTGATTATACTTTAATATGTGTTCAATCATTTATTAATTCATTTAACAAATATTTAACCAACATATAAGTATTACACATTTTTCAGCAATATTTCCTAAGTACTTACTACCATACTAGTTTTTAGACATATAAAAATAATATCATTTGCAGATTATGTAACTATTTCTAGGAACTTGAAGGGAAAAAGTTGTATAAATACTAGAACTAAAAAGAGATTTCAGTTATATGGTCAGTTACCATATAAATACATACAATTATTATTTTATAATAATAATGTTTTATAAGTTACATCGATTACAAATGCTAAGATAATGTAAGAAAAAATCTCATTCACAATAGCAGCACAAATTATAAACTACTTAGATTTAAATGTAACAACTGTGAACAAACTACATGAAAGTAAAGATAAATATTTATTAAATGAGACCTCAGTGGATAGACAGTCATATTCCATTTCCCCAAATGGAAAGAGTCAAGATTTTAAAGATTTTGATTCTTTCAACAAAGCACATGAATAAATTTATAGTATTTTCAATTAAAACTACATAATTTTTAGGGGAACTTGATTAAATAACCTCTCATGAAGGCAAAAAAAAAAAACCCTAATCAAATAGTAAAGCATAATGAATGAAAATAGTTACTGAGTATCTTTTTATTACAGTTCTTATGTGAGGTACTAGGGACAGTGAATAACAAGATAGACAAGACCCTGCCCACAGAGAAATTACAATCTAAAGGAAGAGTCTTACACTGAATAAGAAATTACATGAGGATCAGTTTTATCAAATTGTCTGGAAATTCTTCCTATAAAAATGATAATGAAGGTGAGCATTTGCGTAAGAACCAACTTTTTTGTTTCAGATGTTAACTTTATTTCTTAACTTGAATACTTTCATAGAGAATGGAGACATGAAAAGTTTTGATAAAGCATGAGTATATTTTAGTACTGTCACTGGTCTTTATAAAATGGTGGGTGAAGGAGGAGGAAGATATCTAGTCATTGATGGAAGTTAATGGTTAGGGTGTTCCATCACTTTAAACACATCTAATAGAAGAGACAAAGGGAAGGAAGAGGGATAGAACTGTTTCAACAGTCATCAGGTACCCAAGTGAAATGAATTCTTGCTGGCATAGTTGGGGTAAAGAGTAGCATCTCTATCAGCTGGTCTCAAAGGTTGTAAAAAACTAAATTATCCGGGCATCACTCATTATAAAGCTATAATAATTAAAATAGACATATAAGCTTAAATGACAGGAATTAAATATATGATTAAATTGAAATTATAAATTAATGACAAATGGGTGGATTATTTAAAATGTGACAGCTAGATGGCTTAAATTTAGGATTATCGTGTTATCTTACATCTTACGATGAAATAAATTCAAAATGTATGAAAGGTTTAAGCATGGAAAACACAGAGAAATGAGCATAAGGATAACTATTTGTGTCATTTGAGTATGAAGAGGAATCCTAAAAGAAAGGGATCAGGTAGAGAAGTCATGCAAAATAAAGATTATTTGACTACATAAGAAAAAATATTAAAATTATAAATAAATATAAATAATAATTAGGAAAATAAAAATCAACCTAATAGAAAATCTACGTATGATATAAGTAAGAAATTCATCAAGGAAAAATGTAATTGGCCAGAAAACATATTTTAAAATCATATTGTTTCTGAGAATGAAAATACCAGCTAAAATGTATATTTATATCTTTCATGGTCAAATTGCTAAAACTTATTTAAAAACAATTCCCTTCTTACCATTTGTAAAAAATATACTTTTATGTACTGATAAAAATTGGTATTGTACTGGCATAATAGCATATAATATTAATATAAAATTAATATAATAAAGAAGATAATTTGGTACCAATAATTAAAAATATTATATATACAGTTGCCTATTGCTTTGCCTTATGTCTTCACGTATTTCAACATAATACATTTCTGGAACAGAAGTGAAATTTTACCAAGTATTTGTCTATAAAGATGTTCATCAGAGTGTTATCTACAGTAGAAAAATGGGGAATCAGTAAAATGAAACAAGATAATTCTATATAGATATTTAAAGTGGTGCTTTAAAATGCATTTGGTGGTATGATATACTTGTCTTGCCTTAAAATATTAAGTGAAGAAATATATTTTAAAAACCTACTTAGAGTATATATTTTATTAAAAACAAAAACAAAGATAAATAGGTTGGACTTAATTAAACTAAAGAGCTTTTGCACAGCAAATATAACAGTCAGCAGAGTGAGTAAGTAGACAACACACAGAGTGGGAGAAAGTCTTCACAGTCTATACATCTGACAAAGGACTGATATCCAAAATCTACAGGGAACTCAGATAAATTAGCAAGAAAAAAAAAACAAACAATCCCATCAAAAAGTGGGTTTAGGACATGAAGACAATTATCAAAAGCAGATATACAAATAATCAACAAGCATGAAAAAATGCTCAACATCACTAATAATCAGGGAAATGCAAATCAAAACCACAATGCGATACCAACTTACTTTTGCAACAAGGGCCAAAATAAAAACAATTAAAAAAAAGATGTTGATGTGGATGCGATGAAAAGGGAACACTTTTACACTGCTGGTGGGAATGTAAACTGGTACAACCACTATGGAAAACAGTGTGGAGATTGCTTAAAAAATGAAAAGTAGAATTACCATGCGATCTAGCAATCCCACTACTGGGTATCTACTCAGAGGAAAAGAAGTCATTACACGAAAAAAATACTTGCACATACATGTTTATAGCAGCACAATTCTCAATTGCAAAAATATGGAACCAGCCCAAATTTCCATCAATCAATGAGTGAATAAAGAAATTGTGGTGTATGTATACACGATAGAATACTACCCAGCCATAAAAAAGAATGAATTAGCAGCATTCGCAGCAACCTGGATGGAAGTGGAGACTACTATTCTAACTGAAGTAACTCAGAAATAGAAAATCAAACATCAAGTATTCTCACTCGTATGTGGAGCTAAGCTATGAGGATGCAAAGACATAAGAATGATACAACGAATTTTCGGGACTTGGGGAAAAGGGTGGCAGGAGGGTGAGGGATAAATGACTACAAATCGGGTGATGGATGCACCAAAATCTCACAAATCACCCCTAAAGAACTGACTCATGTAACGAAATACCACCTATTCCCCAAAAATCTATGGAAATAAAAATAGAATATATAAATTGAAAAATTGAATATTCAATTTTTATTTCCATATATACATATATATATACATATATATATATATACATATATATATGTATATATATATATATATACAGAGAGAGAGAGAGAGAGATGTAGTAAAACAGAAACTATACGTGAAGATGTTTAAATGGTTATTTTACTTGGGAGTGATTATTTTCTTCTATTTACTTATTTTTAAAGTTTTTCTGTAGTAAATAACTTCTTGTGCACTTTTGAGGTTTTCTAAAACAATAAACTTAGTTTGATTCACTTTATGCCATTTATTATTCATTTATGCCATTGTGTGCTTTGGATAGTGTCTTACTTTTCAACTTCACTTTCCACATCTTTAAAACAGAATAGAAATACTCATTGTATGTTGTTTTGAGTATCATATACTATTAGAAATATCAACAGGTACGGTCATACATCACTTAACAATGGGGATACATTCTGAGAAATGAGTTATTAGGCAATTTTGCCTTTGCTTGAGCATCATAGAGTGTACATACATACACCTACATACTAATAGCCTACTGCACATCTAGGCTATATGGGTAAAGCCTATTACTCCTAGGCTACAAACCTTGACAGCATATTACTGCACTGAATACTGTAGACAGTTGTAATACAATGGTATTTTTATATCTACATACAGCTAAACATATAAAAGGTACAGTAAAAATGCAGTATTATAATTCTGTGGAACACTTTCATATATGTGGTCCCTCATTGACCAAAACATTGCTATGTAACACATGGCTATATTACTTTCATTCTTCCCTTTCCAAGATATTTTCTTTGGTTATCATTTCTATCATACATTTTTTCAGAATGTTATTTTAGAGATATATGTTTTTGCCAAGTTTGCATTTTTGCAAATTTGATGGAAGACATAAATTTCAAAATTTGACCAACAGTCACAAGTCAGAGTAGCAGCAACATCAAAAGTTGTCCCTGATGATCACTTATTTTCCAACTTTTTCACATGTAAACACTCTTTCCTCAAGTGAAAATCTAATTTGCAGGTGTGGGAGGATGTGATAGCTTCAATTACCATGTTTTGGCTTCAATTACCATGTTTTGGAGGCCCAGCGATAGGATATGTCATTACCGGGGAGAAAGCCTGAAGAAATGTGATCAGCCCTGGAAATTCCTATTCTTGCCAGACATATTTTGCCTCTAGGTACAGTTGTCCCTAAGATACCTCAGAGAATTGGTTCCAAGACCTTCCCTAGTACCAAAATCTGAGGATGCTCATGTTCCTTGTGTAAATGGCATAGTATTTGCACATAACCTACCCACATCCTCCGTTATAGCTTAAATCATCTCTAGGTTACTTATGGTACCTAATACAATGTGAAGGCTATGTAAAAAGTTGTTATACTGTATTGGTTTTCACCTGTATTACATTTTTATTGTTGTAGGTTATTTTTTATTGTTTTTTTCTCAAATATTTTTGATCCATGGTTGGTTGAATCTGTGGATGAAGAACCCAAGTAGACACAGGGCTGACTATATTGCCAGCAGCATCGCAACCCTGTTTTTACAGAAGCTTTGGCCATTGCTCATAGCACTGACTGCAGTATATGAAGAGACAAAGGAAGCAGGGATGCACTCAACAGAATCACATTGCTGTCCAGGTCACACATTTATAGTCTTCAACAACCTGTTCTTGATCAATAATAAATATTTACTGAGTGCTCACTGCATACCACATTACGATATTTTAACATCTCATTCAGTTGTTAGGATAGTCAATTTTGTAGATGAGAAGGCAGACTCAGAAAAGTTAAGCAATTTTCCCATAGTCACATAGCTAGTAAAGTGTCTTGAACAAAGATTCGTTGGCCCTGACTTTGGAGGCCCTCTGAAGCAATGTCTCTTTCCTTTTTCCTTCTGAGATTTTATCTTTCCTTTTTCAACCTTTTGGGATGCATAGCAATGTTTATATTTTTTATTGGCCTGAGCTTTGCGTAGTTCCGTAAACAGCCTTCTGTACCCCTTCTGCCTATTGCCTTGAGCTGTCTCCCATGGCCTTTTGTTCTATGCAGCAGCTTGGGTGATACCCAACCACACTAGAAAGGGCACTCTGCTTTAGAGAGTAAACTGATTCAAATGCTTGTCTCATCTAGAAACACCCTCACAGACACAACCAGAAATAATGTTTAGTCAAATATTGAGACCCCATGATCCATTCAAGCTGAAACATAAAATTAAACATCACAGGTCCCAAATGGCGTATATGTATATTAAAAAGAAGGAATAATCATGAGCTTTTCAGGCAAGGCTCTTTTACTAGCTGTGCAATATTGGACCAGTTTGTTTACTTCCTTCTTCTTCAACTTACCTTTAAAATGTAAATAATAAAAAAGTGAGTAAGTCATTAATTTCTAACACAGTGCCTAGAAGTCGGGAGATATAAATGCCAGTTCCCTCCTTTAGCCTCCCCCAACCTCACATACTTTCCATTCACTAACACTTATCTTCTTTAAATTTATAAATTCAAACAAAATCTCATTTTGTTAGATAGCCAAACAGATGATCGTATGATTATTTCTTAGCAGATATCTTGGTAAGATGAGATCATGGGCACTATTTCTGTCCCTCCTCTTATTAGCTAAGATTATTAAAACTCAATGGAAGAAAGTGAGGATTTCTTTACAAATCTTTAGGAATTCAACATGTCCAAATGGCCTAATAAATAAGACTTGTGAATATTTGCTTTGCACAGTTATATCCCCATCACACTAAAAAGAATTCTTCAAATGACGTCCCTAAAAAAAAAAATCGTATCTATGTGCAGCTACTATCTCTCATCTTCCCATGATAAAAACAGAAGAGGAAACAGCAGATGTACACAGAAATACACGTACAGACACACAAAAAAACCTCACAGAATATATGGATAAATAAGTCATAAAAAATGTACTCACTAATAATAGGGAAAGTTGTCCCAATGAAATCCTGTAAAGTTATATATATATATATATACACACACACACACATACACACACACACATATACATATGTATGTTTCTGTGTGTGTGTGTGTGTGTGTATATATATATATATATATATATATATATATATGACCAGCTTTCTTTCTTTCTTTTTTGATAAGTTTTTTAGTAGTGATTTCTGAGATTTTGGTGCACTTGTCAGCCAAGCAGTGTACACAGTACCCAATGTGTTGTCTCTTATCACCCACCCTTCTCCCACCCTCTTCCCCAAGTCTCCAAAGTCCATTGTATAATTCTTATGTCTTTGAGTCCTTGTAGCTTAGCTTCCACTTATAAGTGAGCACATATGAAGTTTGATTATCCATTCCTGTGTTACTTTTAGAATAATGGTCTCCAACTCCATCCAGGTTGCTGTGAATGCCATTATTTCATTCTTTTTTATGGCGGAGTAGTATTTCATGGTATATGTATACTACGTTTTCTTTTCTTGTTGGTGGGAATTTAGGCTATTCCATATTTTTGCAGTTGTGACTTGTACTTTTATAAATATGTATATGCAAGTATCTTTTTCTTATAGTAACTGCTTTTCTCCTGGATAAATACCCAGTAGTGGGATTACTGGATCAAATGGTAGTTCTACTTTTAGTTCTTTAAGGAAACTCCATACTGTTTTCCATAGTGGTTGTACTAATTTACATTTTCACCAGCAGTGTAAAAGTGTTCCCTTTTCACCAAATCTATGCCAACATCAATTGTTTTTTGATTTCTTAATTATGGCAACTGCAACAAAAACAAAGATAAATATAGGGGATCTAATTAAACTACAAATGTCTGCACAGCAAAAGAAATAATCAGCAGAGTAAACAAGCAACCCACATAGTGGGAGAAAATCTTTTGCAAACTCTCCATCTGACAAAGAACTAATATCCAGACACTCCAAGGAACTCAAACAAATCAGCAAGAAAAAAAAATAAATCCATCAAAAAATGGGCTAAAGACATGAATAGACAATTATTAAAAGAAGATAATAAACATACAAAAAGGACATTTTCTCACTGAGATATCTTCTTATTTTATTTTTATATTATTGATTATAAAAGCAAAGCAAGAAATATGTAAACCATATTACCAATCTATATTTTCTTTTGCAACTTCTCATCTTTCATAATTCATGCTACTAGTTGTGGGAGTTCGTGGGCTAAAACCTCCCTTCCCTATTTTAGGATTTATTTATTATGATAAGCTTTCACATTTTACAGGTGAATTTGAGGAGTCTGCAAAATAGAGAAATATATATTTTTATGTTATGTATGAAACCCAAGGACAAAAGATTGTGTAGTATGTATCATCACTGTAGTCAGTAGGCCCATAAAAGGTAAGTAAATTGTCTAAAAGTATTAAGAAACAAAAGGGAAATTGTAGTATTTTCCAATTCTGTTGTGAGCTCACTTTGTCTGCAACAATATTGACAGTGGACGTATGGCATGAAGAGATAATCTAGTGCATGTGTGGGAGGGAGAGCACAGTGATTGTAGAATTTTGCATTGGAACACAGTGCTGCCCTGTCACAGTATAATGTAACACAAGGCAGACTTCAGCTGGCGACCAATGAGGAACACTTAGACCACCCCTAGCCAGAGGTGAATCCTACATCCCAGTGGTTAGAATCTGAGTTCTGGCAAGCTCCACCACCATGGACTAAAGAGCTCTGGGATCCTAAATAATCCTAAAAGGCAATCTAAGCCACCAAGACTGCAACGCTTGGGAAAGTCCTGATGCTGTGCTGGGCTTGGAACCAGTGGACTTGGGGTACATGTAACCTACTAAGATACCAGCCAGCTGGAGCAGCCAATGTAGTACTTGCATCACTCCTCTTCCAACCCCAGGACATGCAGCTTGCAGCTCCAGGAAAGACTTCTTCCTTCTGCTTGAGAAGAGGAGATGGGGAGATTAAAAGGACTTTGTTCCTGTAACTTGGATACCAGCTAAGCCACAGTAGAATAGGGCATCAGGCAAAGTTCTGAGGCCCCCATTCCAGGCCCTAGCTCCATGATGATATGTCTAGACACACTCTAGGCCAGAAGGAAACCCATTACCTTGAAGGCAAGGACCCAGTCCTGTAAGGATTTATTGTCTGTTTACTAAAGAGCCCTTGGACCCTAAAAAAATCAGCAGTGGTAGTCATGCAGTCCTTGTCATGGACCTTGGGTTAGACTCAGAGCCATGTTGGCTTCAAGTGTGATCCAGCACATTCCCAGCTATAGTGGCTGTGGGGAGAGTCTCCTTCTTCTTGAGAAAAGTGGAGGAAAGAGTAAACGTGACTTTGTCTTCAAGTTTAGGTACCAGCTTGGTCACTGTGGGGTAGAGAAGGTTCCTGGGGTCCCTGATTCCAGGATTTGGCTCCTGGACAGCATTTCTGGACCTGCCCTTGACCAGATAGTATTCTACTGCCCTGAAGGGAGAGACTTGAGACTAGCAGCATTCACCACTAGCTGACTACAGAGCCCTTGGGACTTGAATGAACATTGGTGGTAGCCAGGCAGTACTTGCTATGAAACTGGGGTGGTGGTGGCCATGGGGAGAAACTTCTCTGCTTGAGAAAAGGGGAATGAAGAGTGGGAATAACTTTGTCTTGTGACTTGGTTGCCAGCTCAGGTGCAATAGAATAGACCACTAGGTAGATTCCTAAGGTTTCTGATTCCAGACTATGACTTCTGGAAAGCATCTTTGGAACTGCCTGAGGCCAGGGAGAACTTGCTTCTCTGAATGGAAGGACACAAGCCTAGCTGGATTCACTGTCTGCTGACTATGTAGCCCTTGGGCCTTGAGTGAACATAGGTGGTAGCCAGGCAGTAGTCACTGTGGGCCTTGGGTGAGACCCAGTGCTGTGCTTGTACTGGGTCTGACCCAGTGCAGTCCTAGAAGTGGTGGCCAAAGGGGTGCTTGCGTCACCCTTCCCCCAGCTCCAGGAAGCTCAGTAGAGTGAGACTCTGTTTGGGGGAAAGTAGGGAAGAGAACAAGAGTCTCTGCCTGGTCATCCGTGGGAATTCTGGATCTTACCCCTAAACGCCAAGGCAATAGCTTTATGAGACTGCAAAAGTCACAGAGTTACTAGGCTTCGGGTACCCCCTAATGCAGATATTGCTGCAGAGACAAAAGACTTAGGTCACAATACTCAAGTCCCTTTGAATACCTGGAAAGCCTTCCAGGCACAAAACAAGATCTATAGAACTCTCAGCCCCAAATCAAGAGAATATACATTCTTCTCAGCAACACATAGCACTTATTCTAAAATCAACCACATAATCGGAAGCAAAACACTCCTCAGCAAATGGAAAAGAACAGAAACCGTAACAGTCTCTCAGACCACGGTGCAATCAAATTAGAACTCAGGATTAAGACACTCAAAACTGCACAACTACATGAAAACTGAAGAACCTGCTCCTAAATGACTACTGGGTTAAAAATCAAAATTAAGGCAGAAATAACGAAGTACTTTGAAACCAATGAGAACAAAGAGACAATGTACCAGAATCTCTGGAACACAACTAAAGCAGTGTTAAGAGGGAAATTTATAGCACTAAATGCCCACATTAGAAAGTGGGAAAGATCTCAAATCAATACACTAACATCACAATTAAAAGAACTACTAGTGAATCAAGAGCAAACAAATTCAAAAGTTAGTAGAAGACAGGAAATAACTAATATCAGAGCAGAACTGAAGGGTGGAAAAAGATATTCCACTCAAATAGGAATAACAAAAATCAAGAGTAGCTTGACTTACATCACAGAAAACAGGTTTCAAGAAAACCCCATTGTCTCAACCCCATTGTCTCAACCCGAAAACTCCTCAAACTGATAAACAACTTCAACAAAGTCTCAGGATACAAAATTGATGTGCAAAAATCACAAGCATTCCTATACACCAATAACAGACAAGCAGCAGAGAGCCAAATCATGAGTCAACTCCCATTCACAATTGCTACATTGAGAATAAAATATAGAGGAATACAACTTACAAGGGATGTGAAAGACCTCTTCAAGGAGAACTACAAACCACTGCTCAAGGAAATAAGAGAGGACACAAACAAATGGAAAAACATTCCATCCTCATGGATAGGAAGAATCAAGATCATGAAAATGGCCATATTGCCCAAAGTAATTTATAGATTCAATGCTATTCCATCAAACTACCATTGACTTTCTTCACAGAACTAGAAAAAACTTTAAACTTCATACGGACCCAAAAAAGAGCCCATATAGCCAAGACAATCCTAAACAAAAAGAACAATGCTGGAGGCATCATGCTACCTGACTTCAAACTATACTACAAGGCTACAGTAATGAAACAGCATGGTACTGGTACCAAAACCGATATATAGACCAAAGGAACAGAACAGAGGTCTCAGAAATAACACCTCACATCCACAACCATCTGTTCTTTGACAAACCTGACAAAAACAAGCAATGGAGAAAGGATTACCTATTTAATAAATGGTGCTGGAAAAACTGGCTAGCCATATGCAGAAAACAGAAACTGGACCCCTTCCTTACACCTTATACAAAAATTAACTGAGGATGGATTAAAAACTTAAACGTAAAACCTAAAACCATAAAAACCCTAGAAGAAAACCTAGGCAATACCATGGAGAATATAAGCATGAGCAAAGACTTCATGACTAAAATACCAAAAGCAATTGCAACAAAAGCCAAAATTGACAAATGGGATCTGATTAAATGAAAGAGCTTCTGCTCAGCAAAAGAAACTATCATCAGAGTGAACAGGCAACCTACAGAATGGGAGACAATTTTTGCAATCTATCCATCTGACAAAGGTCTAACATCCAGCACTTACAGGGAACTTAAACCAATTTACAAGAAAAAAAAAACCCCATCAAAAAGTGGGCAAAGGATATGAACAGATACTTCTCAAAAGAAGACATTTATGCGGCCAACAAACATATGAAAAAAAAAGCTCGTCATCTCTGGTCACTAGAGAAATGCAAATCAAAATCACAATGAGATACCATCTCGCGCCAGTTAGAATGGCGATCATTAAAAAGTCAGGAAACAACAGATGCTGGCGAGTATATGGAAAAATAGGAATGCTTTTACACTGTTGGTGGGAGTGTAAATTAGTTCAACCATTGTGGAAGGCAGTGTGGCGATTCCTCAAGGATCTAGAACCAGAAATACCATTTGACCCAGCGATCCCATTATGCAAAGGATTATACGTCATTTACTGTAAAGAAACATGTGCATGTATATTTATTGCAGCACTATTTACAATAACAAAGACTTGGAACCAACCCAAATGCCCATCAATGATAGACTGCATAAAGAAAATGTGGCACATATACACCATGGAATACTATGCAGCTATAAAAAAGAATGAGTTCATATCCTTTGCAGGGACATGAATGAAGCCAGAAATCATCATCCTCAGCAAACTAACATAGGAAGAGAAAACCAAACACTGCATGTTTTTACTCATAAGTGAGACTTGAATAATGAGAACACATGGACACGAGGAAGGGAACATCACACACCAGAGCCTGTCAGGGGGCAGAGGCAAGGGAAGGAAAGACATCAGGACAAATATCTAATGCAGGGCTTGAAACCTAGATGATGTGTTGATAGATGCAGCAAACCACCATGGCACATGTATACCTGTGTAACAAACCTGTACATTCAGCACAATGTATCACAGAACTTAAAGTAAACAAAACAAAACAAAAAACAAAACTGAAGGCCAATATCCCTGATGAACATTGATGTAAAAATCCTCAATAAAATACAAGCAAACCAAATTCCACAACACATTAATATGATCATTTATTATGACCAAGTAGGATTTTCCCAGTGATGCAAGGATGGTTCAACATATGCAAATTAATCAATGTGATTTATATCAACAGAATGAATGACAAAAACATATGATAATTTCAATTGATACTGAAAAAGCATTTGTTAAATTTCAATATCCCTTCATGATAAAAACTCTAAAAACCTGGGGATACAAGAAACATTCCTGAACACAATAAAAGCCATATGTGACAAACCCAAAGCTAGTATCATAATGAATGGGGAAAAAACTGAAAGCCTTTTCTCTAAGACATGGAAAATTATGATGCCCACTTCCACCACTATTATTTGACACAGTACTACAAGTCATAGCTAGAGGAACCAGATAAGAGAAATAAATAGACATCTAAATTGGAATAAAATAAGTCAAATTATCCTTGTTTTCAGATGATATGATCTTAATATTTAGAAAATCTTAAGAGTCCACCCAAAACTGTTAGAACTGATAAACAAATTCAGTAAAGTTAAAGGGTACAAATTCAACATGCAGGAATCAGTAGCATTTTTATATGCCAAGAGTAAACAATCTGAAAAAAGAAATTTTAAATGTAACCCCGTTTACAATAGATACAGATAAATAATATAACTAGGAATAAACTTTACCAAATATGTGAAAGATCTCTATAATGATAACTATAAAACATTGATGCAAGAAATTGATGAGGACACAAAAAATGGAAAGATATTCCATCTTCATGAATTGGAAGAATTGACATCGTTAAAATATTTATACTGCTGAAAGCAATCTACATATTCTATGCAATCTTATCAAAATACCATTTTAATCTTCATAAAAATAGTAGAAATAATTCTACAATTTATATCAAACCACTATAAAGACCACAATTGCCAAATCGATACTGAGCCAAAAGAACAAAACTGGAGGAACCACATTGCTAGACTTCAAATTATACTACAAAGGCATAGTAACCAAAACAGCATGGTATTGGCATAAAAACACACATAGACCAATGGAACAGAATACAGAACCCAGTAAGAAATCCACACATCTACAATGAAGTCACTTTTGAAAAAGAAGCCAAGAACATGCAATGGAATAACAACCTCTTCAATAAACTGTGCTGGGAAAACTGTATATCTGCATGCAGAAGAATGAAACTAGACCCCTACCTCTCATCATATACAAAATTTAAATCAAAATAGATTAAAGATTTAAATCTAAGACCTCAATCTATGAAACTACTAAAATAATACATTGGGGAAACTCTCCAGGACATTGGTCTGGGCAAAGGTATCTTGAGTAATACTCCATAAGCACAGACAACCAAAACAAACATGGACAAACCAAATCCAAAGCTAACATAAGGAAATTAATAACAATAATAATAATTAACAGAAATAAGAAAATACCATAAAGCAATGCTATTGAAAAGAAATAAATAGAGAAGGGCAATGAAACAGAGAACTAGTTCTTCAAAAACAATAATAAAATTGACAAACCTCTAACAAGAATTACACAGAAAACAAGAAAGCACCATTGCCAATATCAGGAATGGAAGGAAATATCACTAGAGTCTGTAAACAGCAAAAGGATAATAAGGGAATACTACAAATGACTCTCCACATATAAAATTTTACAACTTAGATACTAAAAATCCTTTAAAAATACAAACTACAAAACTCGTTATTTTGAAATAGATAATTTTATTTGCCTTATCACTATTAAAAAATTTATAATTTAAAAAATACCAACGGAAAAAACAATCTACAAGCTCAGTTGTGGCAGGCCAATTCTCCCTAATAATCACACAAACAGGCCTGCATGACAATCACACAGACAGGCCTGCATAGCACTTCAGTTACACAGACAAATTTCCACAGAGCAGCACAGACTAACAGTATAAGGAAGCTAGAAGTGGACATGGGGGTGGGGGTACTGGGGGGCTGGAATGCCTGCAGCTGCAAGAAGATGTCTGGGAACAGACACAGAAACTCTCTCTCCTAGATAAGCAAAACACAGCAGCACAAAGGCAACTGTTTGAATAAATTCGCTGGAGAGTCAAAGGCAGCTCTCCAGACCAAGCTGTAAAAGAGATAAAATAGAAATAGTCACCCCAGTAACATAATAGACAGGCCTTAAAGGTACTGGGGTTATCACAGCTTAATCAAACTTAGCAAGCCTCTAACCTTCTAGTTGAAACGAATTAGTTGCCAATAGACTTAGGCAAATGCTATACTGTACATAGGCATATAACCCTAACCAATATAAGCACTAAGAAAATTGTACAACTTTGAGTTGGTCTGGTGGAATTATCTCCAGCCTTCTCCCTGTATCCAGTTACAGCAGTGAATTCCCTTCTTTCCTAGTTTTTCTGCTTCTTGTTATTGGGCCTCAAGAAAACACAGCCAGACCCAGCTTGGTTCTGGGACCACAGTGAGTTTCACTGTTTTTACGAAAGATATATACCAAATGTTAAAAATAAGTAAAACAAATTTTACATTGTGTCTTTCAAAAAATAGTAAAGAAGATTTCTCAACTCACTTTTAGAAGCTAGTATTACCTTGATTTCAAATCCAGACAGAACCAATGCCAAAAAGAAAATTACAGACTAATATCCCTCATAAATATAGAAACAAAACTCCTTAAAATTTTAGCAAATGAAATCTAATAATATATAAAAAAGATTGTACACTATGAACATGTTAGGTTTATTCCAGGGATGAAAAGCTGATTTCATTCTGGAAAATCATTTGACAATCTGTAATAGCATGGTACTGGTACCAAAACAGAGATATAGACCAATGGAACAGAACAGAGCCCTCAGAAATAATACCACACATCTACAACCATCTGATCTTTGACAAACCTGACAAAAACAAGAAATGGGGAAACGATTCCCTATTTAATAAATGATGCTGGGAAAACTGGCTAGCTATACATAGAAAGCTGAAACTGGATCCCTTCCTTACACCTTATACAAAAATTAATTCAAGATGGATTAAAGACTTAAATGTTAGACCTAAAACCATGAAAACCCTAGAAGAAAACCTAGGCAATACCATCCAGGATATAGGCATGGGCAAGGACTTCATGTCTAAAACACCAAAAGCAGTGGCAACAAAAGCCAAAATTGACAAATGGGATCTAATTAAACTAAAGAGCTTCTGCACAGCAAAAGAAACTAACATCACAGTGAACAGGCAACCTACAGAATGGGAGAAAATTTTTGCAATCTACTCATCTGACAAAGGGCTAATATCCAGAATCCACAAATAACTCAAACAAATTTACAAGAAAAAAACAAACAACCCCATCAAAAAGTGGGTGAAGGATATGAACAGACACTTCTCAAAAGAAGACATTTATGCAGCCAAAAGACACATGAAAAAATGCTCACCATAACTGGCCATCAGAGAAATGCAAATCAAAACCACAATGAGATACCATCTCACACCAGTTAGAATGGCAATCATTAAAAAGTCAGGAAACAGCAGGTGCTGGAGAGGATGAGGAGAAATAGGAACACTTTTACACTGTGGGTGGGACTGTAAACTAGTTCAACCACTGTGGAAGTCAGTGTGGTGATTCCTCAGGGATCTAGAACTAGAAATACCATTTGACCCAGCCATCCCATTACCGGGTATATACCCAAAGGATTATAAATCATGCTGCCATAAAGACACATGCACATGTATGTTTATTGCGGCACTATTCATAATAGCAAAGACTTGGAACCAACCGAAATGTCCAACAATGATAGACTGGATTAAGAAAGTGTGGCACATATACACCATGGAATACTCTGCAGCCATAAAAAATGATGAGTTCATGTCCTTTGTAGGGACATGGATGAAGCTAGAAACCATCATTCTCAGCAAACTATCGCAAGGACAAAAAACCAAACACCGCATGTTCTCACTCATAGGTGGGAATTGAACAATGAGAACACATGGACACAGGAAGGGAAACATCACACACCGGGGCCTGTTGTGGGGTGGGGGGAGGGGAGAAGAATAGCATTAGGAGATATAACTAGTGTTAAATGACGAGTTAATGGGTGCAGCACACCAACATGGCACGTGTATACATATGTAACTAACCTGCACGTTGTGCACATGTACCATAACACTTAAAGTATAATAAAAAAAATGAAATATGTGATTACATTATTACCCAGCATTGTATTCCTAGGCATTTACCCCAGGGAAATAAAGACTTACATGTTTACACAAAAAGCTGTACAAGAATCTTTTTAACAGTTTCATTTATAATAGCTTAAACTGGAGAAAGAATGAGATGTTTTTCAGAATGTAAATGGTTAAACACAGTATGGTATATCCACACTATGAAATACCACTCTGCAGCAAAAAGGAACAAACTGGTCACATGCAATAACCTGGATGCATCTCCAGAGAATTAAAAGGGGGAAAGAAAGCCAATCCTGAAGAGTTCCATGTTGTGTAATTCTATTTATAATAACATTTTTTAAATGGCAACATTATAGAAATAAAGAACACATTAATGATTTTTCCTGGGGTTGAAGAAAAGGTGGATGTGGATGAAAGTGGGTGTGGTTACACAATGCAAGAGGGTCATGCCTGTAATCCCAGCTACTTGGGAAGCTGAAGTGTGAAGATTGGTTGAGGCTAACAGTTCAAAACCAGCCTGAACAACATAGCGAGGCCTCGTCTCTAAAAAAATAAAATTAGCCAGGGTAGCGGTGCGCTCCTGTAGTCCCAGTTACTTGGGAAGCTGAGGTAGAGGATCACTTGAGCCCAGGAGTTTGAGGCTGCAGTGAGCTATGATTGTGCCACTGCATTCCAGCTTGGGCAACAGAAACCCCATCTCTTAAAAAAAAAAATGCATGAGGAAAGATTGTGGTGATAGAGGTGTTCTGTATCTTGATTGTATCAGTGTGAGGATCCGGGTTGTGATAGTGTAGTATTCTCTATCTTGAGTGTATCAATGCCAGGATCCGGGATGTGATAGTGTAGTATTCTCTATCTTGATTGTATCAATGCCAGGATCTGGGTTGTGATAGTGTAGTATTCTCTATCTTGATTGTATCAATGCCAGGATCCGGGTTGTGATAGTGTAGTATTCTCTATCTTGAGTGTACCAATGCCAGGATCCGGGTTGTGATAGTGTAGTATTCTCTATCTTGAGTGTATCAGTGCCAGGATCCGGGTTGTGATAGTGTAGTATTCTCTATCTTGAGTGTATCAGTGCCAGGATCCAGGTTGTGAAAGTATACTATGGTTTTGCAAGATTCTTTTTTGGGGAAATGGTAAAGTGTACATGGGATTTCTCTCTATTATTTTTTACAATAGCATGTGCAGCTATGAGTATCTTAAAATAAAAGGTTTAATTTGAAAAAAAGCATGTCCTACTTACATCTGTTGGATTTTTTTATTAAAAAAAACCTCAAAGTATCCCTAATTTCATCTTCTCAACAGAATAAAATACAGAGCCAAGAGATTACCAAGGATATACTGTGATTGGGTATTGATTATGTGAATGAATGCCATAATTATTTACAACTACAAGAGATACATTTGGATATGCAGGATTTCCTATGTTTAAAGATGTTAAAAACATTTATATACTTACAGATATTAAATGTTATAAAAGGTTTTCTTTGTTTCTGTAGACCCCTTAAGTATCTGGCATCGATATTAGCAGAAGTCTGTTTTTCTTTCAGTTGACATCTTATTAGGAAGCTCTATAGCAGGAACGTGTGGTGGTGCCCATATTTGTATAACAAAATAAGTGTAAAAATCTGCATAGCCTGGGCACAGTGGTTCATGCCTGTAATCCCAGCACTTTGGGAGGCCAAGGCGGGTGGATCATCTGAGGTCAGGAGTTTGAGACCAGCCTGATCAATATGGTGAAACCCTGTCCCTACTAAAGATACAAAAATTAGCTGGGCGAGGTGGTGGGTTCCTGTAATCCCAGCTACTCAGGAGGCTGAGGCAGGAGGATTGCTTGAACCCAGGAGGTGGAGGTTGCAGTGAGCCGACGTCATGCTACTGCACTCCAGGTGCAGAGCAAGGTGACAGAGTAAGACTCTGTCAAAAAAAAAATGCATAAAACAAGAATGTAGATAATCATGATTAAGACAATATTACAAATAAGAATGGTTTTTATAAGGAAGGGATCCAGTTTCAGCTTTCTACGTATGGCTAGCCAGTTTTCCCAGCACCATTTATTAAATAGGGAATCCTTTCCCCATTGCTTGTTTTTCTCAGGTTTGTCAAAGATCAGATAGTTGTAGATATGCGGCATTATTTCTGAGGGCTCTGTTCTGTTCCATTGATCTATATCTCTGTTTTGGTACCAGTACCATGCTGTTTTGGTTACTGTAGCCTTGTAGTATAGTTTGAAGTCAGGTAGTGTGATGCCTCCAGCTTTGTTCTTTTGGCTTAGGATTGACTTGGCGATGCGGGCTCTTTTTTGGTTCCATATGAACTTTAAAGTAGTTTTTTCCAATTCTGTGAAGAAAGTCATTGGTAGCTTGATGGGGATGGCATTGAATCTGTAAATAAACTGGCTAGCCATATGTAGAAAGCTGAAACTGGATCCCTTCCTTACACCTTATACAAAAATCAATTCAAGATGGATTAAAGATTTAAACGTTAGACCTAAAACCAAAAAAACCCTAGAAGAAAACCTAGGCATTACCATTCAGGACATAGGCGTGGGCAAGGACTTCATGTCCAAAACACCAAAAGCAATGGCAACCAAAGCCAAAATTGACAAATGGGATCTAATTAAACTAAAGAGCTTCTGCACAGCAAAAGAAACTACCATCAGAGTGAACAGGCAACCTACAACATGGGAGAAAATTTTCGCAACCTACTCATCTGACAAAGGGCTAATATCCAGAATCTACAATGAACTCAAACAAATTTACAAGAAAAAAAACAAACAACCCCATCAAAAAGTGGGCGAAGGACATGAACAGACACTTCTCAAAAGAAGACATTTATGCAGCCAAAAAACACATGAAGAAATGCTCATCATCACTGGCCATCAGAGAAATGCAAATCAAAACCACTGTGAGATATCATCTCACACCAGTTAGAATGGCAATCATTAAAAAGTCAGGAAACAACAGGTGCTGGAGAGGATGTGGAGAAATAGGAACACTTTTACACTGTTGGTGGGACTGTAAACTAGTTCAACCATTGTGGAAGTCAGTGTGGCGATTCCTCAGGGATCTAGAACTAGAAATACCATTTGACCCAGCCATCCCATTACTGGGTATATACCCAAAGGACTATAAATCATGCTGCTATAAAGACACATGCACACGTATGTTTATTGCGGCACTATTCACAATAGCAAAGACTTGGAACCAACCCAAATGTCCAACAATGATAGACTGGATTAAGAAAATGTGGCACATATACACCATGGAATACTATGCAGCCATAAAAAATGATGAGTTCATGTCCTTTGTAGGGACATGGATGAAATTGGAAACCATCATTCTCAGTAAACTATCGCAAGAACAAAAAACCAAACACCGCATATTCTCACTCATAGGTGGGAATTGAACAATGAGATCACATGGACACAGGAAGGGGAATATCACACTCTGGGGACTGTGGTGGGGTGGGGGGAGGGGGGAGGGATAGCACTGGGAGATATACCTAATGCTAGATGACACGTTAGTGGGTGCAGCGCACCAGCATGGCACATGTATACATATGTAACTAACTTGCACAATGTGCACATGTACCCTAAAACTTAGAGTATAATAAAAAAAAAAAAAAAAAAAAAAGAATGGTTTTTATAAGTTGGGACAAAGAAAAATAAGTTTTTAAAAGAATATATTTATTTGATCCTTTTATAAGAATAGCCCTTTTTCTTTTCAACATCTGACTGTACTTTTAAATTAAAAATAGTGCTTATCTGTGTTTCGGCCTTGCAAAATGCTAAGGGACATTTTTTGTGAAAGCCTGGAATGGATTTACTACATCATTTGCTACTGGCAGCACTGAGAGGAAGAGGTAATAAAAATATATCTGTACAGCAGTTCTGGTGGATATAATTCTGGGGATCTCCCAGCTGGAAAAAACTGGCACTTTGTATCTTGGACTACATGTGAAAAGAAACATTGTGAAAATCACGCAATTAGACTGAAGGCTATGGCAGAGTCATAGATATGTGTGCATATGTGTGCGTGCTGAAAATGTAGCTTGTGTTGCTCCATACATTTCCAAAGAAAAGCAAAGATCTCAGTTCTTATATCTGTTCTCAGGCTCTTCATGCACTTTCTTGCAATCTCTGTGTATGCTTAGAACAAGAGAGGGTTGGAGTCAAAATGTCACCGGAAGCAAAAGAACCGTGTCAATGTTTTCATCATCCACTAGGGGAAAAGGGAAGTTTTGCATTCATTCTACTGAAGGAAAATACTCCATTCCCCAATCACACATATATTTCTATGTGTCAATGCACTGAAATACTGCGAAAAGGGGGACAGGGCCAAGATGGCTGACTAGAAGCAGTGGTAAACAGAGGCTTCCATTAAAAAGAATCATAATACCCTGTGAATCCTGCACCAGCTACCAAGGTATCCAGGTTCTCTCATCAGAACTGACTACTTGGCTGGCATGATCCACAGAGAGGAAGGAAGAGCAGTGTGGTGTGGCGGCCCACCTGAGAACTACATGGGGCAGGGGACCCCCAAACCCCCACCCAAGGGAGGTGGTGAGTGAGCATGCTACCCAGCACGGGAAACTGCTTTTTCCATGGAACTATGCAACCCACGGATCAGAAGATCCCACTTGCAAACCCACGCCACCAGGGCCTAGGGTCCCAACCCTGGAGCAGGGCAGATTCTCAACAGCCCCTCAGCTAGAATTACTGAAGCCTGCGGAGCTCCTGGGAGGAGGGGAGACTAGCACTACAGCTGTAGCTACCTGCTGTCTAAGCCTTTTGAGCTCTTGTGGGAGGGGCAGCAGCCAGCACTGGGACTCATAACTGCCTAACACACTAAGCTCCCTGGGCGAGGGAAGGGCAGCATCCATCTCTATATCGCCAGACTGTGCTTTTTCCCTGCTGGAGCCAGGGAGGCTGGACAGCTTGGTCTCAAGAGGTGTCTCCTACAGCCCAAAACTCTGGCTGTGGCAGACTGCAGCCAGAGCTCCTCTTCAGGCCTGACCCTGACTCATCCTTCCTCACTGGGTGGGGCCTCCCTGCAGGAACTCCAACAACTCCAGTCAGAGGCTCAGGGACAGAAAGCTGATCTCTGTGGGCCTGAGACCCTAGGGGGAGGGGTGGCCACAGTGTCTGTGAACCAGCAGACTTAGCCTTTCCTCCTGGTAGTAATGAGGAATCTGGGCAGCCCAGACGAGTGGGCCTCCCCAACTGATACACACCTTCTCTACCAAGGGACAAAGTGCTTCATTAAATGGGTCCTGTTCTCCACGCACTCAACCTGGTGAGACCCTCCAACAGGGGTTTTTAGACACCTTATACAGGAGCAATCCTACCTGCATCAGATTGGTGCCCCTTGAGGTCAGAGATACTGTAAGAAGGAGCAGGCACCCATCTTTGCTGTCCTCCAGCCTCCTTGAATGACACCTCCAGGCACCCAGGCATGGGAGTGAACCAGATGAATAGGGCCTGAAGTGGACCCCCAGCAAACTGCAGCAGCCCTACAGAAGAGGGACCTGACTATTGAAAGAAAAACAAACAAAACAGAAAGCAACAACAACAGCATCAACAACAACAAAAGCCCCCACCAAAACCCCATCCAAGGGTCAGCAGCCTCAAAGATTGAAACTAGACAAACTCATGAAGATGAGAAAGAATTGAAAAAAGCTGAAAACCCAAAAGGCCAGAGTGCCTCTTCTCCTCCAAATGGTCACAATGCCTCCCCGGCAAGGGCACAGAACTAGATGGAGGATGAGATGGATGAATTGGTAGATGTAGACTTCAGAAGATGGGTAATAAAAAACTACTGAGCTAAAGAAGCATGTTGTAACCCAATGCAAAGAAGCTAAGAACCTTGATAAAATGTTAGAGAAGCAGCAAACTAGAATAAGCAGTTTAGAGAAGAACATAAATGACCTGATGGAGCTGAAAAACATGGCACGAGGACTTCATGAAGTATATACAATACCAATAGCAGAATCAACCAAGCAGAAGAAAGGATATCAGAGTTTGAAGACCACCTTGTTGAAATAAGGCATGCAGACAAGATTAGAGAAAAATGAATAAAAAGGAATGAACAAAGCCTCCAAGAAATATGGGACTATGTAAAAAGATCAAACCTACAATTCACTGGAGTACCTGAAGAAGATGGGGAGAATGGAAACAAGCTGGAAAACACACTTCAGGATATTATCCAGGAGAACTTCCCCCAACCTAGCAAGACGGGCCAACATGCAAATTCAGAAAATACAGAGAAAACCACTAAGATACTCCACAAGATGATCAACCCCAAGACACATAATCATCAGATTCTCCAAGATTGAAATGAAGGAAAAAATGTTAAGGGCAGCCAGAGAGAAGGGCCAGGTAACCTACAAAGGGAAGCCCATCAGACTAACAACAGACCTTTCAGCAGGAACCCTACAAGCCAGCAGAAATTGGGAACCAATATTCAACATTCTTAAAGAAAAGAAGTTTCAACCCAGAATTTCATATCCAGCCAAACTAAGCTTCATAAGCAAGGAGAAATAAAATCCTCTCCAGACAAGTAAATGCTGAGATATTTTGTCACCACTGGGCTTGCCTTGCAAGAGTTCCTGAAGGAAGTGCTAAATATGGAAAGGAAAAAGCAATACCAGCCATGGCAAAAATACACCAAAATATAAAGACCAATGATACTATGAAGAAACTGCATCAACTAGTGTGCCAACTAACTAGATAGCATCATGATTGCAGGATAAAATTTACACATAGCAATACTAACCTTAGATGTAAATGGGCTACCTCTATTTACATTTAAATGCCCCAATTAAAAGTCACAGAGTGGCAAATTGGATAGAGCCAAGACCCATCAGTGTGTTTTATTAAGGAGACCCATCTCACCTTCAAAGACACACATAGGCTCAAAATAAAGGGATGGAGGAAACTTAACCAAGCAAATGGAAAACAAGAAAAAAGCAGGGGTTGCAATCCTAGTCTCTGACAAAACAGACTTTAAACCAGCAAAGATCAAAAAAGATAAAGAAGGGCATTACATAATGGTAAAGGGATCAATTCAACAAGGTGAGCTAACTATCCTAAATATATATGTACCCAATACAGGAGCACGCAGATTCATAAAACAAGTTCTTAGAGACCTACAAAGAGACTTAGACTCCCACACAATAATAGTGGGAGACTTTAACACCCCACTGTCAATATTAGATCAATGAGACAGAAAATTAACAAGAATATTCAGGACTTGAACTCAGCTCTGGATCAAGTGGACCTAATAGACATCTACAGAACTCTCCACCCCAAATCAAGAGAATATACATTCTTCTTAGTGCCACATGACACTTACTGTAAAATTGACCACATAATTGGATGTAAAACACTCCTCAGAAAATGCAAAAGAACAGAAATCATAACAAACAATCTCTCACACCACAGTGCAATCAAATTAGAACTCAGGATTAAAACCAAACAACCACACTCACTCAAAACCAAACAACTGCATACAAGTTGAACAACCTGCTCCTGAATGACTCCTGGGTAAAAAACAAAATTAAGGCAGAAATAATGAAGTGCTTTGAAACCAATGAGAACAAAGAGACAATGTACCAGAATCTCTGGGACACAGCTAAAACAGTGTTAAGAGGGAAATTTATAGCACTAAATGCTCATGTCAGAAAGCTAGAAAGATCTCAAATTGACACCCTAACATCACAATTAAAAGGGCTAGAGAAGCAAGAGCAAACTGATCTAAAAGCTAACAGAAGGCAAGAAATAACTAAGATCAGATCAGAATTGAAGAAGATAGAGCCAAAAACACAAAAAAACCCACAAAATAAACCTCCAAAAAAACCAATGAATCCAGCAGCTGGCTTTTTGAAAAAATTAGCAAAATAGATAGACGGCTAGCTATACCAATAAAGAAGAAAAGAGAGAAGAATTAAATAGATGCAATTAAAAAACAAAAAGGGATATTACCATTGACTGCACAGAAATACAAACTACCATCAGAGAATACTATAAACACCTCTATGCAAATAAACTAGAACATCTAGAAGAAATGGATACATTCCTGGACACATTAACCCTCCCAAGACTAAACCAGGAGGAAGTCAAATTTTTGAATAGAAACAGATTTTGAAATTGAGGCAGTTATCAATAGCCTACCAACCAAAAAAAGCCCAGGATCAGACAGATTCAAGCCAAATTCTAACAGAGGTACAAAGAGGAGGTGGTACCATTCCTTCTGAAACTATTCCAAACAACTGAAAAGGAGGGACTCCGCCTTCACTCATTTTATGAAGCCAGATACCAAAACCTGACAGAGACACAATAAAAAAAAATGTTTGGCCAATATCCCTGATGAACATTTATGTGAAAATCATTAATAAAATACTGGCAAACCAAATCCAGCCGCACATCAAAAAACTTATGCATCATGAACAAGTTGGCTTCATCCCTGGGATGCAAGGTTAGTTCAACATACAAAAATCAATAAACAAAATCCATCACATAAACAGAATCAAAGATAAAAACCATATGATTATTTCAATAGATGCCGACAAGGACTTCGATAAAATTCAACATTCCTTCATGTTAAAAACTCTCAATAAACTAGGTATTGATGGAACATATCTCAAAATAATAAGAGCTATTTATGACAAACCCACAGCCAATATCATATTGAATGGGCAAAAGCTGGAAGCATTCCCTTTGAAAACAAGGATGTTCTCTCTCACCACCCCTATTCAACATAGTATTGGAAGTTCTGGCCAGGGCAATCAGACAAGAGAAAGAAATAGATGGTATTCAGATAGGAAGAGAGGAAGTCAAGTTGTCTCTGTTTGCAGATGACATAACTTTTTATTTATAAAACCCCACAACCTCAGCCCCAAAACTCCTTAAACTGATAACCAAGTTCAGCAAGGTCTCAGGATACAAAATCAATGTGCAAAAATCACAAGCATTTGTTTACATCAGCAATAGACAAGCAGAGAGGCAAATCACAAATGAACTTCCATTGACAATTGCTACAAAGAAAATAAAATACCTAGGAATACAACTTATAAGGGACATGAAGGACCTCTTCAAGGAGAACTACTTCAAGTGAAAGAATAGATTACTACTTCAAGGAGAACCACTGCCCAAGGAAAGAAGAGAGGACATACACAAGTGGAAAAACATTCCATCCTCATGGATAGGAGCAATTAATATTATAAAAATGACCATACTGCCCAAAATAATTTATAGATTAAATACTATTCCCATCAAGTTACCATTGACATTCTTCACAGAATTGGAAAAAAACTACTTTAAATTTCATAGGGAATCAAAGAAGACTCTGTATAGCCAAGACACTCCTAAGGAAAAAGAACAAAGCTGGAGGCATCACGGTATCTGACTTAACACTATACTACGTGGCTACAGTAACCAAAACAGCATGGTACTCATACCAAAACAGACATATAGACCAATGGAACAGAACAGAGATCTCAGACATGATGCCACACATCTACAACCACCTGGTATTTGACAAACCTGACAAAAACAAGCAATGGAGAAAGGATCTCCTATTCAAGAAATGGTGCTGGGAAACTGGCTAGCCATATGCAGAAAACAGAAACTGGACCCCTTCCTTACGCCTTATACAATAATTAACTCAAGATGGATTAAAGATCTAAATATAAAACCCAAAACCACAGAAACCCTAGAATAAAACCTAGGAAATACCATGCAGGACACAGGCATGGGCAAAGATTTCATGAGGAAAATGCCAAAAGCAATTGCAACAAAAGCCAAAATTGACAAATGAGATCTAATTAAACTAAAGAGCTTCTGCAACAGCAAAAGAAACTATCATTAGAGTGAACACGGAACCTACAGAAAGGGAGAAAATTTTTGTAATCTACCCATCTGACAAAGGTCTAATTTACAAGGAACTTGAACAAACCTACAAGAAAAAAACAACCCCGTAAAAAAACGGGCAAAGGATATGAACAGACACTTCTCAATAGAAGACATTTACAAAGCCAACAAACAAATGAAAAAAAAGTTCAACATCACTGATCATTAGAGAAATAGAAATCAAAATCACAATGATATACCATCTCATGCCAGTAAGAATGGCGTTTGATAAAAAGTCAGGAAACAACAGATGCTGGCGAGGCTGTGGAGAAACAGGAATGCTTTTACACTGTTAGTGGGAATGTAAATTAGTTCAACCATTTTGAAAGACGGTATGGTGATTCCTCAAGGATCTAGAACCAGAAATATCTTTTGACCCAGCAATCCTATTACTGAGTATATACTCAAAGGAATGTAAATCATTCTCCTCTAAACACACATGCACACATATGTTTATTGCAGCACTATTTACAATAGCAAATTCATGGAACCAACCCAAATGCCCATCAATGATAGACTGGATAAAGAAAATGTGGTACATGTTCACCATGGAATACTACACAGCCATTAAAAGGAATGAGGTCATTTGCAGGGACATGGATGAAGCTGGAAGCCATCATCCTCAGCAAAGTAACACAGGAACAGAAAACCATACACCACATGTTCTCACTCATAAGTGGGAGGTGAACAATGCGAACACATGGACACAGTGAGAGGAACAACACACATCAGAGCCTGTTGGGGGCTGGGGGCCGAGGGGAAAGAATTTAGAGCATTGGTCAATAGGTGCAGCAAACCACCATGACACGTGTATGCCTCTGTAACAAACTTGCATGTTTTGCACATGTATCCAGAACTTAAAGTAAATGTTTTTTAAAAAAGAAAAAAAATTGTGAAAAATTATAGAACAATGACATGCAATAGAAATATATTAATTCATTTAAAATACTATAATTTTACATTAATTGTCCAGTATTATTTTATTCTCCTGTCTTTTTATGATTTCTAGCTCAATTTCTCAAAGGCCTTATGAGTTTACAGGTTTAAGTTAAGAATTACCCATTTGTCCATTAAATCTTTGAAAGCTGCATTGTTCAGGTTTCAGCTGAAATAATGTTACATAAAAATAATCCAAAACTTAATTGTTTGCCACAATGAGCATTAATTCATTCTCATGGATGTGCAAGTAGGCTATAGTTCTTCTAGGCTTGGCTGGGATCAGCTGCAGTCATCTCCTGGATGACATTTGGGTTCAAAACTGCTTCACATGTCTACCTATAATTTTTATTACTTAACCTGCTGCACTTGCTGTTATCTCTTGTATAATATTAAATAGAAGTGGTGATAGCAAGTTATTCTTGCGTGGTTCACTGTCTCAGATGGATTAAATTCAGTTTTTTACCATTAAGTTTAACATATTTTGTGGGAACTCTTTATCAGTATAAGCAAGTTCCTTTCCTCCACAGTTTGCTAAGAGTTTGTATTACAGATGCTGAAATGGTGAAGAGTTTTATGGTATACGTTGAAATGGTTTCATGATTTGTTTTCTGCTGATAATATAGTGAATTGTATTATGTAGTATTATTTCTTGATGTTGGACCAAACTAGCACTCATGGAATAACTCAAATGTTCATATTTTATATATATTATGAAATTCAATTTACTATTATTTGAAGTAGAATTTGTGTTAATAATGGGAGATTAGTCTGAAATTTTTGCTTCTTTTCACGTTATTGTCAGCTTTTGACATCAAATTCATGCTGGACACATAAAATGGGTTGGAAAGTGTTGTCTTTTTTAATGTGTGTATAATATGTTTTTTAAAATGTGTCTATATGTATATATATTCTGAAGTTTTAGAAGGTTGACACTATTTAATTTTAAAAACTTCAAAAGAACTTAAAAGGCAGCCATCTGGGCCTTATGCTGTATTTGTAAAAACATTTTATGTGCGATTTTGATTTATTTAATAAAGTAGGGTTAGATTTTCTTCTTAAGCCAGTTTTCTGTAGTAAAGTGAATTAGTCCAATTTATTGGCTACATTTCCTGCAAGATTACTTTTATTATTGTTTTCATGTCTTTAGAATCTGCAGGGATTTCCCTTGTGAAAAACTTCTTGATACTCATTGTCTGTGGATTTCTTCTTTTTATTAGCCTTGCTGTGGATTTATCAATTGTATTGGTCTTCTCAAAGACCAAGCATTTGTTACTATTTTCCCAATTGTACATTTATCTTTTTTATTAACAGCTTCAGTCATTTTCCTATTTCAATTTATGAATTTTCTTTGAAAATTCAAAAAATTTTGCTGTTATTGAGTAACTTTTTGAGATGGATACTTATATTAATTTCCACACTTTATTTCTTTTATGCATTGTAACTTCTATATTTCTAAGCAACTGATTTAGCTGTGTAGCTCAAAGTTTTTCTATTTTTTATGTAACATTTCAATTATCATTCAATTAATATGTTTTCTAATGCTTTTTTGTTATCTTCTTAAGCTATTGTGTTATTTAAAAGTATATGGCTTAAGTTTAATTAGATCCTATTTGTCAATATTTGCTTTTGTTGCTGGATTAGTCAGCGTTCTCTAGAGGGACATAACTAATAGGATAGATGTATATATAAAGGGGAGTTTATTAAGGAGTATTAACTCAAGGGATCACAAGTTGAGGTCTCACAATAGGTCACCTGCAAGCTGAGGAGCAAGAAAGCCAGTCTGAGTCTCAAAACCTCAAAAGTAGGAAAGCCAACAGTGCAGCCATCAGTCTGTGGTTGAAGATCTAAGAGTCCAAAGCTGAAGAATTTGGAGTCCAATGTTCAGGGCAGGGAGCATCCAGCACAGCAGAAAGAGGTGGGTGGAAGACTAAGCCAGTTTAGTCTTTTCATGTTCTTCTGTCTGCCTTTTATTCTGGCCACACTGGCAGCTGATTAAATGGTGCCCACCCAGATTGAGGGTGGGTCTGCCTTTCTCAGTTCACTGACTCAAATGTTAATCTCCTTTGGCAACACCCTCACAGACACACCCAGGAACAATACTTTGCATCCTTCAATCCAATCAAGTTGACATTCAATATTAACCATCACAAGTCCACCCCTTGTTAACTTGAACCCATACACATCTCCTGAAATCATATATAAACTTCAAATAAAGACAATATTAAGGACATAATTATACCTAACATAATACAGCTATCCTTTGTACAACCAGAAATGCATGAGTCCCCAACTCCAATGCTATTACATAAAGTTAACAACACTTAAATGTTGATATGAAGTCAATAAATCTTATGTCACATGATAAAGGAAAAATAAAGGGAGTAAGATGAAGATATTTTCTTAGTACAAGTGTATACATGCACAAACATGTTCTTAACAAAATGAGGAGGAAATACTCATGACAATTACAATCCTCAGTTCTTCAACTGGTCACGTGATAATAGCCACCCATTCTGTATTCCCTTTGCCTTCAGCAAGCACCTCAGCAAGTCATGGGTTTTTTACCTGGTAGAGTGACCCAAACCTTCATTCCTGAAGGGTCTAGGCTGTTTGTGGATTGGGCTGTTGTAGTTTCCCATTGACCTTAGTCACAGGGCATGGTAATAATAAGATACGCCCTAAGGGAGCTCCTGTATTCCAAACATACTCTTCCTTACCTCCATTGTGGAGTAGTAGACTGATTTCATCTTGATATTCTGGGTCAGTTATCCAGTCAACACTGTAACTCCCTTCTTACCCTGTTGACTTAGAGGTAAGAGGAGCCCAAAATGGCCAGATGACAATTTTAACTTCCAGTTTATGGAACCATTGTGTCTCCTGGTGGCAGCGTTCTTCCTTCTGGAGCTAAGACCTCTAGGCAAGCAGAACATAATGTCACAGGAATAGGAAGCAAAAGTTTTGCTAGTGGGCCATTAGGGGTGATGGTGAGTGGTGCCACTTCCACTTCCACCCCTTGATTCCTGGACCCATGAATCCTGGCTATGGGAGAAACAGTACCAATATTGGACGCTGATTCAGAACATACACAGACTTTTGGAGAACTTTTCCCCAGCCCTGCAAAGTATTGTCACCTAGTTGGCATTGTAATTGAGACTTCAAAAGGCCATTACACCATTCTATCAATCCAGCTGCTTCAGGATGATGGGGAACATGGTAAGACCAGTGAATTCTGTCAGCATGAGCCCATTGCTACACTTCTTTAGCCATAAAGTGAGTGCCTTGGTCAGAGGCAATGCTACGTGGAATACCATGACAATGGATAAGGCATTCCATGAGTCCATGGCTGGTAGTCTTGGCAGAAGCATTGCATGCAGGATAGGCAAACACATATCCAGAGTAAGTGTCTATGCCAGTGAGGACAAACCACTGCCCTTTCCATGATGGAAGAGGTCCAATATAATCAATCTGTCACCAGGTAGCTGGTTGATTACCCTGAGGAATGGTGCCATATTGAGGGCTCAGTGTTGGTCTCTGCTGCTGGCAAATTGGGCACTCAGCAGTGGCCTTAGCCAGGTAAGCCTTGGTGAGTGGAAGTTCATGTTGCTAAGTGCATGTGTGACCTCCCTCCCTGCCACCATGGCCACTTTGTTCATTGGCCCATTGGGCAATGACAGGGATGGCTGGGGAAAGAGGCTCAATGGTGTCCAAGAACAGATCATCCTATCCAATTATTAAAAGTCTCTGCTGAGTACTCACGTGGGATACAAATATCTTCACAGTTTTTGACCACTCTGAGAGGTCCATCCACATATCTCTTCCCCAAATTTCTTTGTCACCAATTTTCCAATCATGCTTCTTTCAAGTCCCTGACCATTTGGCCAAACCATTGATTACAACTCATGAATCAGCATATAATTGCACATCTGGCAATTTCTCCTTCCAAGAAAAGTGCACAACAAGGTGCACTGCTTGAAGTTCTACCCACTGGGAAGATTATTCTTCACCACTGTCCTTCAGGGATGTCCTAGAAAGGGGCTGTATTTCTGCAGCTGTCCAGTTTTGGGTGGTGCCTTCATATCATGCAAAGACATCTGTAAACCAGGCCCTTGTCTTCTTTTCCTCTGTCAACTGATCATAGGGAACACCTCATGAGGCCATTGGTGCAGGCTGGGGAAGAGAAGGCAGGATGGCAGGAGTGGGGACCATGGGCATTTGAGTCACTTACTCATGTAACTTACTTGTGCCCTCAGGACCTGCTGGAGCCCAATCATATATAAACCACTTCCATTTGATGATGAAATGCTGGTGTGCACATCACACTTTATGGCTAGATATGTCAGAAAGCACCCAGTTCACAATAGGCAGTTCAGGTCACATGGTGACTTGATGACCCATAGACAAATTTTCAGTTTCCACCAGAGCCCAATAACAGGCCAAGAGTTGTTTCTTAAAAGGAGAGTAGTTGTCTGCAGAAGATGGCAGGGCCTTGATTCAAAATCCTAGAGACCTCCACTGTGATTCACCTATGGAGGCCTGTCAAAGGCTCCAAACAACATCCCTATCTGTCACTGACACCTCAAGCACCATTGGATCTGTTGGGTCATATGGCCCAAGTGGCAGAGCAGCTCGCACAGCTGGGCCTGTTGCAGAGCCTTCTCCTGTTCTGGACCCCACTCAAAACTGGCAGCATTTCAAGTCATTTGATAAATGGACCGGAGTAAAACAGTTACAGTGGCTTTTGGTGTCATCATCATGAAATTCTTGCCAGTTCCTATGTCCAGAATGGTGTTGCCTAGGTTGTCTCCCAGGGTTCTTATAGTTTTTGGGTTTTACATCTAAATCTTCAATCTACCTTGAGTTGATGTTTATATTAATATATGATTTGAGGAAAGGGGTCCAGTTTCAACTCCTGCATATGGTTAGCCAGTTGTCCCAGCACCATTTATTGAGTAGGGGGTCCTGTTTCCATTGCTTGTTTTTGTCAGCATCATCAAAGATCAGATGGTTGTAAGTGTGTCACCTTATTTCTGGGCTCTCTATTCTGTCCCATTGGTCTATATGTCTTTGTACCAGTACTATGCTGTTTTTGTTACTGTTGCCATGTGGTAGAGTTGAAGTCAGTTAACATGATACCTCCAGCTTTGTTCTTTTTGCTTAGGATTGCCTTGGTTACTTGGGCTCCTTTTTGGTTCCATATAAATTTTAAAATAGTCTTTTTCTAGTTCTGAGAAGAATGTCATTGGTAGTTTGATAGGAATAGCATTGAATTTGTCAATTGCTTTGGGCAGTATGGCTGTTTTAATGATAGTGATTTTTCCTATCCATAAGCATGGAATGTTTCTATTAAAACAATTAAAAGTAATGGCAAAATCACAATTACTTTTACACAAACCTAATATATTTCTTTGCATCATCTTTGATTTATTTGAGCAGTGGTTTGTAATTCTCATTGTAGAGATCTTTTACCTCCTTGGTTAGCTGTATTACTAGGTATTTTATTCTTTTTGTGGCAGTTGTGCTTGGGATTGCATTTCTAATTTGGCTCTTGGGTTGGCTGTTTTTGGTATATAGAAATGCTAGTAATTTTATACCTCGATTTTGTATCCTAAAACTTTGTTGAAGTTGTTTATCACCTAAAGGAGCTGTTGGGGCAAGACTATGGGGTTTTCTAGATATAAAATCATGTCATCTGCAAACAAAAATAGTTTGACTTCCTCTCTTCCTATTTGGATGCCCTTTATTTATTTCTCTTGCCTGATTGCTCTGGCCAGGACTTCTGATAGTATGCTGAATAGGAGTAGTGAGAGATGACATCCTTGTCTTGTACTGGATTTCAAGGCTAATTCTTCCAGCTTTTGCTGATTCAGTATGATGTTGGCTGTGGGTTTGTCATAAAAGACTCTTATTATTTTGAGGTATGTTCCTACAGTACCTAGTTTATTGAGAGTTTTTAACATAAAAGGATGTTGAATTTTATCAAAAGCCTTTTCTGCATCTATTGAGATAATTATGTGGTTTTCGTCTTTAGTTCTGTTTATTTGATGAATTATGTTTATTGATTTTCATATGTTGAACTAACCCTGCTTAAACAATTTATAGAGTGGGAAAAAAACACAAGCTATGCATCTGACAAAGGTCTAATATCCAGCATCTATATGAAACGTAAACAAATTTACAAGAAAAAAAAACAAACAACCAGATTAAAAAATGGGCAATGGACATGAACAGACACTTTTCAAAAGAAGACATACATGAGGCCAACAAGCATATTAAAAAAAGCTCAACATCACTGATCATCAGAAAAATATAAGTCAAAACCACAATGAGATACCATCTCACACCAGTCAGAATGGCTACTATTAAACTGTCAAAAAATAACAGACTTTCTTACACATTCTTGGTGGGAATGGAAATTAGTTCAACCATTATGGAAAGCAGTGTGGCAACTCCTCAAAGAGCTGAAAACAGAACTGCCATTTCACTCAGCAATCTCATTACTAGGTATATATCCAAAGGAATATAAGTCATCTTGCTATAAAGACACATGCACATGTTTATTGCAGTACTAATCACAATAGCACAGATATGGAATCAACCTAAGTAGCCATCAATGGAAGATTGGATAAAGAAAATGTGGTACATATACACCATGGAATACTATGCAGCCATAAAAAAGAATGAGAGCATGTCCTTTGCAGGAACATGGATAGAGCTGAAAGCCATTACCCTTAGCAAACTAATACAGAAACGGAAAACCAAATACCACATGTTCTCATTTATAAGTGGGAGCTTAATGATGAAAATACATGGACACAAAGAGGGCAAGGACAGGCAACTGTGGCCTACTTGAGGGCAGAGGGTGGAAGGAGGGAGAACATTAGGAAAGATAAATATTGTGTATTAGGCTTAGTACCTGGGTGATGAAGCAATCTGTACAAAAAACCCTCATAACCTAAGTTTACTTATATAACAAACCTGCATATGTACCCTGGACATAAAATAAAAGTTTAGAAAAAGAATAATTATCTGGCTTCTATGATCACACCACTGTACTCAGCCTGGAAAATAGATCAAGACTTTATCTCTAAAAAAACAACCACATGAAAAAACATCCATACATTTGAGGTTTTTCTGGTTACACACACACACACACACACACACACACACACCTTGAGGTTTTTCTGGAGATATATCTAGATATCTACATCTATATCTATCTATCTATCTATCTATCTATCTATCTATCTATCTACATATATATGTGTGTGTGTATATATATATATGTATATATATATACATTTTTTTAAACAAATTTTTAGTTCAATTCTACTTTGGTCAGAAAGGAACATTGAGCATTTTCTTATGTTTAAATACCTGGTTACATTTGGTAAATATTCTGTGTGCAAGTGACAAGAATATGTACTCTGCCTTTGTTGGGTGCAGTATTCCATATGTGTCAATTGAATTGAGTTTCATCAACAAATTTTTTCTTTTTATTAAATACTAAAGAATACGTGTGAAAATCTTTCCCTATGATTTTGGATTTCCCTATATCTGTTTTAACTACTGAAATTAGGTTATTAGGTACATAAAGATTATAATACCTTTGTGGATAAAGCAACCTCTCATTATTCACTTTTATACTTAATAATGAATATTCTTGTCATACCTAATAAGGTTTTTATGTTAAAGTGTCCTGTGACTAATATTAGTACAGCAATATCAGCTTTTATTTGGTTAGTTTTTTCATCCAATATGTTTTTCATTATATTATCTTCCACTTTTCTGTGTTCTTAAATTTATGCAATATAGTTTTAAAATCTAATTTGAGAATTTAATCTACTTACATATGATTACAGATATATTTGAGTTTAAATCTGTCATCATACTATTTTTCATTGCACCATTTTTCCTTTTTTTCCCCTCTTGTTTTCTTTTAGGATTAATAAATTATTAATCCTATTTCTGTATTTCTACACTGTTGACTTTGTAGTTATAAATTTTTTAATTATTTTCACAATGGTTACCCAAGGTATTATAGCATGAATCCTTAACTAATTAAAGCTTAAAATAAATTGAACATTTACTTCTTTATTGTCAAAGCAAGAAACTTAGAACACTTAAGTCCATTTATCTGTCTACTAAAGTGCTTTGGGGCATATGTTCTAGTCATACACCAATGTTATATTATATTATATTATATTATATTATATTAAATAATATCATTGTGCAGTACAGTCAATATTTATGTTTAACCACATATATACCATTTTCTTTGTTCAGCATTTATTTTTTAAACTTCCATTGGACATCATTACTCTTTTGCCAAAAGAATTTACTTTGTTCCTTTAGTAAGTCTTCTAGTTAGGAGGGTTCTGCAGGGAATAAATTCTTCCAGTGTTCCTTTTTGCTGTCAATATCTTTGTTGTACATTAATTTTTGTAGAATATTATCACTCCATATAGAATTCTAGTTTGGAAGTGTTTTTCTTCTGGCACTTAGAAGAAATGGCTTTTTATTTTTCTGGCATCCATCATTTTTGTTGGAAAGTAAGCGATGAGTTGATTATTGTTCTTTGAAGTTCATATGTCTGTATTTTTTCTCTCTGGCTGCTTACAAGATTTTCTTCTCTATATTTAGTTTTTAGCAGGTTGGCTTTTTGCCTAGGTTTGGTTTTCTTTGTACTTTGTTGTTGTTGTTGTTGTTAGGTTGGTGCAAATGTAATTGTGTTTTTGCCATTGAAAGTAATGGCAAAAGTTGCAATTACTTTTGCACCAACCTAATACAATTCATTGAGCTACCTAAAATTCTAAGTGTCTGGTTTTTTCCATCAATTTTGGAAAATTCTTGGACAGTATATTTTCATCTATTGTTTTTAACCCATTAATTTTTTTCTATCTTTTTGAAACTTCTACAAGTCTTCTCAATTTTCTGACTGTAACCCACATGTCTTTTTCTGTCTTGTCTTTATTGGTCATACTTTGCTATCTCTGTACTTCAGTCTGAATATATTCTATTAAATTATCATCAATTCACTAATGCTTTTATCTGCTGAATTTCATCTGTTTTTAATCTGATATACTACATTGTCATTTTCATTTATAATAATTTTAGGTTTTAAAATTTATATTTGCTCTTCTTTATCAGTATGAGTCCTCTGATACAATTTCCCACTTGTAATTTATTCTAATATATTAATCAGAATTAGTTTAAAGTGCCGATTTGAAACTCTAATATTTATATGACCTGAAGTTTGTTTCTATGTCTCAACCTCTCCTCCCCCATGATATTTTGTCACATGTTTCTAACAACTGGTATGTGGGTGATATTTTATGAAGTGCCATCATTTGTTTATAGGCATTTTAGTGAGCTTTATATGTCATTTGATATATGTTTTTGATGGATACTGTCTTAGTCTGTTTTGTACTGCTACAACAGAATATCTGAAACTGGGTAATTTATAAAGAAAATAAATTTTTTCCCATACTTCTAGAACCTGGGAAGTTCAACATCAAGGTATTGTCATCTGGAAAGGGCTATCATGCAGTGTCATACCATGGTAGAAAGTGGAGGAGCAAGAGAGCATAAAAGAGAAAGGGATTATGAAAAAGCAAGAGGGAAAGAGGGGGTCAAACTCACTTTTATAACAAATCCACTTTTGTGATAATTAACCTGCTCCAATAGCAATGACATTAGCCCATTGTATTAGAGTTCTCTAGAGGGACAGAAATAATAGGATATATATATATATATATATATATATATCTTATTATTAATAAACATCTATATATACATGTAAAGGATAGTTTATTAATAATAGGATATATTTATATCCTATTTTATATATATGTAAAGGGGAGTTTATTAAGTATTAACTCACATGATCATAAGGTCCCACAATAAGCCATCTGCAAGCTGGGAAGCAAGGAGAGCAAGTCTGAGTCCCAAAACTGAAGAAATTTGGAGTCTGATGTTCGATGGCAGGATGCATCCAGCATGGGAGAAAGATGTAGGCTGGGAGGCTAGGCCAGTCTAGCCTTTTCACGTTTTTCTGCCTGCTTTATATTCTAGCTCTGCTGGTAGCTGATTAGATGATGCCCACCCAGATTAAGAGTGGGTCTGTCTTTCCCAGCCCACTGACTCAAATGTTAATCTCCTTTGGCAACACCCTCACAGACACACCCAAGATCAATACTTTTCATCCTTCAATCCAATCAAGTTGACACTCAGTATTAACCATCACACCCATTTATAACGGTAGAGCCTTCATGACCTAATCACCTTTTATTAGGTATCACTTTCCAACACAAGAACTTTGGGAGACACATTCAAACTATAGCATTCTTTCCCTGGTCACCCAAATTTATGTTCTTTGTATTTATTTAAATGCAAATGACATTTAATCCATCTCAATAATTCCAAAAGTCTTGTCATTCCAGCATCAACTCAAAAGTTCAAAGTTTAGATTTATCCAATGGGATACGTGTTAGATTGGAGGCATGATTCATCCTGAGGCAAATTCCTCTTCTGCTGTGAGCCTGTGAAATTAACAAGTTAATACTTCTCAAATACAATGGTGTGACAAGCATAGGATAGACATTCCCATTCCAAAGGGAGAAATAGGCAAAACAAAAGGAGTCACAGGTCCCAAGTAAGTCCAAATCCCAATAAGGTGCACAACACTAAAGCCTGAAAGCTGGAAAGTCATCTTTGTTGATTCCCTATCACGCATCCTGGTCACATTTTAATGAGTTTGAAAGTCCCAAGGCCTCAGGAAGTTCTACCACCATGGCTATGCTGGGCTCAGTCCACACAATAGCTCTCATGAGTTGAAATCCCAGGCCTGCAGCTCTCCCAGGATGATGCTGCAAGGTGGTAGCTCTACAGTTTTGGGGTCTTGAGAGTGGCCCCACTCCCACAGCTCCATGAGGCATTGCCCTAATTGGGCCTGTATGTGGTGGCTCCAGGCCCCACAATTTTGCTTGTCATTGCCCTAGTCAGGGCTTTCTGTAGTGGCTCTGCCCCTGTAACAAGTCTTTACCTGGTTTCTCAAGCTGTTCATGACATCCTTTGAAATATAGATGGAAAAAGCCATGCCCCTGCAGCTCTTGCGTTCTGCATTCCTACAGAATTAGCACCACATGGAGACCTCTAATGTTTATAGCTTGTGCCTTCTGAAACAGTGGATTGAGCCGCACCTAGGCCCATTTGAGCCATGGCTGTGGTGGCTGAGAAGTGATGTGCTGGAATGCAGGGAACAGAGACCCAGGTTCTTCTGGGAAATGAGCCTGTGGAAGATTCTCTTGGTGTGGTCCCCTGAATCCATTCTAATGTTTTAGTGCTCTGGACCTATGATGGGAGAGCCAGTCTTGAAGATCTCTAAAATACCTTTAAGTTTTTCTTCCACTGTGTTGATGAATAACACCTAGCACTCTTTTATTCATGGTAATCTCTTCAGCAAATAGTCATTTGGCTCCACACGTTGTTTGCTCTCCTGAACACATTATTTTTAATTCTTTACATGGCCAGGGTTCAAAATTTCCAAATCTTTACACTCTGCTTCCCTCTTAATTATAAATTCCATCTTTAATTCATTCTTTGGCTCTCACATGTCACTTATGTGGTTAGAAGTAGCCACTCAGTAGCCTGAATGCCTTGCTGTTTAGATATTTCTTCCAGAGATATTCTAGTTCATTACTCTTAATTTCTGCATTCCATAAAGCCATGGGACATGGACATAATTCCACCAAGTTCTTTGCTACTTCATAACAAAGATAGCTTTTACTTCAGTTTCCAATACCTTGTTTCTCATTCCTGCTTGAGACCTCACAGAATGGCCTTTACTGTCCTTATTTCTACCAGCATTTTGGTCATGACCACTTAAGTAATCCCTAAGAAGATTCAGACTTTCCATAGTTCTGAGGTAATCTTCTGAGCTCTCAAAAGAATTGCCCTTAATAATCTGTTCACAGCAATCTAGGCTTTTTCTAGCTTGGTACTCTAAATTATTTCAACCTCTACCAATTACCAAGTTCCAAAACCACTTTCACATATTCACATATTTGTTAGTAACAGTCCTACTTCTCAGTACCAATTTTCTATCTTTGTGTGTTTTCTGCTGCCATTATAGAATATCTCAGACAGGTAATTTATTTATTTATTTATTATTTATGTATTATTTCAATAGATTTTTAGGGAACAGGTGGTGTTTCCTTACATGGTTTAGTTGTTTGGTAGTGATTTCTAAGATTTTGGTGCACCCATCACCAAAACAGTGTACACTGTACACAATGCACAATGTGTACTCTTTTGTTCCTCCCCTCCACCCTTCCCCTTGAGTCCCCAAAGTCCATTGTATCATTCTTATGCCTTTGCATCCTCATATCGTAGCTCCCACTTAAAAGTGTGTATATACAATGCTTGGTTTTCCACTCAAGTTACTTCACTTAGAATAATAGTTTCCAATCCATCCAGATTTCTGTAAATGCCATTTTTTCATTTCTTTTTATGGTCAAGTAGTATTTCTTTACATGTATATATATTGAAGTATATACATTATGTATATGTATACATATATACATATATATGATAATATATATCATATGCATTATGTATATGTATATGCTATATGTATATATATATATAAAATGAAATACTACTTGGCCATAAAAAGGAATGAAAAAATTGCATTATATATATGGTGTGTGTAGCCCATATATATAATGGCGTTTCAGCCCAAACGCCTATCAGTTAATGAGTGGATAAAGAAATATGGTGTGTGTGTGTGTGTGTGTGTGTGTGTGTGTATACACACCATATTTTCTTTATATGGTGTGTGTATATATATATGGTGTGTGTATATATATACATACACACACACACACACACACACACACACACCATATTTCTTTATCCACTCATTAACTGATAGGCATTTGGGCTGAAAAAAATCCATATTTTTGCAATTGTGAATTGTGCTGCTGTAAATATGCATGTGCAAGTGTATTTTTTTGTGTAATGACTTCCTTTCTTCTGGGTAGATACCCAGGAGTGGGATTGCCAGATCCATTGGTACATCTACTTTCAGTTCTTTAAGGAATCTCCACACTGTTTTCCATGGTGGTTGTACTAGTTTACATTCCCACCAACAGTGTAAAAGTGTTCCCTTTTCACCACATCCATGCCAACATCTTTTTTTTTTATTTTTAAATTATGACCATTCTTGCTGGAGTAAGGTGGTATCACATTGTGATTTGGATTTGCATTTTCCTGATAATTAGTGATGTTGAGTATTTTTTTCATATGTTTGTTGTCATTTGTGTATCTTCTTTTGAGAATTATCTGTTAGTGTCCTTAGCCCACTTTTTGATGGGATTGCTTTTTCTTACTTGCTTGAGTTCCTTGTAGATTATGTATATTAGTCCTTTGTTGGATGCATAGTTTGTGAAGATTTTCCCTCACTCCGTTTGTTGTCTGGTTGCTCTGCTGATTATTTCTTTTGCTGTGCAGAAGCTTTTTAGTTTAAGTATCATCTGTTTGTTTTTGTTGTGTTTGCTTTTGGGTTCTTGGTGATACAGTTTTTGTCAAAGCCAATATCTAGAAGGGGTTTTTATAATGTTATCTGATAGAGTTTTAATGGTTACAGGTCTTGGATTTAAGTCTTTGATCCATCTTGAGTTAATTTTTGTATAATGTGAGAGATGAGGATCCAGTTTCATTTTTCTACATGTGGCTTGTCAATTATCCCAGCACCATTTGCTGAATAGGATATTCTTTGCCCATTTGTTTTTGATTGCTTTGCTGAAGATTGGTTGGCTGCATTTGGCTTCATTTCTGGGTTCTCCATTCTGTTCCATTGATTTATGTGCCATTTTTATGCCAGTACCATGCTGTTTTGTGACTACAGCCTTATATTATAAAGTTGGGTAGTGTGATGCCTCCAGATTTGTTCTTTTTGCTTAGTTTTGCTTTAGCTATGTGGGCTCTTTTTGGTTTCATATGAATTTTAGGATTGCTTTTTCTAGTTCCGTGAAGAATGATGATGGTATTTTGATGGGAATTGCATTGAATTTATAGATTGCTTTTGGTAGCATGGTCATTTTCACAATATTGATTCTACCCATCCATGATCATGGGATGTGTTTCCATTTGTTTTTGTCACCTATGAATTCTTTCAGCAGCGTTTTGTAGTTTTCCTTCGTGTAGAGGTCTTTCATGTCCTTGATTAGGTATATTCTTAAGTATCTTATTGTTTTTGCAGCTATTGTAAAAGGGATTAAGTTCTTGATTTGATTCTCAGCTTGGTCACTGTTGGTGTATAGTAGTGCTACTGATTTGGGTACGTTGATTTTGTATCCTGAAACGTTACTAAATTCATTTATCAGTTCTAAGAACTTTTTGGATGAGTTTTATTTTATTTTATTTTATTTTATTTTGAGACAGAGTTTCACTCTTGTTTTCCAGGCTGGAGTGCAATGGCATGACCTTGGCTCAATGCATCCTCTGCCTCTTGGGTTCAAGTGATTTATCCTGGCTCAGCCTCCCAGTAACTGGGATTACAGGTGCCTGCCACCATGCCTGGCTAATTTTTTGTATCTTTAGTAGAGATGGGGTTTCACCATGTTGGCCTGGCTGGTCTCAAACTTCAGACCTCAGGTGATCCACCCACCTCGGCCTCCCAAAGTGCTGGGACTACAAGTGTGAGCCACCGTGCCTGGCCTGGTGAGATTTTTAGGATTTTCTAGGTATATGATTAAATCATTGGTGAACAGCGACAGTTTGACTTTCTGTTTACCAATCTGGATGCCCTTTATTTCTCTCTCTTGTCTGATTGCTCTGGTTGGACTTCCAATACTATGCTGAATAGAAGTGGTGAAAGTGGGCATCCTTTTCTTCTTCCAGTTCTCAGGGGAAATGCTTTCAACTTTTCCCCATTCAGTATAATGTTGGCTGTGGGTTTGTCATAGATGTCTTTTATTACCTTAAAGTATATTTCTCCTATGCTGATTTTGCTGAGGGTTTTAATCATAAAAGGATTCTGGATTTTGTCAAATGCTCTTTCTGCATCTATTGAGATGATCATGTGATTTTTTATTTTAATTCTTTTTATGAAGTGGATCACACTTATTGACTTGTGTATGTTAATCATCCCTGGTATGAAACCCACTTGATCATGTTGGATTATCTTTTTGATATGCTGCTAGATTTGATTAGCTAGTATTTTGTTGAGGATTTTTGCATCTCTGTTATTCAGGGATGTTGGTGTATAGTTTCTTTTTTGTTATGTCCTTTCCTGATTTTGGTATTATAGTAGGTGTGAAGTGCCATCACATTTTAGTGTGATTTTTGTGATGACCAGTGATGTTAAAAAGCCTATTCATGCGTTTATTTGCCATTAAAAATAAACCTTCTTTGGAGAAATGTCTAAATCCTTTGAAAAAATTTTAAATTATTTGTAGTTTATTGTTGAGTTGTAAAAGCCCTCTACATATTCTTGATATAACTTTCTTATCAGATATATAATTTGCAAATACTTTCTCTTATTCTGTGGTTTACTTTTGTAATTTACTGATGGTATCTTTCAAGTACAACTGTTTTAATTTTGAGAAAAGCCAATTTATCATTTTTTTCTCTTTCATTGCTTCTGATTTGTTGCTATATCTAAGAAACAACTGCTTAATTCAAGGCCACAAATATTTAACATTATTTTTTATTTTTAAATTTTTATAATTGTAACTATTAGATTTAGGACTTTTGTCCAAATTGAGTTAATTTTATATAAGATGTGAGGTAGGGGTCCAAATTAATTTTTTTGCATGTGTCTATTTTGTTGTCCTCAACATTTGTTCAAAAGACTATTCTTGGCACCATAGCCAACAACCAAGTTGCCATAGTGTCTGGGATATTTTCTGAACTCCCAATTCTATTTCACTGAGCTTCATGTTAATCTTTAGACTAGCACCAAACAGTCTAATAATAGTAGCTCTAATAATTTTTCAGTAATTTTTAAATAAATTTCCATTTACAAGATTATGTCATCTGCAAATAGAAACAGTTTCAATTCATTATTTCCAGTTGGAATGCATGCCTTTTAATTATTTTTCTTTTCCTTTTTTTTTTTTTTTTTGAGATGGAGTCTCACTCTGTCACCAGGCTAGAGTGCAGTGGTGGGATCTTGGCTCACTGCAACCTCTGCCTCCTGGGTTCAAGCGATTCTCCTGCCTCAGCCTCCTGAGTAGCTGGGATTACAGGCGCCGGCCACCACACCCAGCTAATTTTTGTATTTTTAGTAGAGACAGTGTTTCACCATGTTGGCCAGGATGGTCTCGATCTCTTGACCTCGTGATCTGCCCGCCTCAGCTTCCCAACACGCTGGGATTACAGGCATGAGCCACTGCACCTGGCCTTTTCTTTTCTAGTTGTCTTCCCTAGGGCCTCTAGCACAAAGTTGAATAGAAGTGGTGAGAGTGAAGATTCTTGTCTCCTCCTGATCATGAGGAGAGATACTTCAGTATTTCACTGCTAAGCATGCTGTTATGGGTTTTTTATTTACTTCCATTTTCTAATTAAGAAAGTTCCCTTTATCTCTAGTTACTTTTTTCCTAATAATGAGTGTTTTATTTTTGTCAAATACTTTTGCTATAGTTTTTGAAATATGTTTTCTTTTGTCTATTATCTATTGAGATGAACATGTGATTTTAGTCTTTTATTCCATTAATATAGTGTATTACATTGATTGATCTTTGTATGTTGAAATAAATTTGCTTTCCAGGGATAAATTCCATTTGGTCATGGTATGTTATCCTTTTTACATATTGCTGAATTTGAAATGCTGATATTTGTTTGAAGGTTTTGCATCTATATTCATAAGAGATATTGTTCTATCGTTTTCTTTTGGTTTGTAGATGCCTTTGTCTGAATTTATTATTAGGCTATTAATAATTTGATAGAATGAATTGGAAAACCTTCCTTTCTCTTTTACTTTTTATAAGAGTTTGGGGGGAATGGTGTTTGTTCCTCTTTAAATACTTGATAGAATTCACCAGTGACCACTGGTCTTGGGATTTTGTTTGTGAGAATTCTTTTAATTACTATTTCAATCTTTATACTTGTTATAGGTCTATATTGATTTTCAATTTCTTTTTATGTTAGTTTCAATAGTTTGTGTTGTCTTTTTAGGAACGTATGAATTTCATTTAAATTATCTAATTTTTCAGCATGTAATTGTTAATAATATTGTTTCTAAAAGTCAGTATTAATGCCCACTCTTTCATTTCTGATTTTAGTAATGAAACAATTTCTTATTTTTCTGTTGGTCAATCTAGCTTTGGCTTCAACATTTTTGTTCACCTTTCAGTGAACCACCTTTTAGCTTTGCATACTTTCTCTAATGCTTTTATATTCTCGATATGACTTATTTGCATTGAAACTCTTATTATTTTCTTTCTTTTGCTTACTTGGGGCTTAGTTCGCTTTCTTACTTCTAACTTCCTAAGATGAATGATTATTTAAGATTTTTCTTTTTTTCAAATCTGGGTGTTTGCTGCCATAAATTTTCCTCTAAGTTGTGGTTTAGCTGCATGCTATACATATTGGTGTGTTGTATTTTTGTTTAATTCATCTCACTATATTTTCTAATTTCCATTGTGACTTACTCTTTGGCCTATTGTTTAGCAGTGTGTTGCTTAACGTCCATATTGAATTGCAAATGTACTTCTATTATTGATTTATATTATTTTTAGTGATTGAAGCCATGCTTTCAAAATTTCAATTCTTTTAACTTGATTTAGAGTTGTTTTTGTAGACCAATATATCATTTATCCTACAGAATGTTTCATGTGTACTTAATACGGCTTTATATTATGCTCTTGTTAGTTTTCCACGTTCTATATGGGTCTGTTTGGTCTATTTGGTTTATAGTATTGGTTATGTGATCTATTCTCTTTTGATCTTCTGTCTAGTTGTTCTATACATTATTGAAAGTGAAGCATTAAATTCTGGAACTATTAATTTTTTTGGTCTATTTCTCCCTTCAATTCTTTTTTTTTAAACTTATTTTCCAGGTACATGTGCAAATTTGTTATATGGGTAAATTGCTTGTTGCTGAGGCTTGGTGTATGAATGATCCCACCACCAAATTAGTGAGCATAGTACCCACTATGTAGTTATCCAACCCACTCTCACTGCTACCCTCTCCCTTCAAGCAGTCCCCAGTATCTTTTGTTCCATCTTTGTGTCCATGTGTATTCAATGTTTTGCTCCCACTTACAAGTGAGATTTGGTATTTGGTTTTCTGTTCCTGCATTAGTTCACTTAGCATAATGACCTTCAGCTGCATCCATGTTGCTGAAAAGTATATAATTTCATTTATTTTTATGGGTATGTAGTATTCCTTGATGTGTATGTACTATATTTTCTACATCCAGTCCACCATTGATGGGCACCTTGGTTGATTCCATGTCTTTGCTATTGTGTATACTGCATAAGTCTTTTTGGTAGAATAATTTATTTTACTTTATATATATACCCAATAATGGGATTACTGGATCAAATAGCAGTTCTATTTTAAGTTCTTTAAAAGTCTCCACCCCGCTTTCCACAGTGGGTGAATAATTTACATTCCCACCAGCAGTGTATGTGTTCTCTTATCTCTTCAACCTTGCCAGCATCTGTTGTTATTTGACTTTTTAATAACCACCATTCTGACAGATGTGAGATGGTATCTCATTGTGGTTTCAATTTGCATTTATCTAATGATTAGTTTAGATGGCATTTAAAAAATATATTTTTTAGCTGCATGTATGTCTTTTTTTAAGAAGTATCTGTTCGTGTCCCTTGCTCAAGTGTCCTTTGCTCATTTTTTAAATGGAGTTATTTATTTTTTGCTTTCTGATTTGTTTAAGTTCATTATAGATTCTGGATATTAGGCCTTTGTCAGATGCATAGTTTGTGAATATTTTCTCCCATTCTGTGGGTTGTCTGTTAACTTTGTTTATAGTTTCTTTTGCTGTGCAGAAACTCTTAAATTTTATTAGATCTCACTTGTCAATGTAATTTTTATAACAACTGCTTTTAGGGACTTAGTCATCGCTTCTTTGCCAAGGCTGATATCCAGAATGGTATTTTCTAGGTTTTTAAAAAAGATTTTTATTGTTTTATGTCTACATTTAAGTCTTTAATCCATCTTGAGTTAATTTTTGTATACTGTAAAAGATGGAGTCAAGTTTCAATTGTCTGCATATGGCTAGCCATTTTTCCCAGTATCATTTATTGAATAGGGAAGTCTTTCCCCATTGTTTGTTATTGTCAACTTTGTTGAAGATCAGGAAGTTGTAGGTGTGTGGCTTTATTTCTGGGTTCTCTATTCCGTTCCTTTGGTTGATGTGTGTTTTTGAACCAGTATCACACTGCTTTGGTTACTCTAGCCTTGTAGTATCATTTGAGGTCAGATAGTGGGATGCCTCCAGGTTGTTCTTTTTACTATGGATTGCTTTGGAGATTTAAGCACTTTTTTGGTTTCATATAAATTTTTAGAATAGTTTTTACTAATTCCATAAAAATTGATGTTGATAACTTGATAGGAATAGCATTGAATCTCTAGATTGCTTTGGGCAGCATGGCCATTTTAACTATATTTATTCTTCCTATCCATGATCATGGACTGTTTCTCCATTTGTTTGTGTCATCTCTGATTTCTTTCAGCAGTGTTTTGTAATCTTATGAGATCTTTCACCTCCTTGGTAAGCTCTATTCCTAGATACTTTATTCTGTTAGTGCCTACTGTATTTCAATAAATGGAATTGTATTTTTGATTTGGCTCTGAGCTTGGACATTTTGGTGTATAGAAATGCTAATTTTTGTACATTGTACAAAATTTGTACATTTTGTACATTGATTTTGTGTCCTGAAGTCACTTATTAGTTCTAGAAATCTTCTTGTGGATTGTATGGAAATTTCTAAGTATGGAATTATATAGTCTGTGAAGAGAGATAGTTTGACTTCCTCTTTCCTGATTTCAATGCTTTTATTTCTTTCTGTTGCTTGACTGCTCTGGTTATCACTTCTAGTACTACGTTGAGTAAGTATGGTAAGAATAAGAATTCTTGTCTTGTTCCAGTTCTCAAGAAGAATGCATCTAGTTTTTACTTGTTCAGTATGACATTGGCTATGGGTTTTTCATAGATGGCTTTTATTATTTTGATTCCTAATTTTTTGAGGGTTCTTAATATGAAGCAATGTTGAATTTTATCAAAGGACTTTTTCAGCATCTATTCAGATGATGAAGTGGTTTCTGTTTATATGGGAATCACATTTATTGATTTGCACATGTTAACCCACTTTGTATCTCAGCAATAAAGCCTACTTAATCACAGTGAATTAGCTTTTCAATGTGTTCCTGGATTAGGCTTGCTAATATTTTGTTGAGAATTTTTGTGTCTATGTTTATCAGAGATGTTGGCCTGAAGTTTTCTTTTTTTTGTTGTGTCTCTTCTAGGTGTTGGTATCAGCATGATGCTGGCTTTATAGAATGAGTTAGGGAGGAGATATTTCTCCTTGATTTTTTGAAATAATTTTAGAAGGATTGGGACTTGCTATTCATTATGCATCTGGTAGAATTTGGATGTAAATTCATCTTGTGCAGAGTTTTTTTTAAGTTTGTGTGTGTGTGTTTGTGTGTGTGTGTGTGTGTGTGTGTGTGTGTTGGGGGAGGGAGGGGTTGGTAAGCTTCTTATTAGTAATTTAATGTTGGAACTTATTATTGGTTTATTCAGAATTTTAATTTCTTCCTGGTTCAATCATGGGAGGATCTGTGTTTATAGGAACTTATCCATTTCTTCTAGGTTTTCTAGTTTGCATTCATAGTTGTGTTCTTAGTAGTAGTCTCTAAGAGTTGTTTGTATTTCTATGGGATTAGTTGTAATGTCCCCCTTGTTATTTCCGATTGTGTTAATTTAGATCTTCTCTTTTTTAAATTAATGTAGCTAGTGGTTTGTCATTGATATTTAATCTTTCAAATAAACAAGATTTTATTTTGTTGATCTTTTGTATGGATTTTCACATCTCAGTTTCATTCAGTTTAATATGATTTTGGTTATTTGTTCTCCTCTTCTGTCTTTGGTGTTTGTTTGCTCTTGTTTTTCTAGTTACTCTAGGTGTGATGTTAGGTTATTAATTTGAGATCTTTCTAACTTCTTAATATAGGTGTTTAATTCTATAAAGTTTTCTCTTAAAACTGCTTTAGCTGTGTCCCAAAGATTTTGGTATGTTGTGTCTTTATTTTCACTAGTTTCAAATAATGTTTGATTTCTGCCTTAATTTCTTTCTTTACCCAAAAGTCATTCAGAAGCAGGTTGTTTAGCATCCGTGTAATTGTGTGGTTTTCATCGATCTTCTTTGTATTTACTTCTATTTTTATTGCTCTGAGGTCTTTGATTGCACCAGTTGTTATAATTTTAATTTTATTATTTTGAATTTATTGAGACTGGCTTTATGGCTACAGTATGTGCCATGTGTATATGTTGTATATTCTATTGTTGTTGGGTGGAGTATTCTGTAGATGTTTATTATGTCCAATTGGTCAAGTGTCAAGTTTAAGTCCAGAATATCTTTCTTAGTTTTCTGCCTCAGTGATCTATCTAATGCTGTTACTGGGGTGTTGAAGTTTCCCAGTATGATTGTGCGGTTGCTCAGATGTCTTCATAGATCTCTAAGAACTTGTTTGATGAATTTTGGTGCTCCAATGTTGAATGAGTATATGTTTAGGATCAAGTCTTTTTGTTTAATTGAGACTTTTATGATTATTTAATGCTCCTCTTTGTCCCTTTTGATTATTGTTGCTTTAAAGTCTGTTTTATCTTACATAACAATCGTTATGCACACTCTTTTTTGTTTTCTGTTTGCATGATAGACCTTTCTCCATCCCATTATTTTGAACCTATAGGTGTTCTTAATTGTGAGATGGGAAGATAGCAGACGTTGCATCTTGCTTTGATGTCCAGCTTGCCACTCTATGCCTAAATGGGGCATTTAGTTCATTTACACTCAGGGTCAGTTTTGATATGTGAACATTTGATCCTGCCATTGTGCTGTTGGCTGGTTGTTATGTAGACCTGACTGTATGGTTATTTTTTCATGTCAATGGTGTGTATAATTAATTGCGTTTTCATAGTGGCATCTCCCTTCAATTCTGTCAGTTTTTGCTTCATGTATTTTGGGACTCTATTGTTAGGTGCATATTTGTTTAGAGTTGTTATATATTATTGATGGATTTACTGCTTTATCTTTAGTCTTTATTTCCAGTAACAATTTTTACCCTGAAGTCTATTTTGTCTGATAATAGTTTAGCCATTTTAGCTCTCTGTTGGTAACTTTTTGCATGGAATATCTTTTCCCATCCTTTTACTTTCAGCTTATTTGTACTTTGAATCTAAAAAGCCTATCCTGATAGACAATACATATTTGAATCTTGGTGTTTTTTAGTCCAGTCCGTCATTTTCTGCCTTTGATTTGAATTATTTAATCCATTTATATTTTATGTAATTACTGATAAGGTAGAATTTACACATAGCATTTTGCTATTTGTTTTTTATATGTATTATACTTTTTTCTACTCTTCTTACTGAGTTCTTTTGTGTTAAGTAGACATTTTCTAGTTTAGCAATTTTATCCCCTCATCATTTCTTTTACTACTTCCTTTGAGTTTTTTTAGTGGTTTTCTTGGAATTTAAAAATAACACTTTAACATATAACAATCTGGTTCAGATAGTATCAACTTAAATTCAATAATATATAAAATTGTTGCTCCTATGAACTTCATTCTCTGCCACCTACTTCCTTTGGCTGTTATTTTCCATAAATTAAATATTTATCCATTGTATGCTTAACAACATAGATTTATAATTATTGCTTTATCCAGTTATTTTTAAAAAATCAGATACGACAAAAAAGTTAGAAACAAAAAGTACACTTACACTCCCTTTTCCGTTTACCTATATAGTTACCTTTATCAGAGGTCTTTACTTCCTGTATTTCTTTAAAAATTTATTTTTATTGATACAAAATAATTTTACATATTTATGGGGTAAATGAGATTTTTGATACATGCATGCATTGTGTAATGATCAAATAAGGATAGTTATTCATCTTAAACATTTATTATTTCTTTGTATTAGGAATATTTCAAATTTTCTCTTCTCACTATATTGAAATACATAATAAATTATTGTTAACTATAGTCACTCTACTGTTCCATCAAACACTAGAACTTACACTTGCTATCTAACTATATGTTTTTACCTATTAACCAACCTGTATTTGCAGCCCCCCCAACTCTTCCCAACCTCTAGCAACTATCATTATACCCGCTACCTCCATGAATTCATCTTTTTTGGCTCCCACATATGAGTGAGAACATGTGATATTTGTCTTTCTGTGTTTGGTTTTGCTTAACATAATGATCTCCATTTCCATCCATGTTAACAGGATTTCTTTCTTTTAATGGCTGAATAGTATTTTGTGTGTGTGTGTGTGTGTGTGTATATATATATATATATATATATATATATATATATATATGTATATATACCACATTTTCTTTATTTATTCATTCACTGATAGACACTTGGGTTGATTTTATCACTTAGTTGTTGTGATTAGTACTGCAATTAATATGAGGGTATTAACTGCACCCTTTGATGCAATCAAAATCAGTAGATTTCCTTCCCTTTGAATAAATACACAGTAGTGGGATTCCTGGATCATATGGTAGTTGTATATTTAGTTTTCTTGAGAAACCTCTATAGTGTTTTCTATAATGGATTTACTAATTTACATTTCCACCAACAGTGCACAAGAATTCTCTTTTCTTTGCATCTTAGCCAACATTTATTTTGTCTTTTTTATAATAGGTATTCTAACTGGGGTGATATATCTCATTGTGGTTTTGAATTGCTTTTCCCTGATAATTAGTGATGTTGAGAATTTTTAAATATACTTTTTGACTATTTAAATATCTTGTTTTGATTGATACAGGTCTATTCAGATTCTTTGCTTCCTTTTTAACATGATTATTGCCTAATTACCTTTGTTTCAGTCTGAAGGCTCCATTTATCATTTCTTGTAGGATGAGTATGGTAGCAATAAACTCAGTTTTTTTTTCTTGGAGTGTCTTATCTTAATTCCTCCTTTACTTGTTTTTTTAAGACAAGATCTTGCTCTGACACCCAGGTGGAAGTGCAGTGGCATGATCCTGGCTCACTGCACCCTTGACCTCCTGGGCTCAAGCGATCCTCCCACCTCATTTAATTTTTTTTTTTTTTTTTTTTTTAGAGACAAGATCTTACTATGTTGGTCAGGCTGGTCTTGAACTGCTGGGCTCAAGTAATCCTCCTGCCTTGGCCTCCCAAAGTACTGGGATTACAGGAGTGAGCCACTGCGCCTGGCCCCTCTCCTTTACTTTTAAAGAAAATTTTACCTGATATAGGATTCTTGATGACAGTCTTTTCCTTTCAGCACTTTGAATATATCATCCTATTGCTTCCTGACCCCCAGGGGTTCTGATGAAACATCAGCTTGTTAAGTTTATTTAGAATCACTTGTACATGATAAGTGCCTTCACTCTTGCTGGCTTTAAAAACTTTGGTAATGAGGTGTTTAGGTTTCAGTTTCTTTGAATTTATTTTCCCTTTGCAGTTATTGACCTTTTCCAATGTATTGATTAACATTTTTCATCAGATTTTGGACATTTTCAGTCATTATTTTTCCATATTCATTTGTTCTTCTTCTGTTTTATTCTTTTGGATCTTCCATTGGGTGAATATCAGTATCTTTGATGATGCCTTATGATACTCTGAGGTTCTGTTCATTTGTCTTTACTCTTTTCTTCTTTTACTTCCTTTGACTGTGTAATGAATTAAACTATCTTCTAGGAAATATATTCTTTATTCTAGCTGGTCAAATCTATGTTTCACTTCTATGGTAAATTTTCAATTTTTGTGATTGCATTTTTCAACCCTAGAATTTCCATTTGGTTCTGTTTTATAATCTTAATATCTTTATTACAGCCTTCTTCTAGTTGGTGAGACATTATTTTTATATGTTCCTTTCATTATTTAAATATGTCTCTGTATTAGTCCATTCTCATATTGCTATAAAGAACTACCTGAGACTGGGTAATTTATGAAGAAAAGAGGTTTAATTAACTCAAAGTTACATAGGCTGTATAGGAAGCATGGGTACAGAGGCCTTAGGAAACTTACAATCATGGAGGAAGGTGAAGGGGAAGCAGGCACATGTTAACATTGCAGAGCAGGAGACAGAGAGTGAAGGGGGAAGTGCTACACACTTTTAAACAACCAGATCTCATGAGTACTTACTCACTATCATGAGAGAACAGCAAGGTGGAAATTGACCCCCATGATCCTGTCACCTCCTACCAGGCCCCTCCTGCAATATTAGAGATTACAATTAGATATGAGATTTGGGTGGGGGCACAAATTCAAACTATCAGTTTCCTTTCAGTTTTTCAAACACAACTAAACAAGTTTATTTAAAATATTTGTCAAATAAGTAAAACTTCTGGGCCTTCTCAGTGACAATTTAATTGATTTGGTTATTGTTGTTGTTGTTTACAGGCCATACTTTTGAAGCAGTGTCATAGTCTGGGGTAAATACCTGAGGTTCGTTGCCTCATGCCAAGGAAATCAAGGACACAGATACATGTGGAGTGAAGTTAAGAGTAGAGGGTTTAATAGGCAAAAGAAAAAGAGAATAGCTCTCTCTCCTGCAGAGAGAGATAGGAGCTCTTGAATGGGTCTTCCACCCTGCAGTGGAATGCCCAGGATTTTACAGACAGGCTTGAGGAGGCAATGTCTGATTTACATAGGGCTCACAGATTGGTTGGACCAGGTGTGATACTTACATAGCATGAGGAAGCTGGCCACCCCATCCTAATCTTCTTATTATGCAAATGGGCTTTCCACTTGGCTGATGCCATGTTGTCTGCTCCCTACTGCACAAATGGTTGGCAAGAAAAAGGGAAGATAGAACCACCATGTTGAACATGCCTAGTCTCCAGGTAGCCTTTTCCTATTTGCACAGCTGCCAGCATTCACCCGTGCAAGCTTCCAACTTGCTTGTCTATGTCTGCAGCTTGATTTTACAGACTGCTTTTTGTTAGAAAAGAAATGATTTGGGGGCTGCTTTTCATCAAAAGGAAAACATTACTGAGGACTTCCTTACCCTCAGTATCTGCCTAAATAATTTCTGTCTTTGTCATGTGAAATCTCTGCTTGATTAGCATAGCAGTCTGCTGATGATGGAACAGAAATTTCTTAGATGCCTGGAATCAATCATTCTTCAAATCTTTGTCAAGTGGCTGTGTGTGCATCTAAGTGCATCTCTTGAACTCTCACAGAGTTTACAACACTGCCTTAGCCTTCACTTCCTGCTTGTGAAGAGCATTGGCCAGAGATGAGAATGTAAAGCCTTTTCACATCTTTCTTAAACATTTACATAGCTTTGGGAATGCAAAAATCTTGATATCCAGGGCATTTTAGACTCCCAGAAAATTTTCAGAGCATTTTCAAGTCCTCTATTGACATCTCATTTCCCAGGATTTTAATATTTTGATGACCTTATTGTGTGTTTCAACTATTATCAATGATATCAGGCAGCTGTGATGTTCAACATTTGTCTATAATTGTTTTTTAGGCAAATGCTTTTCCTAGCCCCAGGAAAAGGCTGTTCATATTCTGCAACTCACAGGTCAGTTTAAATAAATATAGCCTTGCAAAAGAAATCTTCCAAAGAACCACCAGATATGTCAAATAATAAAAAGCTCTGAAAGTGAGACTTTGAAGATCAAACCCTTTTCTGCCCCATCTAGTGATTACTATATTGCTCACTTTCACTGCATTCACAGGTTGTTCATATTCAATGATATCAAAAGCTTTGGAGGTGGGGGATATGAGAATAGGGAAGGTTAAATTGCCACAAGCTGGCCTACAGACATTCAGCTATTTTTCTTGAATAAGTGCTCTCTAGTTTTCTGTAAGCCTTTGGTTAATTTCCAGAGTTCTGAAAAAGTTTATTCTGATGATATTTTTAAGAATATTCTCATTACTTTTGTGAAGGAGAATATTTTCTGAGGTCCTTACTCCACCATTTTTATTGATGTCACTTCTAATAAACTTCTAATATTATACCATTGCTGAGTTCCTGGACACAGCTCAATGTGTGGTATACATGCATTGTTGCATATTCTTAAATATTTCATTTAAGATTTTTAGATCACATTCTCATGGTTTTCCCATTTTAATTGGAGGTGGAAACTAAATCATAGCTTAAAATAGACATTGTCCTGGTATCAATATATATCCAGTCTAATTATCTAGAATTGTGGGCAATTAAAATGAATGTTCTGAACAATGGCCATTAGTACTGTAACAACCACACCTTTAAAAATACAGTCATGAATTGCTTAATGACCAGAATACATTCTGAGAAACGTATTGTGAAGTGATTTTGCCATTGAGTGAAAATAATAGAGTATATTTACACAAACCTAGATGGTATAGCCCAGTATACACATAGATTATATTGTATAGCCTCTTGCTCCTAGGCTACAAATCTGTATAGCATGTTACCATATTGAATACTGTAGGGAATTGTAATGCAATGGTGAATATTTTTTATCTGAACATATCTAAACATGGAAAAGATACAATAAAAACTGTATCTTGTAATCTTATGAAACCCCCATTGTTTATATGTGGTTCATCATTGATCAAAATGTCATTTTATAGTGTACTTTTATTAAGGGAACTATGAAGAATGGGTTTCTAGATTTTAGAGACATTTTATTAGATGCTGATATAAATCGTTGGTGATTTTATCACAGCTAATTTTATCACAGCACTCAACTCCTCAAGCCTTTTACTTAGTCAAGATTTTACTGAGCTCTGTAAAGATTCTGTACGAGTCTACACAAAGCTCACAAGCACCTGTGACCTACCCACTGAGAATACTTAAAAGTACTGAGCAGTACTTCATGTTGGATAGTTTCTAGATCTGTTTCAAATCTTAATTCTAACTTTTTGAATTATCACATCTTTTTGATACATATGTATCTTTATAATGTGTATAAAATAAAATTAGCTTATTCTACAATTTTATATCACATCATTTGAAAATATACTATGGAATCACATTAGTAAGATTGATGTCCCTGGTATTTATCCATCCATCTACAAGTTGATCTATTCATTGCCTCCCTCTCTCAACAAAATATTGAATGTTGACTGTGTATCACACATTACAGGAGACCCTGCTTATGTAAGAAAAAGTAACAAGCTTTCCTTCTCTGCAAGGAATCCACAGACTATTGAAAAAGAAGGTACATAAGCAAAATCTTGTAATGCTTTGGAATAAGTGCTGTACTTTGGGTGATAATATAAGTTTGGTTGCACAATGATATGGAAGCAAAATGGAGGTGAAGAGGGACTATTATTTTTGGAAAAGTATAATTTTTATTCTCTAATTTTTTATCTCAATTTCTCTGTGTATCTTCTAAATGTTGTCCTTTTGCAACATCTTAGAACTTGGCTGATTCAGTAATTTCTTATTAACCAACTGTCTTCTGGCTTTATTTTCTCTTCCCTGAAGGTCTGGGATTCATCAAAGTCAGGATTTAATCACACAGGCTCAGGCCAGACATACTGTGAGAACACATTCCATTTGCTACTTGGCTCTGCCAATACACATAAATCTATCCTGTCTTAAGACTGCTTTGTATCAGAGGCAAACATCCACAAAGGAGTCTCTGATCATTCCAATAGGGCCCCTGCTGAAATCACCAGATGCATCTGCTAGTGGGTACTTGGTTCTCATCCAGACCCAGGTTCCTGAAATAAAATTCTCAAAACACAAATCTCTATGCTCATGGAAATTTTAATGCAACCCATCAAATATATTTTCTTTGTGTCTTTATTTATTAACTGCAGTAACTTAGAGAGAATAAAAAAGAAAACCTTTGTCAACTTTTAAAAAATCTTCAATAAAACCAGAAGATGCTGAATTTCCAGATGTCTTGAATATTTGGAGGCTGCATAGAGCATTGTAAGCCAGGCAATTTCTTAGACTAAGTCTGCAGAGTGAGCAGGTAGGGATATGACAAGAATTCTAGGGGTTGGAAATCTCCCTTCCTATAATATACTTGATATATTTATGATAATGCTTTAGTTTATTCCTGTGACTAAGAATTGCTCTTACTCACTTTGTGAATTTCTTTTTTAAAATGTTTAAATTGTGTGTATTTGATTTTTTGAATAGGTAATACGTATACATGGTGTAAAATTCAAACATATAAAGTATTTAGAAAACACTCTTCAATCCACCTCTGACCTCAGCCATTCTGCATACTATAGGCAACAGTATTTTCTGTCTCTTGCAGTGGCCATGGTGGTGCACATCTGTAATCCCAGCTACTCCAGAGGCTGAAGTGAGAGAATTCTCTGGGTTCATGGCTTGAGCTCAAAAGCTGGAGACAAGCCTGGGCAACGTAATGAGACCCAGTTTCAAAGAAGAAATAAAGAAAAAAATGCTTTCTGTCTCTTAAATATTTTTCCAAAAATATTTTATTCATACAAATATATATATAAAAAGAGAGAGAGAGAGAGTTGCATGTGTTACTTTAATGGATGGAGCTTTGTTTCTCACTTAAAATTTGTCTTGGAGATAATTTTGTATCATTATGAGCTCTCTAATTCTCCTTTAAGGCCAAATAGTTTTTCAACATGAGGATATATTTTCTCCTACTTGCCTGCCCTCTATCGATGAAGGTTTAGGTTATTTCTAAATCTTATATGCAGTACCTTAGGTATAACAGAGAGCATATACAATTTCACACTTGTGTGAGTAGATGTGAGGGTGTCTTCTAGTGAAATAGCTGGTTAAAAGAGAACTTTGCGCATTTGCATTTGCTAGATTCTGTGATAGATGATAGATTTTCAACAGCAATATGTGCGGGTGCTTCTTTCCTCATGCCTTTGCCAGCACTGTGAGCCATCAAGCCTACTTTATCTTATACTAAATTCCTGTCTACATTTGGATCTATTACTACATTTTCCATTCCATCTCATTGATGTATCTTTATTTTACATGAGCAAATTCCTCATTAGTTTAATTACTTTATACTTATATTAAGTTTTAATATCTGTATAAGCTAATTATTTCTCAATATTCTTCCCATTTCTTAAGTTCTCTGACTATCCTTGCTTTTTAAGTTTTCCATATTACCTTGACATAGCTTTGCTTATGTGGTTGTTATTAAAATTATTATCAGGTTACATTTAAAGATTATCATATGTAAAGTTTTTATGTTTGCAATGTGAAGCCTTCCTATTTAAAAAAACCTTATGTGAATTTCTGTTATATTACTTTCAATCAGAAAAATTTTTAGTTTTATTTGTACATGTCTTGCATATTTCTTAATACACTTATTTCTATATATTTCAACATTTTTTGCTATCAGAAATGGAAAATTATTTACCTTTAAACTGTCATTGCATTATATATGAATGCTATAGATTTCTATCTATAGCGTTGAATGTCATCAAGTTGATATTCACTTACCTTGTAAAATTCTCTTATTTGTTATTGATTTTCAGTTGTAGTTTTTTCATTTTATGATATAAAATAATATTGTCTGAAATTAGTAGTGATTTTACATCCTCCTCTTTTCCCTGCTTTATAACTATACTAATAACACCTTCAGAACAATGTTAAATAATAGTAATGACAATGGATCATATTGATATGATACCTTATATCATATCATCCTATTTTATATCATAATATAATGTCATTCTATTAAAATTTTTAAAAATCAAGATTGAAAAATAAATATTATGAATTTCTGTCTAATCTGTGGGAACTATTTTCCACTTCAAACTATTAATATGTTTAATTATATAAGTAGATTTCCATTTTATTTTTTATTATTTTTTAACATCTTTGCATTCCTAGAAAAATTTCACTTGGCCTTATTGTATTTTCCAATGTGTTGCTGGTTTCTGTTTGTTGATATTTCACCTAAGATTTATCATCAATTGTCATAGGGAGATTTGTTACATTATTTTTTATCGCAATATTTGTTGCTGATGCCAGTTTAAAATTTTGTTAACTTCAAATAAAATTTCAGAAGTTTTCCTTTTCTGTGCTTTAGAAAAATTTAAATAGTATTAATTTATCTGGTCTTGAGAGATGTTTTACTCTTCTTAAAATTATCTTAACTTGGTGCTTTTTTGGAAGTAGCTCTTTGATAATTTCTTCATCTTTATGACTCTCTTTTCTGATTTCCTATTTCTTTTAGAGTAAGTTTTGATAAACATAAATATTTCTCTGGGGGGGCCAGATGTCTCTGCTCATAAATTTCATGAAACATTTAAGGCTGAAAATTATCAGCAATGTTAATATGCAAACTCAGAAAATAGGAATGGCATGAACACTTCCCAAATCATTTTATAGAGAGAGATATATTTATTGATTATGTCATTTAGATTACATGTGTACTTAGAGTTTTAAAAAATCACTCATTTGATCTATCATAGAATGAGATTCAAGTATTAAAATCTTTTGGCCGGGCGCGGTGGCTTAGGCCTGTAATCCCAGCACGGTGGGAGGCCGAGGCGGGTGGATCACGAGGTCAGGAGATCGAGACTACCGTAAAACCCCGTCTCTACTAAAAATACAAAAAATTAGCCGGGCGCGGTGGCGGGCGCCGGTAGTCCTAGCTACTCCGGAGGCTGAGGCAGGAGAATGGCTTGAACCCGGGAGGCGGAGCTTGCAGTGAGCTGAGATCGCGCCACTGCGCTCCAGCCTGGTCGACAGAGCGAGAGACTCCGTCTCAAAAAAAAAAAATCTTTTGTTAATTTATTTTTTATTATCACTTATTTTTCAGCTCCTATAATCTTAGCTTTATAATTGCTGATGCTACTTTCAAATCTTTGTCTGTTACTTCTTCATAGAATATTTCATCCATAAGGAGTTGAAAGTGCCTATGATTCATTTAATGCCTTTTACAAGAATTTATTTTATCTGATATAAAGGTCACATTCACTCTTTTTCATTTGTCTGTACTTTACTGGCATTTCTTTGCAAATCGTGTTATTTACAATACTCTTTGCTTTAAATTATGTCTTAAAAATAATGCAAGGAACATTTTTCTTTGTAAGCTGATATGAATGGCTTCTTTTACTGAGTATAAGTCTTTTGCCTTTTTTGGTATAGCATATACGCTTGTTATCTCAAATTATCTTATAATCTGCTTTCTATTTTATATTAGGATGGTGCAAAAGTAATTGCTTTTGCACCATCCTAATAGCTTGTAAAAATCTTTAATGTGGCTATGGTGTTGCTTTGTTTTTTGATGTCTATTTCCTTTGATATGTTTATTTTTGCCGTAGTGGTACTTTTATAACTATACCATTATATAATCCCCCAAGTGATCTACTTCTTCAGACAGTGTATGCTATCACACTATCACACCAAATATCTTGTTTTCCCCTTGAGATTCACTCTCCATCTTTCTATCTCTTCTCTTTGATTGAGAAGTCTGACCCTTAGGAACCATATAAATAAATTCCCATAACCTCTGGCTTCTGATTAGGCTCAGCCAATGATGAATTCTGGCAAGCCATAGGCTGGAGGGAGGAGGGAAAATCTGTGCCCTTGACTTACCACCACTGTTCTTTTTATTGGGACCAATTCTATATAACTCTGTACTCCTGAATTCTAGCAATGCTGCTTTCTTCCTTCTTTCTGAGATAGGTATAATAACCCTGGTTCCTGCTTCATTCCCTGCGATTTCCCTAAACCCTCATGTTGTAAAATATCCCTTTGAAAATAATCCTGTCTTAAGTTTTCTTCTTTTAAGAATGCTATCTCTTTTCTGTTGGGACCCTGACTGATATGCCTATTATAAACAATGATAAAATTAGCATATTTCCTTTTCTCTCCTCTCATTTCTCTACAATGTCATCTTCTACTTAATTATGATTTTTCATAATGTCTACCATTATAGCATTATGAGTATAGACCTATTATTTAAGTAGTCAGTTGTATTAGGTTGGTGCAAAAGTAATTGCGGTTTTGCCATTACTTTTAATAGCAATAATCACAATTACTTTTGCGCCAATGGAATAACATAAATTCTAATTTCCTGGTAAAAATGAAGAACTCTGCATCTGTAGACTGCTGCTCACTTTTCACCCCCATCCTCACCTTCAAATGTTTGTTAGTTACAGGCTTTCTACATACTCAGAGCATATGTTTACACTTTATTTTAGTAAACTCATCCCCATATTTGTTTTAGCTTGCTATTAAATAAATTCAGTGCTTACTGCTAGATGTTTTTCCCTCATTTTATAATTATTTTTTGTTTGGCTGGAATTCCACCTCTAGTAGATTTCTTAAATAGTGCTTAGAAGCATTGCCAGATAAAATAAGAGATGCCTGGTTAAAATTTGAACTTCAGAAAAACAATGAGTTGTTGTATTTATTTTATTTTATTTTTTTGGTGTAAGTATGTCCCAAGTATTGCATGGGGCATTTTTATTTGCTAAATCTGGCAACCTTATGTCTGGCATATGGTAAGTACTCAGTAAGTGTTAGCAATTTGTATAATTTGGAGTCTGTGAAAATGACAAGCCTATGGTTTGATGGTGATTATTTAGGTTCAGTTTTTCCTGGAACACGGGATGTATTTTCAGCATGTTATTCAAATTTTCTTTTATTTCTTATATTATTTTCTTGAGTTATATACTTATGTAGTAGAAGATGGGTGCAAATTCTTTGCCACTCCCCACCAAAATCAAGTGGTGGGAAATATTGTCACCTAGAATCTGGGCAGGTTCTCTGTTTTTGACCAATAGAATGGATGGAAGTGAGGCTGTACAATTTCTGAGGCCAGACCTCAAGAGATCTGCAACTTCTGCTTTTACCTCACTTGGAACACTCCTGCTTGGAAGCCAACCACTATGGGCTGGTCAGATGGTTAGACTACCCTGGGATGAAGCCCAAATTAGCCGTGTAGAAAGATAGGCTGTGTGTAAGAGCCAAATATATTTGGAACATGTAATTCAGCACAGCCACCAGCTGACTGCGGTTGACAGAACAGAGAGCAAAATAATTACCCAGCCGAACCCTTTCTGATTCCTCCCCCACAAAAACTGAATACATGAAATGGTGCTTGTTTGGAGTCATTGAATTTTAGGGTATTTTGTTAGGCAGCAATGAAGTTATTATATCAGATTTTTAGAAAATTTTGGGTACTCAGTTTTACAAATGTACACTATCCTTTTTCTCTTCTATAACCAGCATTTTCTATATAGGTATTTTAATCATTTATTCATTATAATGGTTTTATTTTGCTCACTTTATTTTTTCATTTCTATAATCATGATCATTATTCCATTTTTAATATTGTCTTTTGGTTTTTTCAAATTTAGCTTAATTTCTATAATGGTTAATATTACGTTTATCTTACACTTCTATTCTGAACATGCCTACTCACTGCTAAGTTCTTTTGCTATTGGCTTCCTGAATTTCTCTACTTTATACACTTGTGGTTTGTTTCAAAGAAGCAATGGCTTCGTTGATTAAAAAAAAATAAATTATTGTGAAATTTGGCCACGATTTTCATCTTCTTCTATGTTTTCTTCCTTTTCCATGTGGTAGAGTCATGCAAATTTTTCTGCTTTTTTCCTTTTTTGACTAATTATTTAAGTAACAGGTGAGTATTGTTTTACCCCATAATAGCTATTTCCTAGGTGTTTGTTTAAAGAAAGTGTGGCTTGCTGAAATGTCTTTCATTTGAAATGTCTTTCATTTCTCAGAGTTTGGTGTGTGAGTTTATGTGGCCTTTTCTTTCTGCTGCCTAATGACAACAATAGGTAGTTCTGAGATATTGCTCAATACACCAGTTTCCGTCTTCCTTGAAGTCACTGAGGCAGCCTACTTAACGAAAATATAGCTGGTCTGTCTGGCTTTTATTTAGCTCCATTTCCTGTGCTTTGCAAACACTAAACTCATCCCGGAATATTTTAGATCCCAGTATGAGTACATGCCAGTGGGTGTACCTTAAGATGTGTCTTTCACCTGTGAGAAGGTTTCTGGTCTGTCTGTTATCAGCAGCTTCAGTATTTGCTTTCCTCGTCCTCCCGAGAACAGTCCTGCTTGTTCTCTACTGTCTGTGGCACCACTTCTTGCTCAATTATGTTTTGAGGTTGTTGTCTGTGTCCATTTTATATAGTTAATGGAGTGTTTCATTTAAAACAATTCCACTTGTCGCTTTTGAGTAATTCAAAGAAGAGAAGTAGACATTGCCAAATTACTATCATTATCTTCACATGGAATATCTCTAAAAACTTTTGAGGTTGTCACATTTCAGTATTTATTTTTATTTAGTGATATATTAAATATATAAATGTGGGCACACAGTGTAATGTAAATGAAGAATTTAAAAATATAATAACAAAATGAAAACCTATTTATCAATCATCAGTATAAGAAAGACAAAAAGAAAAGTGACTAGAACATAGGAACAAGAAGCTCTTCCCTCTCCATCCCCCCATTGTTTTTTCACAGGCTTGCCATGGACGTTATGTTCTAAGAAATTTTTTGAGATTTTGACTTTTTTCCCACTTGATATAAATTAATATTGCAGGACATATCTTGTGACTTGCATTTTTTGTGCCTTACTATACCTCTGTGAATCACCTGTGATAACATTGCATCTGTAGATCATTCTTTTTCATCGTTGCACTGTATTTTATTGTATGTATATGCAACAATTTACCTATTCTATCATTCAAGGGCATTTGCGTTGTTTCCCATTTTAGCTATTATGAACAGCACTGATATAAATATTCTTTTATATGTTTCCTGTAGTACATAAATATATTTTGCAAGGATTGTACATAGGTATGAAATTATAAAAGATTAGTTTTATCTTCATATTTACAGTAGTTCTCTCTTATATGTGGAGGGTAGATTCCAAGACTTCCAATGGATACCTAAAAACTTGAATAGTACTGAATCCTATAAACTATGTTTTTTTCCTATACATACATATATACATACCTATGATAAAGTTTAATTTATAACTTCGGCATGGTAAGAAAATTAAAAATAACTAACAATAAAATAAAATAATTATAACAATCTGACAGCATTACTATTCTTGTGCTTTGGGTCCATTATTAAGTAAAGTGAGAGTTACTTAAACACAAGCACTGTGATATGGGAAGAGCTGATCTGACACTTGAGATGGCTACTGAGTGACTAATGGGCAGGTAGAGTATGTGGCATGGATATGCTGGACAACAGGATGATGCGTGTCATGCTGTGCAATTCAAAACTTATGAATTATTTATTACTAGAATTTCCCACTTGATATTTTCAAACAATGGTTGACCACAGATAACCATGGAAAACGATATTGCAGATAAGGAGAGACAACTGTACTAGGCAATTTCAAATTATTTCCTTGAGAGATAGTATTAATATATATTACCTCAGTATGTGGTAGTATGTGAGGGTTCCTGCTGTCCTACAACTTGGACAGCCTGTGTTCTCATCCTAATTTATTTATTTTTCCAAATATATTGGGTATCATGATTTTAATCCACATTTAGCTGATGTCTAACGATGTTGAGCATTGTTTTTATATATTTTTGTCATTCACATTTCCACTTATCTAAAGTGCATTTTGTACAGTTTCTTCTTTTTGATTTTTTAAATTCTGTGTAAAATTTCTGCATATATTTTGCTACTAATTCATTGTCAATTACGTGATTACTAAAAATTTTCTCCTAGTTTGTAGTTTACCTCTTTATATTCACTATCATTTATTTCGGTGAAAAGATATTTTTAACTTCAGTATGATAACATTTAGCAGTATTTTTCATTTTGTGATATTTTTTAAAGAAATATTTTCCTACCCCAAGTCTTATAGATATTTTATAATGATTTACAAAAGCTTGTAGTTTCTACTCCCACTACTATTTCAACCATATGATATTGTTGGCTTGATATAGACATTTCATTACATTTTTTCCTGCAATGAAAACCAATTTTCTTAGCAAAAATTATTGAAGAACCCATATTTCCCATGTAGTCATCAGTAATGTCCTGTTGTATATCAAATTTCCTTACATGTGCAAATCTATTTCTGAGATCTCCATCATGCTTCCTGGTCAATTTGTCTGTCAAGAATTAATATAACACTGGTGTAAAACCTGCTCTTGGAGCGTGACCCACACCTCTTCATCTTTAGGTGTATCTTGCTCATGCTCATAATTAGCTCCTGTTAATATATATTTTAAAATTATGTTGCAAGGGTAATTTTTTTAAAAGGCTATTGTAATAGCATCTACTTTATAGGTCAATTTAGGAAAACTGATAATTTTGTGATAATGAGTGAATTCAATCACTGAACATAGACTACAACTCCATTTATTTATCTTTGCTTTAATACCTGTCAACAAAGTTTTATGATTCTTCATAATGTATGTGCTTATCTCTTTTCTGAAATTCATTTTTAACATTTAAATGTTTATAGGGTACACCTGTATACAAAGACTAAGATCAAGAAAGAAAAAAATCTCCATCATTTCAACAGACCCATTAATATCTTCTTTCAATAATAAAAATATCTTAATTTTTAAATTTTTAATTTTTGTAGGTACATAGTAGTTGTACATATTTATGGAGTAAATGAAATGTTTTGATACAGGCATGCAGTGCATGATAATTACATTATGGAGAATGGGGTATCCATCCCCTCAAGTATTTATTCTTTGTGTTACAAAAAATCCAATTATACTCTTGTAATTATTTTAACATGTATAATTAAGTTAATATTGACTATAGTCACCCTGTTGTGCTATCAAATACTAGGTATTATTCATTCTATTTTTTCCCATTAACCATCTCCACCTTCTCCTAACCCCTTCACTACCCTTCTCATCCTCTAGTAACCGTCCTTCTACTCTGTTGTGTTATCAAATACTAGGTATTATTCATTCTATTTTTTAACCATTTAACCATCTCCACATTCCCTTAACCTCTTCACTATCTTTCCCATTCTCTGATAACCATCCTTCTACTCTCTGTGTCAATGAGACCAATCGTTTTGATTTTTCGAACCCACAAATAAATGAGAACAGGTGATGTTTGTATTTCTGTGCCTAGCTTATATCACTTAACATAATGATCTCCAGTTCCATTCATATTGTTACAAATGACAGGATCTCGTTCTTTTTTTATGGCTGAAGAGTACACCATTGTGCATATGTACCACATTTTCTTTATCAATTTCTGTGTTGATGGACACTTAGGTTGCTTCAAAATCTTGGCTATTGTGAACAGTGCTGTAAAGTGCAGATATCGTTTTGATATACTCACTTCCTTTCTTTTGACTATGTGCCCAGCAGTGGGATTGCTGGATCATATAGTAGCTTGATTTTTAGTGTTTTGAGGAACCTCCAAACTCTTCTCTATAGGGGTTGTACTAACTTACATTACCACCAGCAGTGTATGAGGTCCTCTCCAGGATTTGTTATTGCCTATCTTTTGGATATAATCCATTTTAACTGGGTAAGATAATATCTCATTGTAGTTTTGACTTGCATTTCTCTTGCATCATAATCAATGATGAGCACCTTTTCATATAACTGGATATCCATATGTATCCATATGTTTGCCATTTGTATGCCTTCTTTTGAGAAATGTCTTTTTAAATCATTTGCCCATTTTTAATTGGATTATTAGATTTCTTCCTGATGAGTTGTTTGAACTTCTTACGTATTCTGGCTATTAATCGTTTGCCAGATAAGTGGTTTGCAAATATTTTCTCCCAATCTGTAGACTATCTTCTCACTTTGTTGATTGTTTCCTTTGCTCTGCAGAAGCTTTTTAACTTGATAGAAGTCCATTTGTCCCTTTTTACTTTGGCTGCCTGTGTTTGTGGGATATTACTCAAGAACTTTTTGCCCAGATCAGTGTCCTGGAGATTTTCCCCAATGTATTCTTGTAGTAGTTTCATAGTCTGAGGTCTTAGATTTAAGTCTTTAGTCCATTTTGATTTGGTTTTTGTATCTGGCAAGAGAAAGCAGTCTAGTTTCATTCTTCTGCATATGGATATCCAGTTTTCCAGCACCACTTATTGAAGAGAGGCTCTCTTTTATCCAGTTTATGTTCTTGACACTTTTTTTGAAAATGAGTTTACTGGAGGTAGGTGAACTTGTTTCTGGGTTTTCTATTCAGTTCGATTGGTCTATGTGTCTGTTTTTATGTCAGTATCATGCTGTTTTGGTTACTATAGCTTTGTAGTATAATTTGAAGTCAGGTGATGTGATTCCTTCAGTTTTTTTCTGTTTGCCTAGGATAGCTTTGGCTATTCTGGGTCTTCTGTTGTTTCATGTAAATTTTAGGATAGTTTTTTTCTATTTCTATGAAGAATGTCATTGGTATTTTAATAGGTATTGCATTGCATCTGTAGATTGCTTTGGGTAGTATGAACATTTTAACAGTATTGATTCTTCCAATTTATTAACATAGAATATCTTTCCATTTTTTGTTGTTCTCTTCAATTTCTTTCATTAGTTCTACATAGTTTTATTATAGAAATCTTTCACTTCTTTGGTTAAGTTAATTTCTTGGTATTTAATCTTATTGGTAGTTATTGCAAATGGGATCACTTTTAAAATTTCATTTTCAGGTTATTCACTGTGACATATAGAAATGCTACTGATTTGAGTATATTGATTTTGTATCCTGAAACTTTACTTAACTTGCTTATCAGTTCTAATAGATTTTTTTGTGGGGTCCTTAGGTCTTTCTAAATATATGATCACAATTATTAAAACATCTTGACTTCTAACAGGCATATTTACTTTTGCCTATTTCAGTACTTTATTTAATGCAGTCATTTATTAGATACACTTATGTGTCTGACTTCTTTTTCTTATTGTTATGTATGTGCCAATGATTTATATTCCTGCATGTGGCTAGAGATCATTTATTTTCAGTACTGTACGGTATTTTATCATATACATATACTGCAACTCATTTATTAATCTTGTTTGGTAGACATTTGCATAGTTTAAAATTTGGGGCTATTACAAAAAATACTGCCATGAACATTCTAATCTATGGCTTTCAGTAAACAAAATTATACATTTATGTTTTGTGAATTATTATTGTGATGTAGAGGCAACGTTACAGGGTCCTAAAGTATGTGTATTTTCAGATTTACTATATATTCTACACTATTACAAAAGTGATTGAAGTGTGTAGTCGGGATATCATTCTGAATCTTATAGAAATGGTAAAAGTTAAAAACACAAATTTTAAATATCAATACGTTGATATTGATTGTATTTAAATCCATAGAATTCAATGCAATATTAGTCTATGATTATAGACAGAGAAAAGAAAGAGAACAATGATTATCCTACTGCTACTATTAATGTGCATCATTCTGAGGCAATAAGGACTGAAAAAGATGAGACGATGAAGCAGGGGCAAAATCACAATATTGAATTCTGGAAGCCAAATGAAGAAATTGTTTCAAGAAGGAAGGAGTGGCTAAATATTTCATATGGCTCAGATAGAATAAATAAATTGAAGACTTACAATTGACCATTGCATTTGGTAAGGTAGAGTCATTGCGATTTTGACAAGAATTGTCTCAATGGGGTAGGGACAAAGAAAGTCTAAATGGAATGGAAATTAAATGGAGACAGTAGGAGAAATTGGTCCATTTGAGAACCTTTTTAAATAAAGAAAAAAAGAGACCTTCTATAAGGAAGTTTATTTATAGATAGAGATATTTCAGCATGTTTAAATTAGATTTTGAAATTTTTTTTTTTTTTTTTTTTTTTTTGAGACGGAGTCTCGCTCTGTCACCCAGGCTGGAGTGCGGTGGCGGGATCTCGGCTCACTGCAAGCTCCGCCTCCCGGGTTCACGCCATTCTCCTGCCTCAGCCTCCCAAGTAGCTGGGACTACAGGTGCCCGCCACTACGCCCGGCTAATTTTTTGTATTTTTTTAGTAGAGACGGGGTTTCACCGTTTTAGCCGGGATGGTCTCGATCTCTTGACCTAGTGATCCGCCCGCCTCGGCCTCCCAAAGTGCTGGGATTACAGGCGTGAGGAAAAAATTTTTATATGGAAGAAATTTTGAAGATCCAGAAGATAGAGCATAACTGGAGGAGCAAAGAACTTAAGTAAGCAATAGAGAACAAAAATGGTATCTAGTGCATAAAGGGAGAGGTGGACATTAGATAAAATCAGAAGTGGTTCATATATTTAAACAGGAAGGAAGAAAGTATATGGGCACAAGTACAGGTGTGGGGTGAAAATTTGGTGGGAAGTTGAGGTTATTTGGTTGTGGTTGGTTCTATATTTTACATGACCTAAGAAGTGAAACCATCAATCTAGATAGAGTAAGGGGAAAGAACAAAATATTGCATATTTGAGAGGAAAGAAAGGGTGAGCACAGGGAAGGATCTGAGAGATCACATCGTTTCAAAGGAAAGCATTGATGGAAATAAGAGTATCATTGTTTTGAAACATGAGATGTTGCCCAACAACTTGGGAGAAAAAGGGTTAGGCGGGAGAGAAGGAAATGGAAAAAATGGAGTACCAAGATTACCACATAAACTATGTGAATCACTTCACCCATCTTGACTCTACAAACTGCAAATAGTTGTACTAGCGAAAAAGTTTTGGCAAACTTTGGGAAGTGATACTACGTGACATTCTCTGAATTGTTTAAGGGAATTGAAGATATTTCTGACATTTTATTTTGGCTCATTGGTTTTCATATATTTATTAGCCACTCTCATTTCTTTTATTGGTTTATGGGAAAATGCCTACTGAGCTCAGACAGCTAAGTGGGATTAACACATGTTAAGTAGGACCATGATGTTGGCCTATATAAAATAAGAGGCAAACAACTACAACTAATAATTAATGCATTTTTGGTAGAGATCCAGAGTAATCAAGGTGCACCTCAGACACAGTGATCAAAATGCAATGAATTAGGTTGGGAAGAGCTAAGAGAGATAGATTCAGCTATCTTGTCCCAACAGAAAGGTAAAGAGTCAAAGTTTATAAAAAATTAAAGACACTTGAAGAGCAGGGGGATTTGGATTCAGGGTTATTAGCGTTAGAGTAAAAATGTGAAGATAGGCTTGGAGATTCCCTGTGATGTCCTCTAACTGGGGATAAACAGTTAAGTAAGAGATGGAGGACCAGTAGAAAAAAGGATGGCTCCAAGTTAAGGGTTAGTAATGAGAGGTGAACCCAGCTGGACTTCCTGGGTGGGGTGGGGACTTGGAGAAGTCTTCTGTCTTACAAGAGGATTGTAAAATGCACCAATCAGCACTCTGTAGCTAGGATTGTAAAACACACCAATCAGCACTCTGTAGCTATCTAGAGGTTTGTAAAATGGACCAATCAGCACTCTGTAACATGGACCAATCAGCACTCTGTAAAATGGACCAGTTGGCAGGACATGGGTGGGGACAAATAAGGGAATAAAAGCTGGCAACTGCAGCCAGCAGCGGCAATCCGGTGGGGTCTCCTTGCACGCTGTGGAAGCTTTGTTCTTTTGTTCTTGCTGCTGCTACTCACTCTTTGGGTCTGTGCCGTCTTTAAGAACTGTAACACTCACTGCGAGGTCCACAGCTCCATTCTTGAAGTCAGTGAGACCACAAACCCATCGGAAGTAACAAACTCCGGATACAGTAAGAGTTATGCAATTATTGGGGCAGAGGTTGTAGATAGTGATTTTGGATTGAATAAGACCCACTGATGGACTTGTTTGTGCTCAATAAGGTTTAAAATAAACAGATTTAGTACTACGTACACATGGACACAAAGAAGGGAATAATAGACACCAAGGTCTTCTTGAGAATGGAGGCAGGAAGAGGGTGGGAATTGAAAAACTAACTATTGGGTATTATGCTGATCACCTGGGTGACAAAATTATCTGTACCAAACTACTGAGACATACAATTTACTCATTTAACAAACTTGCACATATACCCCTTGAACCTAAAATAAAAGTTGGGAAAAAAATTGATTTAGTTTGCAACATCTGAGAATTTTGAGATTTTATATTGAAATCTGTATTTCGAGTTTCTTTTAAAAAGTAGAAAGGTGTAGTAGAATAATCCACTTATTTCTGCATGAGAATAACTAGCTGGAGTTAAGTAGCTGCTGTCATACTGAGGAACAGTGAACTGTCTCGTTTTCTGTAGTCCCCACCCAACCGGATTCCTTCATATTTAGGATCCGCATGTCTCCTGTCCCTGATTTATGTAAACACACAGAAATAGGGAAGGATTGGCAGATGCTAGGAGGGAAAAAGACACTCTGTTTTAGATCAATGCTTCTAAACTAATAAGTTTTACCAGAGGGTGTGAAACAAGATGACAAGTCACGGTTTCACATTTTCTGTAAAACTAATTATATACATGAAGAAAAGAAACTGAAATTGTGACCTTGGCTCAGGGTGTGGACATGAAAGTAATAGCCTGCCCCATTACTGCCTGCTGTGCACGCAAATCTGCTGAACAATCCAGAGGGTAGCAGAGAAGGGTATAGAGAGGTGGGAAGGAGATACACAGACAATGGGTTTGCTGATTCACATACCATAAAGATGATAGCTGTACGATAATACAACTGATTCAAAAAGATATTATGTCAAGAAGAGCTGTTTTCACTGAAGATGAAATCTCCTCTTAGCACAGCTTTATTACTAGAATGCTGTTATCCTTTTTGGCTTAGCAAATTGAGTAATGTCTGCCAGTTCTACCTCAGTCTCCTAAAAGTTGCATAGGATGTTACCAACAACGAGCATGCAAATGCAAAACTTCATGTGTCTTAGCACAACCTTAATGAACATAAAAGAATAAATGCAATTGTTAACTGTAAGTATATTTAGGAGATCTTTAAAGGGCAATGTCTCCTACCATTGCTCTAGTTTTGAAGTAGCAGTCAAGTGCATTAGCTTATGATTGGAAGCTCTTTTTTGTAACCTACTTATTTAGGAAATGTTATAAATATGATACAGAAGAATTTCTACAAAACGACTCCATGACATATTGGTGGTTGTTGGCTTCACTAGACCAATGACCCTGAGCTCTCCTAATTTGTGTTGCTATGTGAATTAGGCCATTTAGTCTTTCGATACCTCACTTTTCTTATCTACAAATGAGTGTTAATATTTTCTCTGGTTTAGCAAATAAAGTTGCCACTAAATTCAAGACTATAATAATGTACATAAAAACTATTTAAATACCATAAAATACTCCATAAATGAGATGGATAATTTGTGCTTGAATTTTGGTATTATGAATAAATGATTAGCTGTGTTAAAAAAATGGAAAATACATTCTAAATATATTTTTTACTTAAAGGCATGATTATATGCAAAAAATTATACATATCTTATATGTATAGTTGGATGATGCGTTTAAAAAAATATGCAATCTTTTAACCAACACTTCAATCAAGGTATAGAGCATGTCTATCATGTTAGAATATTTGCTATGACTCAGAAATTCCACTTTCACTTATATTCCCAAGAAAAATTAAGCATCTATCCACAAAAAGAGCTGTAAAAGAATTTCTTGCAAGCTTTTTTCATAATAGCCAAGAATCAGAAGCAATCAAATGTTCAACAATAGGATAATATACCAAAAAAATTCATGGCACATTCATATAATAAAATACTGACATCAATACATACTACAACATAAATGAATCCCATAAACATTGAAAGAAGTCAAACTCAAAGAAATGATTCCATATAAGTCTGAGGTTCTAAAAATCAAATGATGATGATACACAACCTTCTACAATAATGAGATTAATGCATAGAAATAAATATTTTGACTCACAGAAAGGGGAAGATATCTGAGCATATCTAATTCTGCTTATTTTCTCCTCTAAACATAAACATCTTCTCTTTTCTAATTCCTGTTAAATTTTATGATCTTGGGTATATTTTTCTGAAGAACACTATTAAAATATCTGAGATTATAAGAGATAAGAAAAATTACGTGTTAAATATTAAATGTTTCTTGAAAGAAAACACAAATAATCCCTAGAAAAAATGAATAATTCAACTCAGACCCTCCTATCTTCTTGAAGTGTAAACAATATGTAATAAAATCTATTATTTAGTGGCTGCTACATGAATTTTGAATAAAAATAATTTTATAATGATCTTTAGTATGCAACATTCATCATAAATATACCAACAAGGATCTCTTAGGACTGCCATTTCTATATATACCTTTCCATTATAACATGACACAAAGTTTGTCAGAAATTACTTGGCACACTGGGAGTTCTTGATAATTTTGATGGAATATGATGTAATGGTATATATGGACAAAATTATCACTGCTTATTGTTTGTTGGATAGATGATTGACTCCTGTGTATCTTTGATGTTCCATTTTATGCTGGCAATTCATAAAGAGTCTCTAACAAAGATGAAAATTCTGATAGGACATTATTAAAAGTGTTTTGAGAGAAGCAAAAGGTGATTGCACTAGCTTCACATTAAAAAGTCACAGTGCAATTGCCTTTGTGCAACTTTGTGGATGGTTTAAGAAGTTACTGATGTTGTGTACCTCACATACAAACACGTTTCGCCTGAGTGACTGAGCTCTGTCTTGTTAAATGAAGATTCGGGAATCTCCCTCCTTACAGGTATGCCAAGGCTTATTTACAGTCCTCTTTTTGAGGAAACTGGCGGCATTGTGCTGCTCATTGTACTGCTGCTTCTCAAGTCATAATCTGCATCTTTCTCTGTTCCCTGTGCTTGTTATTTTTTATTTGTATTATGTTTTTGTTTTTTCTTGCGGGACTTAGCAGAAGTAAAAGTAAATGCTGATGATTGTAGCTGATATAACCACTCTTATTTTACCCTTGGAGACTTCAAAAATAAGAGAAATCTTACACAGATATAAAAGGATTGCTCTGCTGTAGCATATGAACATCCTCAAAATGTTTCTTTGAAAGGGCAAGCATCTCTAATTGTCTTTATGAAGAATTGGTTCACTGAGGAACTATTTTTACATAGACCCTTCGTAAAAAGCCCTTTTATAGTATCTGTCCTCAAAATACCTTCAATTATTTTAGACATGTTTATGTGGCTCTTCTCCAGGGCCAAGCTTTCTTTAGAGTGAGCATAAATCTGATTGTAAACCTATAAGTAGCATATTTCTTCTCCATTTGTCTTCAATTCCTCAGCAGTCTTCCTGTAAAGGCCCAGTATTTTGAGGCCAACAGCACATGAATAAAATATCTTCAGGATTGAACCTCTTGCTTTATTTTGAAATTTCTCCTGATATTTTAGTGATCACTTAGAGGTTCATTATCTCACACGTTTTAAAAATCTTGATATTGATAGTTGTGTATTGATTTTATCTCATTCAAAAGACTTTCTGATATCATCCCATAGTGCATCAAATTGAATGCCTGCAGCATTTATATTTTAGATATATTTATGCGTGAATTAAACATGTGTTGACATCATATGTTTATTCCTCTCCTGTGTATTTATAGGTTTTGCATCACTGTCATAAACTTTTTTGCATGAATTTATTCAATAATTTGTATCTCCTACGAGTATGAGTTGGTATCTCATATTTATTTATTCTCTCTAATCAAGTCCTCCTAGAATTTTGTATTATCACATGACAGCACACTTAAGCAATGATATTAGCACATTGGGAGTAAGCACATAAGGCTTCTTGCAGTAAAAGATCTGAGGGCTTCTGACACTTCAAGCTCTGGGGTATCAAGGATCAATATCTTGTGCCAGGCACTATTCTGACGGCTGGAACTATAGATATGAACTACACAGGCAAAGGTCTTGTCTTTATGGTGTTTATATTATATAAGTAATATATGTAAGTGAAAAATATGTAATATATCTATAGAGTATAACTAGGGAAAAGAAATAAAGAATGATGAGACAATAGGATAAGTGAGTGCTATGTGAAAAATATGTAACATATCTATAGAGTATAACTAGGGAAAAGAAATAAAGAATGATGAGACAATAGGATAAGTGAGTGCTATTTTAGGTAGGGTCATGAGATGTTTCCCTGAGAAGATGGCTTTTGAAAAGACCAAGAACTGAACTAAGTGTGTGAATGGGCTTTGGAGATATATATGTAAAAGACGAACATTTCAATCAGAGGGAATAATAAATTTAAAAGTGAGAGTTAACAAGAAAATTTGAAGAAATGGAGAGAAGACTGGGGTGACTGAAGTGGAATGTTTGAGGTGAGAGAGAGAAGAGTTGGGGTTAGAGAGAGAGGCATGATAAAGACCATGTGACGCCTTCCAAACCATGGTGAGAAGTTAAGCTTTATTAAAAAATGAGTTGGAAAATTATTATAGGGTTTTGAGCAGAGGAATTATATCATTTGACTTATATTTTAAAAGAATTACTTTGGTTTTTATGGGGAGAATTGAAGAGAGGGAGAAAAATGGAAAAGATGGAAGACTGTTTAGAAAGTTCAAACAGGAGATCATGGTGACTTGGTCTAGGGAAGCTAGGGTTTGGGTAGTAGAGGTGGTAAGATATTATCAGACTTTGGATATATTTTGAAGACTGAACCAATGGGATTTGATGATGGATAGTTTATTATATTTTTTATTTATGAGAAAAGAAATGTTTTTGGAAGTTAAATAACTAGAAGCAAAGAAGTGAAAATTACCTCATTAATAATGCGATAATATTCTATAATAGTTCTTTGGGTAGAGATTTCATGGGTGCTCATTTAAAACTTACGATCCAAAACTAATGTAAATATTATGTGTCTTCTTTATATGTGTAAAATACACGTTGAACTTAATATTTTAAAAGTTGAGTATCTGGCCTAAAATTTTCAAGCTAGTATTTAGCATTTGCAAGATGAAGAAGAGTAGAAAGCAGATACGGAACACGAATGGAAGTCTATTACGTCTCACACCTGTTCCTTTCAGTATCTGTTCATCCTTGATTCATACATCAATTACCATATCATTATGGAGTGATGTCAATTTAATTGTATTTCCATTTAAAATAAAAAATGTTAGCTGCCATGTTTATATAATGGGAAAAAATGAAGGAATATATAAACAATAAATTAACATAAATCATAACTGCCCCATTTGCTGGCAATGTAAATTTTACCTGAATAAATCAATGGAATCATCCCTGTATTCTTTTAACAGTCATTCAGTTTTGTCCATAATATCTGCTAACATATCAAGTGAATGGCATTTCTTACCTGTTGGGTGACACAGCATTTCATTCTGGCAAGAGCTAAGTACTTGGTGGTCTTGTCTTTATTAGGTTGTTGCAGTTCCCCATTATTAAGACTATTGGGCAAAAAAAAAAAAAAATAAATTCCCTGCATCCAAATGGTGTTCCTTGTGTCTGCTGCATAGCATCAATACAATTGCCCCTGGTAATTATGATCAATCATCCTGACCAGTACAATAGCCCCCTTCTCTGAATGTTGGTTTACCATTATATATAAAAATAAAATCCTCAAGAAATGGTAGTGGCATTCAAATCACTTGAACCATGATAATGTTTGATATTAAAACATTCCTCTCTTAGACCTCAGGATAGCTAAACACATTGAGCTCAAGGTCATAAGGAAAGGAATTGTAGATTCTGCAACTGAGATAGTAGGGATAATAGAGAGAAAAGGCAATCCTACTTTCTTCTTTTGGTACTTAATATCACATAGAGAAAATGGAACCATATTTTGGTTTTCACTTTAAGAAGTATACTATATCCTTCTTAAAACAGCACCGAAATTCACAGAATTGTCAGTCAGCTGGTGCCATGGGTGAGCCTTCAGTAGTACATTCCCGTGTTCTGTCAAACTAAAGATTCTGAACAATAGAATATGCTAATGAATTAAGACGAATGAATTTTGTGGGCAGAAGCTCATTGCTTTCTTCTTTTCTTTCAAATCTATACTTTTGCTAATATACCTCTAGCCAAAGATGTCGAAACCAGTTTTCACTCAATCTTTGTTTATAAAACTTCTAAAATTAAGTGTGCTGTGCTATTTGTTCCAAGAAGTGTTTTGTTTTTACTGCTTAAATTAATGCTGCACATGGCCTGTGGGATTATTAATGACATATAACAACAGCAGATTTGTCTTAAGTCTGTCTCTTTACAACTTAAATAATTTGGCCCAAGTACATTAGCACAAAAACCACTAAAGCAGGGAGCTTTAGGTCAATTGGTTTAAAATCCTTAGTTATTAAGTAACTAAAGGATTTTTTTCTTTCTTTTGAGCAAAAAGATTAAGGAGGAAAATTGGATCATATATCTAATTCAGCATAGGGATTGCATCTGCAAAGTATTCAGGACCAAACTAAGCTTCAAAGCATCTTAGAAGTTGAGTTTCTCCTTCCTTTGCTTTTCTCCCCTGGAGTCTGAGGAGATCTTAGTGTTAGTAATTCAGGTTTTGGCTGCGAAGACAATTATGAGAGCCCCTCCTTTTACTTTTGGGCTGATAGAAATCACATTTTTTACATTTTTCTTGCACTTGCTGTCCCTTTGCTGATCGTGAACATAAAAAGTGAGAGCATGAATAACAAGGGTATTTTCCCAAAGTGAGTTGCAGGGTCTTACCACAGTCATCAAATATATAGAGAAATGGAAGTGAAAAGCTTAGGAAACTAACCAACACCAAGCCAGAGTGATATATGAATTGGAAGTAGTCCTATCACAAAAACTTAACATCAGAACATGCTGAGATGAGGAACCGTAAGTGTTGCTTAGATCTCTGTGTTTTATGTGTGTCACAAGGTCAGAAATAAAAACATATTTAAAAATCTTCTCTTCTAAGGTTGCAGGTAAATTACAGGATACCAGTTAAATTTTAATTTCAAATAAATCACAAGTATATATTTAGTATAAACATGTCCAAATTATATTGGGACATGTTTATTATTTTACTTGGGACACTCTTATACTAAATAATATATTTGTTGTTTATCTGAAATTTATATTAACTTAGTCTCCTGTATTTTTATTGGCAAAACCTGGCAATCCTATGTTTCTTTTCTCTAAATTCTCCTAGGAAAATTATTTTTATAATCTAACAAGTGCTTGAGATTTTAATACTCTGATTAGAGCATTGGGTAAGAAGAACTAAAGAATTACTAAAAGAGGATACATTTATTTAGAATAGAAAGAATGTGAAGATTCTCATGGGAGAACAAAACAGATCTGGGGAGTGGCAGCCGGGGTAAGAATATGAGCAGTGGGTAGAGGTAGATTATAATAATGGGTTGAAGTTTCAGAAGAGATAGAAGAGAGTTTGAGAAATAGGTGCCATATTATAAGAGGGATTTAGAATAGAATTGGGCAAAGATGGTTTTTAGAAAGTCTTGCTCCTTGTTATAAAACATAATTCCTTTTTGGTGTCTCATCAATCGATTTCAAGAAAGATATTACACTTCTAGTTTTTCTGGGATGTGTGTGTGTGTGTGTTTATTAAGTGTTAGATTTACTTTTTTAAAGTTTTGACGTCTAGCTAGAATTGGCCAATTGATGGCCCAATTTAGGTGACATCAAGTACAATGCACATTGATCATTTTCAGAGCATGGGGATGGTCTTGTCAAAGGCCCAAAATGCTACCAATAAAATTGTAAAACAGCAATTTAACATTGACTGAAGGGTTTGGAGTGGTTTGTGTAGAAAAAAAATCTGATTCTAAATAGTAGCCATAAAACAGACAACTGTAAACTTCTAAATTTAGGAAGTCATTTCAGTGAAAGATCCTTGTTGGGGGTGTGTTATTTCTAGTTCTTACAGACTCACTTGTCAGTTCAATAGTTCTGCTTCAGGGATTCCCATTAAGTTCTTGAGTTACAGGCCCATGTCTGACTGCCCCTAATTATAACTGCAAAATGAGCTGTAACTAAAAATGTCATTTAGTTCCCCATTGGCATTTATATCATTGCACTACAGTTTTGAATTTCTGCCTTTGTAAGGACACTTGAAATTTCAAAGCAGATTGTAAACTAAGAAATGACCAAGAGTAGGGCCATTTTTCAGGCTAACAGTGTAAGTCAACGGTTTTTGAGGGTTTGACAAAAGAAGGATTTGGGAAGACTAAGAACACATTGAGGCCGAGTTTAAAGAGAGGAAAAAGTACCAGTAAAAATACAACAGTCCGGGCACGGTGGCTCATGCCTGTAATCCCAGCACTTTGGGAGGCCAAGGCAGGTGGATCATGAGGTCAGAAGATCGAGACCGCCCTGCCCATGGCTGCTAAAAAAAAAAAAAAAAAAAAAAAAGCCAGGCATGGTGGCACATGCCTGTTATCCTAGCTACTTGGGAGGCTGAGGCAGAAGAATTGCTTGAACCCAGGAAGTGGAGGTTGTAGTGAGCCAAGATCGTGCCACTGCACTCCAGCCTGGGCGACAGAGAGAGACTGCATCTCAAATAATAATAATAACAATAATAATAAACATTCAAGCACCCACCATTCAAAACTTTTAAAAATATTAACATTCCTGCTTAGATATATTTTCTGTTAAAAATATAAAGTAGATAAAGGTATAATATTTAGCCACCTTTAGTTGCTATCTCTCCAAGGGCTACCACCATCAAGATTTTGGTGTATAGCCTTAAAACCTATGTTTGCTTCTACCTGTAAGTCATAAATTGGACAAGCATAGGTTGTGGAATTTAATGGTGAAACAATCCCATGTGTCTCCCTTTCCTTTTAACAGATGATCTGGATATTTACTCTTTTCAAGTACTAGACAGAAATTTGGGTAGTCTATGGCATTTCTAGCAGCCCTTGGTTAAAACAGAGTTACATGGTTATTTAATGCACTGAGTATTGTCTTAATTTGGTAATTAAATTTTCCAGTCTTGTAGAATCATTCCAGTCCTACGTAATAGTCAAAACTCCAAACCTGATTTAGTGTTGAAACTTCTTCCCATTCCTAGCCTGGTTCGGGTGCATAAGGAAAGCTTGAGGTTGGAAAAGCAGATATATGCTTTGTTTTCTCTCTGCCTTGAGTTTCTACAGGGCTTTCCTTGGCTTCTTAACCTTGATTCTGTGTCCTGCAGGGTGGAAGGAAGTTGAGTAGGGAGAAGGTGTAAGGAGACAGGCAAAGTTCTGACTTAACAGATAAAGGTCTGTATCAGTTAATGTCCTGGCAGGGAACATGTGCAAACGGAGTGATGGCCAAGAGTGTAGTGAAAGGAGTGTTTTCTAAGGGAAAGTGAAACATCCTCAGTGAAGTTGTAAAGCCACTACCATCCCTGAGATCACACCCAACAGCTTTGACCTTAAGTGGAGAAATACAGGCACTGCCAATCTGCAGCCCAGCTGTGAGAATGCCAGGGGAATAAATTAACCAGGTTCTTTTACTCTACCCTCCAAGATCTTCCACTGCCTAAAACCAGCCAGCATCTAGGGGTTTGATGCAATCCTTACAGGTAAGCCTTCAGGAGTGTAGACAGGGGCAGGCTTATACAGCTAAATCTTTCTCTTTTGGGTACTTTGATGGGTCTTCAAGTAGTTTGCCGTTTCTCTCCCCCACCCTGCTTAACTTGTAGGGTACTCCCATCTGCATTTCCCAGATTAGGGAGAATGTATCCTGATTGCAGTTTTTTGCTGTCCCTGTCTTAAGCTTCCCAATTCTAACTATGTCTATTCCTCCAGTGATGCTCTTTCTTCCACCTCGCCTACATCTGGCCCAAGGAAATCACTGATACATGCTTGGCCCTAAAACATAATGAGAGTGTATATCAAAATGGTGTAGCACTTTGCCTTCAACCTACTTTCAGATCAGGAGGTCCACTCATCTCCATCCTTTTATGATTTTCCAGATTAGATTCAGAAACTCATCCCAGACTTTTGGGACATGTAGTAGGTTTTCTGAATGAAATATTTCACTAAGTACAGAGAAAATCAATTTATCACATACTGTTCTGTTTTTGCCTTATGGTTTCTGTTCCATTTTTATTATCTTTGAATATTTAAAACATTCTTAGTCTAAATGTCACTTTTAGAATAATCTTGTAATTCTCATTTGGAATTATCTTGTATTTCACAAGTGGCAGTTTGTGATTTTTGATAACGTCACTGACATTTTTTTATGGGAGTGCCCAAGTTATAGAAGTGACTTTACAGAGATGACTTAATATTTTGCCTCTGTTAGGACTCATATGTTTTATTGATTATAGACTATTTTTATGTTTGGTACTTGTCATGAGATCCATTATCATAACAACTGTGTGTTTTGGCCCTCACATGGGTGTAGCATAGGCGCCAGGTTCAATGGCCTTGTTTATTTCTACCCATGGCTCCAGAAAGGTGGCAGCCTCCTTGTTGCTTTTATGAGTTAGTACATAGATTTTTATGTAGAGTAATTTTGAGATATCCTGGCTTCGTGTACAGTAGGCCCTTAGCTTGAACACCTCTTGCATACAGAGGATAAAACTGTAAGTCCTGGATGTTGTCTTCTGAAACATTAGTAAACCACTTTGAGTTATTAGATGTTTTATTCTTGGTTTCAAGCTGTAATATTTATAATATTTTGTCATTTTTAAAATCTGGCATTCCTGTATATTTAGATTATATATGTCAGAGGTGACATATCTGCTTACTCTGCTTTATTAACTCAAGGTAAGTAATTTTAGTTTAAAAGGGTTTTTTTTTGGTAACAAATTGGGCATTTTCATTTCTGTATAATTTTGCTCCTGTTATTTCAGTAGTGCAATATAGGCCACATAACATCATAATTTCTAACAGTTTAATCCATTAAGTAAGGCCTCCAAAATTTAGAAAGATACTACAAATGCATTTCTAGGGTGAAAATTTTTATTTGCAAGTTAGTATGAAATCAATCACAAAAAGTCATGTTTCTAGATATATTCTACAAATACAATTACATTCTACTCTAAATGGTGATTAGGAATTTTTTCTATTATACATAATAAAAATTAAAAATAAGGAAAGGCATTCCAGCTTGCGTTTTGTTTTAATGTTAAGAATAATAACTTAGTTCTCACAATAAATTGTTAGATACAATGAAAGATTCATGTACAATATTTATGGTCTTTTATTTTTTACTTATTCGATTATGTAATTTCAAGCACATGAGGCATTATTCTTAAAAACAGATAAGCAGAAAAGTCTTCCAGAAATTTAAAAAGGAAAAGAACAAAAAGTGATACATTGGAAAACTACTTGTGAATCACCATCTAATATTTCAAAGTTCAAATTACAGCCATGTACCACATAATGACATTTTGGTCAATGATAGACGATGTATATGATGGTGGTTCCATAAGATTTTAATACCGTATTTTTACTGTAACCTCTCTATGTTTAATACACAAATACTGTTGTATTACAATTGCCTATAGTATTCAGTATAGTAACATGCTGTACAGGTTTGTAGCCTAGGAACTATAGGCTGTGGTACATAGTCTAGGTGTGTAGTAGACTATGCCATCTAAGTTTATGTAAGTACATTCTATGATGTTTGCACAATGACAAAATCGCCTAGTGAAGCATTTCCCAGAACATATCCCTGTCGTTATATGACACAAAACTATTATCACTAGGTTTGAGAAAATAAATGGACAAACAGGAACTCTAATGGAACTATAGAAATACAAATGAGTAGAAAATTTATTCATTAATATTACAAATCCTATTACTGATTTTAAATGCTTCTTTTTATAACACTAACATTAATGCAGAATGAAGACTGGGTTGCTACACAGTAGACTTGAAAATGGAATATTACACTAATTCTGGTCTGAAGCCTGTGGGTAAGATCTTTTAAGTCATTATGTAGAAATAAACCAGATAGTCATGGTGTTGAACATAAGGATTTACATCATTTTCCCATCCAAATCTTGATTAACATCTCAGTTTTGGAGATAGCTTAATAAAATATCAATGGGAATTAGGTTGTTATAGGGAAGTAATATAAGAGTGAACTATCTGCAAGATATTGGAAAATAGCTTCAATTATGAAATGTGATATTTTTCTCTGCCTAAAAGTCACATCACAGGAAGCTTTACTTTGCAAAATAATATTAATATGTAAAAACAATAAACATTTTTCCTTCAGAATTTTCTGCTTTATGTTTATAGCAACAGTTTCTTGAAATCAAAGGTAATATCTGATCATTAATATCCCATGTTAGAATAATAGTCAAATAATTATAATTGCACCAGTTAATTCTCTAGTATATGCTATTTTTCTGAGAGATGAAGGAAAATTTTGTTTTTGGAGCATGTGTCTTCAGAGGTTGATAGATGATTCTGAGGGTAAAGAAGGTAGAAATGTCATGGTGCAGATTTTCTTCTAGCTTAGAAAGCAAACCTCTGGGTTAGAGGAAAATAAGTGAGGACGATCAAGTTTAGATCTTATTTTGTCACCTCTTACTCTATCTTCAAACTATGTTAGTTTGAATTATTTCATAAAACCACAGTAAAATCAGACTTTTTAGATTTGCCTTCTGGGTTTTATGATTTACCTGACATATTTTTAGTACTCTGCTTAGTTGATCACTCATCATTCTCTTTTAATAAAGTTGAAACAACCCTTAACCTTGGTTTCAGTGACTCCACACTGTCTTGAGTTTCATTTTCTCACTCACTTGAAATTCTCGTTCTCTGTCTTTAATTTTCAATTTCACTGTTAAATTTAAGACTCAACCTAAAACAACAAAGAGGTATTACTTTTTTCCAATATAATTTGCAACTCTATTAGACTACAGGAGAAAAAGATGATTATTGCAATAGACGAAAAAGAATTCAATGAAGTGCAATAATATTTGTAATGAAAATATTCAGAAAATTAGGAACGCAGGTAATACTCCTTAACTTTATACAAGCCCAACACATATGTCTCTTAAGCTGATAAATTAGATGGTCAAAAAATTAACAAAGATATAGAGCAGCACTCTCCAATAAAAATATATGTAAACCTCATATGTAAGTTGAATCAATAATTTAAATTACTCATATATAATTCAAAATATTTAAAAAGTAAAAATAGATAAAGTCAAACAATACACTTCTGAATAATTCATGGTTCAAAGAAAAAATCATAAGAAAAATATAAAATACTTTAAAATGAGTGATAATATGAATGAATAACAAAGCAACATGTCTGTTGGATATAGCTGGATGAGTCAATAAAGGAAAATTTATGGGATTATGTATACCTTGCTGTATGTATGTCTCATCTCAACAGCAACAATAAAATGTAAAAATAATAGATGAGTCCTGTTTCAATTAGAAAAGAGTCAAGAGTATGTATATAAAACACCAGTGAAAATGTGCAAAGAACGAGAGTCAAGAGATATAACATCCAAATGTAATGCTCATTCTTAATTCGATTCCAAAAAATAATAGTGAGTATACTGTGGAAGTTTGAATAGACTTAATTATAGCTTATATTAGAAATATTTTAATTTTGTTATGTGTGATACTGGTGTATTATAATCTAGGAAGATAACCTTATTTTTTGTAGATACATGATGAAGTGTAAATTTGTAATTTACTTTGAAATGATTTAGGAAATGCACATATGTGTATATATATGTGTGTGTGTGTAGAAGAGAGAGAGAATGCAAAGAGAGGAGAAAAAAAACTTAGCACAGTGTTAATAATTATTAAATATGGGGTTCAATGATACTATTCTTTCCACTTATTTGAAATTTTTTCTAATTTTATTTATATGTTTTATAATATTTCTACATTATAAATTATTATAAATAAATACAATTAGAACATACTTGCATTTATTACATATTGTACAATTAAAAATATAAAATATTTTAATAAAAAATTTAAGGCAAAGAAGAAAAAAAGGAATATTAGATAATGTGGGAATTTACAAATTCTTTAAATCAGTCGCTGTTTTTCCATTTATTCAGCTCCACTGATGATCCATTCTGGTTTGAGATAATTTAGGTTCAGTAAATATTCTCAGATATTTCTCTAGTTTGTGGTTTACTTGAGCCAAAACTACCAGATGGGCTCTGTGGTGAGCTTCAGCCTCATGGAAAAGCTATGAAACACTGCTGACCTTGACTTTGGTCTGATCCTTGGACACCTGCACGTGATGCTGCACATCATCAGGTTCCAGCTTAGATCGCTTACTGTGTGAGACAGTAGTGCATGCAGCGGGACTCAGTATTGACATGGCTCTCTGGATTTTACTAAGACTTTTTCAGTCCATTGGAAACTGATTTTATATAATAGAAAAAACAAACAGCTTGCTCCAAAACTTTTTGGACAAATTCAAGGGAAATCTAAAAACTGACAAGCTTAGCTCTGTTCCAAAGGAGTGTGCAAAAAAAATTGTTTCTAGCTAATGCAATAATATACTAAAAGGAAATAAAGTAGACAGACTAGGAAGAAAGAAAGAAAACTTTCATTGTTCGGACAACATAATCATCTATGTAGAGAGCCTGAAAGAATAAACAAAACAAATTCTGGAATCAATAAACAATTACAGCAGAATTACAGGATACACAGTTAATGTAGAAAAGTCAATTGGTTTCCTATGTATCAGAAATAAACACATGGCATTTGAAATTAAAAATATAATAGCATTTACATCGACACCTTCCCAAGTGAAAACTTAGGTGTTAATCTAATAAAATATGGACAAGATTTATATGAGAAAAACTATAAAAACACTGATTAAAGAAATCAAAGAAGAACTAATGTGAGTATATTCCATATTCATCAATATAATTTTATCTTAATTTACACAATCCCAATTAAAATCTCAGCAAGTTATTTTGTGAATACTGTGATTTCTTTTTTCCTTTTTTTTTTTTTTTTTTTTTTAGACTAGGTGTCTCTCTCTTGCCCAGGCTGGAGTGCAGTGGTGTGATCATGGCTCAATATAGTCTTGAGCTCTTGACTGAAACAATCCTTTCACCTCAACCTCCTGAATAGCCAAGATTGCAGGCAAGCACCACTATGCCCAGATAATTTTTAAATTTTCTGTAGAAATGGGGTCTCATTATGTTGTCCAGGTTATTCTCAAACTCCTGGGCTCAAGCAATCCTCCCACCTCAGCCTCCTGGTATGCTGGGATTATAGGTGTGAGACACTGCACTCCACTGATACTGTGTATATTGAAAAGCTGGATTCTAAAGATTATGCACAGAGGCAAAAGATCCAGAGTAGCCAATGCAGTATTAAAGAAAAACAAAGTTGAAGGACTGAGAATATCTGACTTCATGACTAAAAAGCTACAGTAATCAAGACAAGCTGATATTGGCAAAAGAACAGACAGATCAGTGGAGGAGAATAGAGAGCTTAGAAATAAACTTAAATACAAATTATATGGAGAGGCAATAGATCCAGAATAGCCAATGCAACATCAAAGAAGAACAAAGTTGAAGGACTGACACTATCCAACTTCAAGACTAGCTATAAAGCTACAGTAATCAAGACAGTGTTGTATTGGCAAAAGAACAGAAAAACAGATCAATGGAAGAGAACAGAGAGCTCAGAAATAAACTTAAATATAATCAACTAATCTTTAACAAAGGAGCAGAGACAATACAATTGAAAAAACAATAGTCTTTTCAAATAATGGGTGCTGGAACAATTATACATCCACGTACAAAAAACAGAACAAAACAAAACAAAAAACAAAATCTGAATCTAGATGCAGTCAATACCCCCTTTACAAAAATTAATGCAAACTGTATCACAGACCTAAATGTAAAATGCTAAACTATAAAACTCCTAGAAGATGACATAAGAGAAAAACTAGATGACCTGGGGCTTGGTGAAGATTTTTGCAGTTGCAATGCCAAAGGAGCAATCCAGGAAAGAACGAATTGATAAATTGGACCTCTTTAAGACTAAAAATTTCTACTCTGTGGAAGACATTGTCAAGACAATGAAAAAACAAGCCACAGATTAAGAAAATATTTGCAAAAGACATACCAGTAAAAGACTTATTACAAATATGCAAATAACTCCACAATAAGAATGCAAATACATCAATTAAAAATGAGTTAAAGACCTTAACAGACAATTCACTTGAGAAGAGATAGGGATAGATAATAACAATATAGCTCTATTCACAATAAGCATTTGAAAAAATGCTGGACATCATATGTCATCAGGGAGATGCAAATTAAAAGAACAATGAGATACCACTACATACCTATTAGAGTAGTCAAAAGAAAAAAAAAAAAGGCCGGGCGCAGTGGCTCATGCCTGTAATCCCAGCACTTTGGGAGGCCAAAGCGGGTGGATCTCGAGCTCAGGAGATCGAGACCATCTTGGCCAACATGGTGAAACCCCGTCTTTACTAAAAATACAAAAATTAGCTGAGTGTGGTGGCACGCACCTGTAATCTCAGCTACTCAGAAGGCTGAGGCAGGAGAATCGCTTGAACCCAGAAGGTGGAGATTGTATTGAGCCGAGATCGCACCACTGCACTCCAGCCTGGCAACAGAGTGAGACTCTCTCTCAAGAAAAAAAAAAAGGTCGAATACTGACAACACCATATCCTGGTGAGAATGTGGAGCAATGGGAAGTCTTGTTCATTGCTGTTTGGAATGCAAAATGGTACCACTATTTTGGAAGTCATTTTTGCAGTTCCTTATAAAACTACACATACTCTTACCATATGATATAGCATTTGTGCACCTTGACATGTACCCAAGAAGTGAAAACTTACGTCCATACAAAAACCTGTACATGGATATTTATAGCAGCTTTATTCGTAATTTCCAAAACTTGGAAGCAACCAAGGTGTCCTTTAGTAGGTAAGTAGATAGATAAATTGTGATGTCTCCAGACAATAGAATATTATACATCCCCCAAAATAAGTGAGGTACCAAGCAATGAAAACACATGGAGGAAATGTAAATGCATATTACTAAGATAAAGAAGCCAATCTGGAAAAGCTACATACTGCATGATTTCAATGATACAACATTTTGTAAAAGGCAAAATTATGCAGGCAGTAAAAAGATGAGTTCTTGCCAAAGGTTGAGGAGAGGGAGGAATAAATAGGCAGAGTACCAAGGATTTTTATAGCACTGAAATTATTCTGTATTGTACTGTAATGGTGGATCTATGTCATTATACAATTTTCCAAGCACATAGAATGTGCAACACTGAGTAAACTCAAATACAAACTATGGCTTATGGGTGACAATTACATGTAAATGTAGGTTCATTAATTGTAACAATTGTACCATTCTGGTGGGGAATATTGGTAATGGGGGAGGCTGTGCATATGTAGGGCCAGAGGGTATATAGGAAATCTCTGTACCTGCCACTCACTCAATTTTGCTGTGAATCTAAACGTTATCTAAAAAATAAGTCTATTAAAAATTAAGTCCATCTTAGAAAGTAACAATCTAAACCACTAGCTAGACTAACCAAGAAGAGAGAAGATCCAAATAAACACGATCAGAATTTTAAAAGGAGACATTACAACTGACACAGATGAAAGGCAAAAGATTATCAGAGACTTCTATGAACACCTGTATACTCACAAACTAGAAAACCTCGAGGAAAATGGATAAATTCCTGGAAACAGCCTCCCAAGATTGAACCAAGAAGAAATAGAAATTCTAAACAGACCAATAATGAGTGGTGAGATTGAATCACTAATAAAAGATCTCCCAACAACAAAAAAGTCAAAGATCAGATGGATTCACGGGCAAATTCTGCCAAACATACAAAGATGCTGGTACCAATCCTACTAAAAGTGTTCCAAAAAATTGAAGAGGAGGGAATCCTCCCTAACTCATTCTGTAAAGTCAGTATGATCCTGATACTAAAGACAGACAAGGACAGAACAACAATAACAAAAAATGCAGAACAATAGCCCTGATGAACGCAGATGCAAAAATCTTTAACATAGTACTAGCAGACAAAATCCAATAGCACATCAAAAAGATAATACACCATGGTCAAGTGGATTTTATTCCAGTGATATAAGGATAGTTCAACATACACAAATCAATAAATGTGACTCATCACATATACCGAATTAAAAACAAAAACCTCATGATCATCTCAGTAGATGCAGAAAAAGCATTTGATAAAATTAAATGTTTATTCAGGATAAAAACCCTAAACAAACTAGGCATTGAATAAACATACCTCAAAATAATAAAGGCCATATACAACAAACCCACAGCTAGCATCACACTGAATGGGGAAAAGGTGAAATCAATTCCCCAAAGAACTGAAAAAAGACAAGACCACTTTCACCACTCCTATTTAACATATTACTAAAATTCCTAGCCAAAGCAATTAGGTGAAAGAAAAGAAAAAAGAAAAAGATAAAGAAAAGAAGAGAGAAAGGAAGAAAGGGAGGGAGGGAGGAAGGAAGAAGGAAGGAGGGAGGGAAGGAAGGAAGGAATGAAAGAAAGGAAGGAAGATCATTCAACTTGGAAAAGAGAAAGCAAAATTATCTCAGTTTGCTCACAATATGATTATATACCTAGAAAACCCTAAAGACTCCTTCAGAAAGCTCTTAGATTTGATAAATGAATTATTTAAGGTTTCAGAATACAAAATCAACGTACAAAAGCAGTGACATTTCTATACAACAATAACAATCAAGTGGAGAACCAAATCAAGAACTCAATCCTATATATAATAGCTATAAAAAATAAAATAAAATAAAATACCGGATAGTATATTTAACCAAGGAGGTGAAAGATCTGTACAGGAAAAACTACAGAACACTGATGAAAGAAACTGTAGATAACACAAATGGAAAAACATTCTATGCTCATGGATCAGAAGAATTAATATTGTTAAAATGACCATAATACACAAAGCAATCTACAGAGTCAATACAATCCCTATCAAAATATCAAAGTCATTTTTTCACAGAATTAGAAAAAAATCCTGAAATTCATATGGAACCAAAAAAGACCCTGAATAGCCAAAGCAATTTGTAGTAAAAAGAATAAAGCTGGGGGCATCACATTACCTGACCTCAAATTATACTACAAGCTATATAACCAATACATGTACATGGTACAAGGTACATGGTACTTGAGTAGAAACAGACACTTAGATCAATGGAAAAGAATAGAGAATCCAGAAATAAAGTTAAATATCTACTTCCAACTGACCTTTGACAAAGTCAACAGAAACAAACCGAGGAAAGGACAACCTATTCAATAAATGGTGCCTGGAAAACTGGATTTCTGTATGCAGAACAATAAAACTGCACCCTCATTTCTCACCATGTACAAAAATTAACTCAAGATGGACTAAAGACTTAAATGTAAGTCCTAAAACTATGAAAATATTAGAAGAAAACCTAAGAGAATATCTTCCTGTCTTCCGGACATTGGTGTAGGCAAAGAATTCATGACTAAGACCCCAAAAGCACAAGCATCGAAAACAAAAATAGACAAATTGGACTTAGTTAAATTAAAGAGCTTCTGCACAACAAAAGAAATAATCAGTGAACAGACAATCTGCAAAATGAGAGACAATATTTGCAAAGCATAAGTCTTACAGGGGATTGATATCCATAATTTACAAGGAAGTCAAACAGATCAACAACAATAACAAAACAAAAATAGCCTCATTAAAAAGTTGGTGAATGACATGAATAGATATTTTTCAAAAGATGACATACAAATGGCCAACAAGCATATGAAAAAATGCTTAACATCACTAATCATTAGAGAAATGCAAATGAAAACCACCATGAGATATCATCTTACACCATCAGAATAGCTATTATTAAAAGACAAAAAATAACAGATGTTGGCAAGGATGCAGAAAAAAGGGAATGCTTATACACTGTTGGTGGGAATGTAAACTAGTACAACCTCTATGGAAAACAGTATCTAGATTTCTCAAAAAGCTAAAAATAAAACTACCATTTGATCTAGCAATTCCATTACTATCTTCTCAAAGGAAAATAAATTATTATATCAAAAAGATACCTGCACTTGTATGTTTATAGCAGCACTATTCATAATTGAAAAGTCATGGAATCAACCTAAGTGTCCATCAATTGATGATTTGATAAATAAACGTTAAGCAGAACATTAATTTTTCTTAAATCAGGCTTTCACTTAGATTGTCAATGTGTGTTCATTTTCTTCCAACTCCATCCGAGGCTCATTCTTGCCAGTAGAACAAAGGACAGTTAATTAAAAGAAATCGTCTTTTCCTTCATGGGCTTGTTTATCATGCCAGTTTCAAATTCTGAAAATAGAAAAGATTTCTTCAAGTTTAACTTAACTTTTAAATAAACTAGCTGGACTTCTAGAATCACACCCAAAATATCTTTGGACTTCTTTTCTCTTTCATGAAAATGAGCTTGGATTATTGCTCTTTAATTATCAGTTTAAGAATCTGTGGCTACTCAAGACAGTACTCTTTTGTTCATATTAAACATGAATATAACTATATTTTCCAAAAAGTTCTTGGTAAATTTTTAAATATATAAGTCTAATATGTGAGTTTTATATTTTTATTATATTTTAATTATAATTACCACTCCATTATATCATCGATATTAAAGTATTATATGTATAGTTTATCAGTAGAGAGGTAAAAATCCAAAGGTAATTTTGCTTTGATGAGAGTTATTTACTATAATTCTATGACAAATGTAAAACTTGACTTTTACTTCAATAGTGATTTTTTAATACAATCACGTAAATATGACCTATAACAACTATGGGGTACAACTGAAACTGTATGTATTTTTAGGGAGAAATCTATATTATAAAACATTTCTATCAAAAAAGAATAAAGGGTAAAGCTTATCAACTACATGGCTTGCTAAGTAAGAAATGGAAGTGAACCCAAAATAAATGAGGAAGAAAATAAAGATAACAAGAGAAACAAAATATTCAAGAGAAGATAATTAAAAGACAAACTTGTTTCTTGAAAGATAGTAAAATAAAAAACTCAACTGAGATTTTTTTTTAACCTAGGGAAGGCGCAGATAAACAATATTAGGACAGAAGAGGAACATAATTAGAGAAATAACAAATTTTTTTAAATATGGTAGAAATATCATAATTTTATTCCTATAAATTTAAATAACCAGACAAAATAAACAATAAACACAACATAGGGTAGGTCTTGGAAAACTACTGCATGACAAAAAAGTTTTTAAAATGAGATTTACAGCACAACCTCATTTAGGCAAATTTGAAAGATACACTTAAAACACCTTTATATATTTTACAGGAGTATGCACATCATTTTAGCTTTTTAAAATTAACTTTCTAGCTATAATTTATGAACAACAATACAAGTCAGTCACTTTAAGGATATGGCTTCATGTGTTTGACGGATATACACAAGAATATAAGCACCACTAAAATAAAGATATAGAACATTTCAATCAATGCCAAAATGTTCCCTTATGTTTCTTTGCAGTCAATTTTCCCCCACCTCAACCACAGACACTCATTCACCTACTTTCTATCTCTAAAGATTAATTGTGCTAATTATATTTTGAGTTGATTTTTGTGTATGGTGTGAGGTAAAGGTGAAGGTTCATTTGTTTATGCCGTATGAATATAGGATTTCCAGCACAATTTGTGAAAAACACTATCATTTCTCCATTAATTTTTTTTGCTACTCATGTCAAAATGTTAAAAAGTAATTAATAATATACTTACGGATCTATTTTCGGTCTCTCTCTTCTGTTTCATTGATCTGTATGCCTGTCTTTCTACCAACATTATATTGCCTTCATTATTGTAGCTTTATGTCTTGAAAATAGATCCATACACTGAGTAAACTCTGTCTTCTAGTTTTTTTTTTTTTAGTTAGTTTGTATATTTTAGTCCTTTGCATTTCCATTTAAATCTTTACACAAAATTTTTTTGAGATTTTGAACTGAGTAGTGTTAAATAACTACCCAGTGTTAATTTTCAGATAAATTTGGGGAGAATTAATATCTTAGCAGTATTGAATCTTCCCATCTATAAAAATGACATATCTTTTTGTTTCCTTAGGGCTTAATTTCTCTCAGCTAAGTTTTAGAGTTGTCACATATCTTGCACATGGTAATACCTATTTCTACACATTTTATGGTTTTCATGCCATTGTAAAGGACACTAACTGATCAAATTTTATAAATATATATAAATTTTATAAAATTTTATCAGTTAATGTCCTTTTATTAATCCAATACGTATTTGTTGTGTGTCCACTATATATACCAATTCTTTCAAAAATTTTTTTCCATTTGTTTGTCACAAGTATGTAGAAATATAATTGATTTTTGTATAATAATCTCGTATCCTAAAACTTTACAAGTTTATTTATTAATTCCATTTGCTTTCTTTGTAGATGTTTTTAAATTCTCTACATATGTTACCATGAAATCTTTACATTGTTTTACCTCTACATTTTAAATCTATGTGAATTTTTTAACTTGCCTCATTTATTGGCTAGATTCTTTAGTACTATGTTGAATAAAAGTGGTGAAACGGAAGCCATTGTTTTGTTTCTAGTCTTAGAGAAACAAGTGTTTCATTAACAAAAGGGTTCAGCCCTTCAGCATTCCATCTGTCAGCTATATGTTTTCCCTAAGTGGTCTTCAGACGAATACGTTCTTTTCTATTCTTGGTTTACTGATAGTTTTATTATAAATGTGCGTTACTATTTTCCAAGTGTCTTTTAGAAATATATTGAGATTAGCATGTAATATTTTTCCCATTATCCTGTCAATATGGTGAATTATAATATTTACTTTTTAATGTTAGAGTAGCTTTGCATTTCTAGGATAAGACCCACCTGATTATTTCTTCGGTTCTGTCTTATCTTCTGTTAAGTCCAACCAGTAATTTCTTTTTAATTTCAAATATGCTAATTTTCAGTTTTAGAGATTGTTTGGTCTTGTCTCTCATCTTTCATTTCTTTACTCATTGTGTTAATAAGTCCTTGAACATATTTATAACTTTTTCAAAGTTCTTTGCTAATTCAATCATTCTGTCATGTTTGAGTCTGTTTCTTTTTTTTTCTTTTCTCTTTTTTTTTGGAGATGGAGTTTCGCTCTTGTTGCCCAGGCTGGAGTGCAACGGCACGATCTCTGCTCACCACAATATCCGCCTCCCAGGTTCAAGTGATTCTCCTGCCTCAGCCTCCCGAGTAGCTGGGATTACAGACATGCGCCACTACGCCCAGCTAATTTGTATTTTTAGTAGAGACGGTGTCGCCCCTCTGTTGGTCAGGCTGGTCTTGAACTCCCGACCTCAGGTGATACGCCCACCTCAGCCTCCCAAAGTGCTGAGATTACAGGCATGAGCCACCGCGCCCGGACTAGTCTGTTTCTAATGACTGATTTTTCTCTAGATTACGGCTTTTTTCAGCTGCTTTGTTTACTATGTTTCTTAGATGCTTGTCATTGAGAATATTACATTTTTGAGTGTGTTTTGTTGTCTACTTATTTATTTATTTAAGGAGACGGAAGCTCGCTCTGTCACCAGGCTGGAGTGCAGTGGCGCGATCTCGGCTCACCACAACCTCCGCCTCCCGGGTTCAAGCGATTCTCCTGCCTCAGACTCCTGAGTAGCTGGGACTACACGTGCGCGCCGTCACATCCGGCTACATTTTTGTATTTTAGTAGAGACAGGGTTTTCCCGTGTTGCCCAGGCTTGTCTGGATTTCCTGAGCTCAGACAATCCGCCGGCCTCAGCCTCACAAAGTGCTAGGATTACAGGCGTGAGCCACTGCGCCCGGCCTTTGTTGTCCTTTTAAAAGAGAGTTAAGTTTTTTTGTGGGTAGCAGTTGTATAACTTGTGGACTAGCTTAATCATTTTGAGGCTTTGTTTTGAAAATTATTACAGCAATTCTAGATTAGCCTTACTAATTTTGCCTTACTCTTTGGGGGTACCTCATGAATTTCCTGGGTATTCTACAAGATCTTTCCACTCTGGATTGCCAGAATTTTACTATCAGCTCTCAGAATTGTTCATCTGATTATTCTTTGCCTCGCCTAACTTTGTGGAGTTTTATTATGTATGCTACCATTTATTGTCTGGAAGAGACTCAAGGGGATCATTGTGCAGATATCTGAAACGATAATTTGCCAATCTTCCTCCTCTGCTATACTTTGCCCCATACCTTCTGACCACCTTCGTCTCTTCTCCCCACCTTTAATCTCTGTCTCCTCAACTCAGTGTGACTAAAGTTTTCTGCTTGGGCTGCCTGTCTTCCTCTGGTACACTAGAATGGTCCTATGTGTAAAACATTAGGATAATCACAGAACTCACCTCATGTATGTTCTTTCTCTCAGGGATGGCAGCCGTGTATACAAGTCTAATGTCTAAAATGGCTTTCCGTAGTCAAATGTTTAATAGAGTTGTTCAATATACTTTTATCTAGTAGTCTAGTTGTTTATGGCAGAAAGGCAAGTCTGATGCTAGTTATTCTAACACAAGAGAAGCTGAAGTTCTCCTATAACATACCTTATGGATTTCGATAAAATGTAGCCTGTTTGGGGAATAAAGAGTTAAAAAGCAAAGGAGAAGCCCTGCCTGGGTAGATAATAGGAATACTGTGAACTAGAAAAGTATGTGTTATTCAATTCAGTAAGTATACCTGGGGTACATTTACAAAGTTACATTTAAAACATGACTGTCTCCAGGCAGAACTTGCAGGAAGGGCTCATTAGACTACATAGTTCTTTAATTATTGGAGTAGTTTGCGGTAGGAGGGGAGGTAAATCAGTGTTCAAAACTGTGGCAGCAGCAATCACATTGTGGCTGGGGGCACAGAGGAATTGGGAATGGGCTAAAATAAGGTTGAGAGGGCATAGTTTTGGATGGCAGGAAAGCTTGGGTATAAACTCAGAAACCAATTTTGATAGCCATTATTACCCCTTACGTGAGAAATTACTCTGGATAAATCTCTCGTTGAAGTGCCAGAGGTTCGTTTAGTAGGAGACTGGCATCTTGCTGTACTACAATGTCTGGAGGTGTCGTTTATGAGATTAAAGGGACTGAGGTAGCTGGGGTATACGTCCCACCCAGAGATTGTCTGCAAGATAGCCCCACATGAAAGATTAAGGAGCTGAGCTGCTTGAGTTTTGAAATACCATCCATGGATGGATGACATAGGCAGTCTGCATGTCAGATCAGTAGCCTGGGTTGATTATAGGTGGATCCCCCATGCAGAAACATAAGCTAAGAAAGATCCCCTGGCTCCCCAGAAGACTGAGACAGCTGAAGGTATATGGAATCCCTTAGAGGGTTGTGTGACTTGACGGCATTTCCCGGAAGTATTTATTCCTAAAATACAGCTATGCCTATCATTGCTGAAAGCTACTTATCACAAAGACCTGGTTAAGATGGTATGATGGCTTGATATCTTTGTACGTGGGAAGATCTGCTTCTACTCACTGGTCTGATTCTATCAAGTGCCATAAGATGGCTCCCTGGTGTCTAATTTCCCTAGAACGTTCTTCAGGGCTGTCCATCAAATATGAGTATTTAGAGAAGTATGATGAAGTAGTTTCTGAAAGGAAGCCTGAAGTCTTTGGGCTTCTGTAGTCCCAGGTCTGGCTTAGCTATCTGGCCCCAGATGCACTAACAGATGTTTTCCAGGACAAGGCAGGCCCCCGCCAGTGGCAGTATGGTTTCCAAGTAACAATGTCTAAAATATTACTTTTTGTTTATCATCTTAGCAAAGCTTTTTAAAAAGACAGATCTACTTTTGATAAGAGTTAATTAATATCATACTCATAAACTTTCTTGTATGAAAGTCAATGAATTCTCTTTTGTTATAAATGTGTCGGCATGAATCAATAATATTTAAAATAATTATATTATTTATTAAATATTTTATCATGAAGGAATGTATCCTAAGTCAATAACAACTCTGTCATAAATGATTTTTCTGTTTATTGCAGCATTATTTATGATAGTAATATTAAGAACAAATCAAATACTCAAATAGAGTAATTAAATTATTTATGGTAAATTCATTTAAAGCAATAGGAGTTAGGAGTCATGGTGTCATTTTTCAAGGCTACCTAATATAATAGAAAAATGCTCATATCATAATACCAAGTGAAACTATTAGGAGAGTAATCATATACAATTTGATTCCAATCCTTTAGAAATGCCTGTACATAGACAACATAGGCAATTGTGGGAGGCAGTGCATTAAAATGTCAGCAATGGTTACTATTTTCATTATGGAAAAAGTCATTACTTTTAACTTTGTATCTTTATTTTTCCCTACATTCTCTACAGTTATTATATATTATGTGTTTAAAAAAGTTCATAGAACTCTATGTATTCTTTTTGCAATTTCCTAGGTGTCTACAATTAGTTCAGAATAGAAAGTGTTGTTTTTAAAGTAAATCTTGCACTAATTATCAGCTTTGATGGATTTCCCTGTATTGTTAATATCTGCTTACAACAGAAGCTGTGACTGCTCCTTTAGACAGATGGCAGAAGCACAGCATTTCTACCTCTTCAGATACCAATTTTCAGGCAAAAAGTAATTTTTAAAATTTTATCAGTTATTGTTCTTTTATTCATCTAATACATATTTATTGTGTTTCCACTATATACCAGGCAGTGTGCTGTTTGCTGGAAAAACAAGGATGAGTATAACAAAGTCCCTTCAGCCATGGTGTATATTTATATTGTTATGAGGAAATAGACAATTTGCTAGAATAAATTAGATATTATAAAATTAGGATCAGACATAATCTAAGTGTTATTTATGTGTAATAAAGTATTGAAATCTCAAGAGGACCACACAGTCCTGAACTTCAGTTAAAGATGATTTGAGTAGAACTACTGACACTTACCAGATATAAAAACATGTTATTTAATTTAAAAAAAAGTTATTTAAATTATCTGAGCATCAGTTTCTTCTCTGTAAATGGAAGGTAATAATACTTACCTCAGAGGATTTGGTGAATAATAAATAGCATGTAAAGTGGTTTGTACAATACTTGGCACATAATATAAACTCAATAAAAGTTAGCTATGACTAACTTTAACAGTTGACTTATATATAATGAGACTAAGAGTTTGCAAATAACAATTTAAAAAGCGATTGAAATACTGAATCAAATTATAGCTTATAATTACAGTAGTACAGTACTTTATACTATGGAGAGCACAGAGATAATAAGTTCTGAGGTCAATAAAAGTTAATGCTGAATGATTAAATAAAGACATGGCAGTGGAACAAAGAATCAGTGAAAAAATATTTCATTAACATAGTGATGAAGAAATAGTGTTAGCAAAGAAGAAGAATAAAAACAACACTGAGAGATAGTGAATTCTAATACTGTTGAAATATTTATAATATTCACTGGAATATTTTATCAGATAGTTTTCAGTTTGTTTTGTAAAATCTTTACACTCATTACAGATACGTAATTAAAGTTACGTCACTTTCCAATCTATGTCCCATAAAAATGTCATTTACACAAAAATCCACAGAAAATGTTGAATAAATATTTTTGCTGGTTATTATCCATGTAACCTTCATTCCTGTCCATGTAACCTTCATTCTGTAAGATGAAGGTCATGATTCTGTGTTGTTTGCATTGCTCAGGGAGAAAGGAAGTCTGAACTCTTTTCTAATTGTTAACTGAAGAAAACATGATGGATTATCCGGAGGTCATAGTAGTTTTTGTAGGACTCAATGGAATACTGATGCAGTAAATTTAAAATAACAGTATTTACATGTGTGGCAAATTAGAGACCATCCAACATTGCATTCCTGTACTTAACAATAAGAAGAGGAAACGGTTGTTGAGTGCTGATTACGAGCCATGCTCTCTTCTAATCACAGTGTACATAGTAACTCATTCAGCCCCACAACAACTTTAGAAAGTAGGTACTAGTATTTTATCCCATTTCACAGATAAATAAACAGAAGCAGAGAGAGATGAAATAACCTTTCCAAGGCTGCACAGCAGAAGATTTAAATAAAATCAAATCATTTCACTCCAGGCTTTAGGCCTTCTCACTACGCCTTCTCTACTGCCCAAGATTTAAGAAAAAACAGAAAAACAAACAGAAGATAAATGTGACTTTTTTCAGTTTTAACAATTACTAATTATTGAATAAGCAGAAAACTTTGTTCAATTTCGTGTAATATTGTGGCTCAACTAGAATAAAATTTAAGAACTTCTTTGCAGAAAATAACCTGCTAAAGCATTGGAGGCTTAAGGGACACCAGGAGATAAGTAATGGTGTAATATTTTCCTTTTCCTCTCTGGATTAATGTAGCATAATAATAAAGATGATAGTGAAACAGGAAAGGTTCCCTTGTCCCCCTCACAGGGCATGCGATGGGGGTGTGGCTCACTTCTTCAGTGTCCCGCTGCTCAAACCTCTAGGGTAGCATACAGATGGGCAGGCTGTGGGGCTCCAACCCCACGGCAGTGTCTCAGGGTGAATGTTTACAGCCGAAGCCCCAGTGGGTGTGTGTTGCAGGGTGCTCTTTTAGTTTGCTGTCTATAGGTGGCTTGTATTAACCAGCTAAATTAGAACCTCTACCTTGTCGCAAGGATAGAGGGTTTTCTGTATCCTGGGTTCTTGCCTTGGTGTACCGGAAGAATTGGATCACACATGGGCTTGTAGAATGAGTGTAAAGTTGTATTGAGTGGCAGCAGCTCTCAGCCAATGAGGGATCCAGAGAGGAGATGGTTTTCCCCTGGAGTTGGGCCGCTTGGCGGTCCTGGCTCTCCTCCAACGGCTCCAGCCAAACAAACTCCGCCTCATTCGGCCAGTCCGTGGCCGCCGGCATCTAGTGGTGTGCTCTTCCCCGGCATGCCCCCCTTGACATCCTCTCAACTTCCAGCCGCTTGTTTTCTTCCGCCCATGTGTTCCTCTCGCTGTCAACCTGCTTCTGTCTGCCTGCTAGGGTATCGGGGGTTTTTATAAGCACAGGATGGGGGCCTGGTGGGCCAGGGTGGTCTTGGGAAATGCAACATTTGGGCGTGAAAGCGGGAGTGCCTGTCCTCACCTACGTTCGTGGGGGTGGAGCCCTAGCCAGGGACTCGCCTTTCTCTCAGGGAACCCAGCACTTCCCTGTCCCCCTCCTGTATCAATAGTAACAATATCATTGATTAAAAACAAAAATAGCTAATGACAGCTAGTACTATGATTGGCACACATAGGTCCTCAATAAATATTTGATGAATTAATGATTAATAATTGAACACTTCTTATATGTAAAAGTGGATCTTACATAAACAACTTAATATTATTTTACCACTTTATAAATGAGGATATTTAGCTATTAAGAAGTTAAGTGGTTTATTTAAAGGTCAGCTTTAAAGTGGTAGAGCTAAGATTCAAACATAATTTATCTTATTTTCATTCTTACAGAGCTTTCTGTTTCTAAATTTTCTACAAAGACGTCGAACGTCTCTCACTATCTCCATATTTTATAGGATGGAAATAGAAATTCTATCAGGCACTCATCCAACCCAATTATTTTAAAAACTACCTAGTTTGTTTCATAGAGTTTGCTGTAATGGCTTTTTATGTTTAAATAATATGTGTAAGCACTATGTAATGCAAAAAGCTCTGCCAAATTTTATCTCATTTGATAGCTTAATACAACTATGAGATAGATTGAGATGAATTACTGTTATTCCTAGTTTGACAGATAAGAAAAGTGATAGAAAGATCAGCAGCTGTACTCAAGCTGAAGCACTTAGCTATGGAGACATCTCTAACCCAGCTCTTTTGACTCCAGGCTTCTGTGCTTTCCACTGAATTTCTTTGCATTCCTGTAATGCTAGTGAGATTAATGGCAGACATCTTGGGAATCCTTTCTACTTTACAACATAACTATTGCAGAGAGGGCTCCCTCAGAAGCAGATCCTGGGGCAAGGATATAGTACATGTAGTTTATTGGAGAGAAACAAAGGCTATGGGTAGGGGAGGGCTGCCCAGGATGAAATCACTCCCTCAGCTTCAGCAGTGTTGCCGGCTGACAGACCTCAGCTCAACTTCTCTCTGGGACTTGCCCTCGGTTGAAAAGAACAGCCCTACTCAAGGTTATATCACTTTCTTGGGGACAACCCCTATCTAATGACTGATCCAATGCAAGAGGAATAAGCCCTTCCCTGTTTCCCCAAGTCAGAAAAACCTTGAAGGGCTTTCTGGGCTCTGGAGAACCATGAAGAATGGGCTGGACCTTTTGCTGGGAATAGATCATGATTCGCTTTCTCTCTTTGCCCAATCCCACTTTCTTAACTCTCTCCAGCAAATGTTTAAAGATGAGACTGGAAGCATCTTACCAGTCACTCTGTTGTATTTCATTAATTACTGTTGATATTTAAAGGATAAGTTCTAGAAAGTGTGGTAGGTTAGAATTTACATAAATACTTAATGTGTTGGCAAGAATGTTTTTGAATTTGTTTTCTCCCTCAGAAAACTTTTTTTTCTATTTGAATGTGTTGTGATAAATGAGGCAATGTGTTAGATAATTACAACTTATTTGAAGAAGACACTATAAATCTTAGTTTTTTTTATTAGATTATTGTGCTTACTTTGCATTCATTTGGAACAGACATGATAGCCTTAGATTTTTGCAAGTATAGTCAGCTCCACAAAGGAGTTCAGTGTCAACAAATTTAGGATTTGAAGTATGTATCTCAACAGAAAAGTCTTAAACCTTAGAAGAAAAATATGGCTTTTAAAAACACTTTTTCTACTAAAAGTCAAGATTCCTTGCTTAACCTGGTGAAATTACAGACTTGATTGTGTCTGGGATTCCCCAGAGAAGGTGATTCTCCCATCGTGATGTTTACTAAGCACACTGAGGAGCAAATCAGCCTTGAGGGCCAGAATGTGACACACTTTTTCATCTCTCTGTCTAGCTCTCCCCAGAGTCCTCCATATTCAAACCTAATAAAGATCTAGTTTTGCAGTTAAAATACAGGTGAAAAATTCAAAGATCCTTATGCTGCTTCACATGCAAAGAGCACAACCTTTACTGATACCATTACCTGGAATTAGCAAAATCATTTTTATGCACTGTAAAAGATTTTCCCATTTTCATGTTGGTTATGGTTTTGTTCAAAGGCCAAAATCTCAGGATTGTAATGCAATAAATCCCTTGACCAGCTGACTTCTGTGAACATATTTTAAAACAGCTTGTAATTTTTTATGTATTTTTTTATTTCTGTTGTTCTAATGAAGGTTTCTGCTGCAATTCACAGCCCTGATCTAAGTCAAATGAGAACACTTTCCCATTAAATAGCATAGAACATATGAGAAAAATATTGGACAGCAGGTGGTGTCAGATTTATATTTTCTAGTTTTATAGTATCTTTCTCCAAGAAATCTCCAAGCTCTATATGCAATACTTGAGTATAGCATTTGAATAATGTGTGTACCTTTGAGAGAGTTTTTCCAAAGCACACACATAGTCAATTCTTTTCTAATGACTATGCATTGTAAAGAGCTTCTTAAATTTGCTTTTAATCAACAGTTTTGTTATTGTTGTGCATTTTGTTTCTAGTCCTCTCAAATTTTACATGGAGGAGGTGTTTGACTGCCTTGCTCTATGGTCACTGTGCCTAGTTAGTATTGTATATGAATCTGCACTGAAGTATAAGTTAGAAGATGCATTCAAGTTCCAGGACCTCTGCATTATTACCTGAGAAACTGGAATAAAAAAATTAGTCTCTTCAAAAATTACTAAACATCTACTCTTAGGATTTCTGTGAAAATTAAAAAGATATTGTGTGTCAGAAGCTTGGACAATGATTCTGTAATGATTCTCAGCAGAGACTCCATGAAAGTTGGCTCCATTCTCTACCTTTTCTATCCTTTCTGATTCTAAGTTTTCTCATCTGTTATGAATAAAATTTTCCAAAGCACTTTAGAGAAGTAGATCTATATTTATGCTATTTCTACTATATATATTCTACAAATTCACAATGTCAAAATGACAAAAGGGATTATCATCGCTGCCCAACACTGCTTATGAAAGGAACACAGACATCGGAGAATCACAATTCACTGAGGGATGATTCCCATGGATCCAACTACCTGAAGGAATGCCTGGATCAATTCCTCACGACCCAAATATTGGATTTAACTGAAGTTCTCTCACTATCACAAAGTGATTTTCACATACAACTGTTGTCTGCATTTTTTCTTCCTTTTATTCAAGTTTAAATGAAGCAATCAAAAAACACTTTGAGCAGAAACTGTGACCTGAGAAATGAATTAGGCAACAGATGATGTGTTTCTTCAGCCCTAAGGTTCTTACACTACGTATGTAAAGAAAACAAATGGACTTTGAGTTCTAGCTATGACATAACAGTCTATGTCAGATTAACTTTCCTATTGAGGGTCTTGGAAGAGTAGTAGGAGGTGGGAATATAAAAGCTGGAAAAAGTAGGTAAAAAACGAAAATAAAAAAGCTAGTGGAAGGCACTGGAGCATAACCAGTGCAGGTAGAGTTTCAGTCTATGATCCTCAAGAGGAGGCAAGCACAGTAGGTGAGCTTCATATTCATCTAAGCTTTTTCTTCTGAGGACATTTTCAGAACTTTGTTGCTGGAGAAAGGAGATTGGCAGAATTAATTGGCTGAGAAGACAGAGTTCGGATCTTCTAGCATTTTACAGGCCAAGTCCTGGACAGAAAGGCAATGCAATGATGGAGTTCCAAAATCTGTCTGCCTACTCCTATGAGTCTTTGACCAATACTTAAATTGTGTGTGTACAGGGAAAGTCATCAAACCAAACCAAACCAAAAACAACAACAGAAAACACAATAGAACATAACATCTAGAAGATTAAAAGGCTGAGAGGAAATTTTAACATATCTGTTATGCTGTAAAGACAGAGGTTGGTACTCAAGCATTTCAAAGGTGGAGGAACTTTCATGAATACCCTGGGCTTTCAGATGAGACTCCAGAAAGGTCACGTCCTAGGAGGAATGGCCCACAAAAGGAATAAGTATCATATTCTGGGTGTAAGAAAAAGAAATCCTAAGAGAAGCAGCATTTAAGGAAGTCTAAAGCCATGCCTCCCTAGGATCACTCTGTTCTTCCAGAGGTCTTTCTGCCTCTCAGAAAAGACCTAGTAATCTTTAGAGAGAGATAACATCAAGAAGAGCCATTATTACTTTTTCCAGCTTTATTGAGGTATAATTAACGATTAAAAATTGTATATATTTACAGTATAAAATGTGATGTTTTGACATATGTATACATTTTGAAATAATTACCACAATTAAGCTAATTAACATATTCATCACCTCACTAATTATCTTTTTTGGTGCTGAGAACACTTAAGATCTACTCTCTTAGCAAATTTCAAGTATATAATACAGTATTATTAATTATATTCATGGCTGGGTGTGGTGGCTCACACCTGTAATCCTAGCACTTTGGGAATCTGTGGAGGGTAGATCACTTGAGGCCAGGAGTTTGAAACCAGCTGGACCAACATGGCAAAACTCCATCTCTGCTAAAACTATAAACAAATTAGCCGGGTGTCATGGTGCATGCCTGTAATCCCAGCTACTTGGGAGGCTGAGGCATGAGAATTGCTTGAACCCAGGAGGTGGAGGTTGCAGTGAGCCAAGATCATGCCACTGCACTCCAACCTGGGTAACAGAGCAATATATATATAATATATTATATATAATATTTTATATATGTATAATATATAATATATAAAATATTATATATATAATAGATAATATTTTATATATATATTACCATACTGCATGTTAGATCTCCAGAATTTATTTATCCCATCTAACTAAAACATTATACCTTTTGACCAACATCTCTCCATTTCCCACACCCCTCCAGTCCCTAGAAACCACCATTCTATGCTCTGCTTCTATGAGTTCAACTTTTGAGTCCTCTTATAAGTGAGATCATACAGTATTTGTCTTTTTGCACCTGGCTTATTTCACTTAGCATAATGTCCTCCAGGTTCATCCATATTGTTACAAATGACAGGATTTTCTTCTTTTTAAAGCTGAATAATATTCCACTGTATACAATATACCACATTTTCTTTGTCCATTAATATGTCCACAGACACTTCAATTGATTCCATATCTTGGCTATTGTGAATACTGCTTCAATGAGCACATAAACACAGACATCTCTTCAAAATATAGATTTCAATTTCTTTGGAGATATACCCAGGAATAGGGTTGCTAGATCATATGGTAGTTTTATTTCTAATTTTCTGAGGAAAATCCATACTATTTTCCATAATGGCTATATTAATTTATATTTTCACTAACAGTATACAAAAGTTCCCTTTTCTACATATCATTGTCTACAATTCTTGGAGTTTATTTTTGGTCTTTTTTATGATAGGCATTCTAACAGATGTGAGATAATATCTCATTGCAGTTTTGATTTGCATTTCCCTTATAGTTAATTATGTTGAACACCTTTTCTTACAGCTGTTGTCCATGTGTTTCTCTTCTTTGGAAAAATGTCTATTGAGGTCCTTTGCCCATTTTTAAAAAGATTATTTGTTTTTTAGCTATTGACTTACTTGTGTTCTTTATGTATTTTGGATATTAACCCCTTATCATATATATGGTTTGCAAATATTTTCTTCCATTCTGTAGGTTGTCTCTTCCTTCTGTTGATTGTTTTCTTTACTGTACAGAAGCATTATAGTTTGATGCAATCCTATTTACTTTTGCTTTTCTTGTCTGTGATTTTGATATGATATCCAAAAAAAAAACCCCACAAAACTAAACATTACCCGAATCAGTGTCAAGAAGTTTTTTTCCCTGTGTTTTCTTCTAATAGTTTTCAGATCTTATGTTTAAGTCTTTAATCCATTTTAAGTTTATTTTTGCATAGGCTGTGAAATAAGGGTCCAGTTATATTCTTCTGAAAGTGGAGATCCAGTTTTCCCAATACCTTTCATTGAAGAGATTGTCCTTTCTCCATTATGTGTTCTTGGCACTTTGGTTGAAGATAAATTGCCTGTAATTCCATGTATTCATTTCTGGGCTCTATGTTCTATTTCATTGGTATATTTTCTGTTTCTATGCCAGTGTCATGCTGTTTTGAGCATAATAGTTTTATAGTATATTTTAAAACCAGGTAGTGTGATGTTTCCATCTATGTTCCTCTGGCTCAAGACTAATTTGGCTGTTTGGAGACTTCTGTGGTTCCTTAGGAATTTTAGGATTGTTTTTGTATTTCTACAAAAAACATCATTGGAATTTTGATAGGGGTTACATCTGTAGATTGCTTTGGGGTAGTATAGGCATTATAACAGTATTAATTCTTCCAGTCCATGAACATTGAATATCTTCCATTTATTTGTGCCTTTAATTTCCTTTATTAATCTTTTATAGTTTTCAGTGTACAAGTCTCTCACTTGCTTGATTAAATTTATTCTTAAGTATTTTGGGGGCTAATGAAAATGAGATTTTTTTTAAAAAATTTTTATTTAGATAGTTTATTGTTAGTGTGTAGAAACACTACTGATTTTTGCATTTTTATTTTTCATCCTGGAACTTTACAGAGTTGTTCATAAGTTATAGCAGTTTTTGGTGTAGACTTTAGGGTTTTCTTTATTGAGACCATATCATCTGCAAATAGAACAAATTTTACTTCTTCCTTTGTCATTTGGATACTTTTTATTTATTTTTCTTGCCTAATTTATCTGGCTCAGACTTCCAGTACTATGTTGAAGTGATGAGTTGGAAATCTATATCTTTTTCCTGGTGTTAGAGGAAAAGCTTCCAGCTTTTCATCATTAAGTATAATGTTAACTGTGGGCTTCTCATATATGACCTTTATTATCTTGAGGTACATTCCTCCTACACCTCATTTTTTGAAAATTTTTCTCACGAAAGGAGGATGAATTGTATGAAATGTTCTTTTCTAAATTTTTTGAGATGATAGCGTAAATTTTATTCTTCATTTATTAGTGTGGTGTACTACATTTTTTGATTGGCATACATGTTGAACCATCCTTGAATCCCAGAGATAAATCTCACTTGATCCTGATGAATAACTTTTCTGCTCACCAAGACTTCCAGTAAAATACCTAAAGCCAATCAAGTTAGTTAACATTCTTGTTTTGTTCCTGTATCAGGGGGAAATTGTTAAATATATTCTTAGTATGCTGTTAAATGTAGGATTTTTTGTAGAACTTTTTAAATGTAGGATTTTTTGTAGAACTTTTTGCCTGATTAAGAAAATTTCCTTATATTCCTAGCTTGTTGGGATTTTTTACAGTAAACAGGTGTTGAAATTTATCTGGTGCTTTTTCTGCCTTTATTGAAAGAATCATAGTTTTTCTCCTTTGTTTTGTTAAGGGGATGGTATGAATTACATTGATTGATTTTCAAAGGTTAAATCAACCTTGTGAATACAACATACTTCATGATGTGTTATCCCTTTTATGTATAGTTGCATTTGATATTCTTGTATTTTATTAAGGATTTTTTCTCTTATGATTGTGACAGAGATAAGCTTGTTAAATTGATTTACTGGGTTCCTAACTTTATATCTGGTATTATTCAGTTCTAGAATTTATTTTATCTTTCAGTTATGATCCCTTCTATATTTTTCCTATTTATCTTTCAAAATTCTCAGCTTACATCTTAATTAAAATATATGTTATATCCAATATCTAGAGCTCTGTTTTTCTGTTTATTTGTTGCTTTTTAAAGTTTCTAATCATACAGATGATAGATGTGTTTATTTTGATTGTCTAACAGATATTATACGTAGAAATTTTTTTGTAGTTTCAATTTCTATGGGGTCAGTGGTGATATCCCCTTTGCTATATTTTATTGTTGCTATTTGATTCATCTCTCTTTTCTTCTTTATTAGTCTGGCTAGTAGTCTATCTATTTTGTTAATTTTTTTAAAAAAAAACAGCTCCTGGATTCATTGATTTTTTAGAGAGTTTTTCATGTCTGTATCCCCTTCAATTCTGCTCTGATCTTAGTTATTTCTTGTCTTCTGCTAGCTTTTGAATTAGTTTGCTCTTGCCTCTCTAGCTCTTTTAATTGTGATGTTATGGTGTCAATTTGAGATCTCTCTAGCTTTCTGATGTGGGCATTTAGTGCTATAAATTTCCCTCTTAACATCACTTTAGCTGTGTCCCAGAGATTCTGGTACATTGTCTCTTTGTTCTCATTGGTTTCAAATAACTTCTTGATTTCTGCCTTAATTTCATTATTTACTCAGGAGTCATTCAGGAGCAGGTTGTTCAATTTCCATGTAATTGTGTGGTTTTGAGTGAGTTTGTTAATCCTGAGTTCTAATTTGATTGCACTGTGGTCTGAGAGACTGTTTGTTATGATTTCACTTATTTTGCATTTGCTGAGGAGTGTTTTACTTCTAATTATGTGGTTTATTTTAGAATAAGTGTCATGTAGCACTGAGAAGAACATATTTTCTGTTGATTTGGGGTGGTGAGTTATGTAGATGTCTATTAGTTTCTCTTGATCCAGAGCTGAGTTGGAGTCCTGAATATGCTTGTTAATTTTCTGTCTCATTGATCTGTCTAATATTGACAGTGGGGTGTTAAAGTCTCACACTATTATTGTGTGGGAGTCTAGGTCTCTTTGTAGGTCTGTAAGAACTTGTTATATCAATCTTGGTGCTCCTGTATTGGGTGCATATATATTTAGAATAGATAGCTCTTCTTGCTGCTTTGTTCCCTTTACCATTATGTAATGCTCTTCTTTATCTTTTTAGATCTTTGTTGGTTTAAAGTCTGTTTTGTCAGAGACTAGGATTTCAACTCCTGCTTTTTTTTTTTGCTTTTCATTTTCTTGGTAAATTTTTCTTCATCCGTTTACTTTGAGCCTATGAGTGTCTTTGCATGTGAGATGGGTCCCCTGAACACAGCACACCTGATGGGTATTGGCTCTTTATCCAATTTTCCAATCTGTGTCTTTCAACTGGGGTATGTAGTCCATTTACATTTAAGGTTAGTATTGAAATGTTATGTGTGAATTTGATCCAGTCATCATGATGCTTATCTGGTTATTTTGCACACTTGTTGATGCAGTTTTTTCATAGTGCCATTGGCATTTATATTTTGGTGTGTTTTTGCAGTGGCTGGTACCGGTTTTTCCTTTCCATATTTAGTGCTTCTTTCAGGAAATCTTGCAAGGCAGGTCTGGTGGTAATGAAATCTGTCAGCATTTGCTTGTCTGGAAAGGATTTTACTTCTCATTCGCTTATGAAGTTTAGTTTAGCTGGATATGAAATTCTGGGTTGAAAATGTTTTTCTTTGAGAATGTTGAATATTGGTCCCCAATCTCCTCTGGCTTGTAGAGTTTCTGCTGAGAGGTACTATAAACACTTCTATGCAAATAAACTAGAAAAATCTAGAAAATGGATAAATTCCTGGACACATGCACCCTCCTAAGACTAAACCAGGAAGAAGTCGAATCCCTGAATAGACCAATAACAAGTTCAGAAATTGAGGCAGTAATTAACAGCCTACCAACCAAAAGAAGCCCAGGACCAGATGGATTCACAGCTGAATTTTAACAGAGGTACAAAGAGAAGCTAGTACCATTCCTTCTGAAACTATTCAAAACAATTGAAAAGGAAGGACTCCTTCCTAACTCATTTTATGAAGCCAGCATCATCCTGATAATAAAACCAGGAAGACACACACACACACACACACACACACACACACACACACACACACCACTTCAGGCCAATATCCCTGATGAACATCAGTGAGACAATCCTCAGTAAAAATTAGAAAACCTAATCCAGCAGCACATCAAAAAACTTATCCACCATGATCAAGTTGGCTTCATCCCTGGGATGCAAGGCTGGTTCAACATACACAAATCAATAGATGTAATCCATCACATAAACAGAAACAAAGACAAAAACCACATGATTATCTCAGTAGATGCAGAAAGGCCATTGATAAAATTCAGCATCTCTTCATGTTAAACACTCTCAATAAACTAGGTATTGATGGAACATATCTTAAAATAATAAGAGCTATTTATGTCAAACCTATAGCCAGTGTCATATTAAATGGGCAAAAGCTGGAAGCATTCTCTTTGAAAAACTGTACAAGAAAGGATGCTCTCTCTCACTGCTCCTATTCAACATAGTATTAAAAATGCTGGACAGGACAATCAGGCAAGAGAAATAAGTAAACTGCATTTGAATAGGAAGAGATGAAGTCAAATCGTCTCTTTTTGCAGATGACATGATTTTGTATTTAGAAAATCCCATCAACTCAGCCCAAAAACTCCTTAAACTTCAGCAAAGTCCCAGGATACAAAATCAATGTGCAAAAATTCCAAGCATTCCTTTATGCCAACAATAGACGAGCAGAGAGCCAAATCATGAATGAACTCCCATTCGCAATCATTGCAAAGAGAATAAAATACATAGGAATACAGCTCACAAGGGAAGTGAAGGACCTCTTCAAGGAGAACTACAAAGCACTGCTCAAGGAAATAAGAGAAGATATAAGCAAATGGAAAAACATGCCATCCTCGTGGATAAAAAGAATCAGTATCATGAAAGTGGCCATACTGCCCAATGTAATTTGTAGATTCAATGCTATTCCCATTAAACTACCATTGACATTCTTCACAGAATTAGAAAAAAAACTAATTTAAATTTCATAGGGAGTCAAAGAAGACCTCATATAGCCAAGACAATTCTAAGCAAAAAACAAAGCTGGAGGCATCATGCTACCTGACTTCAAACTATACTATAGGGCTACAGTAACCAAAACAGCATGGCATTGGTACAAAAACAGACATATAGACCAATCAAACAGCACAGAGGCCTCAGAAATAATGCCACACATATAAAATCATCTGATCTTCGACAAACCTGGAAAAACAAGCAATGAGGAAAAGATCTCCTATTCAATAAATGATGCTGGTAAAACTGGCTAGCCATATGCAGAAAACTGAAACTGGACCCTTTCCTTACATCTTATACAAAAATTAACTCAAGATGGATTAAAGACTTAAATGTAAAACCCAAAAACATAAAAACCCTAGAAGAAAACCTAGGCAATACCATTCAGGACATAGGCATGGGCAAAGGCTTCATGATGAAAACGCCAATAGCAATTGCAACAAAAGCCAAAATTGACAAATGGGATCTAATTAAACTAAAGAGTTCCTGTACAGCAAAAGAAACTATCATCAGAGTGAACAGACAGCCTACAGAATGGGAGAAAATTTTTGCAAGCTACCCATAGGAGAAAGATTTAATATCTAGAATCTACAGGGAACTTAAACAAATTTACAAGAAAAAGACAAACAACCCCATCAAAAAGTAGGCAAAGGATAGGAACAGACACTTCTAAAAAGAAGGCATTTACGCAGCCAACAAACATGAAAAAAGCTCAACATCACTGATCATTCGAGAAATACAAATCAAAACCACAATGACATATCATCTCATGACAGCCAGAATGGTGATTATTAAAAAGTCAAGAAACAATAGATACTGGCGAGGCTGTGGAGGAATAGGAACACTTTTACACTGTTGGTGGGAATGTAAATTAGTTCAACCATTGTGGAAGACAGTATGGCAATTCCTCAAGGATCTAGAACCAGAAATACCATTTGACCTAGCAATCCCATTACTGGGTATATACCCAAAAGAATATAAATCATTCTACTATAAAGATACAGTCACACAGCTGTTTATTGCAGCACTATTTACAATGGCAAAGTCATGGAACCAACCCAAAAGGCCTATCAGTGATAGACTGGATTAAGAAAATGTGGTACATGTACACCATGGAATACTATACAGCAATTAAATGGAATGAGATCATGTCCTTTGCAGGGACATGGATGAAGCTGGAAGCCATCATCCTCAGCAAATTAACACAGGAAGAGAAAAACCAAACTTGACCGCATGTTCTCACTCATAAGTTGGAGTTGAACAATGAGAACACACAGACACAGGAAGGGGACAACACACACTAGGGCCCGTTGGCAGGTGGGGGGTGAGGGGAGGAAACTTAGAGGTTGGGTCAATAGGTGCAGCCAACTACCAAGGTACACGTATACCTGTGTAACAAACCTGCAAGTTCTGCACAGGAATCCTGGAAATTAAAGTAAAATAAATTTTAAAAAGAAATTTATTTGTAGATATAATTTGAAGATTAGAATAATTTTACTATCCAGTATAAATAACTCACATTTACTCTTGCTGATTATTTAAGGATATCAGCAATCTGGGAATTAAGAATATTTAAAGTTTTTCTTGTGTTTTATTTTATTTTTGTTTTTGTTTTGCAGTGTCTGGGAGAGCCTCTATTTCCAGTTCACTCTTATCCTAAACTGTAGCCCTTTAGAATCCCAACCCAAATCGTTGAATTTACTGCAATTCCATGCTTTTTGATCCCTGGACTCCAAAAATTTTCTTTTCCATGCCCCAGTATGTTGTCACAAGTGCTTGTCAAACACTACCAAAATAAATGCCACCCCAAATGCTGGTTAACCTGTTTTGATTTCTATGTTCTTTTGGATATGGTCCCAGTAAAATATTCTTCATCTTATTAGTGTCAAGGATATCTATATGTCTTTATACCTCTTTGTACCTATCTCTCTTTCTCACTCGCTCTGTCATTGATCCTTATCAATTCTAGTTGTCCTTGGTGAGAAGATTAATTCAAATCATTTAATTGATTATTAATGTGATATTATTATCATTGCTATTAATGTAATTAGGAAATGTGATTATTACACTTAGTTTCTAGTGGTTGATAATTCTTTGAATGCTGAGATTATGATTTTTATTTTATTTTTAAACATCTTTATTATTTATAGTAAACAGATGTTACATGTGCAATAAGAAAAAAATATTTAAAATTATTAAGGATCAGTGTTGGAGGGACTATATTTTCTGTAGGTTATAAGAAAAGTCATGGAAGAAAATATAACATGAAAGTAACAGAACTCAGTAATTGAAGACAATATAAAAAACTAAGACCAGAGCTACTACCTTCTCCCCTATACACTGCACTCTCCTGGTTTTAGGAATACTCAACTTAAGCAGTAAAGTTTTCAGTGTATCTTTACTGAACTATGATATATCCAAAAAAGGGGGGCAGAAAGATGTTGAATTTCCAGCTGTAATGTGGAAGAGATGGAGAAACAGAAAATGCTTAACTGAGACAAGATTTAGGAGAGACATGAGAACTCTCTTCAAATATCTGAAAATTTAGTATGTAGAAGAGAGACTTAATTTAATGTATGTGGATTTCAAGTGAAAATAGAAAGTTAAATAAAAATAAGAATGGACATTTTCTAAAAAGTCAAAAAGTAGTATGGAGAACCTTGCAAAACGTAGTATTATTTGTCATGGGAAGTGCTAAAGCAAAGTGTGGATGATTAATCAAGCTTCCCTTAAATGAATGTATTCATTACAAATTTAGAATACTTGTAAAATTTTGTTTCTGAGGTTGTTCTAGCAGCAGCATATAGACTGCATTGTAGGAAAGAGAGCTTAGAATCAAATAAACTAGGTAATCTAAACACTAAATTATGAGAACCCAAGCATGTCTGTTGACAGCAGATATGGCAAAGGCATGGAAACCAAAAGGAATTTTTGCAAAAGAACCAAATGATGTACTGGTTTAACATATTTGCAAGATAAACTAAAAGATAATAATCAAAAATGCCTTTTTAATGTTGTACCATATTACTAGAGAAATGTAGGATTAAATTGGACAATAAAGGTAAAAACGCAATGATAAATTGTAGAGGATTTTTAAATATTTATCATTACATAAGTTTTTGTATAAAATTTTCCTTCTGATTTCTGAAACTACTTCTTTTCTTGAAAAGCAGCCATTTGTTCTAAAAAACGTTCTACCTCCGTAATCTGTCCTGCTGAAAAATTGCAACAACCCATGTGTGAATAATAGAAATTTTTCATTATTTCTGCCTAATTCAATTTTTAGCTTTCCCAATTTAAGGGATGTTCAGGCTCATTATCCATCCTGGAAAGGTAGATTATTGCTGATATAATGGTATTACTGTAGTATGGAACATCCAAAATTGATATAATTCTTCCCATGTCTTTTAAAATACCTATTTTTTCATTGTCCTTCTACTATTTGTATGGCTCTGCACAAGAAACTTGTGTTATATCAGGAAACAAGGTAATGCAATTCGCAATTTTTATAGTTTTCTTTGTGTTTTTGTTGTAGGGAGAATAACAGTCACCCAAAGATGTCCATATCTTAATCTCTAGATCCTAAGAATATGTTATTTGCACGGCAAAATGGAGTTTGCACATGTGATTAAGGACCAGAATTTAGGGGGATTATCCTGGATTAAGCAGGGCCAATCTAATCATATGAGTCCTTAGAAACAGACAACTTTTTCCTTCTGGAGTTAGAGAGAGATATAACTACAGAAGAATGTTTTTGAAGATGGAGGAAAAGGGGCATGGACTAAGGAAAAGGGAAGGAATTCTTCTCTAGAGCCTCCAGAAAGAAATACAATTCAGCAACACCTTGATTTTAGCCCTGCGAGAACTCTTTCAATCTTCTGACATACAGAACCGCAAGTAACAAATTTGTGTTGTTTTAAGCCACTAAGTTTGAGGCCATAGCAATCCTGAAAACTAATACAGTTGTTTTCTCATATGTTTATCACAAGCATGGATTTCCTCACTCATCTTATTAGTTTGAAATGTAGGCAGAAAAAAATACAGAGTCCAATTACCACTAGTTTAAACAGAGTTTTACTTCTCTTGTATAATGGAGAATCCAGATTTAGGCAGACCAAGGCAGGTGCTTCTGCTCAAGGGTGTCATCAGACCCAGACTCTTTTCAGATTTCTACTTGCCATTCTTTGCAAGTGTTTCATTCTTATCATTGCAAGATGGGTGCAGCTTCTCTAGGTATCACATCCTTACTCCAAGAAAGAAGGGATAGAGATTCTTGAGTAGACAGCAAAGTGGTATCTTCACAAAACTTTTCCTGAAGGCTCACTCAGCCTCTTCAGATTTTATGTTATTGCCAGACAGTATCATATGGCCACTCTAGTTGTAAGGTGGCTTAGAACTTGATATTCTTAGCCAGCCAGGTTCACTGCTACCTTGAATAAATTTGGGGTTCTGTTAGTAAGAAACAAGGGGAGTGGGTTGGAATTTATCACAGCCTTTATCTCTATGGAGACACATTTTAGGAAAAGCAGGGACTACTGCTGGAGTTGAAAGTTGTAACTTGTACTGTGGAAAAGTAAATGCGAGTAATTTGTAGAAAGGATTGAAACCCAGGGTCCATTATTTGGAGTCATAAGTATTATGTGGGCACTCTCTTGTTCTGTCCAGGCAGCTCTAACAGATACTATAAACTGGGTAGCTTATAAATGACAGAAATGTATTTCTTGCTATCCTGGAGGCTGAAAGTCCAACATCAAGGTGCCAGCAGAATCACTGTCTGGTAAGGGACCACTTTTTTGTTCATAGATAGTACCTTCTAGCTGTATCCTCCTCACGTGGTGGAAGGGATGAGGATTCTCTGTCAGGCCTCGTTTATAGGGGTACTAATTCCATTCATGAGGGCTTTGCCTCCAGGAACTAATCACCTACAAAAGTCCCCATATCCTATTATAATACCATTACCTCAGGCATGAGGATCTCAATGTATGAATTAGGTGGGAAGCAGCTTGGGGGAGGCAACAAACCTTCAGACCATAGCAGGCACTTAAATGAGTATAATTTTGTCTTAGTTTTCTAAGGCTGCCATAACAAAACACCATGTGTGGCCTAAACAACATAAATTTATGTTCTCACAATTTTGGATGTGAGAAGTCTAGGATCATGAAGTTAGCAATGTTAGTTTCCTCTGAGACCAATCTCTTTTGCTTGTAGTTGGCTGTTTTCTCCCTGTCTCTTCACATCATTTTCTTTCCATATGTGTCTGTGCCCTAATTTCCTTTTCTAATAAGGACACCAGTCATAATGGACTAGGGCCCACCCTGATGACCTCATTTGAACTTAAACACCCTATCTCCAAATACAGTCAAATTTTGAAGTACTTGGGATTGGACTTCAACCTATGAATTTTGAGGAGTCACAATTCATCCAATAGCGTATATATTCATGGATTTAAAAATCTTTTAATTCAATTATATGATAGGACGATGTACCAAGAGGAACACTGAAGAGATGTAAGTCTGTAAAGGTAGTCAACCCAGATTTGAATAATGTCATGCTAAGGTGTTTGTGTTTATTTTGCAAATAATGAGGAAAAAATGACTCATTTTAAACAGAGAAGTGTCATGAGCAGATTTGCATTTTAGAAAAATAAGCCTTTGTGATATTGGAGAAAGTTGTAAAGGGGGTAAGGCTAGAAGCAGGAAGACCAAGAGGTTAGTTTTTTAATAGCTCATGTCATTGAAAATGTCTGTGGAACATCATACAGCAGGGAAGGGCAGCATTGTACTGAGGTTTCTGGCATAATTTAATCACCTGACCCCTTTAATATGGGATGGGAAGAGGAAGAAGAATAATTTTGGGCCCCTGAGCTCATAGTGGTTGTATTTGTGGAGATCGAGAGTATAGAAGTTTATTTCAGTTGGGCAATTTTTCACTTTGACATACTCATGGCACATCCAGTAAGGCACTGGAAAAACACTCCTGCAGCAGTCAAAGATACAGGTCTGGATTAAAGAACAAATTAGTTAGTCGTCAATCTTTACGACAGTTAACTGAAGTCCCAGTAGTCCCATTCAACAACAAACTTAAATGTCACTCTGTGTATGGCCCTGTGCTTTCCTTCAGAACTATTCAGGCTCAATCATTGCTGTGTTCTAAATTGCCCTTTTTAGCCCACTCAGAATTGGGTGCCCTGCCAACATAATAATTCTATTTACTCTTTCCTAATTCATAAGATGATAAAACCTCTGATTAGCTGTCACCATCAGAGGTAAGACTCTCCTCATCACCTGATTAGACTAATCTAAAACATTGAAATTGGTCTTCCTGCTTTATATCTATCTACCCCTTCTCCAATCTTTCAATACACAACAGCTCCAAATCAAATCCTAAAATTGTAGTTTGTTTCACTGCTCCATCAGATTCCTGAGCCTGGTGCTGAAAAATCCCATGGTCTGGTTCCAACTCAGTCCTGTGACTCCATCTCTCTCTCTCCTTTCCTCTTCATGAACCTCCACTTGGCTATGCTCAGAGCATCCATTATCAGCTTACTTCTCTGTTTTCGTGTTCACATTGTCTAACTTTCACCTACCCAAGCCCTTGCTTTGCTTCTTAAAGCATTCTGTTTCCTTTAGAACCAGGCTTTCCTGATTGCCTCAGCAATGGTTCTCATCGAATTCTCTATGACATTTATATGGGTTGGAAATCATTTGCTGCCTTATATAGTGTATTAGTCAGCTTGGACTGACAAAGCAAAATACCACATACCAAGTGGCTTATTAACAGAAATGTATTTCTCACACTTCTGGAGACTAGGAAGCCAAAGATCAGGGTACCAGCCAATTCAGTTCCTGGTGACGGCCCTCTTCCTGGCTTGCAGATGGCCACATTTTTGCTGTGCACTCACCAAGCCCTTTCCTTAGTGTGTGTGTAGAGAAAAAGAGCTTGCTCTTCCTCTTCTTATAAGGCCACCAATTCTATTGGCTTAGGATCCCACTTTTATGACATCATTCATTTCCTCCTAAAAACCTGATATCCAAATGCAGTCATGTTAGAGGTTAGTGGTTCAACATACAAAATTTGTGGGACATAACCCTCTCCATAGCATATAGTCACTTAACTGTGTTATATTTACGTATGTCTTATCACCTCAGCTAGATTTGAGTTCCTCTAAGACAGAGTCTCTGCTATATACTTGTTTCTTCTCCTTTTCGGTATTTCTTATCAAGTTCTGGGTATCTAGTCACAAATACACATTGGATGAAAGAGTAGCACCAAGTCACTTCTTTAGCATGCACTTTCCACTCATCCCTTTCCACTTTGCTGGCTCTCATTTTCTAAACCTGTGACGTTCAGGTTTAGATTTCCAGATGGTGCATGCTTAATTACTCAGATAGTTTAGCTTGATGAATGACTAGCATTAAGAGTTAAGGATTAAATCCTATTCAGTCCTAAATTTTCTTATGAGGATGGGCATAGGTGTTCATGCACTCTTCCCTCTGTCCTCTGTTAGCCAGTGATAAATAAGGTCCAGCTTTGGTTTTCATCAGCCGCCCTCCCCTCGCTTCTCTTTAGTTTTCTGTCTTTAAAAGGGGTGTGTGGAGGTCTTCAGGGAGATGAATGAATCAACTTTTCCCGTAACTGTGATCAGGTCTTAAATTTTAAAATAGAAAAGTGTAAAAATGATCCTACTCTGAGATTGAATTTTCTTTTAATGCACTAATTCACACTTTTTAGATCATTTATATCCTGCAGTCTATCAAATGAAAGCATATGGGTAGACTTTAGTGCATGAATTATTGACAGCAAGGCCAGTCTTGTGTCCTTTGAGGCTCTTACAGTCTATCTGGTAAAAGCCTAAGTGGAGTTTTGAAATGTGTGGTTCAACAGTAGTATGCTATGCCAAAGAAGTTTAGAGCCAGACTCTACTTAGTAGCAACGTAACAGTTTATTTAGCTCATAATTATTGGGGGGTATGAAAGTCCGAATTAGTGAGTATCTGATTTTATACTATTTTAAAGAAATGCATTTTTTGTTTATGGCTATTACCAGCCCAGTAAAGTTTCTAATTTTATCCATCAACAAAATAAAATCATCTTTAAATGAAAACACAGCAAAAGAAAGTTACCTCTTCCATCTGATTTTTAAAAATACAGCAATGGAGAAATATTTTAGATTTTGAAATAGTATCAGACTTTTAGGTTCTTTATGTAAATTCTTTTGGAATGTGGTCTCCAATGTCTTCAGTACTGAACAGTAAGTAATGGCCTAAAGTGTACAGGGTCTTAGGAGGCTAACGACTGTGAAATTGAACTTTTGCTTTCTAATTCCACTATCTGTATAAGTGACCCTTCCCTCCTGCCTCACCCACGTTTGCACTGGCCATTTATTTACTACATTTATGCCCTTTTGACTTCAGTGCTTCAAAACCAACTACACACACATAAACAAATCCTCATATTTAATTATAATAACATGGATTTTAAAATCTGACCAATATTCAGCCAGGCTACATGTGCATATGTACATTATACAGCATTTCTTTCTTTAACCTACTTTATTACTGTCTTTATGCTGCTATGCTAGGGATTGTACCTGGAAATCACTTTGTAAGCAGAAATCAAGAATCACTGTGTCAAAGGAGTTAAAGGCACATGATTCAGTATTAGACAGACCTGGCTCCCAGCCTTGTCTCAGCAACATATTAGCCATTTGGCCTTGGGCAAACTGCTTTTAACTTTTTAAGTTATGGTATCTTAGTCTATAAAACATAATAAAAATGTACCCACCTGCTATCTTTGTTGTAATAATTAAATTCAATAATGTAGGCATAGTGCTGGCATATATTAGGTATTCAATAAATGTCAGTCGTTTTCATACAGATTGGCATCAAGTACCTTCCCTCTAAGTAATTGATACAAATCCTTTCTCTATGATACTGTCTTTAAAATAATTGGTACCAACATGGGTATTAATAAAAAATAATCAACCTTTTAATGGGGAACATTCTGACATATTAATAATTTTATCAACATCACCTCTATTTTTTATGTTTTCTATTTATTTAAAGTTTGTATTAATTGTTGGCAAATGTTCTTGCTTAAGATAGTTGAAAAGGAACCTAAATTGGTGAGAGCCATCTATGATAACATTTTATTGTATATTATTATGTTTTTGAGTAGTAACCCTTTCTAAAAGTAAACTTATGTCTGGTCTGTCTGGATGTAATAATAAATTCCAAATGAATGGAGTTCAAATAGAGATTTTTGCCTCATTTTTTTATGCGCTATTACTGTCACCACCCTTTTAGAATGTCAGTTCTGCTGAGTAGCTCTGCCATTTACTGAAAAATAGAGAAAAAAAAGATTTTCAAAGATGAGAAAGCCTTTTTAATTTTCAGTTTCATTTTCCAGGACAAAGCAAGCTTTCACTAAGCTAGAAAAAGCTTAAAGATTCTAACTCATTCACTCACCCCCATTGTGATATAAACCCAATTAATCCTAAGGAAAAGGGCACCTCCTCCAATAACTGTGTAGCTGCTGGAGTAATAACAATCTAGCCCCTAAACACCCACATGCCTCCACTGTGTTTTGGCATCATACTCAGGCTCTGCAATATGCTTTATGCTTTCTGCACCTAGGAAGTAGTGAGCTTGGTAAGGTGTCAAGATGAACCTCTTTAACATGGCAGTCAAAGAAGAGCCTCAAAGACACTTGGGGACCTGTTACCACCGTGAATCAAATCCATTTCTCTAAAGGATCTTCCTTTGTATCCCCCTTTTCTTGACTCTACTGGAAGAAACTATTGCTGTCATTATTAAAGTCATTAAAATGTTCTAGAAAAGAAGCTGTTTAGCAAACTCCAGTTTAGGGTCTATCTTGCCACATTTCGAAGTTCCAGCAGAAGGCTAGGGTCACAATATTTGGTGAGTTTCTGGTGGGAAAACAAATGAAAAACATGACTCCTAAGAAGTGAATCCTGACTTTCCTCACCAGCACTCCTCAATATATGTGTGCTCCCTGCTCAATAGTCTTGCTTCATGCTGACATCTTCCTCTGTGCTGGCAATTTTCAGGTTCTCTTGAGTCAAGGAACATGAGAGTATTGCATGCCAACCAAATTACTTCAATGTTGATTTGCACCAGAGCCAAGTATTCTTAGATGACAAGATGCCTCACCTGAGACAGATCATAGTATATGTTTTAAACATAGCTTCTGTGCTCTTCTGTTTAAATTATTTCAGAATCTCAACTTCCACCAAATTTAATAAACATTCACTGAGGACATGTCAGGGGCAGGGATCTGTCTACAGACTGTGAAGGATACAGAGTTGAAGAAGGCATGCCTTTGTTTTTACTCTGATACAAATCAAAAATCTCAAAAAATCATGAGATTAAAAAGAGAAAGGCAAAATTTCATATAATTATACAAAAAAGCTTTTGTATTGTCAACCAGCCTCATATTCAAGCCTACTGAATGTCTAACAATAATGGTTTTTTAATTGAGCCCCTGACTTAAGACATATTCCAGATACAACCCCATAGTCTGTTTTAGACTAACTTTGTCTACTTATTAAGGGAATAATGCAAAATCCATTAAAAAAAATGACCCATAAGGCCTTGTAGCTAAATAGAGACTACTTTAGTGTCACTGTAGATTATGGAACACAGAACTACTTCCTGTCTAGTAAAATCAACTGTAAATTATTTCTTCGGTCATCAGGCTCCTGAAATCATATTTCCATCAATTTGGTAGGTGATATTCAGGCCTGGACAGCAGCATCCAGTTTGATACTGAAAACACTATGCTCTAAAAATGAATTTGATTAACAATTAAGCATTTGTTGGGATATAACATGATAGCAAAAATGTAAGCAAAGAGGAAAGTTCTGATAAATCAGAAATGTTGCTAAAGTTGTAAACGTCACTAGAATGATAATGAGTTGCTTGATTGGATAAATAGAGACAGAAGGTGTATTCTCAGGGACATTTGTTAATGTTCATCTCATGAATCAACTAAGTGCAACCTAAAAACTGCTTCCACCATTTATATTTTAAAATTGAAAATTGACCACTGAGAATTGAGATGATTATATATCTAATAGTTTCTGAGGAAACTCATGTGAAAAATAAGAACCTGAAAAGCTGATGGTAAAATATCAGGTGAGTGTTGTCAGTTTCAGCCTGGGGGAAAGGTCAGTATCACCTAGGATTCCTCCCATTACTGTCTGTTTCTCCACTGGTGCCTCTACCACATCCACTGCAGATATTAACTGAATCTTATTTTTGCAAACTCCTGCTTAGAATTAAATAAATGTGTGTAATTGAGCAAATAAATACGGAATATTTGGCAAGGGATTCTATGGTGTAATAATTTCCAAAAATAATTTGAAAGGAATTTCTTAATAAAAACTCATCAGGACACATTTTACACTATTACAAAGGTGAAATGACAAATCTTTCACTTGAGTTCTTGGACTACTTATATTCCTTCCTCTCCCTGATGTCCCAATAGCGTCACAAACCCAAACTATGCAAGGAGCCTTTTGGTTAGAATCTCTGGAGTTGAGACAGCCTACAAGCAATCCCAACATCCTTTCTATGTGACCTGGAAATGTTATTCAGTCACTGTAATGTATGCTTTGGTCTCTTGTGTAAAAAGTTGGTAATCTTTATACCCACCTCATATGACCATTGAGAAGGACTTAAAGTGATAATGAATATGAAGCTCTTTGCATAGCATCTGACTTAGAAAACACACAATAAGTGTATATCTACATATATGCCATCTAGAATTGACTTGCTTGCCTTCCTTTGCAAATAAGCTCTTTCTCCTGACATTCTCATTTTGGTAAATTAAGATCAATATCCCTCTAAAGGCTGAGGCTCAAAACCTTAAGCATCATGGACTCCTTCATTGACATCAAGACAGCCTATCCCTTTACGGCCCCCTCCTCATCCCAACTTTATATGATCATTTGCTAAATTCCAGCATTTCATTCATCCACCATAATGTCTCTTGAATATTTCCCCTTAATTCTATCTGTTTTTAGAACAATCATACATTCATTCTCATCTAGGTTCCTCTGACAGTATCCTGATAAAGGTCCCTACTACTTCTCCCTTTAATCCTTCCTACATAGAACTTCCAGTTTAGTCTTCCTAAAGTTTTATTTTGACAGTGATGAATATAATCACTCCTAATAAATTGAGTATGGTTATTAGTCATTCATTAATTTAACAAATATTGAGCAATCAACTGTTATACTCCAGAAAATGTTCTCATCACTAAGGATATAGCAGTAAATATAATAAAAGTCTATGTCCTGAAGGAGCTGAAATTCTGATGAGCATAATAATTATACAGAAAACAACAACTTGATACATTTCTATAAAATAACAAGCTCTAGTGTGAATGCTTATTGTTATTAATCATACTTGACATATGCCTAAATATTGCCAACCATATTTCATGTATTTCCTATATATTACCTGTAAACCTTAGGCAACTGTTAAAATGATGATAGGGACAGGAAACAAAACAGGAAAATACTGGGTTGAAGAGGGTGGTTCCCTGGCAAAGGCCCACCCTCAAGCTGGGAAACCCATGACCCTAAATGAGAACAGGCATTTCTGTTTTCACGCCCAAAAGTTGCCTTTTGGCCCGCCATGTCCCTCCATCCTGTACCCATATAAACCCCAACCCCAGGCTCCACGAGCAGACAAGCAGACAAGAAGACGATAGGACTAACAGAAGAGCAGAAGAAGAGCAGAACAGTGGAGCAGAGAGAAGAGGAGTGTCTGTACGCCAAGAAGTGTTCAACTGGGGATGGCTGGAGAGATTGGCCAATGGATGGCCAAACTCCAGGGGAAGATCATCTTCCTACTCCATTTCCCTTCCAGCTCCCCCTGAGAGCAATCCATCCCCGCCCCCCGCACTGAGAGTCACCTCCACCACTCAGTAAAACCCCCGCATTCATCCTTTACGTCCGTGTGCTAACTGATTCTTCCTGGTCGCCAGACAAGGAGCTGGGTACCAAGAGTGCACCGAGCTGGTTAACACTTAAGCTGTCCATGGACAGCAAGGCTAATAGAGCACACTGTAACATATGCCAACTTGGGCTTCGGGAGTCACAGACTCCCATCCCTGGAGGCTGCCATGATGGCGGATCCCGCGGATGCTTGCCCCAGCTTCTGCACCTGCCTGTTTGTGTGTTACCCCTCCCGTAAGGGGTTTGAGTGCACATGTCAGCCAAAGAGATGAGCTACACCCCTGTCACACATCCTGTGAGTGGGGGTCAGGGAACTTTCTCATTTCAATGAGGCATGATTCTCATTTTATAACTGAGATAACTGAGGCTCAGAGATTAAGTAAATTGATTAACATCGTGAAAGTATTGGGAATCAGTGAGTAGTAAGTAGCGGGACTATTTAGTCTTCCACATTAGACCCATTATATCTATCTAATAACATAACCCAAGCAATTTTTATTACAACATGTCACCTGTCTTGTATGGTTCATATGGCTAAATATGGCTGAATAGCATGTTTAATATTAAATATGTGAACCCCAAGTATCTGAGACAGGTCAGGGTCAATTTAGGAAGTTTATTTTGCCAAAGTTAAGGACATGCACCCATGGCATGGCCTCAGGAAGTCATGATGACATGTGCCCTAGGTGGTCGGGCACAGCTTGGTTTTATACAGTTTAGGGAGACAAGAGACATTAATCAATATATGTAAGATGTACATTGGTACTTCCAGAAAGAAACTGGAAACAGGGAGGTGGCTTCCAGCTCACAAGTAGGTGAGAGAAAAATGGTTGCATTCTTTTGAGTTTCTGATTAGCCTTTCCAAATGAGGCAATCACATATGCATTTATCTTAGGGAGTAGAGGAATGACTGAATAGAATGGGAGGCAGGTTTGCCCTAAGAAGTTCCCAGCTTGACTCTTCCCTTTAGCTTAGTGATTCTTGGGCCCCAAGATGTATTTTTTTTTTTCACAGATACAGCACCATTGCCCTTACTTAACCCTTTTCTCTAAAGTTATTGCCTACTTCAGTTCTCTTATTCCACCTTTAAGCCGTATGGGGTTGCTCACACTTCCAAAAACCAGATTGGATTTTCCTTCCTCTATATAATGTCATCTTAAGATCCATAGACCTAGGATTCTCTTTCTTTCTCTCTTTGTCCTTATCTCTTCCAGTTCTCTGATAGCATTCAAGATCCAGGAAGCTTTCTAGAATTCTCCACAACAATTGAACTGTCCCTTAAGTAGACCCCACTGAAATTTTTTGCACCTTCACATTGTACCAACCTTATGCTGCTTTTTATTATATAATTTGCATACATCTTTGATTATCTTTGATCACCTAGATGCACTCCTTAATTCCTGTATCACTCAGTATAAGGCATTTATCATAATGCCTTGCATATTATATGAGTCCAGAATATTCTAGGAAAATCTGGGGGAGGGAACAAATGATCCCTTAATTTGCATGATGAGGTGTCTATCAACTATGCCACATTTAAGTAGGCCTTTTTCATGAAAGCTTTAAAATCTGTAAAGGACTAGCAACAAATATGGCTAAATTATAGTTGAATACTGTACAAAGAGACACATAAGTTCCATTGGCTTAGAGGAAAGGTGACAAAAAAATGATAGGTGATTGTGTAAGTTGTTAAAGTGACATGTCAAACAGTGCCTTGAATCCAGTCTTTTCTCTTCAGTCGTTTCTTTTCCAGACTTAGATTATTATGAGATTTTCAATGACCTCCTTAACAAAGACCAGTAGTGCTTTAGGGTTTATTTTTGGATGCTCCTGCCCTCCAGATAATTCCAAAAGGCACAGGAATATTTAAATTGAAAGGACAATAAAATGTACTTGGCTTTTCAGAACCTTACCGTACAGATTGGTATGCCCTAAAACAGTGAAAAATTTTAAAGAGCAATCATTCCTGATACAGTGAGACAGGACAGCCTCAGGTCACAAACATCAGCTTTACAGAAAAAAATGCCTGAGGGAGACCCAGATGTATTATCTAGAGGACTTTCACCTCTTCCTCCAGTTCTGGTGCCTGTCACAGCACCATCAATCCATTTCTAGCATTTTACTTAGCTACGAACTTCTTAGAGTGACAAGAGGGTGATTCATAATATATAGTAAGGCTTCCAGGAAGCTTTTTTACTTTAGGCTATGGGGTAAGTGAATCAGCCTTTTGCTGTCTCACAGGAACTACTTATCTTCAATCTTTCAATTAAAGGTCAAAAAATGAAAGACGACACTCTGGTTGTCTATTATGGTGTTTTGTTCCCATTGTCAGAGAATCTGTTCTTTACAAAGTTGTCTCTCAACCTGTTAAAGATTCACGTTCCCTTCCCCACCCTGTTTCTGATTTAAAATGTGAGAAATTTTCTCAAGAGATTTGGAAATCTTTGTGAATTATAAAAAAAGATGAAAAATTATAATTGTTTTTTAAAAAATGCCTTCCAAAGCTGCAATAATGTTTAAAGCCTTCATCAAAGAAGATTAAAGGCAAAAAAATTCTAAGAGTCAAACTAAACAGCTTTTAGGAAGTTAAAATAGTGCTTTTTACTACCTTACTCTGTATTTTTATAGCTAAATCAAGAGGAGGCCTAAGTAAGTTCATGCAATAAAAGCAAAAGCAGTCAATAAGTCAACAAGAGCTTACAATGTTCCAGGCTTAACATGAATTAATGTATTTAAACCTCACAGCAACCCTAGGAGATCGCTCTATTAGTACTACTACCCTACCAATGCAAACCTTGAATCACAGTAAATTGCCCAAGGTCAAACAGCTAGAAAGAGACAGAGCCTTGACTTGACTCCTTGAGGTCTGATTTTAGAGCTCAAGCTGCTAACCACTGTGTATTGCAATTCTGTAATAAAGAAAATGGATATGAAAAACTCAGACTCCAGAACTAATAATGGATTTGAAGTCTGAAATATTTTAGTCACTTAGGTCTTCATTTGCTCTCTATGTGCTGATGTGAGATACGTCTATTAACAATTAATCTTAGTCCTTCAAAAAACCTTCAGGAACAATCAATTACATTCCTCAACCCAAAGTCAATTTTTATTTATCAAATATCTCATGGACATTTGACCAACACTGTTGGATGAATGTTTGAAACTAATATTTATTAATATTTAACTAACTTCTATTATGCCCTTTCACGTGTAAGTTACTCTGCTAGTTGTTTTCACATACATTAGATACATTATCTTATTTAAGCCTCGAATGATCTTGTGAGGTATGTATACCCCACCCTGTTCTGAAGATGAGATCACTGAAGTCTAACAGATTGAATGACTTACCTTAGGTCAACAATTTGAAAGGAGAGATATGCTATTTGGAATTCTGATAATCTCCAAGTCTCAAAAGTTCACCAGCCATCCAGTAACATAAAACACTTTTAAATTAAAAAAGATCCCCTATGCTGAAATATAATTCACTCATGCCTAGTGTAGAGTGGTGGAGAATTATTTAAAGGCCAGCCTTCCCAATGATAAAGCACATGTCCTAACAGAAATTTACTAATGGATTATATTAACACGTTGCAACTGGAGGATTTAAAATCACCTAGGTATCATAGACATAACATGTTAATATTTCAAACACTTTAATTTCTAGGGACTTTTAAGTTCCCAGAATCCTAAGCCCCAACCCTGTGTCAGCTGAAAGTCTTAGGAATGCTTTTATGTAGTACAGTTCTTTCCATCATCTCCATTCATTTTGTATACATTTAGAAGGTGTAATTGTATTCTGTAAATTTTAAGAAATTCCAGGATTTCTGATGAAAACTAAGAAGATGCTAAACCAATAAAAATCTAGAACTTAGAGAAGGGGAAGTAGTGAGATGTGAATTTTCATAGTTTTATTTTCAGGGAAGTTATGCTACACATCACCGGGAATCCAATTAAATAAAATGGACCAAACTCTCCCAGCAAAATTCCCTCATGTGTGATTGGGGTCCAAGAGATAAATGCCTCTAAGCAAGCTCTACTAATGAATCTCACTGACATCATTATGGCTACTACCTTAATATTACAAGTTGCTGAGATCAAACTCTTCTCCAGCTGATATTTCATCCACAGCTGCTATAATAAAGGAATCGGTATATTTGGTGAATTGTAAGGCAAAAGCCATGTTCTGTTTGTGAAAGTAGTAGAACCAAACTTAATGAGCTTAGCCACCTCTAGAAGTAACCCTATGAAATGACTGGTTCCTGGCTAGCTATGTAGAAAGACATTTATTCATTTGCCTGAATAAAGTTATAACTTAATCAATAGTTCTATGGTCAAAATATCACTAGATATTACCATAGAAAGATGATGTCCTGGACAAAAGGAAACCAATGACCTTTAGATTCCTCACCATGTCTTCAACACAATCCAGATGTTGAAATTGGCAACTGCCATTGGCACATCTACTCCTCCAGAGGAATTAGATGTTATCAGGTCAACAGAATTTGATGCCATGGTATCCATTAAGGTTTTCTCATTGTTCTAATTTCATACGTATGGAGGCAATACTGAGACATTGCACTAATCCAGGGAGCATTGTTACAATAGAATGTAATGTAAATGGTGCCCTCTGCATTTGTACAATTCTGTTGCCTTTCTGAACTATATTTTGTAGACTAAATGAAGGATTGGATCAGGAGGGGAAGGAAACACTATGAAAGTGGGAGTTAGGCAGTTGCCAAAGTTAAGCCTTCTCTATATCATGGTAGTATCTTATTGTGGTTTGATTTGTATTTCCCTGATGACTAAAGATACTGAGCATCTTTTCCTGAGAGTATGGGCCATTTGTATACATTCTTTGAAGAAATGTGTCTTCAAAACCTTGGCTATTCAAAAAAATGGCTTTTTGTCCTTTTATTGTTGAGTTCTTTTTATACTTATTGTAAGAATTCATTATATATTCTGGATATAAGTCCTTTATCAAATATGTAATTTACAAATGTTTTCTTTCTGGTATCCATTAAAACAAAAGTTCTTGATTTTGATGAAGTCTAATTTATCTTTCTTTGTTTCTTGTTGCTTTGGGTGTCACTTATAAGACACTATTGCCTAACCCAAGAGAACAAAGATTTGCATTTATGTTTCTTCTAAGAATTTAATAGTTTTAGCTCTTATTTTTAGGTGTAAATCCATTTAAATTAATTTTTATATGTGGTTTGAGGTATGATGTCTAACTTCATTATTTTGTATTTAGATATCCAGTTGTACTGGCATCATTTGTCAAAATCAATTGGCTATAAATGTAAAGGTTTATTTTTGGACTCTCAGTTCTATTCCAATAATCTACATGTCTATCCTTATGTCAATATGATTCAGTCTTGATTACTGTAGCTTTGTAGTAAGTTTGGAAATTGGGAAATGTGACTCTTCCATCATTTTCTTCTTTTTCAAGATTGTCTTAGCTATTCTGGGACCGATGTATTTTCATATAAATTTTAGGATCAGTTAGTCAATTACTGCAAAAAAATCCAGCTGAGATTGTGATAGTGATTGCATTTCATGTGTAGATTAATTGGAGGAGCATCGCCATTTTCAGAATATTCTCTTTTGATTCATAAACATGGGATGTTATTGCATCTATTTAGGTCTTCAATTATTTTCATCAGTTTTTTTGTAATTTTTATAGTAAAATGCACTTGTAAGTGTATTCATAAGTATTTTATTATTTTTGATGCTATTTTAAGTGGAATTATATTTTTCATTTTATCTTAGGGTTATTTATTGCTAGCATATAGAAATCAATTTTTGTAGATTGATCTTGTATCCTGCAGCCTCATGAACTTGTTTCTCAGTCTGATAGTTGATTTTCCCTTGAAAAAAATATAATGATTCCTTAAGACTTTCTATATATGAGTTCATGTCATCTGTGAATAGATGCAATTTAACTTCTCTCTTTCCATCTGGATATCTTTTGTTTATTTTTCTTGCTTAATAGCTCTGGGTAGAACCTCTACTACAAGGTTGAATAAAAGTGATTTGAGTGGAAATACTTGTTCTTCATCTTAGGTAGAAAGCACTCAGTCTTAAACCATAGAATATAGTGTTAGATGTCAATTTTTTAAGATGCCCTTTTTCAGGCTGAGGATGTTTCTTTCTATTCCTAGTTCCTTGAGTGCTTTTATCATAGAACGACTTTAAATGTTATCAAGTGCTCTCTCTGTGTCTATTGGGATTATTATGTGCTTTTGTCACTTATTGTTTTATTTTTTTTTATTACATTGATTTTCAGATGTTAAACCATTCAGCAATAGTGGGATAAATCACACATGCTCATGGAATATATTACTTACTTATATAAATTATATATATATATATATTACTGTTTTTGATGTGCTAATATTTCACATTAGGGTTTTTGAGTCTATATCCCTAAGAGATACTGCTCTGTAGTTTCTTCTTTTGTGAGATATTTGTCCAGTCATGGTATTAGGGCGATGCTGACCTCATAAAATTATTTGTGAAGTGTTCTTTTCTCATCTTTTTTTTTTATTTTAGTTTGCAAACAAGAGGTATCAATATTTTAACATTTGATAGAATTTACCAGTTAAGCCACCTGACTGTGGGCTTTTCTGTGTGGAAAGGTTTTAAATTCATTCAACTCCTTCTTATAAGTTTATTCAGATTTTCTATTTCTTATTAAGCCAGTTTTCATAGTTTGTGTTATTCTAGGAACTTACCTATTTCATCTAACTTACTCAACTTGTCATATGATGGTTCATACTATGCCCTTATAATCCTTTTAATTTCTATAAATTTAGTCAAGATGTCTGTTCTTTTATTGTAATGTTATTATTTTGAATTTTCTCTCCCTTTTCTTGTTCAATCTAACTGAAGTTTGTCAATTTCATTAACCCCTTTTAAGGCCAAAGTTTGGTATTTCTCTATTGTTTTCCTGTTTTTTTTAATTTTATTAATTTCTACTCTAGTATTTTTTATTTCCTTTTTTTCTACTTGTTCTAAGTTTAGTTTTCTTTTCTTTTCCTAGTTTCTTCATACAGAAGTTTAGTCTACTGATTTTGTCTTTCTATCTGTCTTTCCTTTTAAAAAAAATTGTTATAGCTTAGAGGGTACTAGTGCAGTTCCGTTACATGGATATATTGCTTAGTGAAGTCTGGGCATTTCGTATACCATCACCGCAATAGTATACATTGTACCCAATAGGTAGTATTTCATCCCTCACCCTCCTCCAACTCTCTTACCTTTCAGAATCTCCAGTGTCTATTATTCCACTCTATATGTCCATTTGTACTCATTGTTTAGCTCTTGATGATTGGATCCTATACCTAGAAAAGACATCTCCAAAAGACTCCTGGATTTGATAATTTACTTCAGTAAAATTTCAGGATAGAAACTCAGTACACAAAAATCAGTAGCATTTCTACACACCAATAATACATATAGCTGAGAACTGAGAACCAAATCAAGAACTCAATCCCATTTACAATGGATAGGAATACATTTAACCAAGGAGGTGAAAGATATTTACAGGGATAACTACAAAACATGGATGAAAGAAATAATAGATAAGACAAATGAAAAAAATAAAAAACCATATTCATCCATCAGAAGAAACAATATTGTTAAAAATGACCATAGTGCCCAATGCAATCTACAGATTCAATGTAATTCCTATCTTTCTTTTTAATTTAGGTATTTATACTTGTAAAATTTATAACTGTAAAATTCTCTCTGATCACTGCTTTAGCTGCATTCCATAAGGTTTGTAGTGCAATGCTTTGTATTTATTTATCTCAAACTGTTTTCTAATTTTCCTTTTGATTTCTTTGACCCATCAGTTATTTAAAATGATGTCACCAAATTTCTACAAATTTGTGAATTGCCCAAAGTTTCTTCTGTTATCAATACATACTTTCATTCTATTGTGATCAGAGAACATACTTTGTATAATTTCAATCCTTTGCACTTATTGAGTCTTGTTTAAAGCCTAACTGTGCTTTCTTCTATAGAATATTTTGCGTTCACATTAAAAGAAGTTGTAATCTGCTATTGTTGTGCAGAATGTTTTATAGATGTCTTTTAGGCCTAGTTGTTACATATTGTTTTTATAGTCTTCTGTTTCCTTGTTGGCCGGGCGCGATGGCTCACGCCTGTAATCCCAGCACTTTGAGAGGCAGAGGCGGGCGGATCACGAGGTCAGGAGGTAAGACCATCCTGGCTAACACAGTGAAACCCTGTCTCTACTAAAAATAACAAATAAATAAAAAATAAAAAAAAAAATTAGCCGGGCATGTTGGTGGGCGCCTGTAGTCCCAGCTATTCGGGAGGCTGAGGCAGGAGAATGGCGTGAACCTGGGAGGCGGAGCTTACAGTGAGCCGAGATCGCGCTACTGCACTCCAGCCTGGGTGACAGAGAGAGACTCCGTCTCAAAAAAAAAAAAAGAAATGGGGAGTTGAAGTCTCCAGTTATTATTGTCGAATTGCCAATTTCCCTATCATTCCTTCAACTTTTCTTCACTTATTTTGGGATTCTGTGGTTAAGTGCATGAATGTTTATAACTGTTAAGTATGCCTGATTGATGGTTGATGTTCTTATCACTATGAAATTTCATTATTTGTCTCTGTTAACAGTGTGTTCTAAAGTCCATTTTCTGATATTAGCATAGGCATTTCAGTCTTAATTTTTTTTTTTTTTTTTTGTCTGCTACTAGTGTATCCACTTCAGCTCTCTTTTGGTTATTATTTGTATGGTATATCTTTTTTCATACTTTTACCTTCAACCTACTTATGTCTTTGAATCTATAGCATTTCCATTGTATATGTCATGCTATTGGATAATGTCTTTAAAAAATCATTTCTGACAATCCGTGTACAGTGTATAAACATTTACGTATTAATTACATAGCAATTAATTACAATATAATTGTTAACGTAAGATTTGTCTGATTTTTAAATTATACTTCTATGTGTCTTTGTTTTCTCTATTTTTTCATTGATGTATTTTCTGTGTTTAATAAATATTTTCTAGTGCTTTTAGATTTTTAAGTTTATATTTACACAAACACACAAGAGTCATGTGTCACTTAATGATGTGGATATGTTCTGAGAAATGCATCATTAGGTAATTTCATCACTGTGTGAACATCATAGAGTGTACTTACACAAAACTGGATAGTATAGCCTACTACACACCTAGGCTATATGGCATAGCCTATTGCTCCCAGGCTACAAACCTATACAGCATGTTACCATACTCAATTTTGTAGGCAGTTGTAACACAATGGCAAGTATTTGTGTGTCTAAACATATCTAAATGCAGAAAAGTTTCAGTAAAAATATGACACAATCTTATGGGACCACTGTCATATATGCAATCTACTATTGAACAAATTTTTGTTGTGGAGCACATGGCATACATATGTATGTATGTGTATATGTGTTATAGCTGTATATGTATGTGTATATGTGTATATATGGACCACTGTTTTAAGGCACCATATATGTGTGTATGTGCTCCCATAAGATAGTGGTCCCATATACACACACATACACATACATATACATACACACATATAATCTTATGGGACCAGTGTCATATGCAATCTAATGTTGAAAAAATGATCGTTATGGAGCACATGGCGTGCATATGTGTATGTGTGTACATATGTGCCTATGTGTGCATATGCATATGTATATGTGTACATATACACACATGTACATATACACATATATACATACGTATATCTATGCATACATATGCATAGACATACATATGTGTGTATATGTATGCATGCACAGCATACATATATGTATGTGTATATGTGTATATGTATGTGTGTGTATACATACACACACATGCATATACATGTATACACACACTTATACACATATATCTATACACACATGTATATTTTATGTATATACACACACATACAGCTTTTTCCCATATATGTGGCTTTTTCCTTCATACAAATATATGACTCAAGGAACACAAAAGGGTCAACTTGTTTTTGCAATTTTCTACTGTTTTTCAATAACAAACGTATTGGAATAGATTGAAATAGAGATTTCTCCAAAACAGTGCCGGATGAACACCTCAAGGGGCTCTCACACAACCTGTTCCAGGACTTAGTGATAATTGTTTGTGTCCATGTTCAATTGAGTTCAAATTTAACTTTTCCTTCACAATAGTATAAGCTGACAAACACAACATTATAATTATTGCTTCATTTTTTCTTCATATAAGATAGTAAAAAAAGATTACGAACAAAACTGTATTTATAATGTCTTGTATTCATCTATGTGGTTTCCTTTTCTGGAGCTCTGTACTTCATATGGATGCATGTGACTGTCTGTTGCGGGAAGTCAGGGACCCTGAACGGAGGGACTGGCTGAAGCCATGGCAGAAGAACGTAAATTGTGAAGATTTCATGGACATTTATTAGATCCCCAAATTAATACTTTTTTAATTTCTTATGCCTGTCTTTACTGTAATCTCTGAACATAAATTGTGAAGATTTCATGGACACTTATCACTTCCCCAATCAATACCCTTGTGATTTCCTATGCCTGTTTTTACTTTAATCTCTTAATCCCATCATCTCGTAAGCTGAGGAGGATGTATGTCACCTCAGGACCCTGTGATGATTGTGTTAACTGCACAAATTGTTTGTAGAGCATGTGTGTTTGAACAATATGAAATCTGGGCACCTTGAAAAAAGAACAGGATAACAGCAATGTTCAGGGAACAAGAGAGATAACCTTAAACTCTGACCACTGGTGAGCCGGGTGGAACAGAGCCATATTTCTCTTCTTTCAAAAGCAAATGGGAGAAATATCGCTGAATTCTTTTTCTCAGCAAGGAACATCCCTGAGAAAGAGAAAGCGCCCCTGAGGGTAGGTCCCTAAAATGGCCCCTTTGAGTGTGGCCATCTTCTATGGTCGAAACTGTAGGGATGAAATAAGCCCCGGTCTCCCATAGTGCTCCCAGGCTTATTAGGAAGAAGAAATTCTCGCCTAATAAATTTTGGTCAGACTGGTTGCTCTCAAACCCTATCTCCTGATAAGATGTTATCAATGATAATGGTGCCCGAAACTTCATTAGCAATTTTAATGTTGTCCTGGTCCTGTGGTCCTGTGATGTCACCCTGCCTCCATTTACCTTGTGATATTCTATTACTTTGTGAAGCATGTGATCTCTGTGACCCACACCCTGTTCGTACACTCCCTCCCCTTTTGAAAATCCCTAATAAAAACTTGCTGGTTTTACTGCTTGCGGGGCATCACGGAGTCTACTGATGTGTGATGTCTCCCCCGGACACCCAGCTTTAAAATTTCTCTCTTTTGTACTCTGTCTCTTTATTTCTCAACCTGGTCGATGCTTAGGGAAAACAGAAAAGAACCTATGTGAAATCGGGGGCAGGTTCCCCAATAAATGTCTAGTGTCATTTCATTTTAATCTGAAAAACTTCTTTTACTATTTCTTGTAGGGCACATTAGTGACACTTTCCTTCAATTTTTGTTTATCTGGAGATGTTTTAACTTCTCTTTAATTTTTGAAGTATAGTTTTGTTGAACATACAATTCTTGGTTGATTTTTTTTCTTTTGAGCCTTTGAATATGTCATCCCTTTGCTTCTAACATCCATGTTTTTAATAAGACAATTTTTGAAAATTGTCAATTTTATTGAGGCTTCCTTATACATAAGTTACTTTTTTTGTTAGTTTGAAGGTAATGTCTTCATCTTCAACAGGTTAGCTATTGTAAATCTAGATGTTATTATCTTTGAGTTTATCATCCTTGGTGTTTATTAAGCTTTTTGGATATGCTGATTAGTGTTTTTCATCAAATGTGGGAAGTTTGTGGCTATTCCTTCTTCAAATATTATTTTTGTCTCTTTCTCTTTCTCTATTTTTTTTGATATTCCATTATATGGCTGTTGATATGAATGATGGCGTATCACAGGTCTCTGAAGCTTTTTTCTTTAAAATATTTTTAATTGTATTTTAAGTTCCGAGATACCTGTGCAGAATGTGCAGGTTTGTTACATAGGTAAACGTGTGCCATGGTGGTTTGCAGCACCTATCAACCCATCACCTATGTATTAAGCCCATCATGCATTAGCTATTTACCCTGAAACTCTCCCTTTCCCCACTCCTGATCCACAAGCCTCAGTGTGTGTTGTTTTCCTCCCTGTGTCCATGTGTTCTCATTGTTCAGCTCCCACTTGTATGTGAGAACATGTGGTGTTTGGTGTTCTGTTCCTGCGTTAGATTGCTAAGGATAATGAACTGAAGCTTTATTCAATTTTATAATTTTTTTTTCTTTTTCTCATAGTAGACTATCTTGATTGACATGTATTTATGTTCACTTCATCTTTATTCTGCTAGCTCAAATTTACTAAGTCTCCTTAGTAAATTTTTCATTCACTTACATTTCTCAACTGCAGAATTTCATTTTTTTATATAATTTATTCCTCTTAATTGACAATCCTTATTTGGCCATACGGCATTCTCACACTATCTTTAATTCCTTAGTCATAGTTTCCTTTAGTTGCTTGAACATATTTATAACATCTACTTTTAAGTATTTTTCTATTAAGTTCAAAATATGGGCTTCCTCAGAGATGATTTCTATTGACTATATTTTTCTCTGTGTATGGGCCATAGTTTCCCACTTTTTGTAGATCTTGTTTTTGTCATTGTTGACAAAAACTGGATATTTTATATCATATAATGTGACCACCCTGGTCATCCCAGAGGTTTTTTTGTGATTACTTATTTGTTTAGTAGTTTTTCTGAATGAATTCTGGAAATCCCATATTATTTGTCAAGAGCAGTCACTGAACTCTCTCCTCGATTAGCCTAATGGTCAGGTAATGATTGGACAGATTTGTTCAGATTCATTGAAGTAACAAATTTCGTCCCCATTGGGCAGGGCCACTTTATTTGTGTTGAGGCATGCCTTCAACGCTCCAGCAGTTTACAACTTTGCCTTGCCCTTCACTTCATTGTTGCACAGAAAGACCTCAAAGTCAGAAAGTGGTAAGATATTAGGACTTTTTTAGGTATTTCTTGGGCATGTACACAACCTTTATTTGCACATAGTCTTCTAGATTCTCAGGAATAGTTCAGAACTTTTCAAAGTTCTCTCTAGATACTACATTCTAATTGTGTTTTTGTTTTTGTTTTTAGTTTTTTGGATGACCTCTTGTCCCAATTTGTTTTGTCACCTCGAGTAAGCTGAAACATTAAACAGTTGCTCCTAAATATTTCTGATGTACAGCCTGGGCATAGGGCTTTCCCACTGAGTACTATGAGTCTAGTCAAATAAAGACCCTTGTGAAGGGATTTTCCAGATAATTTTCAGACATTAAATAGTAAAAATTGTCTAGAAATGGTGTTTGGATGAAGCTCCAAATCTGATGAGCTCCTTTTAGTCGCTGCAGGGCAACTGGTTATCACAGGTATAGTGGTTGTGAGCCCATTGTTTTTCAAGACTACTGCAAAGCTGGGCAGAGGGGATGGGAGTATAATGTTTGCAGTTCATAATTCTTACCAAGACTTAGCCGTTTCTTAAAGAATAAATGCTCCATAAATTTTCAACCATTTGATTAATTTTGAGAGTTCTGAAAACGTGGATTTTAACAATTACTGTCAGTGTTCTTGTTGCTTCTATGGAAGAAGAGATATTCAGAGTCCTTAATTTGCCGTTTGGGATTTCCTTTTTGTATTTTAATTTAAAACTACTTATGTATCAATTAGGCTTGCTTCTTATTTAAGATTTTCAGCTATCCCTTGTCCCCAAATGTCTATGATTATCTGCTACAACCTTCCTTCATGCCTGAATTATTGCCACAACTTTCTAACTCGCCTTTCTGTATAGTCTCTCAGTATATAGATCTGTTCAGGCCTCATTATAAGTTAATCTTATAAATTCATCCACATTGTGTAGGAAATTTGCTTGCCTAGAAACCTTAAATGCCAATCAGCCAGATGGTCAACACTAACTGAGTGCATATTACATACGGAGTGTCAGTTTTTGCTCCAAGTGTAGTGAACAGAGAGCTTATCTACTGGTGAGAGGATACAAAATAAATAGAACAATTTGATATATGAAAATTACTCTGAAATAGTTGTCTCTCACTGCCCATATGGAAAATTTAAACATTTTTTTTTTGTGGTATCCAGAGACCTCCATCATCTGTTTTTTCTCTAATCTTATCGTCTTCACTTTCCTGATAGGAAGTCTTTCTAGGTAAAACAGGTCTGCACAATGCTGTTTGGATATGCCATGCTACTTTTTACTTCTGTGCTTAGGTTCATGCCATTCCTTCTACCTAGATTATCTTACTTTCTCCCTCTCTTCTTAGTAAAGAATGCCCTCATCTCTTCTCAATTTTACAGCTTCTTGAAGCAATTCCTGATTACTCCAACCCCAAAGCATCATTTCAAATCCACACTTGTAGGACTTATTGTCATACTCATTTGGCATTAACCCAATTATCCACACATACCATTTATTGTTGCCCATGCTAATTCTGGCACTCAAGTTAGATTTAAAGCTCCATGTAGGACATAAAAGGTTGATTTTAAAAATTCTTTGTATTCTTGGTATTTAGCATAGGGACCTAAAAGAAGTACTCTATGAATTTGGGGATATTATGTAATGAATACATAAGTAAGTCCTTCCTTTCAGTGTAGACATCATTTCATATACCCAGGTTCTCAAAATTGCCACTGAATTACTAAGATGATATATCCCCTAAACTTGTCTGATTTAAACTTGTACCAAAAACACCTATGAGACACTCCCTAAAATATATTACACAATCTCTCAGTGTCAGTGAAAAAGTACACTGTGCTTCACCATCTGCAGCTTATTTGTAATATAGGGACAATAATATATGCTTCCTAGGAAAAGTATGAGGATTAAATGGAATTTTTCATGTAAAAGTGATGTGAAAAACAAAACATTTCACAAGTTTTAGTCATGTTACTAAAGGAAATGTAGATAACATGATAGCATTTAGAGAAAAATTTTTAAGTGCTTTAAAAAGAAGCATCCCCCCACCCCCACCCACAAGGTATTATTTTATATGGCATGTTCAGACAAAATGTTTTAAAAAACATAGATAGTAGAGGATAAAGGGCTGAGATGATGAAGAGTAGAAATGGGGATTTGAAAAAATGTCAGATCCATTATATCCTTCTCTAGAAGTAGTGTTGTATTGTATATACCTATTGGTAGACATATTCCATCTATCGCTGGGAAGTTTATGAGTTGCACAAACCAAAGAATCAGCTGAGGTTTCCTCATTTTCAGCAGGGATACCGGCTAGATGTCTGTCACACTCATTCCCTCCTTATCATGTGCCTAGTATTGGACTACATTTCAAAGCCTTCTTGTAGTTAAGTGCTATCATGTGATGGAGCTCTGACTAGGGAAGTGCAGGCTGAAATTATGTTTTCCATTTTCATTTCCATCATGTGCTTGTGCTTTGAAATTGGCCATTGAAATTGGCATTGCTGGTTCTCTGAGTGACCCTGTAAGGTCTTTTAATATATGTTTTGTAAAAAGAAAACAAAATTACAATAACATCCTAAGGATTGTGAGAGGCTCTGCAGTAATGAAACCTGTTTATTTTTAGCCACTGTTATCCACCCTTATCAGTTCTTAAAATATTTTGAGATTGTGAGGAGGGGTAATCACATCCATTAACATCTGGTGAAACACACTTTGTGAGATTCTATCTGTTGAATTGATAGCTCTGAGGCCGTAATCCATTGCTCAGCAAGACATGCTGGAAAAAGACTAGAGTAAGAAATAAATGTAGGACAGAAACAGTCAGCAGACCTAACTGCTGCTACGAGTTCCAATAAAATCTGCTACGAGTTCTTTCATGTGTTAACATTAAACTAGGCAATCAAATGGAAAGAAAAAGGCAAAGAAAAGCTTTTTTTTTCTAACATTTTAGGAATCTAGTTTTTCTTTTATCCAGAATTTTTAAATTTGAAAATAACCGATACTGACATATATATTATTTTCCCTTTTATTTTTATTTGTTTTTATATTTACTTTTGTGGGGGTAAGCATATAAATTACATACTATAAATTCACACATTATAATAGTTAAATTAATATTTTAAAATTAATTTATACTGTTGTGAAACCATCACCACAATCCAGTATAGGGACAGTTCCATTACCCCAAAGTGTTCCCTTATGCTCATTTAAGGTCGATCGCTGAACCCACCATCATTCTCAGATAAACATGAACCAGCTTTTTGTCTCAATAGCTTTGCTTTTTATGAAGCTTTGATATAAATGGAATCTAACAATACGTAGATTATTGCATCTGCCTTCTTTTACTTAGTATAGTATATTTAAGGTTTATTTATGTAATAGCATGTATCAGTGGCTGGTTCCTTCATATTCATGAATAATATTCTATTGTACGAGTATACCACATTTTGTTTTTCCTTGCACCAGTTAATGGACATTTGAATTTTTTCCTGTTTTTTTTTTAATAACAAGTAATTTGGCTATAAACATTTGTTACACAAGTCTTTGTGGGAACATATGTTTGCATTTCTCTTAGGTAGGTATATGAGAGTAGGATTTCTAAGTCATCTTGACAACATATTTCCCAAAGTGATTTATCATTTTATGTTTCACCAGCAATGCAAGAGCAAAGTTCTCCACATTTTCACTAACAATTGTTATTTTCTCTCTTTTTTGTTATGGTCATTTAAGTGGGAGGATCATGATAGCTCACTGGGATTTAATTTGTATTTACCTGAAGACACACAATGATGAACATATTTTCATATGTTTAATACTCCCTTATGTATCTTCTATGGTAAAATGTTTGTTTATATTTGTGGACCTTTTTAAAAATTATGTTGTTTGTCTTCTTGTTATTGAGTTTTAAGAGTTTTTATATAATTTAGTTACAATTCCATTGTTGGATATATTAGTAAAACATGTTTTCTTTAAGCCTGTGCTCGCCTTTTCATTTTGTTACTGATGGTGCCTAAAAGTCACAGAATTTAAATTTTGATAAAGTCAAATTTATTAATTTTTTCATTTTATAGATTGTAATTTGGTGTTAGATTTTAGAATTCTTTAGCTAACCTATGGTCATGAAAAATTTCTTCTGTTTTCTACTAGAAGATTTAGAATTTTAGCTCTTATTTTTAGGTCTGTGTTTCATTTTGAGTTAATATTTGTATTTTGGGACACAGTAACTGTCTACATTTATATTTTTACATATGGATATCCAATTGTCTCAGGCCATTGTTAATTTTTTTCTCATTGAATTTCTGTGGAACCTTTGCCAAAAACTAATTGATCATAAGGGTTTATTTCTGCACTCACAATTCCATTCCATCATCTATATGCCTATTACTATACCAGTAAACCACTCTTGTGATTACTGGTTAGTGGGTAGTGCAGGTCCTCCAAATTTACTCTTCTTTTTCAAAGTTATTTTAGTAATTTCAAGTCCTTTGCATTTACAAATACATGTTCAGATAAGCCTGTCAATGTCTAGAAAATAAAAGTCTAATGTTATTTTGACATGAATCACATTGTTTAGATTAATTTTTGAAGAATTTTCATTAGACTAATGCTGAGACTTCCACTCCTTGAACGTGAAGTATCTCTTGGTTTATTTAAATACTGCTCAATTTCAGTTATCAGTGTTTTGTAGTTTTCTATAAATGTATCTTCTTTAAATTTTCTAAGGTTTTAAAGTTCTATTTGGAATGTAATTATTTTCCTAATTTTATTTTTCAATTATTCATTCTGATTGTGTGGGTGCCTATTTTCACAAATAGGATCAGATCTTCTGCAATAGAGTTTTACTTCTTCCTTTACAATCTGGATATTTTATTTTTTTTTTGTCTTATAGCAATTACTGGAACTAAATCGTTAAATAAAAGTGGGAAGAGTGAACATGCTTACTTTCCTGGACAATCTTACATTCCTGATACAACCTTCATTTGCTTCTGTTTGATAACTTCTTTTTTATTTTGTTGAATTGACTTTAGTATAATCTGATTAAATATTTTTAATTCTATTCATGAGGAATGCAGTTTTCTCTTCTTGTTATATTTTTGGCTTTGGTATCATGGTAATACTGACCTCTTAGAATGAGGTCGAAAGTGTTTCCTCCTTTTTGTTCTCGTAGTATATGGATAACATTCAGTCTTTCAACTTGTTAGTTGTAGATATTTCATAGGTGCCCTTCTCTGGTTGAGGAATTTCCACTTTATTCTTAATTTGTTGAGAGGTTTTTATCATGAACAGTAATCGAATTTGGTTTAATGCATTTTCTATTGAAAATATGGGGATTGTTTTCATACAATTAATATTACATATGTATTACATTAATTAATTTTGAATGTTAAACTAACCTTGCATTCCTAGCATAACTTTCACTTGGCCCTGTTTTTTTTTAACCCCTCACCATTTTACATATTTTCTCTGTATTATGATGTCAACAGTGTGGTTATTGTGTTTTTAATGAGTATTTCATATTTTATCCTATTGCTGTTTTGTTGAGTTTCTTGGATCTGCAAATTAAGGACTATTTTTAAAGAAATTTGGAAGATTTTGTGATTAGACCTCCATGTAAAAGTGTGTGTGTGTGTGTGTGTGTGTGTGTTATGTGTGTGTGTGAGAAACAGAGAGTCACCTGAAAAATAAGAATAATTTTGCATACATAAAATTTGAACTTATGCTAATAAAGAGAAACAATAAAATAACTAAAAAGGTGTCCTGGAAAAACATTGAATTTTGATTATGCTGCATAAATCCAGAAATCAAAAGGGCATTGAGGTGGCATGTTCAGAAGGAAGTTTTTTGTTTACACTGCAGTGTGTTTAAAACTTCAATACGGATGCTTTTGAAAGAAGCACATTCTCCAGACAGTCCTACTGTCCACCCTGCCTAATGTGTTCCACCAAGTTGGCTTCACCCGTTACTGTTGTTGATTGGCCTCTATACATGTATGAGCTGGGGACCCCCACACTATACTCTGGCAGCCTGAAAGAGTGAATGCCCCTTTAGTGATTATCAAGGGTTATTTCTCTGGATAAATCTTTGATTCCCAAAAGCCTTCAGGGCCATAATAGATCAATATCTAGTCTTCTTATACTAAAATTTAAATAATTATATTCTATTTGACTTCTTGTCTTTCAAAAATCACAAGAGAATACAGTCGTTAACTTAGAGGGATAGTGGATGAAGAAGAGGTTTTTTTTGTGTGTCAAATACACACTGAGTTATAGACAGGTTTTGGAGAATTCTTCATTTCTACATTCTTGTATCCCTACTTAGTTGCTTCTAGGTACAAATCTTGAATTCTTCCAAAGAAAAGTTTCCTCTTCCTCTCTCCATCTGTGAAAGGTGTATTGGATTAACAACCAGCACAGTGAAAACTGCTTCAAACTCTACACTCAATCACACTGTTTTACAATATTGAGAACAAGGCAACTTCCCAGTGCTGAAATGCTACAATATTTTAAAAAATATTTTGGAAATTGGCCAGGTGCAGTGGCTCACGCCTGTAATCTCAGCATTTTGGGAGGCCGAGGTGGGTGGATCACCTGAGGTCATGAGTTCGAGACCAACCTGGCCAACATGGCGAAGCCCTGTCTACTAAAAATACAAAAATTAGCTGGGCCTGGTGGCGGGTGCCTGTAATCTTAGCTACTCAAGAGGCTCAGACAGGGGAATTGCTTGAACCTGGGAGGCGGAGGCTGCAGTGAGCCAAGATTGCACCATTGCACTCCAGCCTGGGGACAGAGCAAGACTCTGTCTCAAAAAACAAAACAAAAAAAAATTGGAAATTATAGAACAGCAAATAGAAAATAAAATTATATTCCCTAAAATAAGTAATATTTGCTTTTTTCCCATAGTTTATTAACATATAATTTTCACAGTAAAGTTCACCCTTTTCAGATGTACTTTTTTATGAATTTTGTCAAATTTATAAATCACAGAACCACCACTATGCTTAACATATAGAATATTTTAATAACACCAAAAAGTTTTCTTACATCATTTCATGGTCAATTCCATCCCCTTCTCTCCCACCCCTGGTAACCACTGATACAATTATATTCCTTATAGATTTGCTTTTCCAGGTTGCCGTATAAACATAACTGTACCATGTGCAGCCTTCTGGATCTGGCTTATTTAACTTAACATAGTGCTTTTGAAAAGGATCCACATTTCTGTGAGAATCAGTAGATACTTCCTTTTTTGCTGAGTAGAATTCCTTTGTATGGATGTACCACAATTTGTTGACCTGTTTACCAGTTATGGACATTGCTTTGTTTCTCATTTTTGGCAATTATGAATAAAGCTTCTAAGAACATTCAAATATAAGTGTTTGTGTGGAGATATGTCTTTGTTTCTCTGGGATAATACCTAGAGGAGGACTGCTGCTGAGTCCCAGGATTAACATTATAAGATAGTGCTAAACTTATTTCCAAAGTTTTGCATTTCCATCAGCAATATATAACAGTGTAACAGTTCTAGCTATTCTGCATCCTGAGACTGTTACAAGTTATTTTTTCTTCTGTTAATTCTGACTCTTCTAATAAATATATAGTGGTATCTTACTGTGATTTTAATTTTTATTTCCATAATGAATAGTGATGTTGACAACATGTTTCATGTGCTTCTTTGCCAACTATATGACATCTTTTTAGTGAAGTTTCTGTTAGAAACTAATTCCCATCTTTCACTGGGTTTTTTTTTTAATATTGATTTTTGAGAGTTTATTTTTGCAATATTTTGTCCCAGTATGTGACTTATCTTTTCATTTTCTAAACAATATTTTTCTAAGAGCAAAGGTTTTAATTTTGATGAATTCCAATTTATCAGTTTTTTTATAGCTTGGGCTCCTTGTACCACATCTAAGAAATCTTTGACCAACTCAAGATCATAATAATTTTGTCCTGTTTTCTTCCATGAGTATTTAGTTTTAGGTGTTACGTTCAGGTCTATGATAGATTTTGAGATAATTTTTTTATGAGGTGAAGTCAAGAATACTTTTAATTTTATTATTTAATTTTTGACATGCAGATGTCTAATTGATCCAGAACAATTTTCTGAAAAATACTATCTTGGTTTCTTTGAAATACCTTGGATCCTTTGTGTAAAATAATTGACCATACATTTGGGTTTATTTTTGGAATTCCTGCCCCCATTTGGTTCCAACTGTTAACATTTTGAAATACAAATAGAGGTATATGTGATTTCGCTGACCTAAAATCCTACTACATTTTTTGGATTTAACCTGCTACATCTGTTATTATATATAAATATTCCTCATTTTATTAGCTCTTATCTGAAAAGATAATTTTAAATATTAAATATATTTCCATGTGAGAGTTCCATGTTACAGATAAAATTAAAAAATAGATTGAGATATTAAGAAGGTGGACTAATTTTTTATTTAAATACACTTTTTTTCATCTTAAGCAGGGCTAAATGAGAGTTAAGTGCCTCTAAAAAGCATTTAGAAATAATGTTAAAATGTAAAATCAAGACACACACACAAAATGGAGCCATTTATAATTAAGATTGTGACTGACAGGTCTGAAAGGGTTTCCTAGATCCACACCTGAAGAAACAACCATATATGTGACTTGTCGTAGGACAGGAGTCTCATTTGATTATCACACTCACACACACACAAAAGAAAAAAAAAACACACAAAAAAAACCCTCATTAGCAACAGCTGCAACAATGAGCACCAGAGCGGGCAATGCATTTTCAGCCTGTCTTCAGTAATAAGAGCACACACCATATTGTGTGGGCTGCTTGTCAACTTCCAGGAACATTTCTGCCAGCTAGAAAGAGAAGCTGTAGCTGTCCAACCACTGGATCTGTTCATAGTAGAGAAATGAGGTAGCAAAGGCTAGGCTACAAAGAAAAACCTTTACATTTATCAAGATATCAGAAAACATTTCAGCCTTGACTAATTTCCTTATTCAGAATTGTCAGTTTTCCCCTCTGCTGCAAGTGGCATTCTTACTTAAAGAAAGAATCAAACAGAAACACTAGTGTGGGGCGAATCCCTGTCCTAAAAGCACATTTCCAGTACACTTTGATCACAGGCTCTCCGCATTAGCATTCTGTCCAGGAGTAAAGGCAAAGCTATTCATACCACTGAAGAGAAAACTTCTCCAAGCTTTTAATGAATTACTGTTTGTTCAACAGTTGTCAGGTGTTTCAAATCGTTCTATTGAGAGCACAGTACTATGTGTGTTTTATGAGTGACAGTTAAACCTAAGTACAAAGAAAATCTGTTCTTATATATATGCGGCTGTACATTTTAAAAATCTAAACACATCTGTAAATTATAGTTAAAATGAACTCAGTGCGGCCTGATTTAGAATCACTTGCTTTGATTCCCCAAACATAGAAATTCTTGCCTAAAGCTCCACATTAGTTAAGAAGTTGAATGGACACCCACAAAGGAAACTAAGTTCACTGAAGGCCACAGTAGAACTGTATTCATTCAATTACCTTTTTTTTTTTTTTTAAACTCAAAAAAGCTTGGGCAATTACTGAGGCTGATAGAGGCCCAACTATGTTGAGGGAATCATTGAGAGCCCAAAGGGCAACAAAGACAGCAGAGAGCAGTATTTGAAATGTGGCTGAGTATCCCTTAAATAAAACTTTGGAAGCTTGCAGACCAAGGGAACCAAGGACATCCATGTAATATACTTAGAATATTGTCTCTTCCTGAAAATTCAGTTTAATACTTGTGTTAGACATGATTTTATTTATGTGTATTTATGAGTTGGGGATTTTTTTAGTATTAGTTATTTGTGTTTTCTTCATATTTAAAAGAACACTTCACTTGAAAAGTAATGCAGATCACAACTTCTAGTTCTCACTTGGGTATATAGAGAGCGGGAACAAGTGTCACTCTTAAATATGCACAAGAAAAAAGCTAGACAGACCGTAAGTTCATGACATTTCTTGAACCCCAAATAGACTGTCAACTATAACTAATTAGTCTAATTGGATTACAGATCATTAACGTTACCATGTTGAAAGAAATAGGGAAAACAGGACTAACATAATTAACTTTGGAAAATAGTATTTTGACTGCATAGTGTAAGGGTAAAGACAATAAGAACTGTACAAAAATGCTATACTCTGCTTAGTAAATATATTTCTCTCTTTGAGAATGGTATGGTTTGGCTGTGTACCCACCTAAATCTCATCTTGAATTGTAGTCCTCATAATCCCCAGGTGTGTGGGAGGGACCAGGTGTAGATAATTAAATCATGGGTGCGGTTTCCCCCATCCTATTTTCATGATAGTGAGTTCTCACGAGATCTGATGGTTTTCTAAGGGGCTTGTCCCTCTTTTGCTCTGCACTTCCTTGCTGCCGTGGTGTGAAGGACCTGTTTGCTTCCTCTTCCACCATGATTTTAAGTTTCCTGAGGCCTCCGAAGCCCAGCAAAACTGTGAGTCAGTTAAATCTCTTTTTTTTTTTTTTTCTGTAATAAATTACCCAGGCTTGAGTATGTCTTCATTAGCAGCTTGAGAGCAGACTAGTACAAAGGAGAAACAAGGTAAGTGCGAAGTATTTTCCCCAAGATATTTTTTAAATAGAAAGGGAGAATTTTACAATGGAAAAAAATACAAAATCGTTCAAATATTTCTTGCTACCTCATTCTTCAAAAGAGCTGTGTAGCAGGCTATCATATGGAAGACCAATTTATTTTATAATACTTTTTATTACTGAACATTTACTTATTTTTCATTTTATGTAATTACAAAGAGTGTAGTGCAATAAATCTTCAATTTGTCTTTGCACAATTGTGTGAGTATATGATACGTATTCGAGTGAAGCTAATGGGGTCAAACATATTCCTATTAAAATGGCTATATTCTTGCAGGTATGTTGTGCTATTGCTGGAATTGCTATTCTCTATGTACATACATATAGACAGGTGATAAATAGGTGGCTAGACATTTAAAATGCCTTCTAAAATGATGATACAAATTACCTCTCTTACAGTGCATGAGAGTTTTGTATATTAACATTTCTTAGCATTTAGTGTTCTAATTGGTGAACAGTGCTACCAAAAATGTTCAAATTTGCATTTCTTTAATTGTACGTCAATTGACTATTTTTAAGTTATTTCCTAGGCAATGCTGTTTATTTCCTTTGATTATATTTTATATCTGAGTTTTGGTCATTTCAAAAAATAATTTTATATTAAAAAATTAGCCTTTTGCCCTATAAATATATGATCTATGTATAAAATACATGCAAATGAGTCATATTTTAATTAGATTTGCGCTTCATATTTTGCCTTTGTTAATGAGGCTGAAATTTTGTTGTGCATACATTTTAAATTTCTACATAATTACATTTATCAATTGCTTCCATTTTGTCTTCTGGGATTTACGTCTTTCATGGAAAGGCCTTATCTAACTCAAGAATGTAAAACATTTATCTTTGTTTTTCTACTAATATTACAGTTTTTATTTTTATAATTAAAACTTACTTGCCGCCTAGAATTTATTTGGGTATGAGGAGTAATATGCAGGCACATTTTTATTCGTTTTTCACACAAATGTATTCAAATGTTACTCTGAAAAGTCTTTACAGGATTGAATTGAATTCTTTCTCATATGTTAATGTCTCATACATATTCTGTGCTATTTCTGTAGTTTACATTTTATTCTATTAATCTTGCTATTTGTCAATACCCAACTTTTATAAAACCTGTATTATCTAATATAATATCTTATATGACTAATGCACCCAACTTTTCCGATTACAGTATTTTCCAGTGATTTGTCCAATATTGTTATTAGATTAACATTAAAATTATGTTTAATGGCCCACTGATTCTTGTGAGAATTTGTTTTTTTGTCAATTTGACTATGGTCAGAAGTTTTCTTGTTTGCTTTTTCGTTTTGAGGAAATAAATGATTCTCTTTACACATTTTAATTACCTCAGTAAATGCTTTTATGTTGCAAAACATTTAAACAACAAATGGTTATTTAGAATGAAGTATCAAGTTACTTCTTTAGGCCAGGTGCAGGGGCTCAGACCTGTAATCTCCAGCGCTTTGGGAGGCTGAGGTACGAGGATTGCTGGAGGCCAGGAATTCAAGACCAGCATGGGAAATATATGACCTTGACTCTATAAAAAAAAGAAAAAAATGTGTTCTTCACCCTGTCTACTAATTCTGCTGTTCGCTGCAGGGGTAAATAAAGGCCATAGTGTAGTGTCCATACCTTCAGCCATTATTTTATATTATTCCTATTTGAGCTATCTTTGTCAAATTTTAAGGTGTTACACCAGATTTGAAATACATTAATGCAAACAATTTACTTTTTTTCTTTGTATTTATAGACAATCAGTTTTTAATCTATTCATCCAATAAATACTTAAATACCTATTATGTGCTAGGCACCTTTTAGACACTAGAAATATAGCAATGAATGAAAAAACATAAAACCTTTGCCTTGAAGTTATATGTTAGGAGGAGTTCATAAATGATAAGTAAATTGTTTTGATTATGATCGGTGCTTTTGAGAAAAATTAAATAATAACGGGAATCAGTTGCTTCTGGATGTTAGCTGTTGCTGCTTTAAATAGTGCTCAAATGGGCAGAATGCCGCCCAAAGATGTGCACACTCTAATCCTTGGAACCCATAAATATATTATGTTACATGGCTAAAGGGATTTTCTTAAAGATAAAGTTAAGATTACTGTCCTTATTTCTTTGTGTTGTTACAACAGAATTCCACAAACTGGGTGATGTATACACAGTAGAATCTTTTTTCTCACAGTTTTGGAGGCACTGCACTGGTGGAAATTGCTCTCAGCTGGAGAGAAATGCCTAATTCCTATGGAAGCATTCAACAACTTGAAATGTCAGGTTACAAAAGCCCAGTTCCTTGTAACAGTTTAGGTCAAATTTCCAACTCCTGAAACACAAGATCAGCTCTGTCCCTTGTTATGATTGCAGAACAGCCCAACTTCTCACTCTACTCAATACTGCTTCCTTTATTTCCCAAAAGGTATTGATCACAAAAGCACCTCACAATAAGATTCATGCACCCAAATTATCTCACGATCAGATTTGTGGAGAACTCAATCTGTAACACTTGATGCCGAGAGACATCTGAGAAGGCAGACTCTAAGAATTTTGAAGTTAGGGCATGTTCTTAACTGCTGGCAAAAAGCATATCATCACTTCTGTCAGAATAAAGATATCCACGATTTTAAAATATTCTGCCCATTGAGAGAAATTCTATTTTCTGTCTTCTTGAATCTAGGCTGCAACATGACTACTTTGACCTATAGAGTATAGTGGAAGTGACACTTGACAGTTCTGATCTAGTCTTTAAGGGGACTGTATATAGTACAGCTACCTTGGGAATACCATGCTGCGAGGAAGACTAAGCTGACCATGTATAGAAAGTATGATACCCAACCAGCTCCAGTTGTTTGGGCCACCAAACATTTGAGTCTTCTCATTGGAGGTCCAATATGCAGATCAGAGACAAGACCAGGCAGACCCTGTCTGAATCTCCTGACCCTCAAAATGGTGAGATATAATAAGAGGTTTTATTCTTTATTATCTTATCTTACCTTTTAAACATTATATTTTTCTTCTTTAAACTCTTTTTTTTTTTTTACTCAAGTTGACTATGTTTCTGTAGTTCTTAGATTTTTATACTCTTGATTTCTAAAATAACTCTTCTTCATTCTTCCTGGGGTATTTATCTCCTTGATTTTTAATGTATGTTTCTTCCTCTTCCTGAAAGTATCTATTAGGAGGTCCAATTTTGGAGTTTTTCAGGTAAATACCTAACTTTGAGTGCGGTTTGGGTCTATGCAGGTCTGTTATTTGCCCATGAATGGTGTGAGAATGCATGAGTGGGCTCCAGCAGGTACCAGCTTCATTTAATTATGTTGATAATAGGTTGTCAACTATTCTATTTATGTTCCTATCCCACTCGACTTAATATTCTCAAGAAAAGAATTAAAATGTAGGTGCTCAGAAGTCTCATGCATATCTTTCAGGAAAATAGACGTGCTATTTGAACTATAAAATATTTTATGTTGAGTTTTAGAATTCTACCTTGATTTAATCCAAATGGCAAAATATTTGGCAGTCATTTTTGACAGACTATAACTTGAGGTTTATAGCCATTTTTAGTCTCATTGTAGACAAAATTTTCATCTCATTTTTTGCTTATTTATTTTACATAGGCAAAGGAATGAAATATATTTGGCTTTAAGCCCTTTTATATTATTGGAAGTTATTATTTTTCCCTGTTTTAAGCAATTATCCATTTATATGATGTTTCTCAGAAAACAATGAAGAATCCCTGTGATTTCTCAGGAGATAGTAAAAGAGTTTTCTTTAATTATTCATATTTTAATAAATCTTAAAATTCATTTTTTATTGAAATACTTAAACCATGTATTTTTTTACCATCAAATCATAAGCTATATTTGGGCATGTCTTCTTACCCTAAATTACTCATTTGTGACACTTTCATTAGATAAGAACATACTTAAATATTTTTATATTTTATAGTCAATAATGGCAACATTTACTGAAAAAATCTCACAGATGCTAGGTTTTTAAGAATTAAATAAAAATATAAGAATTTGTGAAAATTATTTTTGCTAAATATAATCTGTATTCTGAGCTGTGCATTTATGTATCTCTTGATGGTTTTTCATTTATGGAATAATCAAAACCTTTTATGTTTCATCAGAACTTGGCTTCTTATTTAATGCCTACTTCACACTACTCTTTGATCCTGACATATTCAGATATTCTCTGGGAACATCTGGTCCATGCTGTGGCATAAGGGAGACATTTGGAGTTTGATTTTATATCCAGTTCCCATGAGAAATGCCCCTTTTGAGTACAACTTTAGGAAATCTTTGTATATTTAATGGAAACAGTGATGAGGCCCCTTTAAGTTCCCTTTAAGAAATTATATGCTCAAAAGAATAGCCAAAGCCAGATTTGCATCTCATTGCTTACCTTGGGAATGCAGAAGGAACTTAGTCTAGTGAGGTAAGGGGTACTCTGCTGATACCATGACTTAATCTGTTTTATTTTTCTTCCTTTCTTGATGTGGAGGCCAGTTGTATATGTGATCTCATGCAAATGAGAGTGAATATAGTGAACTTCCTGGAGTGCATTCAATTATTTATATATTCATTTGCTACTTGAGCAAGTATTTATTGATGGCTTTCTGTAAAACACTTAGCTGGGCCCTCAATAATATTAGGCTCCAACTATCTAATATTGCAACAGTCAAATATCACAGCATCATAATGCAAACAGATAAGTATCATGGAAAAATAATGGAAACAACAGTTTCATTTTTGATACCTTCCGCCTTCTACAAGTGCTTTGTCAAGAAAGAAACAATAAGTATATTTTCAAGCAAATAGTTCCTTTCTCCAGGTTAATGTTAGAGGGAGAGCACATTTAAGTAATTAGTCATCACAGTCTTCAGAAGAATAAAGCCATGGACCAGGACCTAACTATCAATGGCCAGGTATCTCTGCTATCTCTGCAGGATAATCTTTGCGTTTAGCACTGATAAACTTGCACTTTGCTTTTATCAAGTCACTGAACCATTGTTTCATGACATCCTGGTTAGAAGCTCCTAGGGCAAAATCATCATCATATAGATAAACTTGAGTGATTAATAATGATGCTTTCCTTTTTCCAATTAAAGTATCAAAGACTCATACATGAACCTAAGAGCTAATGTAGAAAAATAATAAAACTAGCAGTTCTCATTTAGCACTTTACAAAGTTTCATTTGTATTTTAATCACCTATTTATCCCTTCAGTATGAATGTGTTGGGCATGTCATTTATTTTATTAAATGCATGGAGCAGCAAAAGAAACTGAGGCTCAGGGTTTAAATTTAATTATCCTGAGTAACAGCTACTAGGTGGTGAAGTTGGTACTTAAACTGTGTCTGTCTAATCCAAAACTTGTGATCAAAACCTATATACTTTACTGTCTTGGTCTAGAAGTCTAAATTATGTAGCTACAGAGACTATCATGAGATTTGCTGTTATTTTGTAGCTCTTATTTTGAAAGCCTAGATAGACTCACAAACTCACATGCCCTTAGGGCCAAGCAGTGACATAATGTATGAAGGTCTGTGGGGATGTGTGATGGGAGGGCCTTTAGAACTAACTTTTGGGGTAGAGACACGCATATAGGGAAACCTTCCACTTGCCCTTTGGTTTTCCTATAGGAAAGGCAACCAGGCAGGATAATGCTGAAGGGCTCCCTGTCAGGGAGGAGATCGAGAGGGAGAGGCTATGCTGAAAAGGTTATGTGTGTGCTGGTGTGGGGAGCACCCATCATTCCCTTCAGCCTTTGGGCTCATGCAGAAATGATGGGCTCTTATTGCCAGATCATTTGACTTTCCTACAGGAGCTAGAAATATGCCTTGTGAAGTTAAATATTCTGATTCCAGGGGCAGTATAGCACAGGGCAAACTTTGGAGCAAGAGACACTACATTTGTATCCTAGCTCTGCCACTGACTAGGCTGTGATGCTGGTGTTACTCAATTGTTCAGGGCCTCATTGTTCTCAGCCGAAAACGGAGTTTAAAAATAGTGCTGTCCCGAAGGCTGTGAAGACTGCAGTGTGATTTTTATCCTGGGAGACGTGCACTTTTGCGATACTGCCTGGCTCATAGTGTTTTCTGAGGACTGAAAGAGTCAAATTCATGTGACGCCCTATGTAATAAGCACTTAATGAACATAAGCTATCATTATTCTCATTGTTCAATAATTATTTTTTAAATTATAAATACTGTGCAGGCCAAATAAAAATATTTACCAATGAGCAATAGGATTAAATCTTATGGAAATTATTTTATTTCTGCCATTAGCTACAAAATGTATGTAAATATACTCAGGTGGTTGGTAGGTCCTCAGTTAAGCTTTTATAATAAAAAATAAGACCATGTCTCATAGGTATGATGTCTGTATTTTATACAATATAATATGTTTTCCCCACACTGTAGCATGTTTGCATTATAAAAATAGAGTTCTTAAACAACAAAACATAGCTAGTGACTGGTTTAGTTGGGTTATAAACAAAATTGACCATAGCTAGTAGTGGAGGAGGAACAGAAGCTCATTCACATGATAAATGAGAAGCTTTTGGAGAAACTTATGCACTGGGAGGCAGTGGTTATGTGTGTAATTCATACTGAGTTCCTTGTGTAGCCACCTTTAGATTCATATCTAACTTCTATGAAAATTAAAGCTTTTGTAAGCAAAAGGGGTTGAAAACTCTGTAAAGCATCAGTCCTAAGCTAGCGTATTCACAGTTCACTCTAATGTAGTGTGAACCAAAAGAGAATCAGCCTTCTCCATTTTGCAAACACCGTGGATGTTAAGCATCTTAGTTGTGTCCATGACTGGGCTGTGAAAGATGACAGTGTTTTATGGACAAGGAGGGACTCAGTGATGACTGACAAAAAATGTTAGGAACTTGGCAAACACAATGGTACCCAGATGATGCCAAGCAACTCAGCATCTGTGCAAACTAAAAAATGATCTATTTCTGCACATGTGTGACACTCCATGAATTCTCCCAGAAGTAGGAGAGAGGGCTTTGCAGTGGGACTGGAGTCTTTTGCAAACGGTGCAAGTAGGAGCAAAATTAGAATCACTGCTATTACTGTGATTCTATTTCTTCTCACAGCCTTTTTAGGCCCGAAGAAACTTAGGACAAGCTGATATTTTATATTATAAATGTGAATTTTATTTTCCATATATTTTAGATTTTAAATAACAGAAAATCACAATAGAATTAAAAGATAATTCCTATGTACAATTAAATACCTCCTTTGCAAGCAGGTAATTATAAAATTCGATTATTTTCTACATATTTAACTCTTCCTCTAGCTTATGATACTTTAGCTATTTTAAGCGCTAAACAGATACTATATAATTTGATGTTTGTATTGACTGCTTCTAAGTAAGTTTCTCTTACAGTATGTATGCGAAATTTGTCTGCTATTCCTAAAGCCAACAGAATCAGTTGAATAAAACTTATTTTATTTCATTTTTTAAAGAGTTCTACATTCTATTTCTTAAGTTGTGCGGAACTGTTGTCCAGTGTAATTCCCTTTCACTGCACTTTTCAAGCATGATATTTTTATCGTAGACAGCTAACCACTTTCTGTACTTGGACCAGCCTTCTATACTGTGAAGCCAGAACTAGTTAAGTTTTAAATTGAGGATAATTGTTTGTTTTACACATTGGCTACCACCTGCCCTTGCTCCCTTTAGTAATTGTTCTCTCTGGCAGTTATTTCCCAAGAATGGCACTAGTACCACCTGCATCAGAATCATTTGAGTAGCTTGTTAAAAATGCAATTTCCGGAACCTATCACAGACTTCATAAAAGTTCCTTTTGGCTTTGACCACTAAAGTTTGTGAACCACTGCTATGACTTCACGTTGAAGCATCTGTGTTGATTTTTTAAAAGGGATTTTGCCCCTTTTGAAAATATATGATTTAAATTATCAAACATTTTGGTTCCAAAGGATACACTGCTGAATTTAAGTCCGGTGACAGAAATTAGGAGGAGGCTGTGATGGTAATACAAAAGCAGATTGAGGAAAATGCAGTAATAACCCATGTTAATAAAGTGCCAGGAGGGGTTCATCAGAGTCACATCAGCACGCATGGAGGAAGGATAACTGAGGATTTGTGAAGAAGGCAGTTTTGAGATGAGTGTTGACATGGCTTGGAAATTTAGAGGTGGACATAAGGAGAAAGCCCACAAGCAGAGCAGCAGAGCATAGGCACAGATGTGGAAAGGTGAGGATGGTAATCAGTGACAACCCTTAATCCAGTGCACCTGAACATAACATACACTCAAGGGAGTTATAGATGGCAAGGCTAAAGATAGAGATTGGAATAGTACTGTGGAGAGTCTTGAAGGCTACTCAATAGTTGTATTTATTTGGCATCTTCGGGGTGTCTGCAACATTTTAGGTGGATTACAGATTGAAGATAGTGTATTTGTTCGTTTTCACACTGCTATAAAGAATACCTACATAAAGAATACCTTTCACTTGCTATAAAGATATTGGGCAATTTATAAAGAAAAGAGGTTTAATTGACTCACAGTTCTGCATGACTTGAAACTTAGAATCATGGAGGAAGGCAAAGGAGAAGCAAGTTCCTTCTTCATAACGTGGTAGGAGGGAGAGAGACCAAGGGAAACTGCCATTTGTAAAGCCATCTTCATTACCATCTGAGATCACCTCAACCTGGACTTCATTGTCCACATCACTATCAGCATTTTGATCAAAATCATTCAACAAGTCTCTAGGAATACCTAAACTTGCCCACATCTTCCTGTCTCCTGAGCCCTTCAAACTGTTCCAACCTCTCCCTGTTGATCAGTTGCAAATTCACTTCCCCATTTTCAGATTTTCTTTATAGCAGTATTGCACTCTGCCTGTACCAAGTATCTGTATTCATTTTCACACTGCTAAAAAGAATACCTAAGACTGGGTAATTTATGAAGGAAAGTTTTAATTGACTCACAGTTCCTCATGGTGCAGGAGACTTAAAATCAAGGCAGAAGGCAAAGGAGAAGCAAGCATTTTCTTCACAAGGTGACAGAAGAGAGAGAGCGGGGAAACCACCACTTTAAAAACCATCAGATCTCATGAGAACTCCCTCACTACCACAAGAACATCGTGGGAGAAACCACCTCCATGATCCCATCACCTCCCACAAGGTCTCTCCAATGACATGTGGAGATTACAATTTGAGATGAGATTTGGGTGGGGACAAAAACCAAACCATATCAGATAGCAAGCCATACTCCTAATTAGACACAGTTGCAGTGTCTAATCAGAAGCCAGTGGCAACACAGAGGAGGAAGTGGCAGCACTTGGTCTCCAGCACGTGGTCTTATGGACCGCATGGTTTCCAGAGGACCTATGTAGGACATGCAGCATGTGGATGTCACTCTGTACAAGGTAGGGTCTTAACAGACCTGGCAAAGGCAACTGTTAGAGTGTCACAGTTATTTTCTACTTTGGCATATTCATAAAGAACTTATACAATCTACAGATTTCCATATAATGTTATGTTTGTGAAATAACATTTTATTTTGGATCAAAGTGTCAGCCAAACCATGTTGTTATCCTTGGCATGTGAGAGGGTTGCTTCACAAGGAGAAAGGTTAGCTAGGGCATAGGTATGTCTGAGGAATATCTTTGGTACAACCTTCTACCATGCTGGAAAAATGATTTCTTTACAGCCCACTGCCTGATACATTTAATATCTTCTTATTGGAGATTTCTGATTTTGACTTTGGTAAAAGTTTATAATAGAACCATTTCCCTGTTAGTGCTAACTCATGAAATGTCTGATATGTATGAGATCTACAGGGAACAATTAAGAGGTGTAGAGATGCCAGCCAGGTCAACCTTCCTTGAGAAACATTGCTGTATTCTCTAGAGGCAATGTGTGTTAAGCGCTGAAAAGACAAATGCAACCAAGAAGAAAGCATCCAAGGATGTCTCAAAAAGCTGGTTGTCACTAAGGAGTGTGGCCAGTCTTGGAGAATTCCACAGGCAAAGCTAGGACTCAAAAACCACAGAGAGCTCAAATGTGGGTGTCAGTATAAAAGCCAGGGGTTGAACTCTAAGAAAGAGTTATTTTTAAACTTAGCTGCAATTTGCACATATTAAAGTTCCAATGTGAATTTCTGACCTCTTCCCCAATAGGTCAGAAATAATGAGTTAGAATGGAAATTAGACTCTTTTTTTTTATGGATGTATATATGTTGGGAGCAGGAGAGGAAAAAGTGGAATTTGATGTGCACATTGATTTTGGATGTTCTTTAAGGAAGTTGGAAACTGGGAAAAGAATTTGGACTAAGAATGTATACTTGTAATTAAATTCTCCAAATTATAAAGTATACTGAGACCTATCATCTACTTTTAAAAATGTTTTTCATTGCACTGCAATCCAGAATACCAAATTATCTGCCACTAAACGTAACCACACCTGCAGCATGATTATTCTATGGAGAGTCTGTAATGTAGGACATTTGTCTTTCTTTCTACTGCTAACCTCGTGTAGAGTGATTACTCTTGCTGGACTACTGTACTTGAAGGCAGTGTGGAGCACGTTATGTTAATAGCAGAGAGCTATCACTCTGCCTGTACTCCTAGTTACAGTAAATGGATTTGGTATCTCTCACAGCTGCATCCCTTTTCATGATTCCCTCATATAGTGAAAGAATCATCTGTGGAAACTTCCCTCAACAGCCAATCTTGCCTAGTGTTCCCCACACACTGATGCATTTGACAGATGCAACTGCCTTAGTGAAGTCCACAAACACCATTGACTGATCAACTCACTCTGCCCATCACAGCTCCCACGGGTGCCTAGGGCACATTGCTGCATGGGCAGGCAATTCCCTGAATACCCTGAAACTGCCACTGCCTTGGCCAGTGTGGGCCATTGGCATAGATGACTTGATATTTTGCTGCAAACTGGGTGTGAATGTATGTGGTTACATGGACCTTATGAAGACAGGCCTGTTTAATCTACAAGGATAACTCCTCAGGATATTCATACAGCTGGAATACATAGTTTTTATAAAGCTAACTCCCAAATTTGTATCTCTGAGCTCACAACTGAGTCTATGAAAATCAACGTTACTGAAACAGGACTCATATTTCTTCTTTAATCAGTTCCTTCTCTTGACTCCCCTCTTTGTATTTATTGCATCACCAACCTCCCCGTTTTGAAATTTGAGTTACGTTTAGGTATTTTATCTTGTTCTATCATTTAATCAGTTCCAAAGTTCAGTTAATAATAATAGTAACTGCTAACCCTCCTCTGCCTCCGAAATCTTCTGTTGCTCTTCATAGCCTACCAAAATACATTGTGTAGGTTATTTTTTTTTGTAAAGACTCCAGAATTCAGAACTTTCTACATGTTGAAAATTCATATTTCTAGTCTTATTTCTTATAGCTCTGTTATACAATGAACATTTTTAATTCATCCTCTTTTTACATATTAATAATTCATTTGTTGCATTAGCCAGAGTATTTCTTGAATACTTATGATGACCCTGAGATTCTGTGAAGCATTTATATACATGAATGTACAAGATACTGTAACCGGAAGGTATGTGCCTAAAATCTAACTTCGGGACTCTGGTTCCCCTCCTTTTTCTATCCCTTGTTCTTGATTTTGACATTTGCCTTCATTAGATTGTCTGAAGACACATAATTTTAAAGTAAACCACCATAAAGAGCATGTCATTTTTTTTCTTTTTTTTGAGATTTATAGAGGGTCAGTTCTTGATGCCATGTTGAAAATGATCATTTAACTTTAACCTTTTCCACACTAGACACTTGACTTCTGCATTTTCATCTCATTTAATTCTCAGAACTCCATATGAGAGGCAGTACTGTGTCCTTGTCATAGGTGATTGAGATTCAGAGAGCTCAAATAAGTTGTTCATATATACAAAGTTAATAAATACCAGAATAAATTAAATACTCTGAATATCAAGTTTTATTGTTAATGCTATTTCAGATAGTTATAATCTATATCCAATGTTCTTTCATTATGATGCAGTTTTCTCCAGTGTTCACCCAAGTGGTTTGAAAAGGTTTCAAAGATTCATTTACATGATCTCAAGACATAATCAATGCTGTTGGCTAATAGTCTGAAATTGACACAATTAAGCCTCAAAGAATACCTGAAATAGGATAAAAATTGAAATTGGGGCATGATGAAAGGTGCCCACTCACCAGTACCAGTACTAAAATGGGTCAGAGGTTAGTTTCCAGAAGTAGATTAAATATAAAACTGATAACTTCTCATGTTTGGTTGATGCCTGGTGATGATATTTGTCATAAGGTATTTAAGAGAATGCTGAGGAAGACACATGCTTTTGAAATGCCCTTAATAATCACTTCGTGAATACGAAAGGTCTGAATTCAATTCCTTTTTTTAGTCTCTTTGTTCACAAGATTTCTTCTAGGTATTTTGTTTGCATTTGAAGGAATCAGGGTAGGAACAGAATAAATGAAAAGAGAAAAAACATGCTCATTATTTTATCTTATATGGATGAATTCAGCATGAAATATGTTATAATACTATGCATTACAAATGGATGAAAAACAGGGCTGGAAAGAAACTTTAGATTTTAAAGATATTTTGACTATTATATTCAAGAAACAATGTTGATAAATTTTGATAGGATATGTAATGCTATTAAAGTCCATTACTAAAAAAAAAAGAAAGACAAAGGTTTTAAGATTTCACAATCTGTTAATAAAAAACACAAAGCTGTATGATTAGAACCTAGGTTTGTCTGACTCTGAAGTCTGTGCTTTGAAGCAGTGCACTGCCCTGAATTTCTAGTCCTTCAATAATCAATTCTTAGAGACTGCAATCACCTTCTGGCTCCCTATTAATTATCATCTTAGCAGCCACAGACAGGAGCAGTATGCTGTTATGGTTTTCACAGCATGCACTATTGCCTTGATGCTTTTTAACCCAAGTAGTTCTTTATCCTGCAGCAGATTCTTTTCTTCCATCTGTGGCTGAGTAGGTTCAGAAATCCCCAGGAGAATTGCTGGCCATAGCATTTGTGGATGTCAGTAATTAAGATATCTACTCCAGCTGCAAGCTGTTTGACAACGTGGGTAGTAGAAGGCCACAGTCCTGTGCAAAGCCTGGTCGTAGTGAGAACAGAAAGGTCAAGTCTCCCCGACTGGTTCATCATGCACTTGGGAGCTTGGCTTATCCAGGGTTCACTGAATGGTTTTTTCATCAGTCTCATATTTTTAAAAGAGAAGAGTATTTGCCACAAGCCACCTGGCCTGTAAGTTGCTTTTAGGTCTTTGCTGTGTCCGTACACAAAAACTGTTTTCTATTGCTGTTCCATTACATGAAATTATGCTGGGCACATTCCTGATTCTATTACAGGCCTGGAGTTTATTTTATAGCTTGTCCCTGACCTGGACTGGGTTTGGTTTCATGTCACTCATAATTATGCATTTCCATATTTTCTGTCAAAATCAATTCTGTCTATACCTTATAGAATAGAGAATATTTGTTATACACTTAAAAAACTTACTCTGTATCATTGAAGCACAACTGCAGGAGTGAGAGCTTTCTGTAAAGTAAATCTGGGATTATTTCACAATGTGTGAGGCTCTGTGCACCTTGTTTGCCTGTTTTAGGTGTTTTTGATAATGTACTCTTGCAGTCACAATTGAGATGTGTTTGATTGGACTAGCAATCAAGCTGATTGTCTTTTTATTGTATCTCCAACATCTAGTAAAATATCTGCATATAGTAGGTCCTAACACATATCAGGGATAAATGAATTGGTCTGTTGACCAAATATCACTGTTTTCATAATGCCTTTCCAGGTATGGCTCCAAATAGCTCCCAGTTTCTAATCTTTTCATTTCAACATGCAAGCTCTTTCCTTCATTTATTCAACATAAAATGTATTTCGTGTTTACTATATGCCACTTTCCTCAAAGAGATCACATCTGGTGTGTGTGAGAGAAAGGGAGGGATTGAAAAGAAGCATGCACGTGGATGGGGTATAAATAGACATGTCAACAGACAATTACAATCCAGTGTGTAAATTAAGTACAGGTGCAATGCAGTGAAGGCAGAACACCAAACCCAAACCTAGAACTGCGGATGACTTCCTGAAAAGATCATTCTAGTAGGCTTTTTTTTTCTTTCTATTTGGGGCAAGGTATGTGGATAGGAGAAAGGAGTTTATGGCAGAGCAAAAAACACATAGAGGCGTCAGCACAGCATGCAAGTAATGAGGTATGGCTGCTGGAGGGAAATGCTGTGTGAAGCCTAAAGCAATTCGGAAACCTCTGATCCCACTGCATTCCTAGCCAGTATCGTTTCCCTGCTGCCACAACTTCCTAAATGGTTTCTCTGATTCTCTTCTATGTATAGTCTTTTTGCACAATAGCTGCCAGAGAAATCTTTTAAAAATGCAAATCATGTCCTTCCTTTGCTCAGAACTCTAAGTGGCTGACCATCACATTGGAATCAAATCAAAAGCTCTTCAAATGGCTTACAAGTCTCAAGATGCTCTGGCTCCTGCGTTGCTCTCTGCCCTCAACTTCCTGTCAGCCTTCCCAGGCTCACTCCTCTCTAGCCACGCATGAAACTTCTTCTCTCTTGAGGGAACCAAACACCCTTCAACTCAGGGCTTTTATATTTGTTGCTCTCCTTTCTTAGAACATTATTACCCCACGTATTCTCAAGACCTGTTTGATGCTCAAGTGCCACTCAGAAAGGTCTTACCTGCCTGTACTACCCAAAATTATACCCATCTTTTCTTCTCTTACTTGCCATTTTTTTAAGCCTAGCAGTCTACCTTTACCTATCATTGCATTCAATACATGTTTGTTTATTGCCTGTTCCCACCTCCCTAGAATGTATACTCTGTGAAGACAAGGACATTGCCTGATTTGCTCATCATTGTAGCTCTGGTTCCTGAAACAGTGTTTGACATATAATGGACACTCAGCACATATTTGTTGGATTAATAAATGTATAAATGAATGGGCATTTGGTTTTTTAAAGAGCTCTTCCTTTTACATGATTATTATATAGACTAAAGCTTGAAAATTAAGGGACTAAAGAAGTTGGATTTTATCCTGAAGGTGGTAAGGACTGATTGAAGAATTCTCAGTAGGGGAGTGATGTGACCAGGCTTGCATGCTAGAAAGATCACTCTGTCAGCTGGGAGGAAGGTAAATAGAAGGCTGTTGAAGTAATCCAGGCAAGCAATTATGAAGGTGGAACACACATGTGAAAGTGGTAAAAGAGGAGACACTTTTGAAAAAGATTCAGGTGATGAAGTCAACAGATCACCCATAGATAAACAAGTACACTGATGAAGAAGTAGAAAATGTAGGGTGAGGGGTTTGTTCAGGACCTTCCTAGTTTTAACATTAAAAGTCCTGCATCTTGAGAAAACCTGCAGTCCTGGGTAAACCCAGAATGGTTGGTCACTTTAAAAAGTCAAAGATGTTTATGGAAAATAATTTGTTCCTCCAACTTCATCCATATAGTGGCAATTCCCACATTATTGTTACATTCTTTATGAGCCACTTCAAAACCCTAAGCTTTTTTTTACCTTAATCTCCCAACCACCCCACCCCCACTACTTCCTTCCTCTTCTGAAGGAACACAGTGTCTGTTCTTAATCTCTGGTAGAACAAGTGAACCAACCTGTTTTGTATAATACATTCATTGGCTACTTTGCCCATTCACCTTTTAAACTCAAGCCCATGCAGGTCATGACCGTGGTTTATTCATCCTGCTATTGCCAACAAGTCATGTATCACAGCTGTGAATCCCTGTTTGTTGAATACATTGATGTAGGCAAGTGTACATGCTATAAGTTTGGGGAAACATAGGTGAGGGCTGACAGTGTTGATGCCTACTTGGGTAAAGGAAGTAGTGTGATTAAATGCTCATGGCTGCCTGAAAACATTAATGAAGGACATGCTAGCCACACATTACCAAACATAGAGTAGAGAATAGAACAGTTATTACTCACAGACCTGGTTTGCAGCACAGCCAGGACATGTGGTCTACCTGAAGCTGCTTTGTGTGCCATCTTGGGCTCATATGCTCTTAAGTTTCCAAAGGGGGTAGAAAACAATTCAGATAAACAGGAAAATGTATTTTAAACCTATGCATATACAGAGTAAAATATACCACATGGCAATATAGGACTTTCACCAGTCATGTTGGCTAATAATTTGAGCCATAATTTGTAAAAAGAAAGTCCCTGGAGAATTAACTTTTTACATGATGTTACATTTTTGGCAAATATCACATTAACACTGAACTCCATCATGATTTCTGGCATTCTAATGAAGGGATGTGTGTGCATATCTAAATCCATATTTCTTCAAGCCTTACTTCTTATGTTTTGAACTTGGTATTATATTTTTCCCTGTGGCTGAATGTAAGCCTTTGAATTTATGCATGCAAACCAATTGACAACTTGAATTTGGTTTTGAAAGCAAAGGCCAGGGTGGTTGGAGTCATCTGTTATGACTTAAACAGTACTCTTGTCAAAACACCTCACACAAAGTAGGAATCATCACCCAGGAACTTCAGATCCAACATTCCAAGCTCACAAGGAAAGGGTATAAATAGTATATTCTTCTTGAATATTTTAAGGAATGTAGACTGCATGTTCCCTTTGTTAGTTAAGATGCTTTGACATCAGGTGATCAGATATGGCTTCCTTAAGCACAGCCAAGAGAGCCCCCTGTATTAAGCAAAGACAGTGTCCTAATTTTTGATACCAGTTTCTTCCCGCAGCCAGTCTGCTAATATTTTCGTGCTTTCCTCTTCTGAAATGGGAAAAGGTAATCTATTTTTATCAACATTCATTTTTCATTGTAGTAATTCTCTAAACACAGAATTAAAAAAATCTCAGTGTCTCTGGGGCATCCTATCGAGAGGATATAAGTTCAAGGACTCAAGGAAAAACAAATTTTCCAAAAAATATATTTCAGGATTAGAATGAATCACCTTGACCTAACAGTAGGTTCATTTAACAAACCGAGTTTTATTTCTTACATAGTAAATCAAGTTTCAGGCAATAGAATGTCATATGATCAAGACACAAATACATGTGGGATGATCCTTCAGATCTATACTAGTCCCAATTTATATTCTAAAAATTCTGCAGATATTCACAGAAGCATCTTTAAAATTAAATAATTAGGACCATTAAATAAAATTAAATCATTAGTACCATTCTGATCCAAAAGAGTATCCTTCCTGTACACAGAAAATATTATTTTTCTTTTCACATTTCTTCAAATTTTCTATTTTCTAGGACATTGTATTCAGTAAGGGACAATAACACAAGAACATGGCAATATTTTGTAATAATACACAGATTTTTAAAAATGAAAGAATGAAAATTCCAGTCCTGGGTCAGAGACACTAGACACTCACTCTTCATACTCATATAGAAGCTAGAATCTACGTTATCAATTTGTTATTATATTTACCTAATATCTTTCTTTTCCAGGCAGTTCTGCTTGGAAAGAGATAAATGTATTCCATGGCTTTGTGCCCAAGGATTCAATGATTAAATCACATAATGTTTTAGTGCAATACTCTTTGGAAAAACAATGTAGTAGCTTTAGCTGGAGACTCTGTATGGCCAAGTGGGCTGGCCTGGAGTTTGCACCACAATGAGGAAAGTGACAAATGGTCTATCACTTTTGACTTACGTATCTCCTGTCCTAAGATTTGGGCATTGTTTTAGCTATTTTGCAGGGCTCAAATATGAAGTAGTGGCACATATCTCTGCTGTACTCACTGAAGCTCTTTCACAACGATGACAATTCCCTGACTGTGGAGGCAGCTTTATAATCCAAAAAGTTGCTTCTGAGCCATTATGTCCTTTGCACGTTGCCACAAAGCTGGATAAATATCTCCATTCTCATTTTATAAGTGGGAAACTGAACCTTAGTGGTTATCTTGACTAAACACAGTAAACATTCAGTTTTTTAGCATGAATATGGAATGTGTTATTCTGTGCTATTTGGTAATGATACAATAGGCAGGACATTGCTTATAAATTTTTTTCATGTTGTATTTTATACATTATAAATATGATTATATTTAATATCTATATATCTATAATAAAAGTATAATTAAATTGGTAAAATTGGGACTCTACATGTACAAAGTTCAAATAAAAGAATGTTTTGAAGAAATCTTATACCTAAAGTCTTCAGTACACTGTACTAGACACAGTGTTGACATAGATGGTGCTAATGAGGTCTAGATTGTGATAAAACAATGATAAACTCTTCATCCTAACTTCTGATGTTTATGAAATTGACATTTCTTTATAAACATCCACAAGATATTTTACTAAAACAATAGAATAATACTTAATGAAACTGTTTACTTCTTCACAGTATCTAAGTAGCAAATGTTTTGGAAGTTTCAACTGATTACTTCCCTTACTTCCTCTTCCAAGAGCATTGACTCTTCATTAGTAAATTGGGCAACTGAGTTGGGCAAGAGTTTAGGAGAAAGTGATGACTCTCCAGTGTCATGCAGAGAAAAGCCATAATGAAATAAATCATCTTTTTTTTTTTTTAAAAAAAAAGTCCATCTTTGACTTTGTGCAGAGTTCTCAGATAGTATTTCACCTTTCTCATCCCCAGTCGAATCCCTTACAAGCACAGACAAAATTCTGTCAAGGTAATGTCTCACATTTCAAAATCAGTCAACACACACTTATTAAATGTCACTGTGTGCAAAGCACAGTACATAACTGTTGTCACTGTGTCTCAAAAGAAATTACCACTTTTTTGCCACATGTTCAATATATTTTTGCTGAGAGGAGAAACACTTCTATGCAAAAAATCTACTTACACAGCTCTGTGCTTATGTAATATACTCAATTACTAATTTTCAGTTTTCTCAGTGAAATGATCAAGCCACTCAGGTATTAAAGGTAAATATCAATTACGTAGTAGCAAAATGTTTGATTTTGGCCTATGGGATATTAAAAAATAACCCAGAGAAATCCATATGTCATATACTGAAAATGTCAATCCAATGTTTTGAAATACTTACAACTACTCTAAGAAAATGATTAGGGTGAAATACCTGAGGCACTTTCAGAAACTTTACAATAGAGTAGAACTGGAGAGGACTAAGAACAGTCCTGTCCTAAAGGCAATGTGAGAATGTGAAGTGACTTTTCTACAATTACCTCATTACATTTTACATATTTTTCTGGATTGATTCAAGTTTCCTTTATTGTTGCAAGGAGGAAAATTATACAATTTGCCAAGAGAAGGTCTTAGGTAAGGTTGTTCCAGAAACACAGGTTGCTTGAGGACTAGGTAGACTATAGAGAATCAACCCATTTTAAGAGGCATTTGTAGTGGTTTTCTCGTATGAAATATCCTCCATTCATAACTGTTACTATTGTTGCTTCTGTTTAATTGAAGGTAAAGTATTATTTTTAAGGGATGCAACAAAAGATAAGTTTTCTGCATGTGTTTTTGCTGATTTACTAACATCCTTCCTGAAAATCTTTTGTTCTCAGAGACTCTCATTCTCCATTGTATAGTTGGCAATATTTTAATCCTTCAAAACTAGACCTCAATAACATTTCCTATATGGAGACTTTCTGGAATCTTCTCTAGTGTTTGACTCGGTCATTGATTTCACTAGGCTTTCATAACACTCCATACCCATCTCTATCAATGCTAACTCATGCATGTAGTACACATACATGACTGTCTCACCTCTTGGAGGCCCTGGAAGGCAAGGACCACTAGAGAAGTTTCCTGAAACCATGTGTTGGCTAGACAAAAGTGAATACATCATCCAATTCAGGAGTAAAATGCAAATGTGTTCTTATCGCTCCCTTAAATTGGGCTTTCTCTGCAAAGACCCTGCTTCCCATGTTGCACATGGTTTATCACATGCATCAAGAGATTAGAAACATTAAGCAGGTGACAGATATCAACAATGAACTGGGGATTTATTGTAATCAACCAATATGCTCAGCCTTGTAATTGCTCAGAGCTTTTTGCTCCATAATTATATGGTTGCCTCAGTGTAGCCATTCAATGATGTTATAATTAGTGAGTAATTAAAGCATTTGCCGAGATGCTTTAGAGCATGAAACATGTGCAGGTTGAACATGAGGATTGATAAACTACTTAGTCAACAGTTTTCTAAAAACATTTTAGCAGATCCTTTTCAAACCTCAGCAATTGTAAATCCCTTTTTGGCTTGCAGACTCTGCATCTTATTCCACAAGTTGCTTTGGGAACTGTCCAAAGCATGGAATGGGACCATCCGAGTGCCGCCATATACTACTTCTTCCACCCACCCCACCTGTACTTCCACATATGCCATTCATCCACTTCTAAAATAACTATTCTACATAGAAATTGCCAGTTCACAGAGAAGTTCCACACATAAAATTTGTGATTTTATTTGATGTATGAGGTGGATTCTGCAGAGCATCAGCTCCAACTTAGAGATGGAAAAAAGGCTCAGTGTTTAAGCCACTTGCCTTAGTTTAAATGGCTATTGGCAAAATAGAACTGTTTCAAACCTGAGCCTCTTCAGAATCTAAAATGAGTGCTCTTTACAATGTACTTCATGTAAAATGGGACATGTCAGAAGCAGAAAGTGGCAGCACAGGGTGCCTTTGGGAGAAAAAGGAAAAAATATATAAAATAAAAAGTGAAAGCAGAGTAATTGCTGAGAAAAGGTGATAAGGAGTGTTGTTGATACATAAGAATATAGTTTCAAAATTCTGAGTACTAATCAATACATAAGCATATACTGGATGCTGTAACATACTCTTGTGTAAGAATTTCCTTTTGTGTAAGAGGACAATATTAGTAGTACCTGAATGATAAGCTTGGAATGCTTACTAATCTGCATGGAATATTACATAACTGAAATAATCTATATTAAGCACTTAAAATAGTGCCAGATACATCATAACCCCCAATGACTGAGAGCTATTAGAAAGAGAGAGAGAGAGTGAGCATGTGAGTGAGAAAGAGAGAATGAATACAGGTCCACATGAAAAAGAATAAAAGGAGTTTGAGAGGAGAAACGGGGCCCTGCCCACCCTGTGCTGCCCAGAGGAAGTATGAGGACTCATAAGCTCAGTGGGTCATGTTCTCAGGGCCGGGACACACATTCTCTGTTGCAGTGATAGACTGTCCCTGCTTGCCTAGTCTGTGGCCAGTGAATGTTGGACTCCAATAGTTAAGCCCTTTTGTTATGATTCCATCCTTTGTAAGTTTAAGATTTGGTTTGCCTCATGGCCAGGGAGATGCTGCTCTCCAAATGCCAGCACATGCATGTCAGTCCAAAAGTCATTTACTTTGGCACTGTAAATTTAAAAAATAGCATTCTGAGTTGTGCATTATCCACAGTGATAACTGGTTTGTAACTCACGCTTTATTGGCGTCTTCCCTGTCTCACTGCCACATTCCCTTCCTGGCATTTCTTTCTAAATTAACTAGTTACCCTGTCATGCCTGTCTTGGCGTCTGCCCCTGGGAGAACCCAAACTGTGACAATCACCGCACTTCTCCGTGTCTCTCTTCTCTCTGCCTCTCATCTTGGCTTCCTTCTCTTAGACTGCTCCACATGGTGGGAGACATGGCCACCAGCAGGAGTGGTATCATGTACCTATCAGTCATGATGTGGGGGAAAAAGAGAGCCATCCTTTCAACTCTAGTTCAGAAAAGTCCTGGGAAGAATTCTTGTCTGTCATGAAGTTGCTGTAAAGGGAGGTAGAGTGCTTGCTTTTTCTGGCCTAGTAAAAACCAGACAAGGAGGGGCAGGGTACTGTGACTAGCAGCCATGTTAGAAACTCAGAGTGAATGAGGAGCAATCCCGTAAAGGAGGGAAAGGAGAATCGCTATTACCAAAGAGAGGAAGTATGAAGATGGCTGAGTAGAAGCCCCTAGCACTTGTCTCTCTCACAAAGACAGCCAGACATCAAATGAACAAATACATTTGGTGAAAATAACAGAGAGAGCACTGGAGTGCATTACAGAAGTGGCAGAAACCCTGGTGAGTATAGAAACTGAGGGTGGTGACATAGAGAATGTAAGGAAACACAGACCTCCACCACCACATCCCCAACTGGGAACAGCTGGAAACCAGGAGGAGCTTCTCCTAATGGAGAAGAGGTAAGCAAGGGGGTCCCAGCAGACCCCATGAGCACCTTGTACACCATCAGTGGGGTGAACTGCAGCCCTCACAGACACTAAGCTCAGATGAAGGGGCTGCCTGGAGTCCACACAGCAGTGATGCCCCCAGAGAAGGAGCTGACACTGTGTCCCACCCTCTGTGGCCTGCACAGCTACTGTACTACACCATGTCAGAACAGGAGCTATGGCTGGAGGGTGTCTTGCTCTGGGGGTGAGTAACCGTGACTCATTCATCCCTGAGGGTAAGTCACCATGGAATCATCCCAAGCCCAGCTGTGAGCAACTGTTACACCCTTCCCTGTGGGACCAAGTGGAGGTACAGCTGCTTCACCTATCCCTCTTTCTCCTCAGGCTAGAATTGAGGTGTCACCCTGCCTCCTGGACAAACAGTACCTTAGTAGCTCAGAGTAGTCATGCCTTCCTAGTGCCTAAGATGAAGCAGTGTCCTGCATCCCAGGGAAACGGAAGGACCACCAGAATAGTCATGCCTCCTCAGACCTGAGGCAGTGTCACATTGCCTCCTGGTCAGTTGGTGCCCTGGCTGAGCTGAGCAGCTGTGCATCCCAGGGCTGAGATGATATAGTACTCTGTATTCTAGTGAGACAGAGCAGTGCCTAACACCGCACCCTATGGGTCAAACAACTCTAGAACCGTCTTTTCTGGAGGTGTACAGATCCTCTAGAGTCTGAACTATTGAGACACCCATCTCTTGGGGGAGTGGAGTCATTGTGATGCTGTTCCCTGATCCCCCAGGGCCCAGATGATAGTTGTGCTTTACCATTCTGGGGTGCTTTCTGCTGCAGCACCTGGTCTTGCTGAGTCTGGAACACTGCTGAGCCCCACCATCCCAGGGCCTAGAGTCACTAAAACATGGTGGCTCATGCCCTGGAACCAAGTTGCTACTGAACCCTATTAGCTCAAGTTCCCAAATTTGCAGCCATACCCTGCTCGCCAGGCCCAAAGTTCCAGAGCACATCTTCCCCAGAGGCTGGTCAGTGCTGTGCCTTGCCCCTAGGCCAGGGGTAGAGCTACAGCTACAAGCCCCCAGGCACAAGCTGCTAGGGAGTGCTTCAGTCACAAATTCTGGCTCTACGGGAACCCTACATCCAATCCTGCCACAGACAGCAAAACTGTACCCCAACACACAGCTGCCACAATAGTTTTTTGAGACTCCGAGATAAGGACGCCAGCCCCATAGCCACTTCAAACAACTGAGCCTGGAACCCAGCACTGCTGAAGTTGTCTTTAGGCCATGTCAGACCTGACACCAGGAGGGATGTACTCAGCTATGTCTCCCCATTATGTTCCCACAAGAATAGAAGAACCTCAAAAGCCCCTTTTGAGGTTGACACTGAGAAAATTAACAACTTATGCCACTACTGCTGCTGCCCCAACCTTTAAACCCCAGACCATTGAGAAACCCACAGTTACTGCTGATGTTGAATGCAGCTGAAGAAGCTTCATGTAGACTATACCACTATATCTACTGAAAAACAGAGTCAGTACACCCTGCCCAACAGCAAAGACCCAACTGCAGGTGAAAGTCTTTTCTATGAAATTCACTCTGGAAAGTTTAAAAGAGGCAATTGTTCCACAAGATGCACAGACATCAATGCAGGGACATGAGAAACATGAGAAAGCAAGAAAATATGATACCACAAAAAGAATATAACTCTCGTAACAGATCCCAGTGAAAAAAAAATTGCCAGAAAATAATTTCAAAATAATCTTAAGGAAATCCAACAAAATACAGACAGGTAATTTAATAACATCAAGAAAACAGTTCACAATATGAATAAACTCAAAGACATGGAAATCATAACAGAAATCCTGAAGCTGAAGAATTTAATGAATACAAGTAAAATAGAGTTCCAACAGCAGGATTGATCAAGCAGAAGAAAGTATCTGTGAATTTGAAAATAGGTCGATTTGAATTTACCCAGTCAGAGAAAAAAAAAGATAAAGTGAAGTAAGCCTACAAAACTTATGGGTCACGATTCACTAAAATAATATTGACAGTATAGAATTTTTTGAAGAGAAAAAAGATATAGCTGCAAACTTCCCAAGTCTGGGGAGAGATCAAGAAAGCTTGAAGGTTTTCAAGTGGAATAATATAAAAAATATTAATCCTAAGACACATTCTAGTCAAACTATCAGAAATCAAAGACATAGAATTCTAAAAATAGCAAGTAAAAATCCTCATTAGACTAATAGCAGATTCCTACACAGAAGTCTTATCAGGAGAAAATGGGATTATTCAATATGCTGAAAGAAAAATCTCTCAAGAGTACTGTATCCGCAAAACTATCCTTCAGAAATGAAGGAGAAATAATCTTTCTCAGACAAGCAAATACTAAGGGAATTCATCACCAACCACTAGGGTGGCCTTACAAGAAATGCTCAGATAAGTTCTACATCTACAATAGAAAATAACTCTCATGAAAACAAGCAAAAGTATAAAAGTTACTGGTATAACAAGTACACAAAAGTGAAAGAAAAAAATATCAAACCTTAGCACTACAAAAACCACCAAATACTTAGGAATAAATTTAACCAAATAAATATAAGAATTTATAAGGAAAACTATGAAACACTAAAGAAATTGAAGAGGACACAAAAATATAGAAATAGCATTCCATGTTCATAAATCAGAAGAAATACTGTGAAAATGAACATACTATCAGAAGTGATCTACCAATTCAATGTAATTCCTCCCAAAATACCAATGAGTCTCTCCCCAGCAATAGAAAAAACAGTTCTAAAATTTTTATGAAACCATACAGGATCTTGAATAAAGCAATTCTGAGCAAAACTAGAGGCATCACACTACGATACTTTAAAAAAGTACAAAGCTAAAGTTATAGTAACCAAAACAGCATGGTGCTGGCATAGAAACGGAGACATAGATCAGTGGAACAGAATAGAGAACCCAGAAATAAATCCTCATTTCAACAGCCAACTGATTTTGCAGATTTTCAACAAAGTCCCCCAAAATACATGGTTTGGCTCTGTATACACACCCAAATCTCATCTCAAATTGTAATCCCCACATGTTGAGTGAGGGGCCTTGTGGGAGGTGATTTGATCATGGAGGCAGTTTTCCCCATGCTGTTCTTATGATACTTAGGGAGTTCTCATAAGATCTGTTGGTTTAAAAGTGGCAGTTTCCACCCTCCATCCCCCATCGCTGTGTTGTGAAGAAGGTACTTGCTCTTCCTTCACCTTCTGCCGTGATTATAAGTTTCCTGAGGCCTTTCCAGCCAAGTGGAACTGTGAGTCAAGTAAACCTTTTTTTTTTTTTAGTAAATTATACTGTCTCAGGTAGTATCTTTATAGCAGTGTGATAATTGACTAATAAAAAGAATTGGTACCATCAGAGTGTGGTACTGCTACAAAGATAACCTGAAAATGTGGAACTGGGTAACAGGCAGAGGTTGAAACAGTTTGGAGAGCTCAGAAAAGACAGGAGGATGTGGGAAAGTTTGGAACTTCGAGGGACTTGTTGAATGGTTTTGACCAAAATGTTGATAGTGATATGGACAATGAAGTCCATGCTGAGATGGCCTCAGATGGAAATGTGGAACTTATTGGGAACTGGAGTAAAGGTCACTCTTGCTATGCTTTAACAAAGAGACTGGTGGTGTTTTGCCTTTGCCCTAGAGATCTATAGAACTTTGAACTTGAGAGAGATGATTTAGGATATCTGGTGGAAGAAATTCCTTAGCAGCAAAGCATTCAACAGGTGACCTGGCTGTTCCTAAAAGCCTAAGTTCATTTGCATAAAGAAAGAGATGGTCTAAAATTGGAACTTATATTTAAAAGGGAAGCCAAGCATAAAAGTTTGAAAAATTTGCAGCTTGACCATGTGGTAGAAAACAAAAACCCATTTTTCTGGGGAGGAATTCAAGCCTCTTGCAGAAATTTGCATAAGTAATGAGTTGAATGTTAGTAGGCAAGACAATGGGGAATATATCTCCAGGGCATGTCAGAGACTTTCATGGGAGACCCTCCGATCACAGACTGAGGCCTAGTAGTAAAAAATGGTTTCATGGGCTGTGCCCAGGGCCTTGCTGCTCTGTGCAGCGTTGGGACTTGTTGCCCTGTGTTCCAGCCACTCCAGCTCTAGCTATGGCTTAAAAGGGGCTAAGGTACAGTTCAGGTCCTTGCTTCAAAGGCTGCAAGCCGCAAGCCTTGGTGGCCCCATGTGGTGTTGGGCTTCTGGGTACACAGAAGACAAGAGTTGAGGTTTTGGAACCTCCACCTAGATTTCAGAGGAAGTATGGAAATGCCTAGATGTCGAGGCAGAAGTCTGCCATAGGAGTGGAGCCCTCATGGAGAACCTCTATTAGAGCAATAGCAGAAGGAAAATGTGGGGTTGGAGCCCCCACACGGAGTCCCCACTGGGGTACTGCCTAGTGGAGCCATGAGAAGAGGGTCACCATCCTTCAGCTGCCAGAATGGTAGATCCACCAACAGCTTGCACCATGTGCCTGGAAAAGCCTCAGACCCTCAACAACAGCTCATGGAAGCAGCCATGGGGGCTATACCCTGCAGAGGACAGGGACAGCTGCCCAAAGCCAGGGGAACCCACCTCTTGCATTGGCGTGCCCTGGATGTGAGACATGGAGTCAAAGGAGGTTTTGGAGCTTTAAGATTTAATGACTGCCTGACCAGGTTTTGGACTTGCATGGGGCCTGGAGTCCCTTTGTTTTGGCTAATTTCTCCCACTGGAAATATTTACGCAATGCCTATACACCCATTGTATCTCTTGGAAGTAACTAACTTGCTTTTGATTTTACAGGCTCATAGGTGGAAGGGACTTGCCTCGCATCAGATCAAACTTTGGACTTGGACTTTTGAGTTAATGCTGGAATGAGTTAAGACTTTTGGGAACTGTTGGGGAAGGCATGATTTGTTTTGAAATGTGAAAAGAGGGGCCAGGAGCAGAATAAAATGCTTTGGCTCTGTGTCCTCACCCAAATCTTATCTGAAATTATAATCACCACATGTCAAAGGAGGTGTCTGGTGGGAGGTGATTGGATCATGAGAGTGATTTAGCCATGCTGGTCTCGTGACAGTGAGGGAGCTCTCCTGAGATCTGATGGTTTTAAAAGTGGCAGTTGCCACCCACCTCGTGCCACCTTGTGAAGAAGATTCTTGCTTCTCTTTCACCTTCTGCCATGACTGTAACTTTCCTGAGGACTCCCCAGCCATGTGGAACTGTGAGTCAATTAAACCACTTTCCTTTATAAATTACCCAGTCTCAGGCATTTCTTTACAGCAGTTTGAAAATGGACTAATATATATTGGGGAAAGGACAACTTCTTCAACAAATGATGCTGGGGAAACTGGATATCCATATGCAGAAAAATAAAACTAGACCCATATCTCTCACCATATATAAAAGATACCTCAAAGTGAACTAAAAACTTAAATATAAGACCTCAAACTGTAAAACTAATTAAAGAAAACAGAAATGCTTCAGGACATTGGTCTGGGCAAGGATGTTATGGAGAGGACCTCAAAAACACAGATGACAAATTCAGAAATGGACACATGGGATTATATTAAACAAAAATGCTCCTGCACAGCAAAGGAAACAACAGAGTGAAGAAACCCACAGAATTGGAGAATATACTTTTATGCTATTCATTTAACAAGATGTTAACACCCAAAATATGGAAGGAACTCAAACAACTCACCATCCAAAAGCAAGTAATCTATTTTTTAAACGGGCAAGGGGTGTAAATAGACATTTCTCAACAGAAGACATACCGTGGCCAAAAATTCAGGGGAAAAGTTGCTCAACATTGCTAATCATCAGGGAACAGCAAATCAAAACCACAATGAGACTATCTTACCTGAAGTAGAATGGCTATTACCAAAAAATAAAAAATAAATGTTGATAGGACTGTGGGAAAAAGGGAACTCTTGTAAATTATGTGATTGTAAATTACTATGCCCATTATTGAAGAATATGAAGGTTCTTCAAGAAACTAAAAATAGAACTACCATATGATGCCGCAATTGCACTATTGGGTATATATCCAAAGGAAGGAAAATCAGTATGTCAAGGATGCACTCCAATATTTAGTACAACACAGTTCACATTACCAATATGTAGAATCATCCTGAGTGTCCATCAACAGATAGATAAAGAAAATATGACATATACACACAGTGAAGTGTTACTCAGCCATGAAAAAGAATGAAATCCTATCATTTCCTGCTATGTGGATGAAACTGAAAGTCATTATATTAAGTGAAATAAGCCAGGCACACAAAGACAAATACCACATGTTTTCATGTATATATGGAAGCTGAAAAGTCTAATCTCATAGAAATATCAGGTAGAATAGTAGCAGAAGTAGGAAAAAGTAGGGGTGAGGAGAGGTTAGCAAAAGTTTGGCTAATGAACACAAATTGTAGCTAGATAGGACCGAATAAATCCCAGTTTTCTGTAGCACTATAGAATGACTACAATTAACAAACTTATTTTATATTTTCAAATAGCTAGAAGAGCACATTTTGAGTGTTCCCAACACAAAGAAATGATAAATATTTGGGGTGGTAGATATGCTAATTACCCTGATTTGATCATTACACGTTGCATACATGTATCAAATAATCACTCAACTCCATAACTGTACATAATTGTGTGTGAATTACAAATGATAATACAAGCAAAAAATTTTAAGAGATGAGGTGTGCTAAGCAGAAAAAAAATTGATGCACAGTATAGATATATACTAAACAGAACATCTCATCAAATATAAATCAGCAGTAAAGATTTCATGTCACTTTGTTTCCAGAGACCAAAAGAAGCAACTGTGAAGACAGTATGTCTGGTCCCACTGTACCCATTTTGGTGCATCCCCAAACACTGATTCCAAGTCTTACTTCTCCAGGGCTCTAGAGTGTCAGCATGAAAGACAGCTGCTGAGATTTGAATGTTCCCTTCAAGACTCAAGTTAAAATTTAATTACCAATGTAACAATATTGGGAGGTATGGCCTTTCAGAGGTGATTGCTTTCTGAGAGCAGACCTACTATCACTGGAGTGGGTTATTTATTACAGGAGTGGTATAGTGATCATGTAAATTGGCTCCTGAGAAAATAGATTCAGACCCCATTCTCTGTCTCACATGCTTGCTTGCCCTTCTGCCATATTATAAAGCAACACAAAGGCCCTTGACAGACGTCAGTGCTATGCTCTTGGACATCCCAGCCATAAGCCAAATCTCTTTCTTCTTAAATGAATTAAGCAGTCTATGGTGTTGTTATAGCAGCAGAAAATGGACTGAGACAGCAGCTAAGTGGTCATCATTGCCTGATTGCCAGGTGCCAAAGATGAAAGAGCACACTACTGGGGAGTCAGTAAAACTGTTTTTTAGCCTCTGCTCATCTTGAAGCTGTGACCTTCACCACTTTAGGACTCAGCTTTTTTGGTGAAGGTATTTGAACTGGAGCTCTAAAATTCCAGCCTTAATGTGTTAAAATTTTCTGGGAAACTTGTAATGCTTGTTTGCCAAAATTAAAACTGCCCCCATCGAAGATAAGAAATCATTATTTTTGTGTTGTCATTAATATTAAATTATGTTCATCTAAACTGCTTTAACTGACAATTGATCATAATTGAATACAGAGTAAATTGTCGGTAATATTTTTATTTTTTGATTAGTTTCTCTATATTAGAAAAGTAGAAATAACATCAAAGCAATCATCACATCTCCCTACTGAAACTTCCTTCTCCTGTTGCTTCCAGGAGAGAAAATACCATTGTTAGCTCATCATTAAAACTAGTAACAAAGAAATAAAACCTTCACAAACTAATCCCAAACTTTGTGTCCAGACTTCCATATGCCCTTCATCCAGCTTTCTGAATATTAACATCTTACATTATCATGATACACTTTCATAGCTAAGATAATATTTGTACAATACCATTAACTAAACTGCAGATTTTGTTCATATCTTGTCAATTTTTTCACCAATGTCTTTCTATGTTTCAGGATCCAATCCAGACTACCACTTACTGCGTTGAGTCATTGCAATGGACTGAATGTTTGTATGCCCCTAAAGTTTACATGTTAAATTCCAAACCTCCAGTGTGATAGTATTTGGAGATGAGGCCTTTGGATAATAATCAGGTCATGAGGGTGGAGCCCTCATGAGGAGACTTAGAATCCTTTTTTAAAAATGACCCCAGACAACTCTCTCACCCTTTTTACAAGCACGATACTTTGTTAAAGTAGCCTGAGCTGACGAAGACAGTCATCTTGTCTTCTTTCTCCTCCATTCTGACAGCTTCTTGGTCTTGTCTTGTGTTTCATGACCTTGACACTTTTGAAAAATACTGGAAAGGTATTTTATGTCTCTCTCTCTCTTTTTAGTCATTTTAATAGGTATGCTGCAGTATGTAATTTTATCTTTAATCGCAGTTTTCTATTAAGTGATCTGTGCATCCCTTTCTATGCTTGTTTTCCAATTGCGTATCTTTGGTGCTGAGTTTATTCAGATGTACCATTTTTATTGGGTTGCTTTCTTATTGAGTTTTAGGGGTTTTTTTTGTTTTCTAGTTACACAACTTTAACGGATGTGAGATTTGCAAATATTTTCTCAATATCTGTGGCTTGTCTTTTTGTTCTCTGAAAATTTCTTTCACAGATCAAAAGGTTTTAATTTTGGTAAAGTCTAACTTATTAATATGTTATTTTAGGAATCATGCTTTTGAAGTCCTATTTCAAATACCTAATCAAACTCAAGGTCATGCAAATTTTTTGTTGCTTTCTTCTAGAAGAATTTTTAGTATAATGTTTTATACTTCAGGCTATAATACAGATTGAGTTAATTTTGGCATATGATGTCAGGGTTCATTGTTTTGTAAATGGATGTTCAACTGTTCCATCATTAGTTGAAGAAACTATACTTTCTCCAATGAAATGCCTTTGTACTTTTGTAGAAAATCAATTGATTATATTTGTTGTACTCTAATTTTTATCTCTTTATTTTGTTTTATTGACCTATTTCTTTATTTTCAGCATTACCTTTCTTAATTACTATAAGATTGGTAAGTCTTGAAATTGGACCTACAAAATTGTGGGCCCTTCAACTTCTTTTTTTCTTTTACAATTGTTTTCATTTTTGTCTCTTTTTTCTCTTAAAATCTTAGAATCATATTGTAAATATCTACAACATGGCATGTTGGAATATGAGTTGAAATTGCACTGAATTTATAGATAAAATTGAGAAGATTTGGCACCTAAACAATATTGAGTTTCCTATTTTCTGAGCAAGATGTACCATTTATATAGATGTTCGTTTTCTTTCATTCATTTTTGACATAAAAATTATAAATTGTTATATTTATTTCTAATTTCATATCTTGGAGGCAACTTTTAGTATAATCTTAGGTTTACAGAAAAGTTTAAAAGGTTATAAAACTGTACCCATTACCTTTTAATCAGATTCCCCGATGTAAATATCTTCTCTAACGATGGAATATTGTCACAATCAAGAAATTAGCATTGGTGCAATATTAATTAAACTTCAGAATTTATTGAGATTTGCCAGATTGCCACTGGTATACTTTCCATTTCCCAGAATCTAATTCATAATACCATGTTGCCTTCATTCTGTAATAGTTTTTTAGTGTTTCTTTGATTAATGTGACATTAACATTTTTGAAGAGTTAAAATTTAGTCCAAAATATTTAATTATTTAGTGAAAATACTAATCAGATATTTTGTAGAAAGTCCCTCAATTTTAGCTCTCATGATTAGACTGGAGTTATGTGTTTGGGGAAAGAATATTACAGAAGTGAAATAACCTTTGAATTGCATCAACTCAAGGATATATAATATTAGCGTAAGTTATTCCTTGTGATGTTAATTTTATTCCCCTGGGTAAGATTATCTAGGCTGGTTTCTTTTTACAGTTACTATTTCTTTTCCATGCTTTTCTTTGGTAGTGAACCATTACGTTCAAAAGACACTCAAGGGGAGAGGATTTAAGCTCCATGTCCTGGAATGGGGAATATTCATGTATATATCATTTAGAAATCTTCTGTTAGAGAGTTCTGTTCTTCTCCCCATTTACTTATTCATTCAGCCATTTATATGTGTATTCATTCATGGATATTTATTTTATTATTTGTGTTATAATCTTTAAATAGTGTTATTTCTTTTGCTGCTGGCATTATTCCATGTTTGGCCATTAAAGATCTTCCAGGTTGCTGCTCATGTCATTTGTTTTGCTGTTGTTTGTTTGTATTTTTAAATGTTTTGTTTTAGAATAGTTTTAGTTTTGTAGAATTATTGTGAAGAAAGTACAGAGGGTACTCATATACCACACAAAGAGTTACTCCTATTATTAATATATTATTTTGATGTGTTTTTCACAAAACCAATATTGAACTAATACTGATATATTATTATTAACTAAAATTCATACTCTTTTCAGATTTTGAAAAAGGTTTACCCTAATTCCTGTTTTAGAATTCCATTCAGGAAACCATTTAGTAGTCATGTCTCTTTGGGCTCCTCCTGCTTGTGACAGTTTTTCAGGTTTGTTGGTTGGTTTGTTTTGATGACCTTAATAGTTTTGATCCTGCTTTTGATCAGGAATATTGTAGAGGGTCCTTTAAATGGGATTTGTCTGTTGTTTTCCTAATGATTCTACTGGGATTATCATTTTAGGGAGGATGATCAGAGAGATAAAATGCCACTTTTATCACATCTTTTCAAGAGTACGGACTACTAAGATGTCTCATCACTATTGATATTAGCCTTGACTACCTAGCTTGAGGTCATATACTTGTCAGTTTTCTCCACTGTAAAGTTACTTTTTTTTTTTTCTTCCATTATGTCCATATTGCATGTACTTTGGAAGGAGTGAGGAGCTATAATTCTCTTTGGTGGAAATCCACATAAATTACTTGGAATTTTTCTGCATGGGATATGTATTATTTCCCATGTATTTACTCAACCATTTATTTATATTGGTAAGGACTCATGGATATTTATTTTATAAAAATGTGGTTAGGTAAGATATTTTATGGTTAGATAAGATATTACTTGTAAATGTTTCTCATAGATACTCTTTATTAGGTTGATCATTTCTTCTTAGCTGAGGTTTTAAAATCAGAAAAAAATGGAATGGATGTTGAATTGTCAAACGGTTTTTATATCTATTGATTGTTTTTCTTAAACTTTTAAAATGGAGTTTATATTATCTCATTCTCAAATCTTAATCCAAGTTTGCATTCCCAAGGTAAACCCCACTTGGTCATGATATATTACCCTTGTTATAAATTACTGGGCTCAGTTAAATTTTGTTTCAACTCTACATCTAGGCTCATGAGGGGTATAGACTTACAGTCACATGTGTGTCTGCATTTGATGTCAGCATAATAATGGGGTCTAGACATAGCTGGGAAGTAATCTGTTCTCTTCAATTTTCTGAAGAATTTGTTTAGAATTAGTACTACTTCTTCCTGAAGTGTTTGATGAAATTCACCAGTGAATCCATTTGTGTCTGGAGTTTTCATCATAGAAAGGCTTTTAGCTACAAAGTCAATTATATATATATTTACATATGTTTTATTTATACTTATGTGATTTATATGTATAAATTTAAATACATATGTATATATTCATTCAATTTATTCATGAGTGAATTTTAGTAGCTTGACGTTTTCAAAGTACCATTTCATCTCTATTGTCAAATTTAATGACATAATTTTAAGTATATTTTCTTATATTTATTTTAATATCTGTAAAATCTACAGTGATGTCACATCTCTCATTCCAGATGTAGGTAACTGAAGTCTTCTTTTTTGCCTGAATGGTCTGTCTAGAGGTTTATCAATTTGATCTCCAATTATAAACTTTTGGTTTCATTGATTTTTTTAAATTTTCTTTTTTTAAATTAACAACAATTGTAAATATTTATGGAAACATAGTGATGCTTCTGTATATATAATGTATAGTGATCAGCAGGTCATGATAATTAGCATATCAATAGCATATCAATAAGCTTAATATTTATCATTCATGTTGGGTATATTCAATATCCTCTTTCTGGCTATTTGAAACTAATATATTAACTTTTGGTTTCAATAATTTTTAAACAAATTTTTTTTTTCAATTTTCTTTTCTACTTCTTTTGGTTTTAGTAGCTTTTCTGTTTTTACTTTTAAAATATAGCCTGTAATCATTCATTCAAGACCTTTTGTTTTTTCTAATGTAGGCATTTAGTGCTATAAATTTCCCCTTAAGTATGGTTTGGTAACATTTTGCAAATTCTGATATGTTGTTTTCATTTTCATTCAGTTTAAAATATTCTCTAATTTTCCTTTTTTTGACTCGTGGTATTTAGAATTTTTTTTTAATTTTTGAGGATATTTCCAGATACCTTTCTGTTACTTATTTCTAATTTTAATTTCATTATGGTTACAGAACCTATTTTATTACCTGTATCATTTTAGAGCTATTTAATACTGTTTTATCACCCAGAATATAGTCTATCCTGGTAAATATTGTATATTTTTCAGAAAACAATCTACTTTCATTTAGTAGTATGCTATAAATGTCAAATAAGTTTATTATTCAAATCTTCTATATCCCTATGAATTTTCTGTCTACTTGTTCTATTATTTATTGAGACAGGGTATTGAATACTGACTATTAATTGTGGCTTCAGCTCTTTTCTCTTATGTCTATTGGGTTTTGTTTTTTGTTTCATGTATTTTGGAGCTCTGATACAAAGAGTATAAAGGTGTAGGAGTGCTATGTCCTTTTTGATGAATTAGCTTTTTTATTAATATGAAATTATATTCTCTATAATTTCTGTTAGTATTTATTAATTTAAAATAATATAGCCACTTCAGATTTACTTTTGCATGTGCTAACATGGCATATCCTTTTCTATTACTTTAACCTATTAGTATATTGTCTTTATAAGGGAAGTGTATTTTCTGTGGGCAACATCTAGTGAGGTCTAACTCTTCATTCAATCTAAGAATTATCTGCTTTTTAATTGGTTTATTTTCAAAACTTATATTTTAGGTTATTGTATGATTACTCAAGTTACCATTTTCCTATTTTATTTGTATTTGTCATATGTCTTTTTCCCCTTGTACTATTTTTTCTGTCTTCTGTTTAATTAGCTGGATATATTTTAGTATTTTATTTCTTTTGTTAGCTTATTAACTCTGTTTTGTTATTTTTACAGTTGATTTGGAGTTCATAGTATACATATTTAACTTATAATCTACTTTTGTGCGGTATTCTACTACTTCACATATAGTTTAGGAACCTTATAATATTATACTTCAGATTCTCCCCATGACATGCTATTGTTGGTGTACATTTTACTTTTCCATAACTTATAAATTTCAACTTATGGTATTATTATTTTTGTTTAAATAATTAATTATCTTTTAAAGGGATTTAAATAATAAAAAACTTCACCCTTATAATTACCTTTCTTAGTGCTTTTAATTAACTTGTGTAGAATCACATTCCCATTTGGTATCACTTTTCTTCTGCCTGGAGAACTTCCTTTAACAATTTTTATAGTGCTGTTTTGCTATTTAAGAAGTCTTTCAGCTTTTGGGGTATGTTGTATCTGAAAATGTCTTTATTTTGTCTTCAGTGGTGAAAGATATGCTCACTGAATATACAATTCTAGGATGACAGGATTTTTTCCTTTTTCTTTGAGCACTTTAAAATGGTCTTCCCCTATCTTCTCACTTGAACTATTTTTGAGGAGAATTCTGATGTTATCTTTACTTTTTTTCTATGTACAATAATGTGGCTACTTTTGAGATTTTCTCTTTATTATTAGTGTGAGCAATTGGATATTATGTGTTTTATTGTCTTCAGGAAAACTTGTACTTAGAGTTTGTTGAGCTCCTTATATCTGTGGATGTATAGTTTTTATCAGTTTGGAAACTTAGCCACAATGTCTTCAATTTTTTTTTCTCTCTACTTTGAGAACTACACCTATATGTATATCAGGTTGTTTGAAGTTGTCTCTCACAACTCATTGATAGTCTTCATTTTTTTTAATTAATATTTTTCTGTGTGTTTCATATTGGGTAGTTCCTATACTATGCCTTAAATTTTGCTAACTTTTACTCTTGCAATGTCTGATCTATTACTTATTCTACCCAATGTATCTTTTTTTATTTTATTTTATTATTATTATACTTTAAGTTTTAGGGTACATGTGCACAATGTGCAGGTTAGTTACATATGTATACATGTGCCATGCTGGTGTGCTGCACCCATTAACTCGTCATTTAGCATTAGGTGTATCTCCTAATGCTATCCCTCCCCCCTCCCCCCACCCCACAATAGTCCCTGGAGTGTGATGTTCCCCTTCCTGTGTCCATGTGTTCTCATTGTTCAATTCCCACCTATGAGTGAGAACATGCAGTGTTTGGTTTTTTGTCCTTGTGATAGTTTACTGAGAATGATGATTTCCAATTTCATCCATATCCCTACAAAAGACATGAACTCATCATTTTTTATGGCTGCATAGTATTCCATGGTGTATATGTGCCACATTTTCTTAATCCAGTCTATCATTGTTTGACATTTGGGTTGGTCCAAGTCTTTGCTATTGTGAATAGTGCCGCAATAAACATACGTGTGCATGTGTCTTTATAGCAGCATGACTTATAATCCTTTGGGTATATACCCAGTAATGGGATGGCTGGGTCAAATGGTATTTGTAGTTCTAGATCCCTGAGGAATCACCACACTGACTTCCACAATGGTTGAACTAGTTTACAGTCCCACCAACAGTGTAAAAGTGTTCCTGTTTCTCCACATCCTCTCCAGCACCTGTTGTTTCCTGACTTTTTAATGATTGCCATTCTAACTGGTGTGAGATGGTATCTCATTGTGGTTTTGATTTGCATTTCTCTGATGGCCAGTGATGGTGAGCATTTTTTCATGTGTCTTTTGGCTGCATAAATGTCTTCTTTTGAGAAGTGTCTGTTCATATCCTCACCCACTTTTTGATGGGGTTGTTTGTTTTTTTCTTGTAAATTTGTTTGAGTTCATTGTAGATTCTGAGTATTAGCCTTTTGTCAGATGAGTAGGTTGTGAAAATTTTCTCCCATTTTGTAGGTTGCCTGATCACTCTGATGATAGTTTCTTTTGCTGTGCAGAAGCTCTTTAGTTTAATTAGATCCCATTTGTCAATTTTGGCTTTTGTTGCCATTGCTTTCGGTGTTTCAGACATGAAGTCCTTGCCCATGCCTATGTCCTGAATGGTAATGCCTAGGTTTTCTTGTAGGGTTTTTATGGTTTTAGGTCTAACATTTAAGTCTTTAATCCATCTTGAATTGATTTTTGTATAAGGTGTAAGGAAGGGATCCAGTTTCAGCTTTCTACATATGGTTAGCCAGTTTTCCCAGCACCATTTATTAAATAGGGAATCCTTTCCCCATTGCTTGTTTTTCTCAGGTTTGTCAAAGATCAGACAGTTGTAGATATGCGGAGTTATTTCTGAGGGCTCTGTTCTGTTCCTTTGATCTATATCTCTGTTTTGGTACCAGTACCATGCTGTTTTGGTTACTGTAGCCTTGTAGTATAGTTTGAAGTCAGGTAGTGTGATGCCTCCAGCTTTGTTCTTTTGGCTTAGGATTGACTTGGCGATGCAGGCTCTTTTTTGGTTCCATATGAACTTTAAAGTAGTTTTTTCCAATTCTGTGAAAAAAGTCATTGGTAGCTTGATGGGGATGGCATTGAATCTATAAATTACCTTGGGCAGTATGCCATTTTCACGATATTGATTCTTCCTACCCATGAGCATGGAATGTTCTTCCATTTGTTTGTATCCTCTTTTATTTCCTTGAGCAGTGGTTTGTAGTTCTCCTTGAAGAGGTCCTTCACATCCCTTGTAAGTTGGATTCCTAGGTATTTTATTCTCTTTGATGCAATTTTGAATGGGAGTTCACTCATGATTTGGCTATCTGTTTGGCTGTTATTGGTGTATAAGAATGCTTGTGATTTTTGTACATTGATTTTGTATCCTGAGACTTTGCTGAAGTTGCTTATCAGCTTAAGGAGATTTTGGGCTGAGACAATGGGGTTTTCTAGATATACAATGATGTCATCTGCAAACAGGGACAATTTGACTTCCTCTTTTCCTAATTGAATACCCTTTATTTCCTTCTCCTGCCTAATTGCCCTGGCCAGAACTTCCAATATATTGAATAGGAGTGGTGAGAGAGGCCATCCCTGTCTTGTGCCAGTTTTCAAAGGGAATGCTTCCAGTTTTTGCCCATTCAGTATGATATTGGCTGTGGGTTTGTCATAGATAGCTCTTATTATTTTGAGATATGTCCCATCAATACCTAATTTATTGAGAGTTTTTAGCATGAAGGTTGTTGAATTTTGTCCAAGGCTTTTTCTGCATCTATTGAGATAATCATGTGGTTTTTGTCTTTGGTTCTGTTTATATGCTGGATTACATTTATTGATTTGCGTATATTGAACCAGCCTTGCATCTCAGGGATGAAGCCCACTTGATCATGGTGGATAAGCTTTTTGATGTGCTGCTGGATTCGGTTTGCCAGTATTTTATTGAGGATTTTTGCATCAATGTTCTTCAAGGATATTGGTCTAAAATTCTTTTTTTTGGTTGTGTCTCTGCCAGGCTTTGGTATCAGAATGATGCTGGCCTCATAAAATGAGTTAGGGAGGATTCCCTCTTTTTCTATTGATTGGAATAGTTTCAGAAGGAATGGTACCAGTTCCTCCTCGTACCTCTGGTAGAATTCGGCTGTGAATCCATCTGGTCCTGGACTCTTTTTTGTTGGTAAGCTATTGATTATTGCCACAATTTCAGAGCCTGTTATTGGTCTATTCAGAGATTAGGCATTGCAGATTTTACCTCTCAAAGTTTGATTTGGGTCTTTATAGCTTTGATGTCTCTAAGTTTTTTAACATAAGGAATGCCATTATAGTAATTTTTTAAAGGCTCTTTGCTAACTCTAACATCTATATTCTGGGTTGGTTTTGATTTATTGATTATTCTCCTTATTATAGATAATGCTTGTCTGCCACTTTGCATGCCAAGTAAACTTTGTTTGGACACAAGACATAGTACATTTTATCTTATTGGGTGCTGGGTATTTTTGTATTCCTGTAAATTTTGAGCTTTGTTCTGGAATGAAGTTAAATTCCTTGGGAATAAAAGTGAATTGTTTGAATCTTGTGTATATTTTGCAGGAGAGACTGGAGAAGAGGTTTTTCTAGAAATAATTATTTCCCACTACTGAAGCCAGACCCTTCTGAATGCACTGCCTTCTGCCCTATGAATCTTGAGTCGTCCAGTCTGGCTGGTACAAACAGGTGCTATTCCTGGCTCTATGTGGGCATCAGGCACTAGTACCTTTAATTGTGAGTAGGTGCTTCCTTCATTGGCCTGAGGTAGTTTCCTCACACTTACAGGCTGATCAGTGCTGTGCTGAATACTTGAAGGGGCTCTTCTGCAGGTCCCCAGAGCTTTCTCTCTGTGTATATATCTCTTCTCTTTGGTACTGTATCCTGTGAACTCTAGTGTCCTATTCTTCCTAAAATCTCAGCTCCATCCCCTCAAGTCAGGCAATCTGCTGGGCTTTACCTGGGCTCTGCTTCCCTGTGCTGCAATCTTAAAACATTCTCAAGTCAATACCCTGTGTCAGTGATGATAGGAAGGCTCATCTCATTTGTGTCTGGTGTCTTTCAAATCCTTATTTTTTATATGACCTTGTTTCCTGCCCTCCTTCCTTCCCCGTCTTCCTTTTCTTTTTTTGCACTTTCGTGAGTTTATTACTCTACCTTGGCTAGAAGAAAAATCCCAATGAACCATTTTCTTTGCTTGATTTTCTTTTTAATCTTCCCTATTACCGCATTGTTTTTAGGATATTACTTTCTGATCCTTTATTTGTTACCACTTTTGGCCAGTTTATTCCATTTTTTATTTCCTTAAATTCTTGGTATTTTTTATTTTCTTAAAATCTTGATATGGATGCTTGGCTTATTAATCTTTAATTCTTTTCTAATGTAAGCATTCAATAACATTTTGTTTTTATACATCATGTTTGTTGTTCAGCAGCAAATGTTTTCTAATTTCTATTATGATTTCTTCATCAATGACTTATTTTGAACTTTAAAAAAATTATCAAACACATTCGTGTTAATAACATTTTTGTTTGTAATTTAAATATACTTTTGACCAAAAATAGTTTTCATGGTTAAAATATTTGCACAATAGGCAGTTTTCTTTGTGACTTAATTTTGATTTGCATTCTTTGTTGATTATAAAAATTTGATCTAAATGATTTGATGATGAATGTTTAGTTAAATAGAACTAAACATTATATACATTGTATTGTTTTAGTACATTACTCTGTGTACTTAATATTGATCATACAGTAAAATAATTGATAAAACAGATTCTAATCTACTAATTTTAGTAAGAGCACACTTCACTTATTCCATGGAATCATCTTGCATTATTATGTTAATTTTAACTTTTCAGCAGAAAAAAAAATCACAATACAAATTTAAATGCCACAATAATAGGATAGGATGACTATTAACTTGTTACTACATATGTATATGTTGCATGGGATTCCTCTTATAAGGGCACAAAGCAATTTCTCTTGGAGAAGTGGTTCAATAAATTTAAATAACCTGTAAAATATACCAAGTCAAACTATTTAAGTTACAGTTCATGTTTACTTTAGCTCACTCAGATCCTCCCTTTTCATTAATTCCTATAAAGGCTTGAACACTTGAGTGCATTTTATATAGAGTCACCTGTGTTTAATGACATGGGATATTGGATAGGTATGTGTGCTCAGATTTAGTTTTATTTTAAATAAAATAGTGTAGGTTTCATAATTGTAATGCCTGAAATATGTGTATTGTAAATATCAAATGAAATATAGACTTTATTTTCTCAGTGGCTCTGTCAAGTTGAATTTGACAGGACCAGCCAGTTTAAATTATGAGCTCCTTCAGCACTGGAAAAATACTGCCTTTTCAGGAGGCTGTGAAAAAAGCCATGAAGAACCAAGAATTTTATCTAGGCCTTAAACAAAAGCTGTCTTTTTTAAAAGCTGGAAGCAAATAGTTAATGTTATGTTGTTAACCTGTTATATCATGGCAGATATACTTAAAAATTATTCCTTGTTTAGGGGAAGAGAACCAACCACGTCTTAGCTGGGTTCATCTTGGTACCATCTGCAGCTTGAGTTGAATCTCTCTTTATGTCTGTCTGTCTCTGTCTCTCTCTCTCTCTCTTTGCTTTGATATTCAGCTAAACACATACAACTTCTTTAGGTTCTGAGTCAGCAGAGTAATTAACTGGCATTTAGTACTTTGGTTCTGGACTGAACAAAAAAGAAAATAATAAGAGGCTACAAACTCTTCTGAATAAATCTTTTGAGAGTAACATATCAGATGTTACTAAATTCATTCTTCTATTGGGATTATATTTAGATGTGATAGCTTTAACTGGGTGACTGGAAATGAGATCTCCAGGAATAGGTCAAAGAACATAAACATGAGAGGGAAATGTTTAAATGTAGCCTGCCATTGAGGTCTAAAAGGATAATGTGTTCAGCTTCCTGGCAGTGGACCTGAGGACATAAAGTCTCTCAGTTTTTCAAGCATAGTTCCCTACTTCTCAGTATCCTTCACTAAGTCTGGGTTCTTGTTGAGTCAGTAAAATCAAAGATTCAGTTAAGATGTCATCTGCTTCATAAGCTTCTTGAATACAATGATTGCTTGTTTATCTTTGGACTTGCCATATCCCCAGTTTGTTCCAGGTGCAGAATAATGATTATGCAAACGTTTTTTTAAATCTACCACTTTTTTTTTGTTTTCATGGAAAAACAGAACAAAACCACACATTGGAGACAGGGAGGTAAAATAGAGATGAAATGGAAGACAGTCTCTTGTCAAGAACTCTTACTTTCAAATACCATCTATATGGAAGTTACTTTACTGGTGGGCAGACAGAAAGCCAAGTTGGAGCCTCTTACTTTTGGAAAATGGAGAATCAAAAATTTACTAATCAATAAAAAAAACCAGGGAAAATCTCTGGCAAAGCTCTACAGACATAATTATACATTTGTATTTTACCAGTAAAAGATAGCTAGAAGAGAAAAAAACCAAATGTCTAGAAACTGCTGCCAAACCAAAGTGAAAGCTTTGGTGCTTTCTCTAAACTCCTATCCTGCAGTAGTGCTTTTCAATATTTTTCTAAAGAAAGATTACTCTGAATTCACCAAGGGTCTGTCACCCCAATTCGTCCCCCTCTTTCCTTGTTTCTTTCCACCTCCAAGAAATAAATGGGAAATGTAGTTTTTTTGTCCAGTGCCACTTGGGAAGGGGCCGGACTTGAGGTGTGAAGAGCTGCCTTCTACCCTAGCTCGAGAGGGAGGAAATGACCGCACAGTTCTTTATAGTTTTACCACACACATACAAGGAACAAAAATCATCTGGCAGTTTTAAGTAATAGGTACATACTTTTACTCCATAAATTAAACTCCTTATAATAACAAAATTAAATAAGATTTTAAAAAATATATAGATGGGGCCTCCCTATGTTACTCAGAATGGTCTCAAACTTCTGGCTTCAAGAGATCCTCCCAGCTTGGCCTCCCAAAGTGTTAGGATACCAGGCATGAGCCACCACACCTGGCCCTAAATCAGAATTTTTAAAAAGATTTTACTTGAAAGAAACATGGAAAAGGAAAAGGTTCAGCATTAGATTGTTGCCCTGTTAAGAATGTCTAATGTGCATTTAAAAGTATTGGAAAGCAGGCATTTTTGACAAAGAGCAATGTCACTATAACATATGAACTACAATTATGAACAGAAAATTTTGAAATAAAAGGGTACTCATGGAAACCAGTGAAGAAAAGAAACACCAGCAATTGTTTGACAAAGAACAGTGAACAGGTACTTTGGGAGCAATAATCTGAAAGATGGATAGTGGTCCCAGATCTGAGGTGGTTGTCTGGCCAACTGTCCTGGCTCCAAAGGGGGGAGAATACAACTGGCAGGATTTGAGAAGAGGGCATTTCTGCAGCTCCCGAGCAAGTCTCTTGTTTTCATTCCAAAGTAGATATGCTTTCCGGACTTCAACAAGGTCCATCAGGAGGATTTGCTTTCCAATATGTAGGAGTGAGACAGGTAACCTAAGAGGATAGCACCTATGATAGGGAAAATCCAATATGGCCAGAAACTTTTGCATGTGTCATTTTTTGAAGAATCCTTGCACAATTTTCAGGTTTGAGGTCACTCAAATGGACAGCACCATTATAGTACTGCTTTAGCATTTCTCTGGCATCAGAGGAGTGGCCTACATCTACAAAACTTTCAGTTGCATCTGCACCAGCTTGTTCCAGCAGAACCTTTTCTCTGCCAGGGGGATCCTCAAAGTGGGGAACATCGTAGAGTCGCCCATGGATTACTAGACACAGTTCCTTCAAGAAGTTTTGCTTCACCACCTCCTCCAACTGCTAATAGGTGGTGGAAGTCCCTACCCCCTGCCCTTTTTCATCACTGCTGCTAGCTTGCACAGTTGCCATTGGACTGGAAATACTGCCTCTCTACTGCTAACTGGGCTTCCAAGACTACCTTCCTTGAGGAGAGCCCGCAGCAAACTTTTCCTAAAGAAAAAGAGTTCTTAAAATAAGATTATTCAAAGGTATCATCTAACAAAGTGATTAGATAATTATTGTTAGACCCATATATATATGTATGTATGTATTTTATTATATGTATGTTTGTATGTTTTTATGTATGTATGTATGTATGTATGTATGTATGTATGTATGTATGTATGTATTTTTAGCGTTTTTACCCAGCTGGATGGGCAACCTTAGTGTCCCAGAATTTCTTAATCTCATTTAGGTCTATCAAAAAATTATTCAAGTGTTTTATCACAAATCATAATTTTGCTTCCTAGATGAAGGTCATGGACATGATGCTAAGCAAAAATCTTCTATTCCAGCCTAGGTTTAAACCGGGAGACATTCCTTCCCAATTACTTTTATTATAAGTAGACTATAACAAAGTAGAGTAAAATTGCTGTAACATTTTTGAATTAAAATAAATTTGAATATAACTTCGTTGGTATGTGGCTCCTCTCCTCTGGCTGGTCACTTTTCTCAAAGATAGCAGGCTATTATCTTAGGGGGGCAGGAGAGAAATGTGGAGAAGGCCATGTGCATGCAGAATATGGTAGGAAGTCCCCTATAGGCCAAAGAAGCAAGCAGGCAGCAAAGCAGAGGCTCCCAGATCAACAGAATCCTCCTGGAGTGAGTCTGTGAAGCAGAGGTCAACACCTGGAAGATTCTTGGAATTGTTGCTTCCACCTTGACAGATCTGTCTGGTACTGGACTCAGAATTATTTCTGATAACATTTTAAGGCACATCAGAAAGTTACCACCATTTAATAATCAAGTACAGTTGGGTTGGGACAGATTTGGATTATGTAGCTAATTCTCGGGACTCCTGGTCTGTAAAACATGCTTGATGTTTTTAGTCATTTCATTAATTTTGCAGTAATGTTATCCCAGACTTTATGCAGTTAAGTTTTTAAGCTGACATTTCCACATTATTGGTGGAGTGTGAGCTACTGTATTACTATGAAATTCATTCAATACGTATTGCTTGTTGCCTCTGATATGCCAAACACTGAGCTGGGCACAGAATAAATAAAAATAAGCAAAAGTCTCTGATTTCAAGAACTTTACAGGCTCGCTGGCCAGACCACATTCACTGTCACCCTAAATTAGAATAGACTTCTTGGTGCAGTGGATGAAATGGGAAGGCATTAATCGCTGTACTTCCTTTTCCCCAAACAAGTGATCAGTCTCCATCTGGTTGTTGATCTAAAATATCTATTATATCAGGCGGGTGCCAGACAGCAAAGATGTTAAATCCTTAGCTTTTGAATTAAAAAGCCACAGCCCAAATGCAAGCCGTGAAAGATTTTGTGATAAAATAAGTGGTCATATATAACATTTATTTTTCCCTACCCCACACAATATAAAGAACCTCTTAGAAGCCAAAAAAGAGAGTTAGAGGAGAGCGACAATGTTTTGATGCTAAGGAGAGATGGGGGTCTTGAGCTCAAATTTTGGGAATATGAAGTAGGAGAGTAGTTGAAGTCTTCTTATACAATTTGAGAATTTTACTTATACTTCTTTTACAATTGAGACCGTAAAGTTAGAAATAACTTTTAAACCTATTCCTGTCTTGATATAAATATTTAACTGTCAATTAAAATATATGGTCTCTGAGCTTGGATTTAAGAAGCAAAAAAGACCCAAGAGCATCTTGCCATTCAAAAACCCAGCAAACTTCAAAAGAGGGATAGGCAAGCTTATACCAGGAAAATATAAACCAAAAAAAAAATGTGGCCAGTTATTTTAATATGTAAATCTATTTGTGTAAAGGAAAAAGAGAAAAATACAGTTTTCTACTGAAACAAAAAAATGATAAAAATATGCTTAACAATACAGCCTTAAATTAGAGCAAAGTAGAACTGGTAAAACTACAGAGAGAATCACATAAATTAACTGCATATTTGAAGATGTTAACAAAATTATGCAGAAATTAGAGATATGAACAATACCATTACTAATAATACATATGTACATATGTATATATGAAATATCTATTTCTGGTCATATTTTAGAAGCAAACAAAAATGTTTTTAAAAGAACCACAAATTAGATTATGAATGAAAACTTCAATTAATTTCAAACAAAATATATCAAACTATCTTTATTAAAGAAGTTTAATAAACTAAAAACTAGTATTTTCAATGGCATAATGATATCTCTTATTTTTTGAAACCAAAATAGTACCTCACTATAAATTATTATTTTACAAAGGAAAAAACAGATTTTAGAAATACTTAGAATTGCATGAAAATGAAAATATTTAATGCTCACTTTTGTGTAAGAACTAAAGCAGTATTTAGAAAAATATATTACTTAAAATGTGTATATCAGGAAACAAGATAAGTTAAAAGCAAATAACCTAAGCTTTCAACTTAAAAAGTGTAAAAAGAAAGACATAAGAAATCTAGAATAATTTGTCTAATAAATGAAATACAGGACAATAATAAAAGTTTAGAAAATTTAAATAAAATCTAGTTCCTTAAAAATTAATAATATAGATAAATTATTGGCAAGACTAACAAGAAATAATATGCAAATTAACAAAAGAGAAAATTTGAAAAAATTCATAATAACATAGCAAGTAGAAGATTTATTAACAACTCTACATGACAAAATATGGGGTAAAATAAATTACTAAAATGTATAAAATAATCAAAATTGGTACAGTGAGGGATAGATAACTTGAATAGACTTCTGTGGTATTATGTACATAAAAATAATTTTCCCCTTCAAAGGTGGGGAAAAAAAGATGATTTTTCAGATATTTTCTTTAAATTATTTAAAGAAATAATTGCTTTCATATATGTTTTTGAAAGCAATAGAGAAAGATTGCTTCGTGGGTCATTTTATAATTTATTTAATCTTAATTCATTAACCATATTATAGTCAAACTATATAAAAAGAATGTTAGTGGACCATTTTATTCATGAACATACATGCAAAAATTCTCATGAAATATTAACTTACCAAATGTAGTGTCAATCGTACAGTTTAGGAATTCAAAGATGGTTCTACATTGAGAAATAAATTATTAAAATTTGCCATTTGAATAAACTTTAAAGAGAACATTTAAATAACTATTTCAATTGATGAAAAATACTTTAAAAAGTTTAATGCTTATTAATGATTAAAAACTCTTAATCTTTGAATAAAAGCAGATTTTCTTAAATATGTAAGTTTATATATCAAATACCTGAAGTAACCTCCGATGACTTCTTTTAAAAATCAGGAATACTACAAAGTACACATTTTTGCCATACTCTTGAATAAAGACTGGTGGTGTTGCCCAATGCTATAAGGAAATAAAAATTTTAAACTGTTATTTTTGTCAGGTGATATGATTATCTAAAAACCAAACAGATCAACAACAACACTACTAGAAAACTGGGGGAAGTTTAGAACTTTGGATACAAAATTAACATCAAAATAATCTTTTTCACACTAATATAAACTGGGAATCATAATTAAAGATAGACTTTACATAAGAGAAAAATACAAATATCTAGACAACTTACTTTAGCATGCATAATACTTCTGTGAAGAAAGCACTGAAGCTACAGTGAAAGACACAGGACATCTAAATAAGGAGAGGAATTGTCCTCATTATTAGACAGGAAATTCTAATGTAATCAGTTCTTTCCAGATTAATGTAAAAATCTAATGCAGTCTTAATCAAAATTTTATTGCATTTATCTTATTTAAGAAAATCAAATTTAAGTAAATTAACTTTCTTTTTACTTTAATTTTAAATTTTTTTATTTTTAATTTTTGTGAGTACATAGTAGGTGCACATATTTAGGGAGAACATAGAGATGTTTTGATATAGGCAGGCAATGTGAAATATGCACATCATGGAGAATGGGATATCCATCCCCCCCAAGCATTTATCCTTTGAATTACAAACAATTCAATTACACTATTTAAGTTATTTTAAAACGTACAATTAAGTTATTGACTATAGTTACCCTGTTGTGCTATCAAATAGTAGATCTCATTCATTATGTCTATATATATTTTTTGTACCCATGAACCATCCCACCTTCCCCCCAACCCCTGCAAACCTCCCCAGCCTCTGGTAACCATCTTTCTACTCACTATATCCATTGGTTCAATTGTCTTGATTTTTATGTCCCATGACTATGTGAAAAAATGTGATGTTTGTCTTTCTGTGCTGGATTTGTTTTACTTAACATAATAATCTCCAGTTCCATCCATATTGTTGCAAATGACAGGATCCCATTCCTTTTAATGGCTGAATAGGACTCCATTGTGTATAACATTTTCTTTATCCATCCATCTGTTGATGGACACATAAGTTGCTTCCAAATTTTAGCTGTTGTAAATGGTGCATGTATATATTCAACTACTTTTGTTTTTGCTAATGGTGAAATATTAGAGACAATCTGGTTACCAAGATAGTTAAATTACTGTGGATGTACACCATAGAGTTCTAGTCAGCAATCAGAAGAAATGAGAGAGGTACACAGCATAGAAAGAATGGATCCTAACAACAGAGCTGAGTAAAGAAAGTAAGAAGCAAAATGAGATAGATAACCTAGTATCTTCTTATTTTATACAAATTTTACAAGAACACATACATGCAAGTAATGATTATTCACTTGATACATACTAGAATATTTATGGGGTGGGAGAATGAGAATGAAAAATGGGAAAAACAATGAAGAAATGATTTAGAAAAAAATTTTTAAAGAGCCTTGGGGGAACAAATAAGATTGCAATATAACCATAACTTAATCTGCATCTGAAGTCCAGTGAAGAAAATTAAATCATCTGACAGCAATCAAATTGTCTTTTCTTTGCAGATATTCTGTTTTTACTTCATGGCTACTTTAAAGAATTCTGTCTCCGGTTTTCTGCAGTTTTACTATAGTATTTCTACATGTGGATTTTTTATTACTTACTTTGGGTGGGACTTTTTTGAGCTTCCTGTATCTAAGAATTAGTGCCTTTTCAGTTCTCAGCTATATCCCCTCACATATTACTTCATTGTCCATTTTCTCTATTACAGTATTTTGGACTTAATATGTTGGAATGGCTCAGACTTTCTTCCTTGATTCTTATCTCTTTTTTGTGTTTTCCATCTTTTCATATCTCCAGGTTGCATTCTAATTTATTCAGCTCTATATTCTAGTTCATAAATTGTCTCTTCAAATGTGTTCAATCTGGTGCTTAGCCCAATTGTTACATTACTATTTTCTTTTGCTATTGATTCTCTTTTCACTTTAGTTTTGTCAACTTTGAATAGTCTCTGTGCTTTAATATTCCTGTAATTCCTTTGTCTTGTTAAAAATATTAAAATAATTTCTTTTTATTGCGAATCTGATGAATGTAACATTATATCTTCAGTATTGGCGATCTGCTTCTCTGTTCTTTCTGATGAGTCATGCTCTTGGTTCTTTTTTCCTCCTATGTCTAGAATTTTGATTTTGAATTTATACTTTTGAAACATTATTATAATTATCTGTGGGCTGAGAGATTTGTGTTTGCTTCTTCCAAGAACCTAGAATAAATCACAATCTGGAATCATTTTAAACTAAATCGCTAGCTTCGGGTTCATTGTGATACATAGGTTATATGACTTCATTCTCTAAGAATTCATTCTTTGCCTTCTGTCCCTGCCAATAGCCATTAAAATTAGCACCACAGGCCACCAGATATGACAGATGCTAGTGTCTTGGGTTCATGCTTCCTTACCATTGCAGATGAATTTTTCTGAATTGCCACCAAGTCAAACACATTGTAATACACACACACACAGACAAACACACACAGACACACAGGCACACCCACACACTTATGTATTTTATATATAATATATATGATACATATAATTTATATTGTATGATAAATATATATAATAAAATATATTTTATATAAATTATATATATAAACTATAGAGAGAGAAACAGATTGACTGGGTCTGGCTCTGATGCCTAGGCTGGAGTGCAGTGGTGCAATCTCGGCCTACTGTAACCTCTCTCCCCCAGGCTCCAAGCCATCCCCCTACCCCAGCCTCTGGAATATATTCATTTTGTTCAGGATTACTTTAGAGGATTTTCTCTGAATACCTAGTGAGCCTTGCTGCTGGAAGCAAAACATTTCTTTTAGGTATTCTCAAGAATCAAGGGATCTCCTTTGAGGAAGTACAACCTCTGCTCTTTCAGCACTATAACCACTACTATCACATAATAATAATAAAAATCTTGATGGTATAAGTGTATTGATGAATGTATAACTGCATGAATAAAGGACAATTATTGTCATATGGGACCTGTACAAGTTTTGATGTAGGATACCTGAGAAACTATTCATGAAAGATCTTAAGGTTCATAATCTTTTTATTTGGCTTTCATGAAGAACTTGACTGATATACTCTTTACACTTACACGTTTTTTTCTACTCTAGTTTTCAGGAATAGAGAACTATATCTGGAACTATATCTAACTCTGTCATACTAGAAAAAAACTACTTATTAGTGTTGATTTATGAAAAGAGATAAAAGCACTTATAATTTAGCAACGAGTAATGACTTGTAAACCTTAAAGTTACATATTATATACAGTATATAGAACAACAGTAGCCATATTAATGGCAAGTAAATTTTTAAAATCTGTTATTCCATAAACAGCTGAGTATTTCCAATACAATATTAATATGCTATATTCTTGCCATTAAATATTTCTGATGAAAATGTCTTTCCCAACAATCTAATTTTTCAGTTTATAGCTAGAAATATAAGTAGTACCTTATATTTACATTTTATTATAACTGTTGCTTCTTTATTTTAGCTGTGCATGCAACCTTGCATTTTCTATAATATAGCTTAAAAGTCTTTAAAATCAAACTGAAGTTCAGGCTAGCCAGGTAAATATTCACGGGCAACAGCCTGTGCGTCTAAATGTAAGTCTTGTCAAAACTTTGGATTACATAGCCATACCCCACAACCTATCTTGGGAATGTCTGAGAGAGCTGGAAAGTCTTTGAAGAGTAATTTTGTTGGTACATGTAAATTGCAATCTCTTCTCATTTCCAGAATATTCCATGACTGCACTACAGGGTCTATGTAAATTCTGTGGAGACTAGCCATGATTCCCTTCATTTCTAGATAAAGTAAATGAGACTTAGAGAGTATCGGGACCCAGGTCAGTCACGGCTGCAGCCACAGGGAACTCTTTACAGTCTCCCAAATAGCCTTGAAGTCTTTAGTCAGTGTGGAAGGTATGAAAACCTCATGACAGTCACTTCTCAAGCAGAGGGCAGATCTAACACCCTGGGGATGGCCAATGTCTTTTGGTGGGATGATGCACAGACAAGTGTGGAGACGAGAGTTGGACTCAAAACACACTTACTGTCCTAGTCTGGATCAGAATTGGACCCTGCCATTATTATTATTTTCTCTCTCTGCCAAAAGTTGAATAAATAGCAGTGGACTGCCAAATTGTATTACACAGAAGTAAAAACATAAAATAGCTTTGGGTTAGGGTCCTAGAATAAGAAAATGGGAACTCAGTAAAGATGACAGCATAGATTAAAAATACACAGGAAAGGAGAGGACAGCCTTTGGTGACCATTACTTATTTGAGGCTATATTTTATAGAATTTCTGTAAATACTGAAACACAGTTATTGCAGAATGTCATGTAGAATACAAGTATGAATCATATATTTAATTATGCCTTATATTAAAGTATGTAAAAGTGATTTGTTACATGCCTATCTCATCATTTTTTCTCAGTGTGTCATTTTATATTTACATTAATAATAGAAAACACCAAATTTTAGAAAATGATTAAATAATTAATTAAATAATGAGGCATGTACTTACTGAAACAGTATATCATTACTTAATGATAATTTTGAAGGATATGTAGCAACAGATAAATGTTCTTGATAAAATGTGAAATGAAAACAATAAAAACTTAAATTTGCATTGTAATTACTGGGATGAAAGCATAAAGAAAAATACTAAAAAGCATAGAGAAATAAAAGTTGATGTGCTATTTGATAGGAGATGGCATACTTCTTTATTTCCATTTTAATTTTATGATCTTATTTTTACAATCAACATTCAAAAATGAATCCTTATTTAAAATGCAGTGAGAAATACAGAACTTGATATAGAACATCTGAAATAGTTATAATATTTTTAATCAGATGAGAAGGATTTACCTTCACTTTTAATTCAGTTCACTTCCACCTGAAAATAAAAATCTGCCTACATATTTGCAACAAAATCTGCTAGGATAGTAGGAAAACTGTAACTTTCTGGGTGGCGGTGGGTCCCTGAGAGAAGTATTTTAGACAGAGGGCTTACACTGTTTTTGTTAAAATTGAAATGTAATATTTTATATGTTTCAAACGTTTCAGTGGAAATCTATAGACTTACAATAAAATGCTGATGTAAATCGTGAAGCATTGAAAAAAGTAGATGATACCTAAGCTGGAGGTGGAAGAAGGAATATTCCCTTCAGTCTGTGAACTGGTGATTACCAGGCATTAAATTTTTAAAAATTATGGAAGTTTCTTTTTTTTTTTTTCCTTTTTAAGCAGAGAAAGGTCATTATGATACAATAGATAGAGAGGAATGAAGATGCAGAGAGGACAAGAGTGGAGAAGACATTACCTCATCAGTGGAAGTCAGACAGAAGACAGGGAAAGGTGGAAAAGCAATAGGGAAGAAAATGTGGAGACATAATAAGAGAATAAAGATGAAGAGCTGTTTATCTTCATCCTTCGGTGAGAAAACAGTGCCTACATTAATAAAATAAAAAGTGAGAATAAAGGATTCCTAGTCCAAGAGAAGTGAGTCAGTAGATATGAGAAATGTGGCAATGGATGGGCATACAGTTTCAGAGAAATTTCTGTTAAGCATCTACTCTATGCCTACCACCATATGAAGTGTTTCAGTAATGTGAGCTCAGTGATTCTACACTTGCCTGCTGTCATCCTAAATGACAACAAAAAGGCATTGTGGGGGCTTTGCCCAACAGCAGATATGTAATTAATGTAACCTTTGGCAAAGATAAAAGAGCAATATGATTGTTCCTCTGAAATATTCCCCACTTATATTGTTGATGTACAATAGAATAGAAAAAAATAATCCCTCAGATTTGTATGGTACTTCACAGGTGACAAATATCCTTACAAGTCATCGGTAAATTTACATTGACCGCGACGGGGTAAAAGAAGGAGCAATGGCTCTTTGAACACCATTGAAAATAGTTACCAAGTGCTGTGCTAGGTGAAGTGTAGATAAAGATGAATTAAAAGTAGCTGTTTGGCCCAGGTGCAGTGGCTCACGCCTGTAATCCAGCACATTGGGAGGCTGAGGTGGGCGGATCACAGGGTCAGGAGATCGAGACCATCCTGGCTAACACGGTGAAACCCCATCTCTACTAAAAACACACAAAAAAATTAACCAGGGGTGGTGGTGGGCGCCTGTAGTCCCAGCTACTCGGGAGGCTGAGGCAGGAGAATGGTGTGAACCCAGAAGGCGGAGCTTGCAGTGAGCCGAGATCATGCCACTGCACTCCAGCCTGGGAGACAGAGCGAGACTCCATCTCAAAAAAAAAAAAAAAAAAAAAAAGAAAAGAAAAGTAGCTGTTTGATTTCAGAAACACACAATCTAGCTTTTGGAATGATGTAATACATTGTTGGAACCAGCACCTAGTGCCTTTAATCTGTGGTTGCTGCTGCTTCTGGCTTGTGAGTTGAGCTTGCAGCAGGGTTATAGGTGAACAAACTGTACCAACATTCTCCTTGAATGCTTTGCTCCAAAATGTTTCTCTTATTGAATTACAGAGAGATGGGTTGTCTTTTTAAAGTGCCATGCATGAGACAACTCTACAAGGCATAGCAGGTGATTTGGTGCCTAATCCATTTGGCACCTTTTATAGTGATTTGTTGCCTAATCCTCTGCCTAATCCATTTGGCCCACCTGACCTCAGCAGGGAAATGTCAGGCAGCTTCACTGTGCTGTTCACCTTCCTCACTCCCACTTCCTTCCACATTTCTACCTCAGGCCTTTCTCTGCTTGGCTGCTGACTTTTAGTGAAACTTAACAAGCTAACCCTCCATGTCAAATTCCAGACCTACCCTCAACTGTTAGTTGATCTATGAAGCAGCGTTGCAAAGCCACATTCAAAGAGTTCCATCCTTCAAAGATTATAAAAAGAATCAATTTGGAAATATGAGCAAACAAGGAATAATATTTGACCATAATGTTTGTATCTTATTAATGAAAGAAAAATTCCTGCATAAGAACTTCATCTATGACTAAATATAAACCAGGAAAAGTTCAAAGATTTATTAGTAAAATTTAAAGATTTTTTTCCCAAATCAAAAGAGGATTCAGCATTCAAGAATAAAGATGACTGCCATAACAATATTCAAATAATGACTAGAGCCATGAAATAGTTGGACTGATGCTGAGAAGTGGGACTAAAAACATTGAAGACAAACGTGTGACACAAAGAAGAAATTATCAGAGGAAAAATGTCAAAAGATCCAGTAAAATATCAGAATAGAGAGCAAATACTGAAGACAGCAAACAGGACTGATAGTAAAAAAAATGGAACTATTAAAATTAAGATTAGATATTTTTTTAATCTGTAAATTTACCACATTGAAACATCTGCAATCAGCTATATGTAACTGGTTTGTAGAGCCTGGTGGACCCTGAAGGTCTCATGTGAAAAACTCTTTTCTACCACTACCTTAAGCAAGTTCTTCTGATTTTTCTTCCCCACACCTGCATGAAATCATAGGCAAATCCCTTTATGGCAGTGGTTCTCAGACTCTAGCTTGCATCAAAATCAGCTGGAGGGTTTGTTAAAACCAAATTGCTAGGTTCCAATCCTACAGTTTCTCATTGTGCAGGTTTAGGGTGGCCCTGACGATTTGTATTTCTAACAGATTACAAGATGCTGCTGATGTTGCCCGGGAGTGAGTGTCACTACACTTGGAGAGCCACTGCATTATGGTTTCAGGTCACTCTGAAGCAATTGGTAGTAATATTTTTGAGGTATTAAAAATAAAGACATCTAGAATTACTTCCATTACTTCTTCATGATTTACAGCTTTTTCACCCACCCAACTGCCTCTTTCCCCTTCCCAACCCCCAGATTGCTGTAGCTGCACTCTTGTAAGCTTGCAGTTGGGAATAGAGGCATCTTGGGTTTGCTTGTTCCATCTGGATACACCACTTACTGTATTTGTTACCTGCTGGTTTTGACCCTTCAGGCCTGATAAGGGGAGGGAGAGCATAGCCTTATGTGCTAATGCATTGTTAATGGTGTCCTCTGTATAGTGAAGGTCAAACTGACGCCTTTCCACCTGTAAAACTGAGGATTTACAGGTGCATGCACAGTAGTGGGAGAATTCACCTTGGTCTTGCCATATCAACTGTCCACTCAGTTCCTGGCTTCCTGCCAACTGGCTCTCCCTGACTCTTCTGTTGTAGTCCCTTTGCCTCCCCAGGCACTCCTGTTTTGCAGCTGGTGAGTGGGCTGGGAAATGAGCTGTGAGTCAAAACCTGATCTCCCCAGTTTTTAACCTGTCTTCCTTTGCCTTCTAGTGTATTCAGATGTTGGGGACACACACACAAATCTCCAAAACACCAGGAAAAGGGAAATTTAACATCATTTTACTATAAAATGTAAAATGCCTAGATATGTTCTGTGTATTAATATAAGGCCCTAGATGCTACAAACATACACAATTCTGGGTTATTTCTCATCAATTTAAATGGGATGTTCCTTCTCTTGCAGTTGTTGTTGGGATTCCAGTCGCCTAGGGTTGTACTAATGTCTGGGAAGAAAATGAGTGTAAAACTTTTAAAATGAGGATAGGACTTTAAATCTCTGCTTCACAATGATTGCCACAGGCATGCTAATTGTCTCAGCTCCCGGAGGCCCCTTTATTCTGGCAGCTCTTTTATTCCAGTTGCCACATGTACACTAGAGAGATGTCTGATGATGTTGGAAACTTGGTGCGGCTGCCCCTTGGAGGCCTTGTCACTTCCCTGAGAACACTTGCTAGAGAGGTTCTTTAGGGTGGAGCGGGATCACAATTAATGAAGTAATCACACATGGTGGTGGGGGATGCAGTGTCAGTGAATACTGAGGCATAAGGCAATCATAGGATATTGCTCTACATGCATGCTTTGCAAACAATGGTGATGACAAAGACTGTGGGTTAAGATAACTGCATGTAACTACCACGGAGAGCTCATAACATGAAAATGTTAAACTGAGGCCTTGCACTCTGAGCTCAAGTCATGGGTGCAGAATGACTCTGGACTATTGTTAAAGGAATCCCTTATGTCCTGTAGCTGCAAGGCAGATGTAGTGGAAGACCAGATCCAGACCTTGATTGTACAAGTTATAGTATTGTACAATCAGTTAAATCCCATCCATTCCTGGCCTCTTATTCTAAAGTAAAATGAACAGGAACTGGAGAGATTCTGAGACATGGAATGGGAAAAATTTGGGCACACTCAAATATGGCTGAGAATCTTAAATTGAAAATTGCTGCAAAATCTTTGTCACCTATGAAAACAGCCCCTCTCCCACCTAAATGAGGAAACCAAACTTTCTTTGCCTAGAACTTTTCCAAGAACTTCAAATGGAGATCTGGCATTATAAAGAGATGCAGATTGTCTTCAGGACCCAAGCTCACCATCCACGATTTCCTCCAGACCAATTACTACAGTTATTTTCCAGCAGAGCCCCAGGGAAGTACAATGTCCATTCAAGGAGGAGATAACATAGACATCTAAATAGTGCAGAATCTTGCTGATTTGTATCTGTAACAGTCAAGGAAGCATGTATGGAAATGGCTTGTTAAGGGCGTTAGATGAAAAATGACAAAATGGAAAGTTGGATCCAGCCTATGTTATTGGATGAATATAGTCATCTGTAATTTGTGATTATGGTGTGGGCTTATGTGTATGACTGTGTGCCTGGTCTTAAAGATGTCACTCCGGGGAATGGAGATGGTGGGACGTCCCAAGCATAATCTAGAGGCAGGATTTTGGAAATTCAAGGACATGGAAATGTTGGCATGAAAATTCTATGTGTAACCTACTCAGCCATCTTTTAACCTTAGGGAAACCTAGTGAACACTCCTTTCATGGCAAAAAAAAAAAAAAAAAAAAAAAAGCAACAATAAAATGTTCTTTGGAGGCTGACCTCTGAAGACTAAAAATGATCATAGAAGATACCAGCATGTAGTTGGGCTCCCCAATTATAGTAGAAATAAATGGAGCACAGAATAGTAGACACAGGTGGTAGCACTTCAGCACAAGTGGTCCCAATTTCCATGGCTGATTAACAGAATGGAACTTGGAGTGTTTTGACTCCCAGGCTTCTGTGTTGATAAGGAACCAAAGGTGGGAACACTAGGAATGAAATAGAGGGGCAGCCTAGACATATATAAACAAGTACATTCCAGGTCACATAGGAAGAAACCTGACTCATCCATAGTGGTAATTCATAGCTGCTTACTCAGTTTGCAGACCTACAGCTCCTTGTCTGAGGAGGGGGCTAGACTTTTGGCAACATGGCCACAATATAGGATATAACTCTTTCTCTGAGTCTTCAAGATGTGTGGCCATTTTCCAGGGTGTGTGCAGTGAAAAAGGGGATTTTTTTTTTTTAGGTTTTCTGTAGGTTATTAGTGACATTGAGGAAAAGCTAATTCTTAACCTCACCACTTCCATATCTACCATGATGGCCACTGATCAAAATGTGGCTTATAAATATTAGATGATGGAAAGAGTCTTGACCAGAGTCCATCTCTGTGTGGGTCCAATTGGGACCACACACCAGTCCTGGCATATATAGTGAAAACATCTCTCTCTCTGTCTCCCTCCCTAACTATCTACCTACCTAGCAGCTGGCAGAATCTGCACATTGGTACACTGATCCATGAAATGAGGGTTATTACATAGCAAAAGCTAAATTTACATTCTTAGTGTCGACCTTTTGCCATGACAGCAAAATCAAAAGCAATAGCACTTCTTGAAGGAAGTACAGAATTAATTGCTACTGTCAAAGACTTGAAACTTGCAGAGGTGCTTATTCCTACTGCACCATTATTTAAACTGCCTGTTTGAACAAGCAGATGTTGAACTTATCTTGGAGAATTACTGTGGATTGTCTTAAACATAATGAGATGATTTGTTTCAGTTCTTCTAGAAGCTAATACAAGGAGTTGAAGGCAGGAGTTTGTAGGAGAGGTGATCTCTGGAAGCACAATGCAGGAATGGGGAAGATAAGTAACTTTACCGTTGTACTGTGCATTAGTGGAGTGATTACTACTATGTGAAACGGGCTCAGTCCTTCTAGGGACCTTTGAGGAACTGTGCAAATTATTACTTAGAATTGTCTATTGAGAGATTGGGAAGTTGCAGTATTTATCACTGATTCCTCTCTCATTAGTAGAGAACTGCCTTTGGTAATGATAAGCGTGGCGTTTTGAGGCTGATCTGTGAAGCTCAGAGGGATCAAGTAGCTTAACTAAAGTCAAATAGTTGAAAAGTGGCAGAATGGAGGCTTGAACCATGTTTTCTGTCTCCAGAATGAATCTTTTTCTTTCCTCATACTGCTACCCCTGGGCAAATGCCTAAGAGTCAACAAAAATGGCTGTTGATACATAAAATTAAGATACTTCTCACCAGATGATGGTATAGAGGTGGGAAGTTTAGAGGCACTTTAAGGCAGCAGTGCGTGTGTGTGTGTGTGTGTGTGTGTGTGTGTGCACGCATGTGTGTGTGTGTGAGGGGGTGGGAGGGGTGTGAATCTGTGGTGCATAATCAAGCCAAACAAGTTATCTGGGCACAGGCTGAATTCAGGCATGAGAGGGTCTCCCTCTTGACCTACGCTTTCCTCACTCCTTCCATAGGGCCTGCTGGCATTGTGGGCAGAATGGACACCAGGCAGATTTCCAGCCCCTTCACCTATGTTTCCAGAAGTCTTGGGGCGTTCTCTTCTAAATGGCAGGAAGAAAGAATAAAAGAGACACTGATACAGGGCAATCATAGCCAGAATTGCACAAGGAGTCACTGGCATCCTGCAAATTCACCTCAAGAGGAATGTGTTAGAGCTCTCCAAATGTGCAGGATACACACACACACACACACACACACTTCAGGTGTTCTGAACACATTAATTGCCCCATGTTGTGACCCCTTTCTATATTCTCCTTGTTGCATGTATAACTAGAGAGGCCTGCGTTATATTCACAGGGGCCCCAGGGCCAACTTCTATCTATACCTATATGAAATGTATACATTTGTCAAGATTAAATTGATGGTGGTTTTCATATAATTGTTGCATTTTTAGGACAAAGCTAATGGAAGTGACAAATTGCTTTTCAATACAGACCATTCATGTTATAACTAGTAAAAATTATCTGTAACAATAATAAAATTGCCCTTGGTATTTTTAATAACTAATACTCTTAGTTTCTAGTTTCTTTTTATTTTGTATCTTTCAGGGCCTTCATAAATATTTTAATGATAAGTTGAAAGGTTTATCAAAGAGGGCTACATTATAGTACCTTAGTCTATAAATACTGGCTGTACCTTTAAACAACAATATGTAATAATATTAATGCAACTTAAAAGGGACATATAATCAACGGATCAGTATTAAAAGCAATATAGAAGGAAAAACATGGCTAATATGACCAGTGGAGTAATTGAATGAAAGCCAGCTACCCCCTTAAACACATGCAAACACACACACACACACACACACACACACACACACACACACTCCCAATTCAGGACAAATACATGGGTTAAAATAGTGAGAAATTGAAAAGTAGTAGAAAAGAAAGATTGCCAAAAATCACACAACTTCTCTGTCTTCTGTTAAATAGAATAAAATATTAATGTGTTTAATTGTACAGGTATGCATTAATGTACATACAGTTTACCGTGGTCATATAAACATGTAAATGAAAATTACATTCTACTTTCCAAATGAAACAATCATAACAAAATAGAGAATAGTTTAGATACCAAAAGGCATAAGAGAAATGGTGTTTCAAAAGAAACTAACAACAAACAAAATCATGAAATGAGATCACATACATAGGAGTATGTCAAAGACCATTACAATGTTATACATGACCTAAAACAATACAAAATGCAAAAATGTGGTTTCATATTGGATTTAGCCAAACAAAACCAAAATACAAAGTTATCTATAAAAGCAAAAAATATCTGAAGATTAAAAATATGAGTGAACAACTAATCAAAATTAAATAAAAATAAATGCCATATTATTATGAGAGCTATGATATTATAATAAAAAACATATACTTTACCAAGCACAAAATAAATTAATTTTGGGGAACAAACTGTAAACATTTGTAACTTTGTTATCCCAAAGTTGCGGTGACTTTTAAGGAGAGCAGCAGACCAACAAGATATGTTTTTAATGGGAATATTTGGAGAAGAAAAAGGCACAGGAGGGTGAGATAAGCTCCCACACACCCCAGGCTGACTGAAATACCATGCATGCACAAGAACCAACCAACCTAGTGCAGTGAAAAGTGAAAACAAGGGAGACGTGAAAATTGTCTGCAACTCTGACTGCATTCTCCAACCCATAGGAAGATTACTTGGTAGAGTGAGGAAGACTTAGAGGGCCCAAGATGTTGAGCATAATCTTTGCCAAAATTATCGACTGATCATTAAGCTGGGTGTGCACATGAATAATCTCTAAGAAGGCAGGCTAACAAGTAAAACAAGGATTAAGGTAAAAAAAAGTAACCGAGCAGAGACACGAGGTGCTGCACACCATGGGGGAGAGAGATTCAAAAGGTTAAGTCTAGGCAGTTACTCAAACCCAACAGTTGTCAGAGAAATAAATCACAATCTAGTATGGATATATTTTCTAAAGTGTCTGTTTTTCAAAAAACTAAAGAATACTAAATATGCAAAAAACAGGAAAGTATGACCCATTTTCAGGAAATAAAATGAAGCTAATAGAAACTAACTGAAATAAGTACAGAAAAATTAAAAGATAGTAAAATACAATCTATAAAAATAATGTGGAAATTCTGAACTTGAAAACTATACAAAATTTAAAAATTTAGTAGAGCCAACAAAAGATTTTAGATGTCAGAAGAAATAATCAATGTATTTGAAGACAGAACTATAGGTTTCCAATCCAAGAAATAGCAAAAAAAAAAAAAATTATATATATATATATAATAAACAGAGCCTCAGAAACTTGTCATAAGCATCTCAACATACACATAAAAAGTTACAGCCCACTATTATAAAAGTAATAGTGCTGGAAAAACTATTTGAAAAAAATGGCTAAAAAATTCCAAAATTTGTTGTTTTTTAAAAATTACCCTATTGATTCAAGATCCTGAAAGAACCTGGTAGGTAAACACAAAGGGAACTACATGTAGAGAAATTAGAGCCAATCTACTAAAAGCCAAAGGCAAACAGAAAATCAATAATCTAAGTTTCCACCTCGAATACCTATTAAAAGGAAAGCAAAACAAACTCAGAACAAGAAAATAAGAATAGAGCATAAATCAATAAATTAGAGAAAAAAGATAAAAGAAAATTATTGAAAACAAGTTATTTATCAAAAGATTAATAAAATTGTTATTCCTTTAAATAGGCTGATCACAGAAAAAGAAGGCACAAATTACCATCAAAAATAAGAGACATATTTATAGACTTTTCCAAAATTCAAAGACTTGAAAAGAATTTTGAACCACTTTATGTCAGCACATTAGAACTTAGATAAAATGGACAGATTCCTAGAAAAACACAAGTTACCCAACATAATTAATTGTTAAAGCACTGAACATAATAGGTAATTTGAATGCATGTATTATGTAGATTATAGAATTAATTGATGTATAAATAGACCTATAGAAAGGAAATATTTTAAAGAGTTAACATTAGTTAATTACTATAGTTGGTGTTTTAGCTGTAATTTATTTAATCTTCACAAAACTCTATGTGGTAGCTATTAGCTCCCTAATGTTTGAGAAAACTCCAATATGCACTGTAAAATATCACAAGACTTATAAGTCATAGATGGGTTTCTCTGCCTCTAGTCATTTTCCTTCTAACACAAGTAACTGCTACCCTGGCACTTAATATAAACCATATCCTAATGTGTTAACAGAACTACACGTGGTTTGGATTTAGAGACTATTTCCAGAGGTGAAACTTGCTTGGACTTTGAAGAAGGTAAGAATAGTAAATGGGCATGAATAAACAGTAAAATTATCAGATCAAAGATGTGTAAAGTGAACTAACCAGTTCCTCATGGGGCAGCAAATATATGTTGATGAGTAACTATGATGAAGCTAGTGAAACATGTAGCTATAGGGGTAGGAGAGGGAAGCTCATGGTGAAGATGGAGCATTATACACTTATATGCTGGACTTCAATGGTGTGTGGATAATAGTCATGGGATTTGGAAGCTGAGGAATCAGGTTCAGGAAAAGTATTCTCACCTTACTGAAGAGCATGTTGTCCTCTCAGTATTTTTCTTCTTCAGTGCAGTGGAGATGATAATCATTTTATAGGTTTACTGTAAGGATGTTTTCATGTTATTTAAATTTAGTGCTTTATAAATTGCCTTTACTATTACTATAACTACAGTTGATTAAAAACAAAATCAGAAACAATAATAAACACACACAGAATACACTTATTGCTGAATTAAATCTTTGAGAAATAGCTAGAACAAGGTGCAACACACAGCCCCAGGACCACAGGGATTCTGTTAACAGTGAGAATTTACAGATGTGGCTTAAGGCTTAATGTAAGTGACTCCGTTGTACATGTCCATGAGCTAAGACTCTCCTTGAATAGTTAGGGATATAGTAATGTCCATTACAGTTAAAAAACAGGCTTGCTCTTCTTATCTTAACACCGAACATGCATTGGATGGGGGAGGAGCTGAGAAAGTACATATTTTGTGAGAGCCAAGCCTCATTATGTAATTTTTTGTAAGATCTAAATTCAGAAGGATTATAAAAGGACTTTAACATTTAATACATCCCTTCACCATTACTTAAAAGACACCAGTACTTTCTACCAGTCATAAAAGAGTTCAAATAAGAAAACTTCACCAATAACATTACAGTACAATAAAAAAGAAATAATTGGCTGAGTGCAGTGGCTCGCGCATGTAATCCCAGCACTTTGGGAGGCCGAGGCGGGAGGATCATGAGGTCAGGAGTTCGAGACCAACCTGGCCAACACAGTGAAACGCCGTCTCTACTAAAAATACAAAAAATTAGCCAGGCGTGGTGGCAGGCACCTGTAATCCCAGCTACTAGGGAGGTTGAGGCAGGAGAATCGCTTGAACCTGGGAGGCAGAGGTTGCCGTTAGCCGAGACCACACCATTGTACTCCAGCCCGGGCAACAGTGCAAGACTCCATCTCAAATAATAATAATAATAATTATTATTATTATTATTTCTCCTTCCACTAGAGGAAATCTGATAGTGAAAGGGATTTGAGAAAATTACAATTGTTCCAAGGCTCAAAACTTTGAACCTCTAAGGATGAATAATTTTGTGAGTTAAAAGTATTCTTTGTTTCCTAGAATAATTGAAGATTAAAAAAAAATAGCAACTGGCTAAAATGGCTTTTATATTTTAGATAAAAGATATTCAGATACTTAGATATTTCTAAAATGTATGTTTGGCATTACCCTCATATACATTTATTATTTTATAGATTTTACTATATAGAGACATTAAAATATTTTTAAAAGATTATTTACAGAAGCAAAGAAATTTCCATGGGATGCATTTAAATCACCATCCAAGAAATGCTTTAGGTTTGAAAAAAATATATACTAATTAGGTCACCTGAGGAAAGAGTGCTTGAAAAATGAACATCCTTTATAAAGACTTATTTGCAATCTTGCTCAGAACTATTGGTTCCAAAAAATGATAGTGAGTGTATGAAAAGCTGAGACCACAATTATTTTCTAAATGTCAACTTGCTCTTACAGTATTAAGTGCAGAACCAGCTTAATGAGCGTGCGACCTGGGCAGTCACAAAAGACCCTATACTTAGAAGGGCCCCACACTTGGTTTAATGCTGTGCTGTTGCTGTCTTAATATTCTTCATAACTTTTGAACAAAAGTACCACATTATCATTTTGCTCTGAGCTCCACAAATTATTTAGGTGATCTTGATTTTTAAGTGAGCTATTATGATCCCATCATCACCAGCAATACAGTCCCTCTACCATGAGTTCTCTCTTTCTCACATTAACAGAATCACTACCATTCACAAAAATAATCCCCAAAGCAGCAACTCTATACTACTTCTAAAATAACAAAATATTTAAAATAATTTTTAAACTTCTTGCTATTTGCTGGAGTAAAAATAATTTGATAGATTCCTTACACCATTGATGGGACCGCATCAGATCTTATTTTAAATTGAAAGATAGTATGATGACCAGAGAATAAAATGAATTAACTACTATCCAAGTGCATAATTTTTAAATTTTCTAAGGTATATGTCATATTACATCATCAGATTTCATTATGAATTATCTATACACATCAGAGCCATCAGTGGTATTTTTTAACAATGCAGAATTCTAGGCCTTGTCCCCTGAATTTTTGATTGAGTAGTTCTGAGATGGTGAAGATGGTAGCCTATATTTTTAGTAAGCACTCTCAAGTAAATTTAACCATAGATGAAATCCATTATTTTGTAGTTTGCTTTGTTTACTTAATAACATAAGTTTTACATGTACTAATACATGGAAAATTTGCCCCCAGTCCTCCCTTGCTCCTTTTGGAGTCCTCAGTGTCTATTTTTCCCACTTGTGTGTCCATGTGTACCCAGGGCAACTTCAACTTAAAAGTGAGAACATGCAATATTTAGTTTAATGTTTTTGCATTAATTTGCATCGGATAATGGCCTCCAACCGCATCCATGTTGCTGCAAAGGACGTGATTTTGTTATTTTTATGGATGCATATTATTCCATGTTGTATATGTGCCACATTTTCTTCATCCAGTCCACTGCTGAGGGACACCTAGGTTGTCTTTGCTATTGAGAATAGTGCTGTAGTGCATGTATGTGTGCATGTGTCTATATGGAAGAACGGTTTATTTTCCTTTGGGTACATACCTAGTAATGGGATTGCTGAGCTGAATGAGTTCTGTTTTTAGTTCTTTGGGAAATCACCAAACACTTTTTCACAGAGGATGAACTAAATTTACATCCCACTAACAGTATGTAGCATTCCCTTTTCTCCACAGTCTTACCAACATATTATTGACTTTTAATAATAGCCATTATTTTTTGACTTTTTAATAATAGGCATTCCAACTGATGTAAGATGATATCTCATTGTGGTTGTCATTTGCATTTCTCTGATGATTAATGACGTTAAGCATTTTTTCATATGTTTGTTGGCTGCTTCTATGTTTCTTTGGAAAAGCGTTCATATACTTTGCCAACTTTTAAATAGGGTTATTTCTTTTTTTCTTTTTGACTTAAGATCCCTGTATATTCTGGTTATTAATCCTTTGTCAGATGCATAGTTTGAAAATATTTTTTCTTATTCTTCTGGCTGCCTATTTACTCTGTTGATAGTTTCTTTTGCTGTGCATAAGCTTTTTAGTTTAATTAGGTTCCACTTATCAATTTTTGTTTTTGTTGCAATTGCTTCTGAGGACTTAGTCATAAAATCTTTGCCTGGGCCAGTGTTCAAAAAAGTATTTCCTAGGTTTTGTTCTAGGATTTTTATAGTTTGAGGTTTTAAATTTAAGTCTTTAATCCATCTTGAGTTAATTTTTGTATATGGTGAGAGGTAGGGTTCCAGTTTCATTCTTCTGCATATGGTTAGCCAGTTTTCCAAGCACCATTGAATAGGGAGTCCCTTCCCGGTTGCTTATTTTTGTCAACTTTGTTGAAGATCAGTTGGTTGTAGATGCAGGACTTTATTTCTGGGTTTTCTGTTCTATTCCACTGGTCTATGTATCAATTTTTTGTACCAGTATCATGCTGTTTTGGTTACTGTAGCCTTGTAGTATAGTTTGAAGTTGGGTAATGTGATGCCTCCAGTTTTGTTCTTTTTGCTTAGGATTGCTTTAGCTATTCGGGCTCTTTTTTGGTTCCATTTGAATTTTAGAATATAGCTTTTTTTTTTTTCCTAATTCTGGGGAAAATGATGGTGGAAGTTTGACAGGAATAGCACTGAATCCATAGATTGCTTTGAGCAGTATGGTCATTTTAATGATATTGATTCTGCCAATCCATGAGCATGGAATGCTTTTCTGTTTGTTTATGTTATCTATGGTTTCTTTCAGCAGTATTTTACAGTTTTTCATGTAGAGATCTTTCATCGGCTTGCTTAGATGTATTTCTAGGTATTTTCATTTTTTGTGGCTATTGTAAATGGGATTGCATTCTTAAATTGACTCTCAGCTGGAATGTTATTGGTATATAGAAATGCTACTGATTTTTGCACATTGAATTTGTATCCTGAAACCTTACTGAAGTCATTTATCAGGTCTAGGAGCCCTTTGGTGGGGTTTTAGATTTTTCTAGATAATCATATCATCAGTGAAGAGAGATAATTTGACTTCTGCTTTTCCTGTTTGGATGACTCTTCTTTCTGTTGCCTGATTGCTCTGGCTAGGACTTCTAGAACTATGTTGAATAGGAGTTGTGAGAGTGGAAATCCTTGTCTTGTCACAGTTCTTAGGGAGAATGCTTCTTGCTTTTGCCTGTTTGGTATGATGTAAGAAAGAAAATGAAACTCAATAATGAATTCCAAAATTGAATTAGTAATGAAAAACCCACCAACTAAAAAAAGTCCTGGACCTGATGGATTAACAGCTGAATTCTACCAGACGTACAGTAGTTTCCTACTGAAACTATTCCAAAAAAAGAAGTCAAGGAAGAGGGATTTCTCCATACCTCATTCTGTGAAACCAGTGTCATTTAGATACTGAAATCTGGCAAAGACACAATGAAAAAAGAAAACCACAGGCCAATATCCCTGATGAACATAGACACAAAAATCCTCAAAAACATACTATCAAACTCAATCTAGCTGCACATCAAAAAGTTAATTCACCATGATCAAGCAGGCTTTATTCCTGGGATGCAAGTTTGGTTCAACATATGTAAATCAATAATTGTGATTAACTTAACCACATACACAAAATTAAAAACAAAACCATATGATCATCTGAATAGAAGCAGAAAAACTGTTTGACAAAATCCACTATTCCTTCCTGATGAAAACCTTCACCAAATAGGCATTGCAGGAACATACTTCAAAATAGCAAGAGCCATCTATGACAAACCCATAGTCTTTTTTTCTACCCCATTTCCATTATGTCTTTTGATACCTGAACTATTTTCAATTTATTGTGTTGTGAATGCTTAAAAAATAGAATGCAGTTTTCACTTGCATATTTATATTGCCATTTTTAACTTTATGCACTTTATACCTACAAAATTACTACTCAGCTTTTATATAAAGGACACCAACTTTATTTTCTAGAAATTTAAAATCATGTACAAGTTTTCAGAATTATTTACTTTTCTATTATCCTGGTGAATGGATAATTAAGTATAGGTTTCTTGGCCACATCAGAGGTTTTATATTTAGTGCCCAAAGCCTACATTAATAAGAATAAGTATTTTACTTAAGTTTAGCTTTTAGTAAAAAAAAAAAAAAAGTATACAGTAGGAAAGCAGTGACTCTGCTGAAACACATGCTGTCATGTTTTAAGTGACGTTGTATTCTGTTATTACTCTGTTACCACTCGGAAACCATCTTCCAAATACTCACGCATGCCTTCATTTACTTTTAGATTGTAAATTTCATGAAATTAGATACTTATTCTCATAGAATTTTAATTTTCAATCATCATCTATTTTAATGCTGCTATTTTTATTAATCAGCCTAATGTCTACCTATACTAGTAGCTGTGATAAAAAACTAGATTTGGGAAAAGGAAATATAACTTTATCCAGACTTCGTTTCCTTTTCAAAAACATATAACTTCATAAGTTTTCCTTTCAAAAAATCCGTTTTTAGCATTATTTGATACCAATGCAAAAATTATAATTTTTATGATTTCTTAAGAAAATGAGCCCAGTAATCTTTTCATTGTCTATTGTTTAGTATATATTTTGCACTGTAGCACAAGCTCATTGAGATGGATGAGACAAGATGAAAGATTTCTCTGCTAACAATTAGCCAGAACCTTCCTTTGCCAGGACACACTATTATACAAAAGATAATATCAGAGTATTAGACACTGATTTCACTGCTGAAGAGAGTCTGAATAAGATTTGAAAGACCAGAAAGGTAAGTAAATCTAAGTACTTGGTAAAAATGAATCACTTTTTCTGAAAACAAAGTAATTAACACAATCCATCGTGTTCTATTTATAGCATATGGATAGAAATTTCTCATCTGGCCCCTGTTCATTTAAAAATATTTTAATATAAAATACTCCACTAATGTTAATAAAGAAAAATCTGTGCTCAAGATTATTTCAACTGTATATCCTTAGTAATATTTCAATATTATAAAAGAATTACAGAAACAATGAAGTTACTCTTGTTATAGACATGGGATGACATTAAAAGCAACGTATCTTTTCTAGTGTAGTATAGATACAACTACCCATAGTTCAAAATTGATGAAAAAATCATATCTTAAGATATGGGATGACTTTCAGAGTTATTGTCTTTTGTGCCATATACTGAGGAGATGATTAACCTCAACAAACATACATACACAATATCGGTTAAGGACACAAGATATGTAATACATATGAATGTGTTAAGAATTAATTAGAAAAGGAAAGTTTCCAAAAGTTGTCAGAAACATGAAGGATGTTGTTACTTCTATGCATGGTAAAACCAAAGAATACATCTTTCTACTGAAAAGAATAACAATTCTGAAAGTAGATTCATGAAATTACTTAGAACATTAAGAAGCTCCAGTGTGCTGACCATGTTTCCTTTGACCTCCAGATCTCCTTTCTATTCATTTTAACTCATCTCCGTGGAAACATGGCAGTAATAGTTTCCTTTGCTTTCTGGCTTTCAGCTGAGTTTTGTCAAGGGTCATAAGAGAAGGGTCACCTGCAGAAGATCAGAGGGAAAGAGGAGTGATATCCACATACTCATTCTCTTGGCTTTCTGTCTACATGGTCATCTTAAACTGGTTGTGTACCCCCATCAAAACTCTCAGCCTCATATCCTCTCCACCAAGCCTTCTTGTTATGAATCTTATGCTAACTGTCCTTCCCCTCATCCTTCAGGTCAAAGAATATTACTGGCTGTTACTGTTGCTGCCCCAGTACTGAGCTGTCTTTTGTTTTCCTTTCCTCTTGCCTGTGACTTTGCTAATATACCCTCCATTAAACACTTCTGATATTACCTTGAATATCCTACCTATTTCCTCCTAATGCTTGGTTTGATACACCAGGTTTATGATCATATGTCCTTAAGTTCTCACAGCATTAAATTGTTTACCAGAACTGTCTATTAGTCACCAGAGCAGAAACATCCAAAAATAGGAGTGAACTGGTGAAAAGCTATTTCAATTTCTTTATGTAACTATTTCTACCTGTTTATAGCCTAAACAAAAAATTTGCATAAATATAGTGTGACATATTTGAAAATATCCCAAAATTCCTGGCAATAATACAGGCTTAAATCGGTGTGCAGATTAGCTGTTGCACCAACCCTGAAATACAAGGATGGGCCCACACTGAAAATTTGGTTCAGATGTTGAGACATGATATCACGCACACATACCCCCAGAGGGTATTAAAAGGTTTATTTCTTACGTAATTGATGCTTTTCTGAGGAGAGCGGTGCAGACCTCCCAAATAAGTCTAAAAATGGCTAGAGGTTTCTAGTATGGTTAGGGGTATGGCTTGGGTGAGAGCTCTGGTGCATTTTGACAAGGCGCTTGCATGGTTTGAATCCCCTTGCCAGTGCCGAAGGATTTCTTATCAGCTTGACAGTTGTGGGGCAGGGAGAAGAGAGAGGGGTGAGATTTAAAAGTTGTTAGCCATTTAACATAAAAAGTGAAGTTAGACCTATTACATTAGCACATAACTAATTTTAATCCAAACATTCTTTACCTAAGCATTATTTCCTCAGCCCACTTTACAATACCTAACCTAGAAATCAAGATCTTTTGTTAAACAGTTTCTTTCCTTCAGAGAATGTCTCAATTTGTAGACATGAATTATTTTAAGATTAATATAATTATTTTAATAGTTATGTTCTAGATTAAATTGGAGAATAAGAGCTAGGGCTGAGCTTGCCAAATATTTGATTCACATAATAGGGCTTGCATTTGGGATGTAGAAATCTAGGAAGGGCATCACTCCCACACACAAAATATCCACTACTACAACAAACAAGAAGTTCTAGATAACTTGCAGATTTCTAATTTTACTGATCCTGATACTGAGGCTATTGGACCAACTAACCCAAAATCTAAAGAAAGACATGAACTTTCAAGGAGAGATAGGACAGGAACATTTGCTTCCCTGTGCCAAATTCCTCTGTAGAACAGTAAGATGAATTCTGCTAAAAAAAAAAAAAAAAAAGAAAGAAAGAAAAATCTAATAGATTCGTAAAGATTAGGTATGGGCTAGTTAGGTAATAAAGAATGTTGAATACCAGGGGTCCACAAATGTGATGGAAATGCACACCCACTTGCGTGTGATTCGATCATTTACATTTAATGTGATCATTTGTTATCTTTTATTTAGGGATTCTATTACATTATTTGCTATTTGTCTCATTTAGTTCCTACTTCCCTCCCTCATGTCCTGATTTATTTTATATCAATTTTATACTATATTAATTGAAAAATTTTTTAGTATTCTATTTTAGCAATTGTGATTTTTAACTATATATTTTTGGTTATCTTTTACTGGTTGCTTTAGAAATTAAATGTAACCTACCCAGCTTTTTATAGATTTTTACCATTGAAAGTAATGGGGAAAAAACTGCAATTACTTTTGCACCAACTTCATCTTTTGATTTCTAAAAATAAAAATACATTGAAGGAAATTAATAAGAGAAAATAGTTTATTTTGTTTATACAGATATTTACAATTTCTCTTGGATTGCCAGCTTCCCCAAAGTTCCAGATTTCCTTCTGGTATCATTTTGTTTCCATCAAAAGGACTTCTTTTAGTATGTTTTAGGGCAGGAAGCAAAGTGTCTTAATTTTCCTTAATCTGAGAATATCTGTATTTCACCTTCTTTCCTGAAGAATATTTTTACAGGATATGGAATTAAGCAGTGAGGGTGATTTTTTTTGTCTGTCAACATCTTAAATAATAGTTTATCCTATCTTCTGACCTCTGTTAGTTCTGATAATAAATTTACTCTTTTGAATTATTTTTTCCCACTATGTAATGTGGCATTCATTTCTGGGTGGTCCCAAGACTTTTTATTTGCCTTTAGTTATTAAGATTTAAATTATGATGTATCTGAGCATGGTTTTCGTTGAGTTTATCTGGTGTGGGGTACACTTTGTGTATTAGATCATTCCTGAATTGCTATAAAGACTATAATTTGCTATTACCTGAGACTGGGCAATTTATAAAGAAAAGAGGTTTAATCGACTCAGCTCTGCAGGCTGTAGAGGAAACATGGTCCTGGCATCTGCTTGGCTTCTTGTGAAGCCTCAGGAAGTTTTCACTCATGGTGAGAGGTGAAGCAGAGAGCAGGCATGTCACATGGCAAAAGCAGGAGCAAGAGAGGAAGTGGGAGGGGAGGTGCCACATACTTTTAAATGACCAGATATCATATGAACTCAGAACAAGAGCCTCACTTATTACAAAGGGGATGGCCTAACCCATTCATGAGGGATCTGCTCCTATGATCCAAAAACCTCCAACCAGGTCCTACCTCAAGACTGGATACTACATTTCAACATGAGATTTGAGGGGGGGAACAAATATCCAAACTATGTCACTTTGTTTCTTAATTTATGAGATTTATATTTGTGTTTTCCCAAAATTTTACAAGTTTTTAGTGAATAATTATTTCTTCACATTTGTGACATTACAGCCTTCTTGAGGAATTTAATCACAGTGACATTTTCATTGATGCATAATTGCTGTACATATTTTGGGGGTATATGTGATATTTTGATACATTCATGCAAAGTGTAATAATAAAACCGGGCAATTGGGACATCATTACCCCAAATATTCACCCGCTTTTTATGTTGGGAAGTTCAAATAACTGTTCTCCAGATATTTTGAACTATGCAAAAATTATTTTTAAGTGTAACAATCCTACTCTGCTATGGAACACTAGATCTTATTTCTTCTGTTTACTGTAATTTTGTACCCATTGACCAACCTCTTTTCATCTCCCTCTCCTGTCTACTGTTCCCAGCTTCTGCTTACTACCAATCAACTGTCTACCTCTATGAGGTCCACTTTATTTGTTCCCACATATGAATCTGTCTTTCTGTGCTCAGCTTATTTCACGTATATGACCTTCAGTTCCATCTATGTTGTTGCAAATGACAGGAGTTCAGTATTTTTAATAGCTGAATAAGATTCCATTGTGTATATGTACACTTTCTTTTCTTTTCTTTTCTTTTTTTTTTTTTTTTGAGACAGAGTCTCCCTCTGTCGCCCAGGCTGGAGTGCAGTGGCGCTATCTCAGCTCACTGCAAGCTCCGCCTCCCAGGTTCATGCCACTCTCCTGCCTCAGCCTCCTGAGTAGCTGGGATTGCAGGTGCCCGCCACCACGCCTGGCTAATTTTTTGTATTTTTAGTAGAGATGGGGTTTCACGGTGTTAGCCAGGATGGTCTCGATCTCCTGACCTCGTGATCCGCCCACCTTGGCCTCCCAAAGTGCTAGGATTACAGGTGTGAGCCACAGCACCAGGCCATATGTACGCTTTCTTTATTCATTCATTGGTGGACACTTAGGTTGATTCCATATCTTGGTTAGTGTGAACAGTGCTACGATAATAAATGGGAGTGCAAATGTCTCTTTGATATATTGATTTTCTTTCTTATGGATATATACCTAGCAGTGGGATGGCTAGATAATCATATAGTTCTATTTTAAGTTTTGTAAGGAACCCCCATGCTGTTTTCTATAGTGGCTGTACTAATTTACATTCCCACCCACAGGGTAGAAGTGTATCTCTCCACATACTTATCAGCAATTGTTACTTTTTCTCTTTTTTATAAAAGCCATTTTAGTGTGTGAGATGATTTGCTTGTGGTTTTAATTTGCATTTCCCTGGTGATTAGTGATGTTGAGCATTTTTTCATATACCTGTTGGTCATTTGTAGGTCTTTTAAGAAATGTCTATTCAGATCTTTTGCTCATTTTTAATAGGGTTATTTCTTTTTTGCTATTATATTGTACTTCTTATATATTTTGGATTCTAATCCCTTGTTGGGTGGACAGTTTGAAAATATTTTCTCCTAGTTTTTAGGATGTCTCTTCACAAAGTTGATTATGTCTTGTGCTGTGCAGAAGCTTTTTAACTTGATGTGATCCCATCTGTCTTGTTTTACTTTTGTTTCCTGTGCTTTTAAGTCCTGCTCAAGATATCTTTGCCCAGGCCAGTGTCCTGAAGTGTTTCCTTTATGTTTCTTTTTGGTAGTTATATAGTTTTAGGTCCTAGATCCAAGTCTTTAATCTGCTTTGAGCTGAATTTTGTATACAGTGAGAGATAGGGGTCTATTTTTATCCTTCTACATATGGATATTCAGTTGCCCTAGCACCATTTATTGAAAAGCCTGCTGTTCCCCAATGTATTTCGTTGGTGACTTTGTCTAAAATAATTTGGCTGTAAATGTATGGATTTATTTCTGGGTTCTCTATTCTGCTCCATTGGTTTATGTCTCTATTTACATGCCAGTACCACGCTATTTGAGTTATTATAGCTTTGAAGTACATTTTGAAATCTGGTAGTATGATGTCCCTCGTTTTGATCTTTAGCTCAGGATTGCTTTGACTATTCAGGGTCTTTTGTGGTTCCATATACATTTTAAAGTGTGTTTGTTTTTCTATTTATGTGAAGAATGGCAATTGTATTTTAATGGGGATTGTTTTACATCTGTAGATTACTTCAGGTAATATTTACATTTTGACAATATTAATCCAATCTATAAGCATGGAATATGTTTTTATTTTTTGTTTCCTCTTCCATTTCTTTCATTATTTCTTAATAATTTTCCTTGCAAAGATCTTTCATTTCTTTCATTGAATTTATTCCTATGTTTTTGATATTTCTTATAGCTATTATAAATAGGATTACTTTATTACCTTCTTTTTCAGGTTGTTTACTGTTGGCATATAGAAATGCTACTGAGTTTTGGATGTTGATTTCGTATCTTGCAACATTACTGAATTCATTTATCACTTCTAATCATTTTTGGTAGAGTATTTAGGTTTTTCTAAATATAAAATGAAGTCATCTGTGGGCAAGGTTGATTTGACTTCTTTCCAATTTGGATGCCCTTTTTTCTTTATCTTGTCTAATTTCTTTGGCTAGGACTTCCAATACTATGTGGAATAAAAGTTATGAAAGTGGACATCCTTGTCTTGTCTCAGTTCTTAAAGCTAATGCTTTCAATGTTTATTCATTTAGTATGATTTTAGCTGTGGGTTTTTCATATATGGCCTTTATTGTTTTGAGGTATGTTCCTTCTATACCCAGTATTTTAGGGTTCTTCTTTTAAAAAAAGGTTGTTGAATTTTTCAGCGTCTATTGAAATGTTTACATAGATTTTATCTTTCATTCTGTTAATATGATGTATCATATTGATCAGTTTGCATGTTGAATACTAGTAAGAGATAATTCCACTTGATCATGGTGAATGATATTAAAAAAATTAACAGAAATGTTTAATCGTAAAACCAAAGATGAATACTAGTAAGAGATAATTGAATGAAGCTTTGGCACCATTTCTTGTAATTCTGCTTATGTTCTAATGCATGAATAGGTGATAAAAGTATATTTAAAATGCAAGTTCTTTGTCATCTGGGACTAATACCATGGTAATAAGGAATGTCTTAAGAATTAAGACTTCTCCTGATTTATTGTTTCAAAATATAAATGCAGTGTAGTATCACGAACAAAAGCATTCTTCAGCCAAGCTTCTTATGTTCTGATCTCAAGTGAATGATCTTCTTAATGTGTGTTTCATTCAGTTTGCTAGTATTTTGTTGAGGATTTTTGCATTTATGCTCATTAAAGATATTGGCTTGTAGTTTGCTTTCTGATATCTTGTTGGTTTTGGTATCAGAGCAGTGATGGCTTTGTATAATTTTGGAAGTATTTCCTCATCTTAAAGATTTTTGAAGAGTTTGGGTAGAATTTGTGTTCTTTGAATGCTTGGTAGAATTCAGCTACGAAGACATTAAGTCCTGTGCTTTACTCTGATGGGCGACTTTTTATTACTGCGTCAACATCATCACTCATTATTGATCTGTTCAGGTTTTCTGTTTCCTCATGGTTCAATATTAACAGGTTGTATGTGCCCAGGAAGTTATTCATTTCTTCTGGGTTTACCTATTTGTTGGCATATAGTTGTTCATAGCAGTCTGTAATAATACTTTGTATTTCTGTGGTACCACTTGCTATGACCCCCCCTTTTCATTTCTGATTTTATATATTTGGGTCTTCCTTCTTTTTTTTCTTACTCTAGCTAAAGGCTTACCAATTTTATCTAAAACTACTTTAAAAAAAACTTTTTGTTGATCTTTTGTAATTTTTTTAGTCTCAGTATCTTTTATTCCTGCTCAATATTTGATATTTCATTTTTTTCACTAATTTTGGGTTTGACTTGTTCGTTCTTCTCTAGTTTTTTGAGGTCATTATTAGTTTTTTTAAATCTTCTACGATGTAGATGTTTATTCCTATAAGCTTCCCTCTTACTCTACAGCATTTGTGTACCCCATAGATTTTTAACAACTTATGTTTTCATTTTCATTTATTTCAAAAAATATTTAACTGCCTTCTCAATTTCTTCATTTAATTGATCATTCAAGAGCATGTTATGTTTTTGTCTGTTTGTATAGTTTCCAGAATTCCCTGTTACTGATTTCTAGTTTTATTTTATTGTAATAAAAAAGATACTTGATATGATTTCTACTTCTTTAATTTGTAGACTTTTTTGTGGTATAACATATATCTTGGATAATATTCCATGTGTTTATCAGAAAACTGTGTATTCTATGGCAGTTGGGTAAAATGTTCTGTGAATGTTGGTTAGGTCCATTTGGTCTACAGTGTAGTGTAACTTCAGTTTCTTTGCTGATTTTTGTCTGATCTGTCCCTTACTGAGAGTAGGGTGTTGAAGTCCCCTACTATTATTGTATTGCAGTCTACCTTTCACTTTGATCTATTAATATTTGCTTTATATATTTGGGTGCTCCAATGTAAGGTGCATATATATTTATAATTGCTATACACTCTGTGGAATTGCTTTCTTTATTATTATATAATAGCCTTTTTATCTTTTATACTTGATGTCTATTTAATCGAATATAAATATGACTGTTGCTTTTTATGGTTTCCATTAGCATGAAATATCTTTTTCCATCCCTTCACTTTCAGTCTATGTTCCTTTACAGGTGAAGTTATTTTTGTAGGCAGCATATGGTTGGTTCCTTTTGAGTTTAAAATCATTCATCCACTCTGTTTTTTAATTGGAAAAATTAACCCATTTATAGTCATTGTTATTATTAATAGGTAAAGACTTCTGCAATTTTGTTACTTTTTTTTGTTTGTTTTGTAAATCCTTTCTGTCTGTCTTTCTGTCTTCCTTTGTAGTTAAATGATTTTCTCTGGTATTATGTTTTAGTTGGTTGCTTTTTATTTTCATTGTATCTGTTACAGGTTTTGCTATGTGGTTTACTACGAGACTTACAAAAACCATCTTAACAATAGTACTACTTATTTTGAACAGATGACAATTTTATTTTGATCACAAATGAATAAAAAGAAATAAACAAAAGAAAGAACTTTAGAAGTCTACACCTTATACCCCTGATACACACATTTTGTCATTTTTGTCCTAATTGACAACTTTATTTATTGCCTATTGCTTAACAGGTTGCTGTAGTTACTTTTGGTAGATTTGTTTTTCAGTCCTCATATTAGAGACATGAGTAGATTACACAGCACAATCACAGTATTCATGTACTGTGAATTTTTCTGTGTACTCACTTTTTCCAGTGAGTTTTTTGCCTTCAAAATTATTTTTATTTTTATTTTTGTATTTCTTTTTTCAGGTTAGCATTCTTTTCTTTTGGAGTAAAGAACTCCATTCAGCATTTCTTATAAGACAGGTCCAGTGGTAATGAATTTTCTCAGCTTTTATTTCTCTAGGAAAGACTTTATCTCCCCTTTATGTTTGAAGGAAAGGTTTTCTGGTTACCACATTCTCATTTGGCAGGTTTTTTTTCTCTTAGTCTTTTGAATATGTCATCCCACTCCCTCCTGGCCTGTATAATTTCCTCTGAGAAGCCTGTTGTCAGACAAGTCAGAGCTCCTTTATATGTTACTTGCTTTTCACTGGCTGCTTTTAGAATCTTCTCTTTGTCCTCAACCTTTGAGAGTTTGATTATTACACGCCTTGAGGTAGTCTTATTTAGGTTGAATCTGTTTGGTAATCTCTTACCTCCCTGTGCCTGGATGTTTACATCTTTCTTTCTCTAGGTTTGGAAAATTTGGGGTTAATATTTCCTTGAATGCGCTTTCTACTCCTTACTCTTTCTTGGTTCCCTCTTGAATACCAGTGACTCTTATTTGTTCTTTTAAGATTATTCTCTACATTCTGTAGTCTGCATTCTTTTTTTTTCTCATTTATCCTTTCATTGTGTGTTTTGAAATAGCGGTCTTAGAGCTCACTCATTCTTTCTTCTGCTTGATCCATTCCCCTTTTGAGAACATCTAATAAATTTTTTAGTTCTAGAATTTTTTTTATTCCAATCTTTTTAAAGTTTTCTGATGAATTCCTGAATTGATTTTCTGTATTTTCTGGAAGTTAATGGAGTTTTCTTAAAACTGCTACGTTGAAATCTTAATGTGAGAGCTCACACATTGCTATCTCATCACTGGCTCCTTGCTTTGTCCATTTAGGAAAGTCATGGTTCCCTGTTAGCTGTTGTTTTTTTGTAGATGTGTGTCTATGGCTTCACATTGAATAATCAGTTATTTATTGCAGTCTACACTGTCTGGCTTGTTTAAATCTTTCTAGCGTATATTTGCTTAGGGTTTCTTTGTCATTGCCTTTTGAGTCCCCATAATCCTAGATTGCTTCCTTTTCAGCATTAGATGGTATCTATGCCCAGGTTTCCTTAACTGTAGCAAATCATTAGTGCACTGCAAGTCTTAAATGGTAATGTCCACAAAGGGATACCCCAGCTGTGTGGGAAGCCTAGCTTGAAGTTTTTGACCACAAGATCCATGTAGCATCTCTCCTGCAGCATAGTGTTACTGAACAGCCACTCTGATTTGGTGTGTTCTTTGGCTGAGATAAAGAGCAGTTTTGTGATACAAGGTATTGTCCCACCTCTCCTCTTTGTTTATAGCTGCCCTAAGGGTTTTTTCCCTTTACAGTCACCCACGATGCTTCTTGTGGGTTGAGGCAGAAATGGTTTCCCTGCAAGGGAAACCAAGATAGTGGGGAAGCTGGCTGTATGCCTCAATCCCTCTTTTTCCAGTGTAAAAACTGAGCATAGGTGTAATTTTCCCATGAATGGTGCCTGGGAGATTCAGGGAGGGGCATCACAGATAGAGAAGTCTTTTCCTCTTACTATCTGCTCAGACGTTTCCACTTCCTATGGCCCCAGGGACGGTCTCAGCCTCAGATTTGAGTTCTGGAATATCACTCGTGATAATCTTGGCCCTGCATATTTACTTTGGCTTTTATGTGTAGGAGAGTGAAGCCATATTGCTTTTACTTCACCGTTTTGGTCTGGCACTTCAGTCTTTCTCCTTACCCATTAGACATTGTATATTGTCTCACAGATCCCTAAGATTCTCTTTATTTTTTCTATATTTTTTTGCTCTGTTCTTTAGATTGGATAATTTGTATTGCTCTATATTCAAGTTCATTGATTTTTTTTCCTCTGTCTTCATTTTTCTATTGAGTCTATTTAGATAATTTTTATTTTATTTCATTTTTCAGTTAAAATTTATATTTGGTTCTTTGTAATATCTATTATTTCACTTGTGAGACCTTCTCATTCTAATCATTTCAAAAGTATTTGTCCGTCCTTCTTGGGCATAGTTACAATAGCAGCTTTAAAGTCTGTCTGGTATTTATTCTAGTAATAGCAGCCTTAAAGTCTTATAACAGCTTGGTTATGTCAAGATGAGATTTTACTTTGTTGGTTGTCTTTCTTTTTGAGAGTTATTAAGATATTCCCAGTTCTTTGTATACCACCTAAGTTTGGATTGTATCCTGAACATTTGAATCTTATGCTATTACAATCTTAATAAAGTTTAATTTTTAAGGAGAATGATTGTATCTAGAAATAAATCTAGTTACGTACAACTCACAAGTTCTGACTAGCATTCTGACAGTTCAGTTTTCTAAGCCTTTGCCATATTATTTACATCTTCAACACATGTGAATGATTTAATGGTCAGTCAGGGATATGGATGATTATGTACACCTTAGTACCATTCTCACAGTCTTTGGTATGGTGTTAAACTCAGATACATGCCTATGCAGTTTGAAGGTGATCCCAGTGGTTTATATGCAGCATATAGGATCTCTTCCCTAAGATCCCTCCTCCTCACGATTTTCCTGACATTTTTCAGCTCCCTGAGTCACCTTTCTTGATCTATTGGTTATAAAATTTAGCCTTCAGTTTTCCCACTCATTTGTGTACTTTTTACTATGTATTTGCCATTAAGGCCAAGAAACGAACACAAAGAGAGAACCCAATGTGGATTCTCTCCATGCTCTCAGATCACAGTTCCTGTGATCATAGAGAAGAAATACCTTCTCACAGAGTTGTAGACCTTATTGCCACTGCCGTCATTTTCCTGCTGCTGCAGCTGCTGTGGCCATCTTGGGATTTGCTGGAGGCTGAAGTGGGAGAGAACAAAACAACAACAATAAACCCCAGGGGATTTTCTCCATTCTTTCTGACCTTTAAGGTAGCCACTTTCCAATTATTCTGAGAAAAAAAAAAGGTTTTGTTTCTCTTGGAACTCTTTTTGTCTGCATCCAACAGTGAGATCTGGGTTTCATATTGCTATGAATATGAAATGAGAGATACTGGAGAAAAAGGACAGTCTTCACTAGTTTGATTTTGTTCAGATTCTGGTTTTCTTCCCCAGTACACATAGTGCCATATTTTTTTCAGTGTCCATGGTTAGTTTCTTCATGCTTTATGTTCAGGGTTTTGAGAGGCATTTACTGGAAAGATAGAAGATGCTTACTCCATCTACAGTGGAGCTGGAGCATTTTGTTGTATACTTTAAGGATGTTCATGCAAATCAACCTAACAGCTTATGTTTAGGTAACAAAAAAATTTTCTTTTTAATGCTCAATAAATGTGGTCTTCTGATTCTCATCATTATTACAAAAATAGAGTAAGCAAATTTTTCTACATTTATCTACTTTTTACAGTTACAAAGAACTTGCACATTCTCCATGTTCTTTTGATTTTATTTTTAAGAATTCTGGACAGTAGTAGCGATTAAGCTTCTCTCCAAATAAGAAATCCAGTTTAGAGAATGTATTTGCTCTCAAGTTTACCCAACTAGAAACTATCAAACCCAGGTCATAAGCCAGGTTTTTCTGACCAAATGTTTAATGTTTTCCCCTTAGTACCACATACCTGAATATCTTCTGAAATATCAAAGAACCTGGAAAGTGACAATACTGATGGCAGCAATAATACCAACCATAGTGAATAAAAGTCTTTCATTAATTATCAGTATTACAAGCTTTTCTCTAATCTAGTGCTCTGAGGTTAGTCCCTTTCATGAGGTAGATGCTCCAAAACACATCACAAATATTAAGGAGAGTTAATACAGGTTTTTAAGTAATTGAAAGTAACACTTAGTATGTAATATTAATATTGTTAACATGTTAAATAAAATATTAATATGTAATGTGTTATAATATAGTTATATATGTAAATTATATACATGTGTACCCATATATATGCATACATGTGTGTATATCTGTATATTCCAAATTATTCATGGGATTTGTTTAGCAATAACATTTTCACCACACCACATTATCTAAGAAAAACTCATAAATGCTTTCATTTATTTATTTATTTATTTATTTTGAGGCAGAGTCTCCCTCTGTTGCCCAGGCTGGAGTCCAGTGGCGCGATCTCTCCTCACTGCAACTTCTGCCTCCCGGGTTCAAGCGATTCTCCTGCCTCAGCCTCCTCAGTAGCTGGGATTACAGGTGCGCACCACCATGCTCAGCTAATTTTTTTTTTTTTGTATTTTTAGTAGAGACAGGGCTTCAGTATGTTGGTCAGGCTGGTCTCGAACTCCTGACCTCGTGATCTGCCCACCTTGGCATCACAAAGTGGTGGGATTAGAAGCGTGAGCCACTGCACCCGGCCTGGGTATGCCCTTCTCTATATCCCTTACATGGATTAAAAGACTGAAACTCACATAAACACAAATGCAATAGGGAATTGAGGGCACACACTGCATGCTAGTAGGTATACTGCTAACATATTAGATGTTGTAAGGGCAGGTTGAGACAGCTGTGCAAATTCTGGAGTTAATAGTCATGTCTGTACACCAAAAGTTCAAAAAGATGGATGCAATAAAAAACTGTTCCTCAATCAAGAGGAAATGCAGTACAAGAACACCTGTGAGGTGCTAACAGTGGAGCTAGGAATAAGCTGTACTCATCAACTTCCCCTCCAGGAAGAAATTTGAAAAACCCTGGCAACACCTAGCTATGGGATTATCCGTTGTCAGTACTTTAAACATAAAAATCTAATAAATGAGGTGTTTGGACAATAAGAACATGGTATGACATGTATGTAAGCATTCCTCTTCCTTTTATTAGCTTATGCCACACGGAATTCCACTGATTTGCTGCTTAGATGAAAGAACATGATCTTTCATGTTGTTGTCTTTTTTTTCTTAAATGATTCCAAGAGACCCATGATCAAGTCTAAGGGTACATGTTCCTTATCCTGTCTCTTAACAAAGAGACATGTATTGATAATTTCCCTATCACCATATACTGATATTTATATACATATAAATATCTCCTTATTTTGAAATTGTTATGGGCTTGTGTCCCCCCCGCCAAAAAAAAGTGTTGAAGTCCTCGCCCAAGATGAGGTCATATTGGAGTACTGTGAGCCCTTAATCGAGGGTGGCTGTGTTCCTCCAAGAAGACTAAGTGAAGATGCAGAGACACACGAAAAGAACATCGTGTCACAGCAGAGATAAAGACAAGAGATGCAGCCACAAGCCAGAGAACACCAAAGATTGCCAGCCACAGCCAAGAGCTAGGAAGTGGCAAGGAAGGATTTCTGTTCAGTCTTAGAGGGAGCGTGGCCTTACTGATACCTTGATTTCTTACTTCTAACCTTCAGAATCATGAGAAAAAAACGTAGATATATTGTTTCAAGTCACTAACTTGTGGGACTTTGTTATAGTGGCTCTAGGAAGCTAATACAGAAGTGGAGAAGCAATACAGCACAAAACACAACATGATATGTGAAAATTAATTCCAGGAAAAGGAAGCAGTTTTAAAACTTCCAAAGAAAATGTACTCTAGGAATCATACTGAAGTTAGGGATGAGGAAAGTCAATTTGTTTTTTATCATGTATATCTTCAGTTGAGTTCAAGAGGATGTGGCTTCTAAAAAATAGGAAAGACATTTATAAAAGAAAAATCCAATTTCAAAACAAAAGCACCGAAGAAGAAAGTTGATAAGAATACCAAGCCATAGCAAAACCCAAATTTCAAAACAAAATTAAAGTCCATTATGGAGTGAATTAGAAAAGAAATTGGTACTGCTGAAAATCAGTTCAGTGAAATCGTTGATAATTTTAAAATTCCCCAAGATTTAAGAAATAATGACAGAAGATAACAGATAAGAAAGATACTAAAAGAGAACAAACATAAAAATTGTGTCTTTTTGTTTTTTATTTTTACAATATAGAAGCTTGAATAATTGAACTGAATCTATCATAAAGATATATTTGAAGAAAATCTTATGGAGATGAAGTAATGACTGTAGATATTAAAATAAAACAATGCACAGAGGAAAATAACACATATTTGTCAATGTTAATTTCAGATAAGGTAGGATTTTAAAGGAGAGCACTATTAATAGAGACCTGAGAAAGACCTTTTACGTGGATACTAGGTTAAAAAACATCACAAAACAATTGTAACAGCACAACATGTATATGGAAAATAATGCCAGAAAAATAGAATTGTCAGCCCAGTTTCTCCCATTTTCCACTCCTTTCCCCCTAAGGAGGAAGGATTCCTCTTCGATGGGTATGTCAATCTAAATAATAAAATATTAAATGGAAGGAAATGGTGAGAAATGGAGATGAAAGAGAGAAGGAAGATAGAAGAGCAGAAGGGTTGAGGGTAGGTTGATTTTGTTGAGCATGTAAAAGTGCTGGGTGAAAAGATCTAGAGTGTGAGGGAATATATGGGAGAGGAAAGGTATGTTTCAGTAACTTTTTTAAGGAAACTACACATATAAATCTTTCAAAATGACCTTTGGATATATGCATGAACATTGAAATTTCTTTTTAAGTACTTCAGGCTTCTTATTATTGAATACAATATTGTTCTGAAACTGAATCACATGGATATCTTAAGATTCACATAAGAAACTGTCCACACTGGTGCTGTTGACAAATAGGTTTGACTCAGCAGGTCTCAGTTTTGGCTTCTCACTAGAATCCTCTGGGAACACAAAAGATACTGAAGCCTGGGTTCCATCACCAGATACTCTGATTGAATTGTTCTTGGTGTAGCCAAGAACAATTTTTAAAAATTCCCCCAATAATTCTAATATGCGCCCAAGACTGAGAACCCCTGAGTACTAGGTAGATACAAAGCTGACAATAACCAGTACCCCATGTCTCCTTCCAAATGTATTTGTTGTGGTGGTTACCTGAAGTTAGATGCCATCCTCTGATTTCCTCTTAATGAAGTAGCTGCCATCCATGCAAACATGTGAAAGCAGTATTAACAGAGCACATCTTTCAGATTGCCTTTCCTCCACCTATTAGACATTTCTGTTCACTCACTAGTCCCACATTGCCACCATCAGGGTCATGCTGAGTAACACAAGTAAAGAGGATGCAGCAATCGCAGGCAGCTCGGAATTCAGTATTGTGTGGATTGTCTAAATAAAGCTTTGTTTTACTCTACTGTACAAAGGAGCACTTTGCAATCAGTTTTAAGACTGTACTTAATGCATAAAACAAGATGAAAACATATATCATAATTATTTCATTCCTTTAATATCGACTGGAAATATCCAATAGCATGTGATGTGATCTTTCAGACCCTGCTTAAAGAGAAGCCATGAAACAGATGGATGTCCTGCTGACAGCCACCCAGGAGGCCAGCTTCTGAGACATACGTGGGAAGCTGCAAGCAGTTCAAAGTGATGAGGGGGAGGCTGTAGCACAAACCCTATCAGCAAATAATGGGATTTGTACATCTCCTGTACCTGCAAAGAGGAATTCTCTCGCATACCTTTTCCTACTATTTGTTTTCACTTAAAAAGCTATTTAAAGCCTTCTCTACTCTTGGAATAGAGCACATCTTCTACTTTGCCCATTATCAGCCACAGTAAATAGATTTGAGCTGAGAGATCCAGGCACTTTAATTGCCACTGTGCACTTTCCTCAAGTAATAAAAACAAAATAATCCACTTTTATGTGTCCCGTCGATATGGTCTATGTATAGTGCCAGCACTTTATTCCCCTGAAGACCCACTCTCTAGAAAAGAAAAACTAGTCTGATGGTATTGTTTGCCTTTAAAGAAAATCAATGGTCAAACTTAAAAGGTGATCTTACTTGAAGTAAAACATAGAAGCTTCTTCAGCATATTGAATGGATACACGTGAGCAGCAGTTTGTGTCTTTTGGTTATAAATGACCTAAAGAGGAAGTTCCTGAAACACTGTAGAGAATGGCTTAAATATAAGAGTTGAGTGACTTTATTGGTCTGCTCTAGCCATAGCCAGTCTTACAGTTGGGCTGTATGGCATAGCAAAAACAGCATGAACATTCATGTGGGAAAATAAGGATTTCAGTCATGGCCCTGGCATTTACAAGTTATTTGTCATCAGGCAAGTTACCTAATCAATCTAGGCTCCCTTTCCACAAGCATAAATAAGAATAACAGTATTCATTGTATATTCTGTCATATTAATAAGAGGCATTGCATGTATATTACCTAACCTAGCATATTGTAGGCACTCAACAAATGGCAGGTACAGTTTCCTATCCTGAACTGTTTCTTCTCCATACTATAAAAGCAGTGTGAAAGACCGTGGGACATTTTTGTGTGCTCAATAAACTAGTTCTTAATGTTTTCTTTGTAAGTTACGATTTTCTTTGGAAATGGGCTGAAAACTATTAATACTTCCTCCTACCCTCAGCTTTAAATATACATCACAGTATACATACAACTTAGTTAAAAAAACTCTGTCATGTAGCAACTCTTCTGTCTTCCAAATCCTATAACAATAATTATTCATAAACTACCCTGGGTCCTATTCCTAGAGAAGATAGTAAGGACTCAGTGAGGTTGCAGAGTCAATAGATGTGATAGCCATTCACTTTGAAGTGCTCGATAATATCCCTCTGATTCAAGACAAAAGGGCAATCCAGTGATTTTTCTAAGGCAGAACTGAAATGTAATTCATTGCCCTATATGGTATAATTTTGAAGTTTAAAATTAAAAGAATGACAGAAACATTACTGGAGTTACCAGCCTTCAAAGTGTGATCATTATGCTGGTAAAATGTTGTTCTCAGTTGATCAATGTCTTTCTGCCAGAGCAGGCAATTTTTAAAATACGTAGTGCCATGGTGAAAGTCTTCATTTATGTGTAGTCACATTCATTTACCAGAATTTCACAATAGTAAAGTTAAAAGCATTGGGATTATTTGGTCCACAAAAGACAGGAATGATTAATCAACATATCTCTCTTTCTCTCTTTCTCTTTCTTTCATATCTATGTATCTATCATCTATATATCTATATGTGAATTTCTATATATGAATTCTGTATATTTCTATATGAATTGCTATATTTCTATGTATGAATTTCTACATCTCTCTGTATCTCTATAGAGAGATGTAAAAATCATATATGTGTGTGTGTGTGTTGTGTGTGTGTGTGTGTGTGTATATATATATATATATATATATATATATATATATATATATATGAAAAACATGAAGGATGAACCAAGAAACAGGAATTGAGACAAAGAGGCAAAATATAGTCTTTTTGGTTTCTATTGCCCGGGAAAAGAATATTTTCAATTTCAAATTTCTCTTAACTATAAAGGCCAAGGCTGGACCATGCAATGGTATGCTAAGGCTGAGACTAAGTTCTGACAACTTATGTCTTATATTTAATTACCACTCTTGTATTGCATTACTGTGTTTTCAATGTGGGATTGGATTAAGTATTGTGTGAGACATTTATCTATACTAAATGAACAATCTAATTTTCATCAAATTATTTAAAACTTTAAAATTTATATTGTTTAGTCTCATATCTAGCCAGTCTTGTATCATCATTTGTTATGTTAACACAGTCTTAATAAGAGTATATGTTTATCGATTTACTACTCAGTCCTTGAGCAAATAGGAATAGAAGTAAGTAGAAAGGAATTTCACTATTTTCTTTTAAGAAGCTCTAAGTGTAGTACAAGATAGAAATACATACATATAATAAATGCTGTTTATGCTCTGTCCAATATGCTATAGAGATCCTTTTTATATTTTTCCCTTTGCTTTTCATCCTGAGCTCTAAAGACATGCTTCTCTAAAATAAAGACAATATTTTGTCACCAAAAATTCTATTAGTTCAAATTATGTTTCCAAAGTGGCCCCATTTGAGCAATTGTTATGTAGCATTTAAACCCTATGTATGTGACAAGGGAAGTATTGGTCTGACAGTCTCTAGTTAAACATTTGGAATTAGAATGGGCAATATACCGAAGAAGAATAATTGCTTCCTCTTTATTACCAATTTCTTTCTGGTTCTCTAAAATATAGTTTAACTAGTCTGCTATTAGATTCAGTTCACAGATTTGGATTCTTAATAACTAACTTATTATCTTAAACAAAACCTCAATATTCTTCTATAATACCTTAGAGGAACCACAGTCATCTTCAGAATAAATTGCATTTGCAGAATAAATTCTTTTCTGTGTACCTACCCAGTCATTTGATGTGCAGATCAGGTCAGTTTTCATCAAGTCTGTTACTGTCTCTCTTTCATTAATAAAAACTGACATTTCAAATTTCAGCTGTTATGTACCTAAACAGATATGCATTATACAAAAGAAGAACAACTGCAGAAATATCCTGTTTCCATTCTGATATGTCTGAGTTTCTAAAACGATTGTATTTAGCTTCTCAACCATGATTGTGAAGTGTTTTTTCCCTACATCCTCACAGGCATATTAAAAGCAAGAAGGTGGTATTAGTCTATAGATTTAAATTCTACAGAAACATCAGCAGATGCTGTGATCAGTAATGTGTGATCAGTGCCTGACCTTTTGCCTCCCCTGTGGAATTTCATTAATTCTAATATTGATTGGGGAAAGATCTGTTTGCAAAAATTGACACAAGAGCTCAATGGAATTTCATTCTTCTGCGATGTGACTTACTTTGCAGAGGTGATATAGTGACAGTAGGTTCAGCTCACAAATAATGAATTCAAAGTATAATAAAATAAAGTTAGTACAGAATTGTTAGGGAGATTCAAAGCAAGAAGATATAAAAGTCAATTTGGGATTAGAAATAATTCAATTCAACATTCATTCACATGTTCATTCATTCCACAATACGGATTGCCTATAATATGCCTGGTAATAAGAAAGCTAGGAGGGGCATTTAATGTCAAATTCACATACTGAACAGTGTAGAGGAGCACTAGAAAGTAAACAGAAACACATTGTACTATGGTCTGTAAGGGTGAAAGATGACATTCTGTAGGGATATAAAAGGAGCATGTAATTTATAATTTTTCCTGGGGGAACCAGAGAAAATGCCAAGAAAAGAGATAAGAACATTTATCCAGGGGAAGAAATGGGCATATAAGGCATTAATTCGGAGACAAGAGAGTATAGAGTATGCCACCAAAATGGAAATCAATTAGGATGGTTAGAACACATGTGTGAGAAAGTATGGTGAACATGAAAGTTAGGTGGTTTCATGGTCCTGAATTCCATGTTAGAACTTGCTCTAAAGCACTTGGGAACTGGATAAGCTTTAAGCAAAGAAGGTCCATGATCAGATTAACATGAGAGAAATTCTGAGCACAGTATGAGCAATTGACCAGTTGGAGAGGAAGAATAGTGATGCCAGTTAGGAGAGTATCACAGAAATGTAGGTAAATAATGATATGGAATACAGTTATAGTAATGGCAAAATTAATAGAATAGACGAATCAAGAGATAAAGGACATAAAATTTTGTGGCTTATGAAATGTAGCAATTGTGGTAGAAAAAACGTTAATCCTTATGATTTGGTGGAGTAACAGTGTAGTTGGTGGAATGAGTCAAAGAAGAAAAAGAATATAAGAATGAAGGGGAAATAATAATAATGAGTTTTTAGTAGCAAGGCAATAATCCAGAAGTGATATCCAGTAGCAATTAGATATTAGGGTCAGGGGCTCAGAAATAGAACCAGACTGAAAATATGGTTTTGAAAATCAGGAACGTGAAAATGGTTGATTCTTCCGAGATAAAATTTGCAGTGAGAAAAAAGAAACCGAAGGACACCAAGATTTAAGAGTCTGGCTTAAGAAGAATCACCCATGAAGGAAACTTAGTAGGATGTAGAGTCTCAAAAGCCAAGGGAATACTATTAGAGAAAAATTAACAATGTCCAATTATAATTAAAGATTTATAACATTAGGAGCAAATTTGTCATTTGATTAACATCGAAAATATCAATAGTGGTCATTGTAAGAGCAGTTTCAGTGCAGAGAAGTACATGGCAAGTGGGAAATAATGATGGAAACCATGGACAACACTTTCAAGAGTAGATAATAAAGAGTCTGGCTAATAAAGATAACAAAGAGGGCTGGCTAATACATTTGAAGGTGGATATGCTTAAGAGGCTGAGACTGACAAACGGTCTAAGCAATGCAGAGAGGCATGACCAGGTGTGTTAAATGAGTGGTGAGGATTCTTTGGCAGGAACAGAATCCATGAAGTGAGAGATTCAAGGTCTTTTATATCTATGTAAATGCAAATGCCTCTGCGCTCTCCCCATCTTTGAATCCAACTGTTATAGAAGTGTGTGTGATGGACAAAGTGCAGGTCACATGACCACAAAGAGGACTGTATGGGGACATGGGTTTTCTAGTTTCTCTCTGAAAGCAGGAATCATAATACATGCAGTTTACCCAAATACAGAAAGGATGTTCAAACATGGTTAACAAAAAATTGAAATGTCTACTGTATCCCCTATATTTGAGAATAAATTTAGGAGGCTATAAAGCCAGCCAGAAGTAAAAGCTGGCTTAGGAACTGTGCTTACATAAGTTGCATTTAGTTTGGGAGATTTTGAATGTGAAAGTTGAAATCAAGAAAAACATATTCTCAAATATAGGGAAATTTTAGGAATACAGTACAGGATTAGTACCGTATTCCTAACGGTACTAAGGTAGGAAGTTGTGTTGAAAGTATGAGCAAGAGTAGCACCAAGAAGAGAAAGAGCAGAGAAAGATAAGAAAAATACCTCAAGGCTGAAATATTGGAGAATTCCTTAGCTTAAGGTGTTAGGAAAAGCAAAAATGGATCTTAAGAAAATAATGCTGTGAGATTTAAAGAGAGGATAAATTTATGTCCAACTGAAAGAAGACAGTATTTTAAGATGGATAAATTGTTTCTTAAAAGTACAAGTGGAATAGAGTAGTCAAAAGGACGAGGAGTAGTTTGGCACTTGAGAAGTTATTGGTGACCTTAGAGAGATAATCTTCACTGGAACACTAAAGAGTAAAGATCAGGTTTAATTGGAGTTTTAGCCCAGGTCTCCCAAGAAGTAGATACCAAGATATGATTAAATATGCATGGCTTTTGTCATAGGAATAGCCTGTGAGAGATAATGAGGAGGGAGCAGGAGAAAGCTGGGAGAGTCACAAGGCAGTGATGCAAGTCTTACCCAAGGGAAGAAGAAAGGGAGGGGAGGAGAGTAGAAGTTCCCAGACTCCTCTGCAGTCAAATTAAATTTCAGCAAAGCCCTCAGGATATCTTTAAGTCAAAACTGGCCATCAGAAAAATCTTAGGGCTTCCAAGAATGAACTGGTCTTAGTATCTCTATTACACTCAGCTATTGCCTAAAAGCAGCTCGTGGGAAACTTGGTCTTTGAGCCACTGTGGCTATGAATTCAGAGCATAGCACCAGGGGCCCTTGGTCAGTTTTGCTCCATGTAGTTGGAGGTCTTCAAGGAAAATTTTCATGGACACATAGCAGAGGAGAATGAGGACAGGAGGAGAAATTGGCAGGAAGTGCATATCTAAAAGTAAAGCAAAGGGGAAAGATGAGAAGGGTATTTAAGAAGGATGAGCAGGCAAACTTTATTATAATGTATGAGATGATAGGCTACCATATTATCTATGTTATTTATTAGGATACTGAGGATGCTAGAATGATTACAGGTGCTTCTGTATTGTCTACAGAGTTTACTAATTGCACACATGCATGCTAGCAGATAATTGATAAATTATAGTCTCATAATTGACGGGAGAACAGGAAACCAAAGATGCAGATGGAGGAGGTAGTCTTAGGCGAGGAACAAGATAGTTTTACCTCAAAACCAAAGTGAGAGAAATATGAAAGGAAAATACTGAGAGGTTTTACAAGAAGAGAAAGGAAAATAAATTGACTTCTTTAAGTTAGGAAGCAAATTTGTTGGCATGATGAGGTTAGGGCTTGAGCCAAGAGGATGAAATTTTTTCCTTGCAATGTTAGGGACATTACTTGGTACCAACACTGAGTTAATGGAGGGATTTATGTGAATTCATGTGTATAGAGCTAGCAAATGTCCTTCGAATGGTGTGTAATTCTCTGGCATAGTTGGGCAGCTTGGGGATTCAAAGCAGAGGATTAAAAAGTTGGAAAGAACACATAATTGGGGAAGTGATTCTAAAATGATACTGAGATTAGAAACAAAATGATTCTAAATATAAGAGGACAAATGGAAGTGCAACCATAGGAGTGGACTCTCATAGTACAAATTTTACAGCTTAGACAACACGTAATTCTTCGTTTACAAAAAGCTCTTTTACTTTTTAGTTTTTCTCTATGGTATTCATCAATATATTATGTGTCTTGAATAAGGTCAACTTTAGTAGGCACAGATGATTATAAAATTGATGTTTGAGATCCTTAATATCATTTACAACAAATACAGATTTTGCTTCTCTTAGGAGAAACAGAATTAACAAACTTTATGATTCATGGATCTAAGTGAAACACATGCCATCTGTTCACCTTCTATCTTTTCATTAGGATACCTACAAATCACTTGTGTAGTTAAGAAGAAAATATGGCCACTGGAGTCTAGAAAAGCAGTTTACAGCTACACAGGCAGCAGCCATCATCCCATTGACAGAACCAAAAAGTGGTTTCACATTAAAAACATTATAGAACAGATTTTTCTCATATAGTCATGATCAGAATGTGGAACCCAAATTCTTCATAAATTAATATTGATCCTCCATTTCAACGATTAGTTACGTAGAGATCATGAATCATGTCCTACATGATTCATTCCTACATTGATAGACCATATACTTATTGAGCATGTACTCTGTGGCAGCCACCTTACTAGGTGATAGTGATGAAAGAGTTAAGAAGAAATCACCTAGGCAGATAGTGAAGGTAGGAGAGTCCTCCGTAAGGTTTTCCTTTTAATGTAAAGCTGCCCCAAAATGGCATATTCAAAATGACGCCACTATATTCCCTTCTCTGCCAGCCATGTGTACAGCAAGGAGCAGACAAGAGGTGCTAGCCCAGGGAAAGTTAATTTGCATAATAAGATCAGGGTGGGGCAACCAGCCTTCCCCATGCGCTTTGTGAATGTCATACCTGATAGAACCAATCTGTGAGCCCTATGTAAATCAGACACTGCCTCCTCAAGCCTGACTATAAAATCCAGTGCATCCGCAGCTGGCGAGTCTTTCCTTTCTGAAGTCCCCTCTGTCTCACTAGAAAGAGAGCTGTTTCCTTTCTCTTTCTTTTGTCTATTAAACCTGTACTCCTAAACTCCTCATATGTGTCCCTGTCCTAAATTTTCCTGGCAAGAGAGACAAACCTTGGATATTTACCCCAGACCTTGTAGCTGTTTCAGTAGTGCTACAAGGGTAATCAAAATAGCCTCAGTTTCTACCGTTGTGAATTTTGCCTTTTATTCAGGCGTTGCTGCCCAAAGTGTGGTCACCAACTTGCAGCATCTGTATCACCTGGAAAGAACTTGTTGAAATGCAGAATCTGAGGCCCAGCCCAGATCCCCTGAATCCAAATCTGCATTTTAATGAAAGTCTTGATTCAAATTCAGAGAATGTTTGATAAGTACTGTGTAGTACACACTAGCAGATTAAAAACATTACAGTGTTATAGCACTGTAATAGGAATACACAGAGCACCAGGGACATGCACAGAAAGGCCACCTGACCCAGACTGAAGTGCCAGAAAAGATGTCTTATTAATCCTTTATGCAACTTCTATCAAATTAGAAGACTCTGATGATTCAAAATATTCATCAAGAAGAAGGTTCTGACTAGACAAACTACCCCTACTCCATTGTGGCTCTCTCTAGCCTCCTTGGGAGGTTATTGAATGAACACTAAAACGTTGCAACTTTTAAACATTTTCTAGATTGCATATTAATCTCTCATCCTGCTTTTTATTTACAAATATACTTTACCTCATTGCTTTGTCACTCTTAACTTTTTTTTCAGTTTGTGAAACTTGTTAGAAGCTACTCTTAAGAAGTTATCTTCCAATTGTCTTTAGAACGCATCTTTATGTCCCTTGGGACAAACTAATAAGTGCTGTCCAGAAGGCCAACTTACATGCTTCTCCCTGTCCCCATTTCACTTAATCCCTGCCCACATTAAGGTCCAGAGTCACCTCTGGCAATAATCAATTTCGGATTTAATTTTCTCCAGATTCTTTGAAATCTCCACTAAAGGATGTCATTAAAAATGGTTTAGCGCAGTTCAGTGCTCTGATAAAAAAACACTACTAGTAATAGCAATAACAATTATTATTATGCCTTACATTTTAGGGTATATTTTTCTATGCCAGGCCCTACAATAAGTTCCTTACATGTATTTCAATCTCATGACCAAATAAATTATGTACAATTATTAGCACAAATTTATCACTGTGAAACTCAGAGAAAGACCAAATACATTGTTTAACACCTTAGAACTGGCAATCCGGAAACCACATCCATATAGGCTGAATTTCACAACCTGAACTTGATGTCCCTATTATCTTGAGGAGAACATGAAAAAAAGTGAGCATCAGTAAAGATTCTAACACGTGTTGTGCTGGGAAGAAATAACTAAATAACTCAAGAAAAAGCACCTTTCTTATACCTCTTCAAATCTCTGTATTTGCTGAAATATTAAATCTTGGGAATTCTAATTAATTTTAAATTTTTGAAAGGTAAGAATATGTTTAGGGAAAATAGTTCTTATAATTCATGTTAATGACCCCTAGAAAAGAGAGGGTTTCTAGCTTCTGTGTTTTAGCTTCTTGATCTTCCAGCAAACCCAAGGGTTGCTATACTATGGAAATATCCTATCTCACCTCACCCACTCCAAACCGACTATTTGTTTGGAAAATGTACCACCTTCAGTCCTACACTTTTCTGAATTCTCGGCTCTGAAAGCATGATGCGATTTTTCCTCCTTTTCCTCCAAAACTTCTAATAGTGCATTGATTACAGCTGGTAAATGGTACGATGTGCCCCAACCAAACATACTTTTGTTGATTTATTTGGCTGTTGATTTTCCAAATAATTTTCAATCTCCATCCTCTATTTAAGCAATAAAGTTTGAAAAAGTAGTGGTGAGTATGACTCTCAGGGAATAACAAAGATTCATGAAAAAATATAATCCGGGTAAGCCTTACTTCCCAGGGAGCACAACAATAACTTTCCTGTACAGAATGGAGAGTTTCACATTATTATTATTGAGTAGAATTTATACTGACAAACCAAAGTGGCCAGTGAGAAAAAATGCTTGGCTGGATTCTGTTTATGTGACCCTGACATCCTGGAGGACCAAACTGAAGAGCTATTTCTAACCTAAATGCTCAAGTGAATATGCCTCAATCTGTTAAAAATTCAGACTAATGAAACAGCTCTATCTGATAAGTTTTCTACAAATATGGAAAATGATGCCTGTTTTATTTCTGATACTCACTAATGTTTTTCATAGCATTAATAACCGTGAAAGAGATGAAGACCCAGCTGTGATTTGTTTTTTCTCTATCTTATCCAGTTTTTGTTTTTTCTCTATATTATCTTGTAAGTTTCCTTGAATAAGTATGTGATGTCTAGGGTCTGGAAAACAAACAATAGGTTGAAAATAAAGATTTGTGAAAGAAAGACAATATTTACCTTGAACTGTTTTGAAAAAAAAAATTCTTTCTTACTTAGAAGTTTGTTCATTTAAACTATTGTAAAAAAAAAAATTGAAAAACCTTCTCCCTTAATCCTATTATTAGAATTCATGTGTGTGCACCTTACAAATCTTCTGGAATTTTATAGAGTGCACCTCACAGGCAGGATGAGGCTCAGCAAGTGTGTCAACATGGTCTTAGTTCCAACAAAGCCATGGGAAATTAACTTAGAACTTCAAATGTGGCGTTCAAGTTTAGCTTTGAAAATAGACATGTAAATAGATGCACAACTTGTGAATTGAGTAATTAACCTGTCATAAACATTAAGCTTTGAATCCCTTAATGTTAATATTAAAATCAAGAATTAAGTAAAAATATAAAATCAAAAGCAATAAAATATTTAGCTAAGAACAATGTATTTGCAAGATGATATGTTTTTTTTTCTAGTAGATAATTTTTTTTTTTGCAACATTTTGAAGTCAAGGGCAAAGGATGCACGTTTTCTTTCAAGAAGGATAGCATCAAAGTCGTGTGAAGTTGTTTAATTTCTGTAAGATATCTGGAGGAAGGGTAGGAGTGACCTAGGATTCCACCACCGCAAATAAAGTTGTGAACCCATTTTTTCTAGCTTGACCCGGTTGGGTCTTCCATATCCTGACCACTTCACAAGGTGTTTTTGTTTTGTTTTGTTTTTGAATTTTTCAGGGTCTAAATAGCTGCATTTGGGGGAGGGGAAGGGAAGAAAGGGGAAAGAAAAAACTTAAAAAAAATTTTTTTGAATCTCTCAGAACCTCCTCTACTTTCAGAAGCTTAATAGCTTAAAGCAATGTTATAACTAGTTTGTTTGGTATTTTTTGTTCTTATTTGGATTAGCCATGCATTCAACATAAATAATGTTTATTTTTATCAAAACTCACCTATGGATTTGGTAGGAAATACAGAGACCAATGAGAAATATAGACAAAGTTTCTACTTTTAGGAATTTAGAGTTAATTAGTGAATAAAAGGCATAATAAATCCACAGTAGTACATAATGGTCGATAGAAAATGCCACAAGCGGGTACACAGACAATGCTCTTGGTGTTTAGAGGAAGAAAAAAGATTAAACAGACCAAGAATTTATAGGTTACATCATGGGATTTAATACAATGAAATAATTTTAAGGAGTGCTGTGTTTGTATGTTTACAGAAGATAGATTTCCATGATATGTTGTCAAATAAAACAAACAGATGCAAACATAGCATTTAGAATATAATTAGATCAATTTACACTGCATATCCAATGTGGATTTATGTATAAAAAAGTTTCAGGTCTTAGATGACTGTTCTCCAAAAGTTTAATAGATGTTTCTGTATAGTGGGGCTTTACCAAGATGGCTTAAATTTCCCCTGAGCTTGATTATTCCTTATACAGGTTTCTTCCTGATTACAGCCTGACCTCCCTCCCTTTGCTTAGAGAATTTACTTTAGAAAACTTGCAATTATAAATGACTAATGGGTACTAGGCTTAATACCTTCGTGATGAGATGATCTCTACAACAAAGCCCCATGACATATGTTTACCTATGTAACAAACCTGCACATGTACCCCTGAACTTACAGTAGAAGCTAAAACATAAATCATTCCCTCATTCATTCATTCATTCATTCATTCATTCATTCATTCATTCTCTCGCCCTTTGAGAGATAAATATGATCCCAGCCTCTTGCCAGCTGTACGACGCAGGAACCCTCCCTTAATTATCAAAAGAGATAAGGACCCTGTATCTATCTCAGTCTCTGTGAGAAGCAGGAGCTTAATTTCTGTAATGGACAATTAGCAAACACAGGTGGCCTAATCACATCCACCAGCTCTCTTTGTGTCCTCTAGTACTTTTCTACCAGCTTACCCCAGTGCTTAAAATTTCTCTCTCCTTGTGTTTCGATGAAATTGAGTTCAATCTCTTTCCAAAATGCAGTAGCCTTGACCTCTATTGGAATAGTCTTGAATAAGGTCTTCCTTGCCTGTTTAGCCCTGTCTGGTGCAAATTTTCTTTGACAGTCTCCAGATATGTTTGCTTTTTTTTTTATTTCTGTAATTTAAAAAATGTTATAAGTGAGGACTAAGCTCTGATTTTTTTATCTTACCCACATTTTTACCTAAGGGATCTAGGGAGTCATGCCCTACAAACCATGCATTCTCACCAGATGGGTTTTATTTGACCCTATATATCGTAACTCACTTTTCAATCTGACTCTGGCATAGCATTACGAGCCAAGGAAAAAGTATTTAACCCTAAAATATATTTCCTTGCCATACCTTGAATTGCCCTGCTAAGGCAATTTCCAGATCCTATAGAGAATCCCCTTTCCCTTTTGTTTTCCTTCCTTTCTTTCCAGATCCAGGAGATAATAAACTAAGAGCCAGGCACCCATTTAGGTCCCATAAGAAACATTTTACAAGATACTTTCTGTCTCCGAAGCCTGCTATCTGAGAGATTCCTCTGCATAATAAAACTTGGTCTCTACAATCCTTTATCTTAACCAGAAAGTTCCTTTCCAGTGATCCTAGGTCTGCAGATAAACTCAACCAATTGTCAACCGGAAAATATTTAAATTTACCTATAGGCTGGAGGCCTCCCCTCCCCTCGCCAATTTTGAGTTGTCCCGCCTTTCTGAACCAAACCAATGTATTTCTTAAATGTATTTGATTGATGTTTCATGCCTCCCTAAAAATATAGAAAACCAAGCTATACCCCAGCCACCTGGGTCACATGTTCTCAGGACCTCCTGAGGGCTGAGTCACAGGCCATGGTCATTCATATTTGGCTCAGAATAAATCTCTTAAAATATTTTACAGTTTGACTCTTTTCATGGATAATAATCCGGCGCTCAAACACGTGGGGCCTCAGAGAAGACTCAGGACCCGGAAGGAGTTGCCTGAAACTGGAGCTAAGATACTAGAAGAGGCCCATTGAAGCCCTACCGAGTTCGAGTTTCTCCTCTGGTGGAACTGATAAGTCCTCCTGAGCCCTGGACCTCCCTTTGCTTTGGGGGTCCTTGATTTATTCTGAGCTGGTTTTCTTTTAGGGAGTTGTTGTTTTAAGGATCCCAATTCTAGTTGGGAGATTCATTCTAAAGGGAATTCTATATTGCTTTTTCTCCTAAAACGTATCCTGATTTGGTTTGTCTCTGCACATTTGCGTGAGGAACTGAACTGTTGTTTTCATAGATAAATGAGAGACTGAGTTTTTCAGCTCCAAAGAGAAAGGACATTTGCTCCTTGCAGCCGAAAGGTGCCCTTGGGTGACCCGGGGCCTCGCGGGAGTGTCTGGGGGGTTGACCCCCCACAACATGCAGTGGCCCTGCAGAGAAATCCCTAAAAAAAACAAAATTAATTTTAAAAATGGCTCGTCCAGGAAACGCATATAAGGGCTAATCATCTAGCGTTTTGAACCCTCTGAGAGGTCATGGACCTCTGGAGAGAAACTGAGACATGTAAGAGGTGACACACTGTGGAGTCCTGCCCACAAGAAGCATGCATATCGATCCACCACACAAAAACCCTAGGCTATAGCTCAGTTCCTCCTTTTAACAAAAAAAGAAAAAAAAAGGAGAAAACAAGAATGACTTCCTTTCGAGCACTCCGTAGGTTTTATGGCACCCGTACTTGCTAGGGTTTATATCAAATGGAAGTAATATGGTCTTTGTGCACGCTTACATTAAGGAGAGAGTCCTAAGGCCGACCTGTGAACTATAGAGTACCTAGGTTCTATTTTCTTTTCTGCCTGCTTTAATCTGCTGTTACTTTTCTACTGAGATAAAAACCACCGTTTGGATCTAACAGTGTTTTTTGCAAGGTGGCAAAGTTGTATTTGTCTCATGGCTATAGTACTGAAGTAATAGCTATGGGAACTTCGTGTGTGCGTGTGTGTGTGTGTATATATATTTAAAGGCCTTTATGATAGACTTCTATAATTTTATGTTCAGTTGGCAATTGAATCCATTTTAATTTCCCTCCAGCACACCAGACTTTCTCTTTGTACCTTATGATGTAAATTTTGCTATCTGATTTTCATCTGAAGTTGCCTTAATATGCAAATTTAAGGCTATTTAGCTAACAACTGCCTGGGGTAAGATTTTTTTTTAAATGCAGGGGAAAAAAAGTAGGTCTTTATAAGTCTATAAGAACATGTGCCATGTGCTTCTATCACAATGCCTAATACGTCTATATATTTATGTGTGTGTACACAATCTTTTCACTAGTAAAAATATATAAAGAACTTGAACTAATTGGCTTTTAAAAAACACTTAAATCAGATAAGAAAACCACTCAAATGCTTTTTCAAGTTCATGTGACTTAAGTAAAATCTTTACTAAATAAACTGGCTTTAAATTATTGGTAAAATATCAGCGATGTCTTTAAAATTGTTAGCATTTTGTTTGCATTTATTAAGCAAGTAGTTCCATGTTTATTCCTGCAAAATACAATAAGATTTGCCAGAAGGGTTATAAACTATGAAACCCACCCCAAGACAAAATAATCTGTGCTTGTATATGCTTATAAAATATTGCTGGCTTAAATGAAAACAGCTAAATACTGAGTTATTGGTATAAGTACCCTTAAAATTAACCATAAGTTTTATTACTTAAATAAATACCTAAAATTCACAGCTATAAAAATGGTTAATAGAAAAATAAGTGTAAATATTGGCTATCACAGTTTTTTTAAATAAATAATCTAGGTAACTACTAAATCAGGTAAATGTAATGGAATAAATGCTTATAAACAAACTCATTATAATTTAGGATCTAATGTTATTAATTGATATAAAGTATCTGGGCAATTCCAATTTAAGAATTACAGGAAAACTTTTTTTTAAATGTTCTTATTAGAGGTAAAATATCTTTGTCTAATTCAAGGCTTATTTAAGGGTTATATATATAATAAGGTACAGGAATCAGGAAATAAGAGATGTAAAGAAAGTTCAAGGTATAAGGAGGTATTTTTGGTTTAAAAAAAAAAGGAAAGTAATTTTATATAAGAATGTGTGGTAAATTTTTGTCCTAAAATAAAAATGATGGGATTGTACAAGAAAGAGGGATATTTAAGACAAAACAGCCTAAACATGTTGTGAATGAACTATGTAAGTCATAATAAGGTTAGTAAGATAAATTTTTTAAAGGGGTTGTATAATTCAGTTGGCTATAATCAAAAAGAAATCATAATAATCTTTCTAGAGATGGGTCTTTAATATTAAAAAATGCACTATTACAAAACTAAATAATTCGTTAAAACAAGATTGTATTACAGATATCGACTTATTTTTAATGCAAGAAGTTTTTAAATTTTTAAATGCTGTTTAACATTCTTTAACATTCTTCAGATTGATATCTTAAAAGTGCCACTCTTTCTCTTTTGAAAAGTCCTTAAATGATGGCTCTCTCTTTCACCTTTCCTTGGCTCCTGTAACTTTTACTACTTATCTAAGGGAGAAAAATTGTTTTGAAAACAGGCAAATAAAGTATCTTTTGAACATGCCTTTTATTCTGCATGCCTATAATACCTCTATCTTTATATATATACCTCCATCTTTATATGGGGCAACAAAACTCTGAGCCCTATGGTTACCAAGAAAACAGGGAAAAGGGTAAAACCAAGTAACTATTGAAAACCAAAGGGTGTAATGTAAAGGAATTGTTCCATTTTTGTAGATTGGTATAATTCAGTTTCTTTAAAAAAAATCTTTAGTGGATTGTAAAAATAACCACTTTAAGGACAAAATTATTAATTTTAAATGCTACAGAATTTAAGAGCTTGTTTGAATCAATGCAGGACCGGCAGCTTATTACTGAAGAAACACTAAGTATATGGAATCCAAATGTACAGGGGGTTATTCCTGAGAAAGCAATCAGCCTAGTGGGCCAGATAATGCCATTATAAGGTCTGTTTTGCCCTGAGAAGGGGACTGCCCAACTCTCCCTATAAAATACCAAGTGAAGTACCCCAGATGAAGCAGTTAATATGTTTCTTATGCAAGCCATGTTGGACTAGCTTTATGATAATTGGGATATCCTCTCACCTAATATATCTATTACCCAGATCATGGTAAATTTGGGGATTAAGGAGGCCCCTTTTTCATGGTGCCCCTCCCACAGAATCATTGTTCTATTTAAGAAGCCTTATCAAATCTGCCATCCCTCGTAGGTCTTAAAGATGCAACTCCCTGCTGGAAACGCAAACCCTTTTCACCAGAAAAGGTAAAATGGTCTGGGGGTAAAAAAAAAAAAAAAAAAAGTCTCCCTGGAACCAGAACATAAAAACATACAGGTTAATAGAATTATAAAATGTAAGAGGTTTAAACAAGCTTTATGTAAGGTAGTTGTAACCCCTTTTACCTAAATGTCTTATGAAAACATGTACTATCTGTAACTGGGGGATGTTTTCCCCTTTCTAGTACTATAAAACTGAAGACACGTAACTCTGCTCACATAAATTCTCCACTGCATAGCCTTTTGTGTGGAGCGTTTATCGGGGCCGAGGGCAAAAACTGTGAGCACTTCTCAATAACAACCACCGAGCTAGAGAATTTCTACTTGATGGGGCATTTACTGCCTTGGTATGGAATATTGACTGAAGCTACCTCTATGCTAATAGAAATAATGTTTCCCAAAAAGTTCCATGATAAATACAAATGGTTTACATAAAATCTTACGTAATCTTGGCTACCTAATAAGCCAAGAGCCTTTTTCCCTAGGACTAATTGTAAGAAGCTGTTAAATTCTATAGTGCCAAATAGCCCCCATGAGCTGTTTGGTTTGTAAATGGCATTTCCAAGGAAAACAAACCTCTTGTTTTAAAAGCTGCTGCTCTGCTTAAAGGAGGGTCAAGAAAATCGTTTTCTTTTAAGTCATTTGGGTAAAGTATGTTTTTGCAAGCAAATTTAACTTCCTGAGTTCTCCAAAATTCAGATTGTAATTTTCCAACATTATAGTTGTCTGCATGAGTTCAATAATAGTTTAAAAAAAATTTTTTTCAGGGAAAGTGTGACACTTAATACTATATTTTAGCCCTAACTTTTTAAGTGAAGATTAAATCATTATTTCTTGGCTACAGTAATCCTCTAGGAAGTACCAGATTATAATTTTTTCATATATTTAGTTGGTGCCCTCATGGAATAGGTTCCTTTTTCTGTTCTAACATATGAATTACACTCATAACTGTCAAACTATAAATGTTATTTATCTCTCCTTGTTTCACTTCCAATGAAACCAAAATCATGGTATTCTAAAGACCAAAGATAGGACTCTCCCTCATTTGGCATCCTGCTAGCCCTGGATCTGTTTCACTGCTAATGCTCAGCTGCTAAAACTACGCAAGCTGCCTCCCTCTAGGCCCAGGGACTTATTGCAGAAACGGTAGATGCATAAGATTGTAAGGACCAGTTGTGAGGGATAAAATTAGGACAAGATCAAACCCTCCACATCAAGAAGGGGGTGCATAAAATGCCTAAACAGCTGGTAAAACACATTTAGTTGCCTTCTAAACCATTATGTATCATTTTTGCATACACCCCAACTATTAGGGGAACCAGCCCCCAGTATTTCAACATAGGTTCTTTTCTATTTTCCCTAAGTGTCAGCCAGTCTGCGAAATAAAGAGAAAGAGTGCGAAAGAGAGAAATTTTACAGCTGGGCCTCCAGGGGTGACATCACATGTCGGCAGGTTCCATGATGCCCACCTGAGCCGCAAAACCAGCAAGTTTTTATTAGGGATTTCAAAAGGGGAGGTGCGTATGAATAGGCAGTGGGTCACAGAGATCACATGCTTTAGGGGCAATAAAAGATCACAAGGATGGAAGGGCAGGGCAAGGTCACAAGGCCAGGGCGAAATTAGAATTACTGATGATGTTCCATGTCCCGCTGTGCACGCATTGTCATTGATAAACATCTTAACAGGGAACAGCGTTCAAGAGCAGAGAACTGGTCTGACTAGAATTCGCCAGGGTGGCATTTCCTAATCCTAGCAAGCCTGAGGGCGCTGCAAGAGACCAGGGCGTATTTAATCCCTTATCTTCAACTGCATAAGACAGACACTCCCAGAGCGGCCATTTTAGAGACCTCCCCCTGGGAATGCATTCTTTTCTCAGGGCTATTCCTTGCTGAGAAAAATAATTCAGTGATATTTCTCCTATTCACTTTCTGTAAGAAGAGAAATATGACTCTGTTCCACCTGGCCCCGCAGGCAGTCAGACCTTATGGTTATCTCCCCTGTTCCCTGAACATTGGTATTATCCTGTTCTTTTTCAGGGTGCCCAAATTTCATATTGTTCAAACACACATGCTTTACAAACAATTTGTGCAGATAATACAATCATCACAGGGTCCTGAGGTGACATACATCCTCGGTTTACGAAGATGACGGGATTAAGAGATTAAAGACAGGCATAGGAAATTATAAGAGTATTGATTGGGGAAGTGATAAATGTCCATGAAATCTTCACAATTTATGTTCAGAGATTGCAGTAAAGACAGGCATAAGAAATTATAAAAGTATTAATTTGAGGAACTAATAAATGTCCATGAAATCTTCACAATTTATGTTCTTCTGCCACGGCTTCAGCAGGTCCCTCCGTTCGGGGTCCCTGACTTCCTGCAACACCCAACCACAAAAGTTTTCTGCTTACTATAAAATTAAAGGAAAATACTTACTAACAGGATAAAATACCTTGTAGCAAACCTCCTGGGTGTAATACTCCCAATTATAGGTTGCCAAGATAAATATATCTATACATTTATGCATATTTTCAATTACTTTTCAGAACAATGCTTATGTTTTGTATAGCTAATTGCTATAAGTCTGTAACAGAAACCAAGCTTACAGTAGCTTAACACATAAAAGTTAAAAATAAGTCAGTGTTGTAACTTTACCTTTTGGTTTTATTGTCAGCTTTTTTTTTTTCTTAAATAATCGTAAGAAGTAATAAATGCTTGTTCACATCCATTTCTGTATATCCTAAAATAATTAATTGGCTATAAGTCTTTTGATTCTTAAGACCCTCAGCCACAGGGAGTCCTGCCAAGGGAAAAAATGACACTGTAGAATTATGACTTCTCCTGTGACAAAAGCTCTTCTCTCCCAAATACTAGTATATGGTGCAATACAAAAGTGGTGGGAAAAATAGATTTGTCTACTGTTAACAAGTCTATAATAATTTAAACACTGAGGACCAGGTGTTTCTTGCATTTAATTTATACCCTTCTCAAGAGGCTATACCTATGGAAATAAATTGGTTGAAAGAGAGATTAAATTTAGTAAATTCTAATTTAATGTTGGTCACACAATTTTCAAAAAAGATTTATTATAGGGTTCAAATAACCCTTAATAAGGAGGGTAAACATATTGTATGTTGATCAAAGAATATGATGTTGCATTCAGGGTTTTTTTCTGGCTAATTGGGTTGTTTACTGCCGTCAGATGCTACCTGTAATCTTGGATGCTCAAATCTTCACTATCTTTATGATATTTGTTACTATATTAACCGTAGACATTCCTCGTAAATGTTATGCCAGAGACAGCAGCAGGTAAAGGCACAGTTAAAGACCCTGGTCATGATAGCTCTGAAAATAGATGTGATCCGGAATTTTTTTTTTTTTTTTTTTTTTTTTTTTAAGACTTAACCTTAGGCCTGACTCCATCTCACACCTTAAACAATTGGCTATTACATCAGGTCAGACCATGTCCCCCCCTGGTTATGCAAATCACTAATTTTTAAAACTAAGGCCATCAAATCAGAGGACTCTAGAAATAAGCCTTCCTAGCTCCATGGGACACTGCCAGATGGCCAAATCAGACAACTCTAGGAATAAGCTTTCCTAGTGCCATGGGACCTGTTGCTGTTTTCTTGGCCTGCATATGTATTCTGTGGAATGCTTTTTGACCAAGAAGCGGGACTAAGGGCTAAACTCTGATTTTTTATCTTGCCTAAATTCCTACTTAAGGGGTCTAGGGAGTCATGCCCTACAAACCATACATTCTCATCAGACGGGTTTTGTTTGACCCTATACATTGTGACTGACTTTTCAATCCGACTCTGGCATCACATTACAAGACAAGGAAAAAATATTTAACCCCAAAATATATTTCCTTGCCATACCTTGATATTTCCCTGCAAAGTCTCTATAGGACTAGAATCCCCATCCTATAAAGAATCCCCTTTCCCCTTTGTTTTCCTTCCTTTCTTTCCGGATCCAGGAGATAATCAACTAAGAGCCAGGCACCCTTTTAGATCTGATAAGAAACATTTTACAACCTGCTGTCTCTCTCTGAAGTCTGCTATCTGAGAGATTCCTCTGTGCAATAAAACTTGGTCTCCACAATCCTTTATCTTAACCTGAAAGTTCCTTTTCATTGATCCCAGGTCTTCAGATAAACTCAACCAATTGTCAACCGGAAAATGTTTAAATTTACCTATAGCCTGGAAGCCCCTGCTTTGAGTTGTCCCACCTTTCTGAACCAAACCAATGTATTTCTTAAATGTATTTGATTGATGGGCCATGCTTCCCTAAAATATGTATAAAACCAAGCTGCATCCCAACCACCTGGGGCACATGCTCTCAGGACCTCCTAAAGGCTGTGTCATGGGCCATGGTCTCACATATTTGGCTCAGAATAAATCTCTTAAAATATTTTAAAGAGTTTGACTCTTTTTGTCCACATAAGCATCATAAGATATCATTTGGAGCAACCAAAAAGCCTCAAAACCAAACCAAAACAAAGCCCTCTTGTTATTGGTGATATCAGCATTGTAATTCATCTGAAAATATTTGCCTTATAAACTTAAGATGTTTCTGTTTAGATTATTCCAAGAATGTAGCATTTGTCTACCTAGAAAATATATTTTCTCTCTTAGCAACTCCTGTGTTACTTAATTTTCAAAATCCTTTTAGCAATGACTCCTTTTCATAGTGTTCCCTTTTTCTTGTGTTCTCATCTTGTTTGCTATAAAAATTGTCCCTTGATAAATACTATAAACCTACAATAATGCTTTTCCTGCTTTCTACTTAATTGGACCAAAAAATATATCCTGTGATATGTATCCTAAAGGTAGGATGAATGATAGCAAGTTTTATGCATTATTTTAATAGAATTCTAGCCTCTAAATATAACCCCCAAATCTCAATTGTTTAAGGCAGATTCATTCTCCTAAACAATGAAACTTCATGTCTCCCGCTGGCCCGTGCTCATAAAAATATCCTTCAATTACTGCTTTTCTTCCTCGTCCATGTTGCTCACTTTGTAGTTGATAATACTGCAAATCAAATAGCAGTCAGAATAATGAGCTGCTGCCAGTTGGAGTCATAGTTGGTGCTACATATTGTCAAAGATTGTTCATGCTAATCAACTAATAATGGCATTGCTGCTTCCATTGCGCTAAACAGAATTCCCTCCGTTATGCAACACAATTACTACTAATAACCTCTGGAACCTTTGCGTGCTTAAGGAGACTGTTTCAGAGATCATCCGGAGACCTATCAGAGAATAAGCCAGGGAAGACAGAATCTACCAGATGGAGATTACTCTTTAGTAATTAACTAGACATGGCTCCTTTGGGTCCATAACATTTTCTAACATCGTGAGGCATTTCCTTTAGCATATTGATGCGTCTGTATTAATATATTAGATTGTGAGCAGCTAGGAGGTAGTGTTAAATATTAAACATTTCATACATGAATTATATTGTTAATATCCTTTCTTTAGTTTTTAAAATAAGTATGCTAAAATGACACTCAATAAACAAATTTAGAGGCATTAATATTAAAGGAGAACCAATGAATTCAGACTCATGACAAAACGTGTATTTGTTCATTTCTCAAGGGAGACATGGCTTCATGATTATTAATATAGTAGTTAAAGATGTACTTTGAAATGGAAAAGCTGAAAATACCTTAAGTAGAGTTAGACAGTAAGACGTCCTTTCAAAGCGTTGGAAGTCACCACCTTAGGGAACTGTTCTCTTCCCATGTGGGTACCAGGCTTCTCAGAGGTGCAGGATTAGATGACTAATGAGCTGTGACATCCTCTGTGACACAGACATTGTACATCTTGTTTTAGGAAACATTTAAAATGAGAGAGAGGGACTCTCTCAGAGGTGGTGAGAGTTTCATTGGGTTAAAGAAGCCGTCTCTCCATTTGTCACTGTTAAAATTTGTGGTGAAAAGCATAAAAACACATTTAGGTTGGAGCTGAATGATTTTGGACAGGCTGACAGACAGCTGTGTTTTGCTGGTTTTGAAATGCAGATTTGGTGGTGATACAATGTGGTGTCATTATTTCAAGCCTTATAAGGCATTTTGTCTAGGTGATAGCTGGTTACCTCAAGGTTATTTCGTTAATAGCTCAAGGTGAGGGCTTTAATAATGCTTGAAGTTATCATTGTTAATTAACCCTTTAAAACTGGCAAGGAATTTGCAATACCCTAATCACAGTTACTTTGAATATTTTACAGGAATTGTTAACTTAACTGTCAGACTACCCCTCAAAGGAAAATTTAGATTTAAGCAAACTTTCCCCAAGGAAAACCATATTAAAGATGGTAGAAAGATGTCTGTAAGTTACCTGTTGCACCAAAGGCATTTATGGAAGATCTACTGCACCCCAGCCAATGGTGCTAATCACCACATTTACATATTTGCAGGAATCCTCAAAGGAGATAATATCTTCTGTACAGAGTAGAATGTGAGCCTTGGCAATCTTATGTGGCTTGCTATAGAACCTTGCAACTAGGTGTGTGGTCCTTGTTCTAGCAGTGTAAGTATCATTGGGAGCTTGTTAGAAATGTAGAATCTTAGACACCCCCAAACCTGCTGGGTTAGAAGCTGCATTTTAACAAAATTCCCAAGAGACTGGTGTGTACCCAGGTTTGATAATCACTCTCCTGGGACAAATAGCTAATTAAGTGGTGGAACCGGCTTCCAAATCCAGGCTTGTTTAGCAACATATACATCCCATACTCAGTAAACAAGTCATGCCATTTGTTATCACATGTTATTGTTATTATTTTGTTTGCTTTATTTTTAAAAATTTGTTCTTCAATGAAGCATGATTGTGGCAGGCCAGGTCTCACTAACAGCTGAACAGGCAGGCCTCCATCACAACTGTTTCAGCACTGACTGAGTAGTTAGGTTAAATATTAAAAAGCTGAAGGAACCAATGCCCTTATGCAAAATCTGGAATGTAACAAATGCTGATGAATAGTCTTGCCTAGGCCTTTCCTGAGTGTTGAAGCCTGACAAGAAAATGAATAAATTCTTAACAGGACCCATTTAGGATTAAACAAGTTTTATTGGTGGTCTGAAGAAATTCCCCAGACCTCCGCAAACAAGTTTTACTGGGGCTCTAAAGAAACTCCCCAAACCTTCATGACTTAGCAGGAGACAAGATAAGGGTAATCACCCCCAGTACCTGAACCCATCTAGATTAAGTAAATGTACTGTATTAGTCTGTTTTGGTACTTCTGATAAAGACATGCCTGAGACCGGGAAGAAAAAGAGTTTTAATTAGACTTACATTTCCACATGGCTGGGGAGGTCTCAGAATCATGATGGGAGGTGAAAGGCACTTCTTACATGGTGACGGCAAGAGAAAATGAGGAAGAAGCAAAAGCGGAAACCTCTGATAAACCCATCAGATCTGGTGAGACTTATTAACTATCGTGAGAATAGCATGAGAAAGACTGGCCCCATGATTCAATTACCTCGCCCGGGTCCCTCCCACAACATGTGGGAATTCTGGGATATACAATTCAAGTTGAGATTTTGATGGGGACACAGCCAAACCATATCATTTACTGAGGCTCCAGAGGAAGGTCTTCAGGACTCAGACCTTAGCTATAGATGAGAAGAAGTTAATAACTTATGTCTTTAGATGAATGCACACTTACACATAGACGTATAGCTTAGAAGGTATATAATTTCTGGAAAACTTTGTAATTTTGTGTTGGTCTGGTGATATTTTCCCAGCCTTCTCCCTGTACCTAATTACAGAACTGAATTCTCTTCTTTCCCAGTTTGTCTGCATCTTGTTATTGGGCCATGAGAATAAGCAGCCCAACCCTCAGTTTGGTCCAGGAATGTGATGGGGAATTGAATGAAGCCCTTCATGCAAGGTCAAGAAAAGTTCAAAGTCAGGTCTTTTCAGGTCCTTTTTTTTTTTTTTGTCCAACACCAAATTTTGATGCTACTGATATCTCGTCAATGAAAAAGAGTTAGGAATTAGAGGTTTAAAGTACAAGTTTAGAGATTTAATCTACTAAGTTATTTGCACATTCATAAGATTGTATGTGTAGGTGTCATTCTGTGTGGAGCAGGGACATGATCATAAACACAAATAAAATGCTAGCTTTAATATTCTAATGCACTGTTTTATGGAATATAGAAGATAATTTGCAGTTGAAACCATTGAAAAATTTCTGACAATTCAACAGAGCTTACTGTGTGCTTCATGTGTTTTACTACCAGTTACAATATCTCTTTTCCTTTGTCCCTGTTTCATCTTCTTTCTCTCTGCCATTCTGATTTGTTTAAAAATTTGAGAAACATTCCCCTTACCTGTTTACACACTGGCCCTAAGAATTTAGGTGCTGTTAAAAGTCAGGCTTGAAGATGTTGTATATTTTTAAATTGTGGCTTTTACTTAAAACAAATGTGCATAAAACTAATGAAATGCTTTATTTAAAAATGTTATGTTTGAAAATTCTTATTAGTTACAGATAAATGTGAATTTAAAAATATATGGGCAGCATTATTCTCAATATTCTAATTATTTGACTCTACATACACTTTAACATAAAATTTATTTTTTTTTAGTAGAATAAATACTCTCAACTTGTTATCTTATCTTAGGTTATAGCCCAAACATGATTGGGTGCTGCATCAGTACAGTCAGTACAGTTTTTTCTGTTTTTTTTTTTTAATAAAAACATAACTCAGCTTTATTCAGCCAAGCGTTTATACTTTTTTATGATGTCATGTATAATTCTATTATCTCAATAATTCTAAGAATGGATACTTTTTATATGTAAAACCATATTGGATTTCCATCTAAATAGATTCAGAATGAAAAACTCAGACCCATCACAAACCTGAACCCGGAATGTGTCTTATACTTTTGCTCTTCCTCTCCTCTGTAAGAGCCTGCTGCTTTTGATCAGGCTCTCTGAAGCCCTCTCATTCTCTCAGGCCCACCTCAAACTCACCTTCTTCTACTTTTCTTTCTTGCTAAAACTCTACCTCAGACAAGTACTTGTTTGCATTTTCCTTCCTTATCACTCACTCACTGTTTCTGCCACATTTGAGTACAGCTGATTTTATCCAGTTATATCTGATCTTATTTTCCTAAGAAGGGTCTAAATCCCTTAAGAGCAGAAACCTCATATATTTTTTTGGTCACTCAGAGTTCTGTACATATGGGGCTGGAGACTCAGAATGCTGACATACTTATTGAAAAAGAAAAGTATGTCTACAGGCATAAGGGTGCTTATAACACATGAAATAAAATTATTTCATGCTATATCTTTTCAGAAAACAGTTGCATCTTTCTTCTGTCCTTTGTTAGACACTTTGAGAGAACATCTATTAAAATGATTATTAATAGCTTGGAGATACTAGAAAGATGTCTTGGTCATGTAGTATGGAGAAGAGGATTAGAATTATGGCTTTGCTTCTTACTAGCTCTGTGATTTGAGCAAGTTTTTTTTAACATCTCTAACTCTCAAAATGCATTAAATATCATGGTACAAATGCCAGTAATTTTATATGGCCTTTTTTGGGTGCTAGATGAAAAAATATGAAAAATTACCTAGTAATGCCTTGTGAAAAGCAAATACTCAATATTTGTTGTCAAGCAGTGTGAAGGCAGTACCTCTATTCAAGTCCAGTGAATATGGCAAAATGTATCTTCATCATAGGTGAAATGCCCAAGTAAGCTAGGAAAAATACAGTAGATACTATTTATTTGTTATTATCAATTAGACACAGTGTTACATAATTTAAATAATTCTTGAAACTTTTAAAAAAACATTTGAACCTTTGTAGCAATATTATAAAGTTTTAATAGTTAACTTTACAGATGAGGCATTGAGAGTTTCCATAACTTGCTCAAGGCCATAAACATAATAGAATTAATAAAGCAAGACTTATGGAGTTTAAAAATAAGAGCAATTTTATTTCTATTTCTTATTGTCCCTTTAAACCATCTCAGTGGATGCAGTTCTTCCATTGCCCCTGGACAGCAACAAGATTATTTGGACACTGGTAAGTAGTAGACAGTCCAGGTGAATTTGCTTCAAAGACAGTTTCATTTATTAATTAAAACTGCCTACTCCCATATAATCATCAAAGCTTCCAATCTGATGGAAGGTAAAACTTATTTCTGCATCCTCTGGCTAGAACCAGTTGCCTCAGAAAAGGACTATGGTCTGCTTTATCCCTTTTGTTCACTTTTCCCACTGTGTAGCTATAGCTTTGAACTCCTTCAAGGTAGTACTCTATTCTGGAGGTTGCCTGTTCCTTCAGCCCTAAGAAAGCCAGTCATTTAACTCATTATTAGCTCTGTTAACCCTAGATTTTTCAAACTGAATCCTAGTGCATCAGCAGCTCTCCTTTACATTGCCATCAAAGTTCCTAGCTAGCTCATTCTTTATGCTGAAAGATTTCCTAGGCAGAAGCAAGATACCAATTTAGTGTACCTTATAAACACACTTGGGACACATATCAAACCTCTGAATGGTCCTGTTGAATAATCTCTCACTAGGCTTAAGGTGAAAAATCGGTATCAACTCAATCTTTCTCTCTCTCTCTCTCTCTGTGTGTGTGTGTGTGTGTGTGTGTGTGTGTGTGTGTGTGTGTGTGTCTGTGATGGGATTGGCATGAGGAAGAGGTATTAAGAGCATATTGGTAACCTTATCCAAAATTACCCTCATAAGAATCCCCCATACATAACCCCTCCACCCTACCCAATCTACAACATTACAGTGCTTCTATAGTCTTGATGTAACTGTACTGTTTAAAAGTTGCTAAGCTGTTTTAGGCTAAGTCTTTGCAACATTTATATGTGGTTGATCACTTCCTTTGAAATGTAAAATTTAAGATGTGGAGTTTGAATTGAACTCATGTCTATCTACGGCCATGTGCCTTCCACTTTATAGAAGAAATTAGGTCAGAGGATAGTATGAGTCAATTACTCAGTTTAGGTTTAGAAGTATTTCAGAGTGATTTCTGAAATATGTGTATTATTCAGCCAGTTAGAGGAGGCAGCAATGATTCTTTTTTTGTATCTCTTTTGGTCAAATCCAATTATACTTTCTTGTTTTCAGGCTCATTATATAACTAGAAACAATGCTTTCTTTAAAGAGATGAAAAACAGAAATTGCAAAAACAGAGTCCCCAAACACATGATTTCAGAAGTATAAGAGCTTCAAAATAACAAAAGTCACAACACTTCTGAATTAGATAATGATACAAGAAAATTGGCTGCATTCTTGAGAAGGTACCATATGGATGAATCTACAGCTGTGGCAGAAAAAAAAAATAGAGAAAAAAGTGAAAGAAAATACACAACAATATATTTAGGATAGATTTTTAAACTGTTCAAGGAAACATTTCTTCTTTTCTCATGAAATCCAATATGGCAGATGCCAGAAGACATTAAGAATAAGGATGAGGAATTATATTACAACTCCTGAAAGCTGCCAATATACAAAGACTGCAGGTGAAAGGATGGATAATGGAAATAAAGTATATTGGACTATGAAGAAGAAAAAAAGTGGTACCTTTGTACACTTATGCATGATTGAGAACAAAGAATGGCACCATTTGAACAGCAAAATTTTGGAGAGTTTAATCACCATTTAGTCCAGCATACTCTTCAATATGTTTTCCTTTGGCATGCTTAAGACATTCACTGTCTGGAAGTAAGCAAATGAAAAAAGCTTCATTTAAGTTTCTATTATAATTTTAGAATCCTTAATTGAATATTTCCTTAAGATCTATTCTTATTCCTTTTCCTCATCTTTAATTGTTAAGAAAGATATATGTAAGAGAGATACACACATAGATTTCACATCAAGGATCACATTTTAAAAATATTTACGTGAGAATAACTTTCTATTTTTACAGTTAAATCCTTTAAATTCTTCCCTGAAAATGTAAAATTCCAATTCATTCAGAAGATACTTGTGATTCAAACGCTGTGTTAGGTAGAAAGGAAACAGGATCAATATTATCAGTGTCCTCAATGGATACAACATTTAATACACTTATAAAATGGAACATCTTTTCCCCTCAATCCATTATCATCATGTATTTATTCTATATTTTATTTATAGAATATTGAATGACCGCCTTACTTAAAACATTTGTATTGAAGTTATTATTAGAGTACCTACCCATAGCAAGTATGCAGTAAATGCTAACAGTTATTATAATTCCCGATAGATAATACATTTCCTACAAGTGGCATCTGTTGTGGAAGAAAAGAAGATACCTAATAATTTTAATACTACAGACAATAAATACATAGGATCAATTCTAGATTATCTACATTTTTTCCCTCAAGGATAGGTGTTCTGCTCATATTTTTTTCTATATTTACCATAGTGCTTATCTTGCAGACTTATCATGCTTTATTACCACATAATTAAAATTTCACCTATGCAGCATGGCATTTAAGCAATTGCGATTACAGACATTTCTTTCTTGCCATCAGTAGTCTGTTCTTAAAAATCAGTCAAAATGAAAACTAGAATGTATTTCCCGTAATTTGTAATTGCTTAACTAAATCAGAAAAAGCAAAGAAAGAGAGAAATTAAGAACAAATACAATAAATAGAAAGTGATTAACAAACATGTTAGACATTAATTTGTGTGAATAACTGAAAGAACCAATTAAAAGACAGAATATCATACTGGATAAAAAACAGACCCAACTATATGCATCTACAGACATATTTTATCTATAAATTACAAATGCATGGAAGTGTTGAGACTAGACAAAAGCCATTGTGAAGAAATGAAGAGATGATATACAGCTGAGAGTCCACTCATGGCAGACCTCAGAAAACCCCAGGGAAAATTACATTTCTTGAAAGTGAGACTCACTTTGGATTGCAAATTTTACCCCCTCATTGTAACAATATATGGGGTGTATGAGAGCCATGGGAAAACATGATTTGGGCTGCTCAATCAGCTAGAAGATTATTAGATAAGGATAAATGGTGGGAAGTTTTAAAAGAAATTTGATGTTGAAATGCTAAAGAAATAATCATAATCTATGTTACCTGGAAACCCTCCTGTCAGGTTGAGAAAGACTAAGCACAAGCTGTCAGGGATTCAATTTTATTGAGAAAAGTAGAGGAGAGTTTACAGAGGCTTTAAAAAAGCTCTCTTTGGAGGATGGTCTTTGTTTCTCTGGTAGTAGTTTGGAGAACTCAGAAGAAGACAAGAAAATGTGGGAAAGTTTGGAACTTCCTAGAAACTTGTTGAATGGCTTTGACCAAAACCTTGATAGCAATATGGACAATAAGGTCTAGGCTGAGGTGGTCTCAGATGGAGATGGGGAACTTGTTGGGCACTGGAGCAAACGTGATTCTTGTTACACTTTAGCAAAGAGACTGGTGGCGTATTGCCCCTGCCCTAGAGATTTGTGGAACTTCGAACTTGAGAGAGATAATTTAGGATATCTGGTGGAAGAAATTTCTATGCAGCAAAGCACTCAAGAAGTGACTTAGGTACTGTTGCAGGCATTAATTTTTGTAAGGGAAGCAGAGAATTAAAGTTCAGAAAATTTGCAGCCTGACAATACAATAGAAAAGAAAAATACATTTTCTTAGGAGAAATTTAAGCTGGCTGCAGAAATTTGCATAAGTAAGGAAGAGCCAAATGTTAATCCCCAAGACAATGGGGAAAATGTCTCCAGAGAATGTCGGAGTTCTTCAAGGCAGCCCCTCCCATCACAAGCCCAGAGGTCTGGGAGAAAATGGTTTCATGGGCTGGGCCCAGGGTCCACATGCTGTGTGCAGTCTAGGAACTTGGTGCCCTGTATCACAACCACTCCAGCTGTGCGTGAAAGGGGCCAACGTACAGCTTGAGCTGTGGCTTCAGAGGGTGCAAGCCCCAAGCCTTGGCAGCTTCCACATGGTGTTGAGCCTGCAAGTGCACAGAAGTCAAGAATTGAGGGTTGGGAACCTCTGCCTAGATTTTAGAGGACATATGGAAATGCCTGGATGTCCAGGCAGAAGTTTGCTGCAGGGGCAGACCTCTCATGGAGAACCTCTGGTAGGGCAGTGTGGAAGGGAAATATGGGGTCAGAGCCCCCACACAGAGTAGCTACTGGGGCAGCACCTGGTGGAGCTGTGAGAAGAGGACCACCATCCTCCACACCCCAGAATGATAAATCCACCTACAGCTTGCACCGTGCCCCTGGAAAAGTTGCAGACACTCATTGCCACCCCCATGAAACCAGTCAGGAGGGAGGCCGTACCCTGCAAAGCCACAGGGGAGGAGCTGCCCAAGACCACAGGAACCACCTATTGCATCAGCGCGATCTGGATGTGAGACATGGAGTCAAAGGAGATCATTTTGGAGCTTTAAGATTTGACTGCCCCGCTGGATTTCAGATTTGCATGGGGCCTGTAGCCCCTTTATTTAGGCCAATTTCTCCCATTTTGAATGGCTGTATTTACACAATGCCTGTACCCTCCGCAGAAGCCAAGCAGATGCTGGTACTATGCTTCTGTATAGCCTGTGGAAGCATGAGCCAATTAAATTGTATCTAGGAAGTAACTAGGAAATATCTAGGAAGTAACTAGAAGTAACTAACAAGTATCTAGGAAGTAACTAACTTGCTTTTGGTTTTACAGTCTTATAGGCAGACAAGGGACTTGCCTTGTCCCAGATGAGATGTTGGACTGTGGACTCTTGCGTTAATGCTGAAATGAGTTAAGACTTTGGGGGACTGTTGGAAAGGCATGACTGGTTTTGAAATGTGAGGACATGAGATTTGGGAGGGGCTGGGGCAGAATGATATAGTTTGGCTGCCCAAATCTCATCTTGAATTTCTACGTATTGTGGGAAGGACCCAGTGGGAGGTAATTGAATCATGGGGGCTGGTCTTTCCCGTGCTGTTCTCATGATAGTGAGAATAATTATTCTCATGAATAAGTGTCATGAGATCTGATGGTATCATAAGGAGGGGTTTCCCTGCTCAACCTCTCTCTTTGCCTGCTGCCATCCACTTAAGATGTGACTTGCTCCTCCTTGCCTTCCACATGATTTTGAGGCTTCCCTAGCCACGTGGAACTGTAAGTCCAATTAAACCTTTTTTTTTTTTTTTGTAAATTGCCCATTCTCAGGTATGTCTTTATCAGCAGTGTGAAAACGGTCTAATACACAAGGACATTAAAATGATAATAAATAAATACTTTGAATATATTTTTCCATATATTTGATAACTTACATGAAATGGACCAACTTCTTGAAAGGCACAAACAGCCAGCTCTCACAGGAGAAATAGATAATATAAATAAAACTATAAATATTAAGGACTTGCATCAGTAACAGTTTACCAATATCAGTTTATTACTTATAACAAATGTATTATAGTAATGTGAGGAGTTAATAAGAGAAATTAGGTGTGGGGTAAATGGAAACTCTGGGGATTATCTTTGCAACTTTTCTGTTAAACCTAAAACTGTTCTAAAATAAAAACATTTATTAGAAATATCAAATACAAATGACAAAGGAAAATCAAGTGTTCAGGATTCTGGGGTTCTAAATTATATTAAGACTTGATTTAGGTCCATTGTAGAAACTGGAATAATTTTTATATCCTATACTTATCCTCCTATTCATATATTAAACTGTATGATATTTTTAAAGTGCTTGCCTTAATTTTTTCACACTTCACTTAAAATTATAAAACCATCCCAATAATTTAATAAGATATGAGTAAGCCATAAAATTAAAAAAAGATAAATATATTTTACTGCATCACAAAATTTTAATTATCCTAAGAAATATCATTTTCAAAATAGTTGAATTAAATCACACAACCTATGTAATTCTAAGCTACCAAACTTGAGAATCCTTGCAAGCATTTTTAAATGGGGCAGACTGGCTTTGGCATTGTTCCATAAGCTTTTCCATTCCTTTTCCCACATTGATCATCTCTTGCTATCCAGAACCATTTGATGCTACAACCAAATCAACCCTCCTGTCCCCATTTCCTTCTCAGTCTCTTTTGCTGGCTCTTCTTTCTACAATGACATCATGGACATTTATGTTTTCAAGGCTTTACAAGAAGTCGAAACCTCAAAGCAGGCGAGTACAAAAACATGTGAAGTAAGCAAGTCTTCAGGGACTGTGACAGCAGAGACTGGGACAATTAGAAAGGGCTCCGAGTCCTAACAAAAGGGAACAAACCTTTATTCAGTGCCAGCCAATTATTTCCATCCTGGGATGTAGACCTGAAATGGAGACCCTTTTCAAGAGAAGCCGGATATCAGTATTTCTTATGTGAAATCTCTTGAAATTTTAATGTTGGCAACCAATAACTGCATGCTGACTTGGCAAATGATCTCCACATTTGACACCCAGCTCTTCACCCTATTCCTAAAGCAATTTCAATCATTCCTGTAGCTCCAATTCAATGATTCTCAAATCCACATCTCCTGCCAAGACCTCTTTCAAAATTTACATGCTGTATATCTAATTGCTAGGTACATATTTTCAAATCTACATTTAAACTCTATGCTCCAATTGCGTGGTATAGCTTACAGTTTTTGTTTTGTTTTGTTTTCAACACTTCAATATTTTTCACATTTATGCAACTTTTTCAGCATTATTTATTCCGCCTGAAATGTAAGTCCCACCTACTCTCCTTCATTATCTAATCAACACCTACTTTGCTTCCAAAATTAGCTCAAACATCGCTTTCTCTATGAAGAGTTTCCTTATCCCAGGAGTAAATTTTACCATTACCTTGTTTATACTTAATGTAAAACCTCACCTCTACAACTGAGCTTATATCATTTTTCCAGTAATGGATGTGAATGATTGATAAAGGTATGGAATTTATTCCTGGTCATAGGCCCACAGACTTACCACACATGAGTTTATATATAAGCCTGCAGCAATGGGCTCCATTGCTAAAACAGGAAGTTAAATGTACCACTATAAACTCCTCTTTAACCCTTTATTGCACTTTTTTTAATACCTGTTTCATCCATTAGTTATAAATCCCTTGTGATGGATAATTTTGTGGGTCAACTTGACTGTGATAAGGGATGATCAGATAGCCAGTAAAATACTATTTCTAGGTTTGTTCCTGAGGGTAATTCCAGAAGAGATTAGTATTTGAATCAATAGATGATATAAAGAAGATTGCCCTCACCACTGTGGATGGGCATCATCCAATTACCTGAAACTCAAATAAAAGAAAAAATTGGAGGAATGGAGAATTTGCTCTCTCTGTTTGAGCTAGGACACCCATTTTCTCCTACTCTGGGATATTTGGGCTCCTTCCTGATTCTCAAGCATTCAGACTTGGACTGAATTACGACACTAGTTTTCCTGGCTTTCCAGCTTGCATAGGGCAGATCATGGAACTTCTCAGCTTCCATAATTGTGTGTGCCAATTCTCATAATAAATAAATAAATAAATAAACAAACAAATAAATAAATTCTGGTGGTTCTGTTTCTCTGGAGAATAACCCTGACTACTTCTACATGCCTTGAGAGTAAAGGATCTGAATTCATCCTCTGTCCTCTGAGCCTGATAAAGTGCTGAATGTATAATAAGTGTTTACTGGTTGAATATATACGTGCATAAAGATTTTCTTTTCCTGGTACCATGTTAAAGTTTGGGGATGTGAAGACCGAGGAATCAAAATCAGCAATTTGAAAGAACATAACTTACACATGTGTTATTGTATTTTTTAGACCTTGTTTTCTCCTCCTTGTATCTTGTATATTGGTGGCTCTTTATATTAAAAATAACTTCCACTCCTTCTTATTTACAGTTCCAAAAGCTTTATAAATATCAAATTTTCACTTTAGATACTAGGAAATAAAATTTTGACAGACTGATGCTAAGCCAAAGACTTTCTTTTCCAAAGACCTTCATGAAAAGACATAAGCTGATGCTGCTGTGACAGTAACTTACGCAGGTAATTTGCTCCTTTGACTCCGTACTAATTGGAGCTTTAGTTTCCAGCCAACAAAAAGAACTGCCTAATTAAGAAAACACCATTCAGCTCATTACAGGTGTATATTCACTCAGAAATGATATTTTGAACTTGCAGAAGGGGATAGAGGGAATGAAGGATAAAATACAACAAAGAGGTATTACTTGGATACTATTCAACTGACTTAAAGATATTCATTAGCAATGCATTCAGATTTTAAAAGACCTGCTTAAAATGCTCCAAAACAATAGACAGTTCTCTCCTGTCTCTCTCATTTACTGCTTACATCTTATGTAGTAAGAAGACATATTAGATAAATAATTTTCAAGAAACCATATTGCTTATGCTTGTACAGCTACAATAATACCTTAGAAAACTGTCCAAAATTATTTTTGAGCTCCCTCTTAAAAGCTCACCTCATGTCTCATTATAAATTGGAAAATGAGGAAAATAAATAATAAATGCTGTCAACAATTATCTAATTATTTGGGAAAACTACTAGCTCTTTACTAGTATGTTTCATTTTTAAAAGTCCTCCAAAGTTTCTTGTGATTTAAAAACTAAATTAGACTTCCAGTTTTCATCCCAACGTGTAAAGAACTTGGAACTAATCAGTCCCATCCTCTAAAGAGGAAAAACCTGAAAGTCAACAGTTGTTAGATCTATCGAAATATTGAGATTACAGGGCAAACTGCTGTCCTGAAAACTGGAGAGACAGATAGGCAGATACAGAGAATCACAGCTTAACTGGAGTAGAAGCTAAAGAAGCAGAAGCCCACAGCTGCAGCTGGTAGGAACCCTTCAGCTGTTATTGACAAATGTCTGGAGTTTCAGTGTGTACTAACTTCAAATATAAGATAAAAACTCTGGAGACCTCAGTCTTAGGGGAATCCCCACACTTTCCTGAGTTTTATGTCCAGGAGCTTCAACAAGTTCTTACCGTGAAGACTGGAAAAAAACTTCCTATGCTTCTGGCAAGGGGACAAGAAAATAAAGCATTTAAGGTAATAAAATAAGTTTATATGAAACTGAGATCTAAATTTTTTTTCTAAATATAAAGCTATGAGAAAAAAAGACATTTTAACACAAAATTCTTTATGCTTTTAAAAATGCCATAAATAGGATTTTAAAAGGGAGAAATATTTAGAACAAATATGACAAAGGATGATTGTCTTAATAGATAATCAACATTTACAGATCAATAGGAAAACAGTGCAACCTCAATGGAATATGAAAAAGATGTTCTTAAGAATAGATACAAATGTTCAACATATAGTGAATTTGTGTTTATTTATAAATAATGAAATAAATGAAAATTTAAACATAAATTAGTATTCTTTGCCTAGAAATTTAGTAAAGGTATAAAAGAATGACGATACCTACTGTTGGCAAGGATCAGGAGAAATAGTCACCATTCATTGTTCAAAAAGATAGTTTGGCAATATATTTCAAAAGCCTCCAAAATCTGCCAACCTATTGACCCAAGAATTCTATTACTAAGAGCTTAACATTAAAAGTAATCAAACAAATACATAAAAACACATTAAAAATTCATAGTGCTATTTCTTATAATCACATTTTGGAAATACCTACATAACATAGGTTCATTTAAAAGAATCATAGATATTCATAAACTGAAATGTTATGCAGCTAATAGAAAATAGATGTTTCAGTTATGTGACACTTTTTTTATTATACTTTAAGTTGTGGGATACATGTGCAGAACGTGCAGTTTTGTTACGTAGGTATACATGTGCCATGGTGGTTTGCTGCACCCATCAACCCATCATCTACATTATGTATTTCTCCTAATGCTATCCCTCCCCTAGCCCCCGACAGGCCCCAGTGTGTGATGATCCCCTCCCTGTGTCCACGTGTTCTGATTGTTCAACTACCACTTATGAGTGAGAACATGTGATGTTTGGTTTTCTGTTCTTGTGTTAGTTTGCTAAGAATGATGGTTTCCAGCTTCATGTTCCTGCAAAGGAGATGAACTCATCCTTTTTTATGGCTGCATGGTATTCCATGGTGTATATGTAACATATTTTCTTTATTCAATCTATCACTGATGGGCGTTTGGGTTGGTTCCAAGTCTGCTATTGTGAACAGTGCCACAATAAACATATGTGTGCGTGTGTCTTTATAGAAGAATGATTTATAATCCTTTGGGTATATACCCAGTAATGGGAATGCTGGGTCAAATGATATTTCTAGTTCTAGATCCTTGGGGAATCACCATACTGTCTTCCACAATGGTTGAACTCATAAAATGAGTAGGGAGGAAGTCCCTCTTTTTCTGTTGTTTGGAATGGTTTCAGAAGGAATGGTAGCAGCTTCTCTTTGTACCTGTGGTAAAATTGGGCTGTGAATCCATCTGGTCCTGGACGTTTTTTGGTTGGTAGGCCATTAATTACTGCCTCAACTTCAGAGCTTGTTATTGGTCTATTCAGGGATTCAGCTTCTTCCTGGTTTAGACTTGGGAGGGTGTATGTGTCCAGGAATTTATTCATTTCTTCTAGATTTTCTAGCTTATTTGAGTAGAGGTGCTTATAATATTCTCTGATGGTAGTTTGTATTTCTGTGGGATCAGTGGTGATATCCCCTTTATCATTTTTTATTGTGTCTATTTGAGTCTTCTCTCTTTCCTTTTTTTTATTTTTATTTTTATTTTTTTTTAATTATACTTTAAGTTTTAGGGTACATGTGCACATTGTGCAGGTTAGTTACATATGTATACATGTGCCATGCTGGTGCACTGCACCCACTAACTCGTCATCTAGCATTAGGTATATCTCCCAATTCTATCCCTCCCCCCTCCCCCCACCCCAAAACAGTCCCCAGAGTGTGATATTCCCCTTCTTGTGTCCATGTGATGTCATTGTTCAATTCCCACCTATGAGTGAGAATATGCGGTGTTTGGTTTTTCGTTCTTGCGACAGTTTACTGAGAATGATGTTTTCCAATTTCATCCATGTTCCTACAAAGGACATGAACTCATCATTTTTTATGGCTGCATAGTATTCCATGGTGTATATGTGCCACATTTTCTTAATCCAGTCTATCATTGTTGGACATTTGGGTTGGTTCCAAGTCTTTGCTATTGTGAATAATGCCGCAATAAACATACGTGTGCATGTGTCTTTATAGCAGCATGATTTATAGTCCTTTGGGTATATAGCCAGTAATGGGATGGCTGGGTCAAATGGTATTTCCAGTTCTAGATCCCTGAGGAATCGCCACACTCACTTCCACAATGGTTGAACTAGTTTACAGTCCCACCAACAGTGTAAAAGTGTTCCTGTTTCTCCACATCCTCTCCAGCACCTGTTGTTTCCTGACATTTTAATGATTGCCATTCTAACTGGTGTGAGATGGTATCTCATTGTGGTTTTGATTTGCATTTCTCTGATGGCCAGTGATGATGAGCATTTTTTCATGTGTTTTTTGGCTGCATAAATGTCTTCTTTTGAGAAGTGTCTGTTCATGTCCTTCGCCCACTTTTTGATGGGGTTGTTTGTTCTTTTCTTGTAAATTTGTTTGAGTTCATTGTAGGTTGTGGATATTAGCCCTTTGTCAGATGAGTAGGTTGTGAAAATTTTCTCCCATTTTGTAGGTTGCCTGTTCACTCTGATGGTAGTTTCTTTTGCTGTGCAGAAGCTCTTTAGTTTAATTAGATCCCATTTGTCAATTTTGGCTTTGGTTGCCATTGCTTTTGGTGTTTTGGACATGAAGTCCTTGCCCATGCCTATGTCCTGAATGGTAATGCCTAGGTTTTCTTCTAGGGTTTTTATGGTTTTAGGTCTAACATTTAAGTCTTTAATCCATCTTCAATTGATTTTTGTATAAGGTGTAAGGAAGGGATCCAGTTTCAGCTTTCTACATATGGCTAGCCAGTTTTCCCAGCACCATTTATTAAATAGGGAATCCTTTCCCCATTGCTTGTTTTTCTCAGGTTTGTCAAAGATCAGATAGTTGTAGATATGTGGCGTTATTTCTGAGGGCTCTGTTCTGTTCCATTGATCTATATCTCTGTTTTGGTACCAGTACCATGCTGTTTTGGTTACTGTAGCCTTGTAGTATAGTTTGAAGTCAGGTAGTGTGATGCCTCCAGCTTTGTTCTTTTGGCTTAGGATTGACTTGGCGATGCAGGCTCTTTTTTGGTTCCATATGAACTTTAAAGTAGTTTTTTCCAATTCTGTGAAGAAAGTCATTGGTAGCTTGATGGGGATGGCATTGAATCTATAAATTACCTTGGGCAGTATGCCATTTTCACGATACTGATTCTTCCTACCCATGAGCATGGAATGTTCTTCCATTTGTTTGTATCCTCTTTTATTTCCTTGAGCAGTGGTTTGTAGTTCTCCTTGAAGAGGTCCTTCACATCCCTTGTAAGTTGGATTCCTAGGTATTTTATTCTCTTTGAAGCAATTGTGAATGGGAGTTCACTCATGATTTGGCTCTCTGTTTGTCTGTTGTTGGTGTATAAGAATGCTTGTGATTTTTGTACATTGATTTTGTATCCTGAGACTTTGCTGAAGTTGCTTATCAGCTTAAGGAGATTTTGGGCTGAGACAATGGGGTTTTCTAGGTATACAATCATGTCGTCTGCAAACAGGGACAATTTGACTTCCTCTTTTCCTGATTGAATACCCTTTATTTCCTTCTCCTGCCTAATTGCCCTGGGCAGAACTTCCAACACTATGTTGAATAGGAGTGGTGAGAGAGGCCATCCCTGTCTTGTGCCAGTTTTCAAAGGGAATGCTTCCAGTTTTTGCCCATTCAGTATGATATTGGCTGTGGGTTTGTTATAGATAGCTCTTATTATTTTGAGAGACGTCCCATCAATACCTAATTTATTGAGAGTTTTTAGCATGAAGGGTTGTTGAATTCTGTCCAAGGCTTTTTCTGCATCTATTGAGATAATCATGTGGTTTTTGTCTTTGGCTCTGTTTATATGCTGGATTACATTTATTGATTTGCGTATATTGAACCAGCCTTGCATCCCAGGGATGAAGCCCACTTGATCATGGTGGATAAGCTTTTTGATGTGCTGCTGGATTCAGTTTGCCAGTATTTTATTGAGGATTTTTGCATCAATGTTCATCAAGGATATTGGTCTAAAATTCTCTTTTTTTGTTCTGTCTCTGCCTGGCTTTGGTATCAGGATGATGCTGGCCTCATAAAATGAGTTAGGGAGGATTCCCTCTTTTTCTATTGATTGGAATAGTTTCAGAAGGAATGGTACCAGTTCCTCCTTGTACCTCTGGTAGAATTCGGCTGTGAATCCATCTGGTCCTGGACTCTTTTTGGTTGGTAAGCTATTGATTATTGCCACAATTTCAGATCCTGTTATTGGTCTATTCAGAGATTCAACTTCTTCCTGGTTTAGTCTTGGGAGAGTGTATGGGTCGAGGAATTTATCCATTTCTTCTAGATTTTCTAGTTTATTTGTGTAGAGGTGTTTGTAGTATTCTCTGATGGTAGTTTGTATTTCTGTGGGATTGGTGGTGATATCCCCTTTATCATTTTTTATTGCGTCTATTTGATTCTTCTCTCTCTTTTTCTTTATTAGTCTTGCTAGCGGTCTATCAATTTTGTTGATCCTTTCAAAAAACCAGCTCCTGGATTCGTTAATTTTTTGAAGGGTTTTTTGTGTCTCTATTTCCTTCAGTTCTGCTCTGATTTTAGTTATTTCTTGCCTTCTGCTAGCTTTGGAATGTGTTTGCTCTTGCTTTTCTAGTTCTTTTAATTGTGATGTTAGGGTGTCAATTTTGGATCTTTCCTGCTTTCTCTTGTGGGCATTTAGTGCTATAAATTTCCCTCTACACACTGCTTTGAATGCGTCCCAGAGATTCTGGTATGTTGTGTCTTTGTTCTCGTTGGTTTCAAAGAACGTCTTTATTTCTGCCTTCATTTCATTATGTACCCAGTAGTCATTCAGGAGCAGGTTGTTCAGTTTCCATGTAGTTGAGCGGTTTTGAGTGAGATTCTTAATCCTGAGTTCTAGTTTGATTGCACTGTGGTCTGAGAGATAGTTTGTTATAGTTTCTGTTCTTTTACATTTGCTGAGGAGAGCTTTACTTCCAAGTATGTGGTCAATTTTGGAATAGGTGTGGTGTGGTGCTGAAAAAAATGTATATTCTGTTGATTTGGGGTGGAGAGTTCTGTAGATGTCTATTAGGTCCGCTTGGTGCAGAGCTGAGTTCAATTCCTGGGTATCCTTGTTGACTTTCTGTCTCGTTGATCTGTCTAATGTTGACAGTGGGGTGTTAAAGTCTCCCATTATTAATGTGTGGGAGTCTAAGTCTCTTTGTAGGTCACTCAGGACTTGCTTTATGAATCTTGGTGCTCCTGTATTGGGTGCATATATATTTAGGATAGTTAGCTCTTCTTGTTGAATTGATCCCTTTACCGTTATGTAATGGCCTTCTTTGTCTCTTTTGATCTTTGTTGGTTTAAAGTCTGTTTTATCAGAGACTAGGATTGCAACCCCTGCCTTTTTTTGTTTTCCATTTGCTTGGTAGATCTTCCTCCAACCTTTTATTTTGAGCCTATGTGTGTCTCTGCACGTGAGATGGGTTTCCTGAATACAGCACACTGATGGGTCTTGACTCATTATCCAATTTGCCAGTCTGTGTCTTTTAATTGGAGCATTTAGTCCATTTACATTTAAAGTTAATATTGTTATGTGTGAATTTGATCCTGTCATTATGATGTTAGCTGGTGATTTTGCTCGTTAGTTGATGCAGTTTCTTCCTAGTCTTGATGGTCTTTACATTTTGGCATGGTTTTGCAGCTGCTGGTACTGGTTGTTCCTTTCCATGTTTAGCACTTCCTTCAGGAGCTCTTTTAGGGCAGGCCTGGTGGTGACAAAATGTCTCAGCATTTGCTTGTCTGTAAAGTATTTTATTTCTCCTTCACTTATGAAGCTTTGTTTGGCTGGATATGAAATTCTGGGTTCAAAATTCTTGTCTTTAAGAATGTTGAATATTGGCCCCCACTCTCTTCTGGCTTGTAGGGTTTCTGCCGAGAGATCCGCTGTTAGTCTGTTGGGCTTCCCTTTGAGGGTAACCCGACCTTTCTCTCTGGCTGCCCTTAACATTTTTTCCTTCATTTCAACTTTGGTGAATCTGACAATTATGTGTCTTGGAGTTGCTCTTCTCGAGGAGTATCTTTGTGGCATTCTCTGTACTTCCTGTATCTGAACGTTGGCCTGCCTTGCTCGATTGGGGAAGTTCTCCTGGATAATATCCTGCAGAGTGTTTTCCAACTTGGTTCCACCACAGCTCAAGGAGGCCTGCCTGCCTCTGTAGGCTCCACCTCTGGGGGCAGGGCACAGACAAACAAAAAGACAGCAGTAACCTCTGCAGACTTAAGTGTCCCTGTCTGACAGCTTTGAAGAGAACAGTGGTTCTCCCAGCACACAGCTGGAGATCTGAGAATGGGCAGACTGCCTCCTCTAGTGGGTCCCTGACCCCTGACCCCCGAGCAGCCTAACTGGGAGGCACCCCCCAGCAGGGGCACACTGATACCTCACACGGCAGGGTATTCCAACACACCTGCAGCTGAGGGTCCTGTCTGTTAGAAGGAAAACTAATAACAGCAAGGACATCCACACCAAAAACCCATCTGTACATCACCATCATCAAAGACCAAAAATAGATAAAACCACAAAGATGGGGAAAAAACAGAACAGAAAAACTGGAAACTCTAAAAAGCAGAGTGCCTCTCCTCCTCCAAAGGAACGCAGTTCCTCACCAGCAACAGAACAAAGCTGGATGGAGAATGACTTTGAGGAGCTGAGGGAAGAAGGCTTCAGACGATCAAATTATTCTGAGCTACAGGAGGACATTCAAACCAAAGGCAAAGAAGTTGAAAACTTTGAAAAAAATTTAGAAGAATGTATAACTAGAATAACCAATACAGAGAAGTGCTTAAAGGAGCTGATGGAGCTGAAAACCAAGGCTCGAGAACTACGTGAAGAATGCAGAATCCTCAGGAGCCGATGCGTTCTCTCTTTTCTTTATTAGTCTAGTTAGTGGTCTATTTTGCTGATCTTTTCAAAAAAGCAACTACTGGGTTCATTGATTTTTTGAAGGGTTTTTCATGTCTTCAGTTCTGCTCTGATCTTAGTTATTTCTTGTCTTCTGCTAGCTTTTGAGTGTGTTTGCTCTTTCTTCTCTAGTTCTTTTAATTGTGATGTTAGGGTGTCGATTTTAGATCTTTCCTGCTTTCTCCCGAGGGCATTTAGTGCTATAAATTTCCCTCTCAACACTGCTTTAGCTGTATCCCAGAGATTCTGACATGTTGTGTTTTTGTTCTCATTGGTTTTAGAGAACTTATTTATTTCTGCCTTGATTTTGTTATTTACCCAGTAGTCATTCAGGAGCAGGTTGTTCAGTTTCCGTGTAGTTGTGCAGTTTTGAGTGAGTTTCTTAATCCTGAGATCTAATTTGATTGCTCTGTGGTCTGAGAGACTGTTATGACTTTCCTTCTTTTGCATTTGCTGAGGAGTGTTTTACTTCCAATTATGTGGTCAATTTTAGAATAAGTGTGATGTGGTGCTGAGAAGAATGTATATTCTGTTGATCTAGGGTGGAGAGTTCTATAGATGTCTATTAGGTCCACTTGGTCCAGAGCTGAGTTCAAGTCATGAATATCTTTGTTAATTTTCTGTCTTGTTGATCTGTCTAATATTGACAGTGGGGTGTTAAAATCTCCTGCTATTACTGTGCGGGAGTCTAAATCTCTTTGCAGTTCTCAAAGAACTTGCTTTATGAATCTGGGTGCTCCTGTATTGGGTGCTATATATTTAGGATAGTTAGCTGTTATTTTTGCATTGGTCCTTTACCATTATGTAATGCCTTTCTTTATCTCTTTTGATCTTTGTTGGTTTAAAGTCTGTTTTATCAGAGACTAGGATTGTAACCCCTGCTTTTTTTTTTTCTTTCCATTTGTTTGGTAAATATTCCTGCATCCGTTTATTTTGAGCCTACATGTGTCTTTGCATGTGAGATGGGTCTCTTGAATAAGGCACACTGAAGGGTCTTGACTCTTTATCCAATTTGCCAGTCTGTGTCTTTTAATTGGGGCATTTAGCCCATTTATATTTAAGATTAATATTGTTGTGTTTGAATTTGATCCTGTCATTATGATTCTAGCTGGTTATTTTGCCCATTAGTTGATGCAATTTCTTCATAGTGTCGATGATCTTTACCATTTGGCATGTTTTTGCAGTGGCTGGTACTGGTTGTTCCTTTCCATGTTTAGTGCTTCCTCCAGGAGCTCTTGTGAGGCAGGCCTGGTGGTGACAAAATCTCTCAATATTTTCTTGTCTGTAAAGGATATTTTCTCTCCTTTGCTTATGAAGCTTAGTTTGGCTGGATATGAAATTCTGGGTTGAAAATTCTTTAATAATGTTGAATATTGGCCCCCACTCTCTTCTGGCTTGTAGGGTTTCTGCAGAGAGATCCACTGTTAGTCTGATGGGCTTCCCTTTGTGGGTAACCCGGCCTTTCTATTTGACTGCCCTTAACATTTTTTCCTTAATTTCAACCTTGGTGAATCTGATGGTTGTGTGTCTTGGGGTTGATCTTCTCGAGGAGTATCCTTGTGGTGGTCTCTGTATTTCCTGAATTTGAATGTTGGCCTGTCTTGCTAGGTTGGGGAAGTTCTCCTGGATAATATCCCGAAGGGTGTTTTCCAACGTGGTTCTCATTCTCCCCATCACTTTCAGGTACACCAATCAAACGTAGGTTTGGTCTTTTCACATAGTCCCATATTTTTTGTAGGCTTTGTTCATTCCTTTTCATTCTTTTATCTCTAACCTTGTCTTCACGCTTTATTTCATTAAGTTGATCTTCAGTATCTGATATCCTTTCTTCCGCTTGATCGATTCTGCTAATGATACTTGCCTATGCTTCACGAACTTCTCGCGCTGTGTTTTTCAGCTCCATCAGGTCATTTATGTTCTTCTCTAAACTGATTATTCTAGTTAGCAATTCCTCTAACCCTTTTTCAAGGGTCTTAGTTTCCTTGCATTGGGTTAGAACATGCTCCTTTAGCTTGGAGGAGTTTGTTATTACCCACCTTCTGAAGTCTACTTCTGTCAATTCATCATACTCATTCTCCGTCCAGTTTTGTTCCCTAGCTGGTGAGAGTTGCGATCCTTTGGAAGAGAAGAGGTGTTATGGTTCTGGGAATTTTCAGCCTTTTTGTGCTAGTTTTTCCTCACCTTCGTGGATTTATCCACCTTTGGCCTTTGATGTTGGTGACCTTCAGATGGGGTTTCTGAGTGGACATCCTTTTTGTTGATGTTGATGGTATTCCCTTCTATTTGTTAGTTTTCCATCTAACAGGCCCCTCTGCTGCAGGTCTGCTGGAGTTTGCTGGAGGTCCACTCTAGATCCTGTTTTCCTGGGTGTCACCAGCGAGGCTGCAGAACAGCAAAGATTGCTGCCTGTTCCTTCCTCTGGAAGTTTCGTCCCAGAGGGGCACCCACCAGATGCCAGCCAGAGCTCTCCTGTATGAGGTGTCTGTTAACCCCTGCTGGGAGGTTTCTACCAGTCAGGAGGCACGAGGGTCAGGGACCCACTTGAGGAGGCAGTCTGTCCCTTAGCAGAGCTCGAACACTGTGCTGGGAGAGCCACTGACACATTTTTATAATATATTGTTAAGCAATTAACAATATATGTTTTTAGACTATAGTTATTACTTCTTGATTATAACGGGTGACAACATTTACAAGTTTTTCTTTCTCATATATCTATCCACCAATTTTAATTTATCTCATCACTTTTCTTAATATTCACCTTGGTACTATAAATTATGTGTAAACTTATACAGTTTTTCAGCTCCAGTTGATGCCCTCTTGACTATGAAGTCAACTACAGAAGTGACAGATAACAGCTTATTCTAGGTCCCACCTTCTTTACCGCTTCCAAAATATTTATTTGTTATATCATTTCTATTGTATCAGGGCACATAACACTTTCATTCCACTCTCTTCATTCTAATCTTTGCACTTATTTTACTCTTTGTTCTAAAGTTAAGTATAATGTATGCATGCCACTCATCCTTCTCTGGTAGCTTTCAAAGTCTTTATTACTTTTCTGAGGTTCATTCTTCAATACTTTCCTTAAAGAAGAACTCATAGGAAAAGTATTCCTTGATTTGTAGCAAATTCAAAACACTTTATCTTTCATCTTCTTACCTGAAGTTTGTCTTGGCTGAATATAAAACCCTTGGTTCAAGTATCCTTTTGATAAGTATCTCCGCATTATTTTCTGACATTTAATATTGCTGTAGGGAAATCTGAAGGTAGACTGATATGTTTTTCCCTAAAATGTGACCTGAACTCTCTGCTAATTAACCAGAACTTTTTTTTTCCTATAAATACAAAAAGCTTACCAGGATATGTCTTGTGAGATCTTCTGTGTTGATTTTACTAAGATACGCTTTCAGGGTCTTCATTTTTAATTCACATACTCAACGTTGTGTTTTCTTAGGAAAGCTTAAAAAATCTTAAAACATTTGTACTACATTGTTTTGATTTTCAGTGTTATATCTTTTACATTTATCATTTTCTATCGAGTCTTTTAAAAATATTTATTTCTATTTTACTTAATCTCCTTGTATCACTTTATCCACCAAGCTTATTTCATTTTATCCTCCAGGTTTGTGTGCATGTGTGTATATACATATCTCCTCCAGGTTATATTTTTTTTTGTTGTTTCCTTCAGTTTTGTTTTTCTTTCTATGATTATGTTTTTCTACTTTCTTACATATGGCCAAGTTATATTTTTTCATATTTTATTGTCTTGCCATCTTACTCCTAAATTGAGTTCCTTCAGTGTGTGTAGACGGTCTTCATAGAAGCAGGCAGTTGTTTTTATAAAAACACTTTTTAAAAATTCATGGTGAGACATATGCTCATAATTTTTACCTGCTCCTAGAAATGTTTTTCTGCAGGCTTTTGTCTGTTTTAAAATTATAATGCTCTTTTCTGTGCTTTTCTTAAAATGTCTTTGTGTTAGTACTGTAACAGTTTTTTATTACTCATCCTTAATAAATGATACATGTCTAGATAATTATATACAAGAAGTTTCTATTTATAGGAGGACACTTTTGTAGTCTTGCAGGCTTCACCTCCAAAGGGATCTTTCCTTCTTTACTACCAGAGAAACAAAGACCATCCTCCAAAGAGGGCTTTTTTAAAGCGTCTGTAAACTCTCCTCTACTTTTCTCAATAAAATTGAGTCCCTGACAGCTTGTGCTTAGTCCTTCTCAACCTGACAGGAGGGTTTCCAGGCAACATGGATTATGATTATTTCTTTAGCATCTCAACATCAAATTTGTTTTAAAACTTCCCACAATTTATCCTTATCTAATAATCTTCCAGGTTATTGAGCAGCCCAAATCATGTTTTCCCATGGTTCTCATACACCCCATCAATTGTTACAATGAGGGGGTAAAATTTGCAATCCAAAGTGAGTCTCACTTTCAGGAAATGTAATTTTCCCTGGGGTTTTCTGAGGTCTGCCACGAGTGGACTCTCACCTGCATATTATCTCTTCATTTCTTCACAATGGCTTTTGTCTAGTCTCAACACTTCTGTGCATTTGTAATTTATAGATAAAATATGTCTCAGAATTTTCCTGAAAGTAAAGTTTTCTGACTCATTGTCCCTGGGAGAATTTTAATATGATTTCAAGAAGAAGAGGAAAGATACTGACTTACCCACCAGTATTTACATCAGAATTCCCTGGTAACTTTATGTTTAATAAGGATTTAACCAGCTACTTATTTAAATTTGCATTTGCTAGATTTAACATGGTTGACTCACAAAAAGTAGATACCGATTAATCATACATTTCATGAGAGATAAAATTAAAAATGTGAAGTTCAGGCATTCTGTGTGGGACTGCTAACAACCTGGCAAAACATTTATGATGACATGATATAGATATCACAATAGATAGAGGTGCAAATCTGACAGGAGGGTTTCCAGGTGACATGGATTATGATTATTTCTTTAGCGTCTCAACATGAAATTTCTTTCAAAACTTCCCATCATTTCTCCTTATCTAATAATCTTCTAGCTGACTGAGCAGCTCCAAATCATGTTTTCCCATGGTTCTCATACACCCCCAAAAGATTTCACTAACAACCGATAATTGGAGGTTTTTAGTCATGATCTGACTAACAGGAAAAATATGTAGTTTTTAGATGTGAAATCCTAAATCATAGAATATGGGGTTTAAAATAAAGAATTAAATTATGTTTCCACCTAATAAGACTCACTACTGTTATTAAATACAGTAGTGAATGTAAAACCGTAATACTGGTCTGGCACACAAAAAAAGAGCACGATAGTTAATCTTGGTTTAATTACATACTATCATCATCATTATTGTTATTCAGTTGAGAATAAATAATGGCTTCTTTCTCAAACTAAATTATTTAGGCTGAAAATACAAAGACGATAAAAATAATAATCCATGCCAAATATTCAGTGTTTTATTAAGAAAACTACATATGGTTGGTGCAATTTTTGGTTTTACTTCCCAGATTGATGAAATGGAAGATCCTGATAAAGAAAGAATATTGATTGGAGAAAGCAGCATCTGAGTCACTATATTCTTGGCTCTTATTTATTCATTTCCAGCACATATGACATAAAGTTTAAAAGTACCATTAGCAAACATAAGTAAATTTGGAATACAAATATCTTCTTCAAATAGACAAAGCATATAGTAAAATGAGATTTGTGTGACTAGGTAAGTATAAGTGTTGACAATTTTTCTGCAAAGGAATGTGGCAAATTATGTTAAGAACCTTTGAAATCATCATTTCAACTAATAATGTCATTAAAATAAATAAATGCAAACAAAATTTATGAAGATGCTTAATGAAAAATATAATCATAAAATGGGAAGAAAACCTAAATGCTAAGTAGTAAGAGAATTATTAAGAAGATATAGCATATCCATGTGACAGGATGTCATACAGTCATTGAAATATTGAAAAATTTCTTCAGGGTTTTGAAAAATGTTTCACATTAAAATTTTAAGCAAAAATGCAGGATATGTAATGATTACAGCATGTTATCCATTGTGTAAAATTTATGCACACATAGAGAAAGCATATTAAAGGAAATCCAGTAAATATAAATGACAGTTATTTTTAGATTGTGAGAATAATAGTAGTTTTTGTTATGTACTTTTTCTAAACTTTCTATAGCCAATATATATTTACAATTATAATTTTAGCTTTTATTATAGTAATATAATAAATATAATTTAAAGTATTTCAGGATAAAAGGAGAAATTTGTCCCTGTGTTAAGCCTTTTCTCTTAGTAAATGTTAAGATATTTAATATTATCAAACATCCGTACTCAATGTCTTCTACAGAATTTATATCTTTCAAATGTCTAATTTAACTCTAAGAAGCAAATATTCCCCATTCTTTGAATTATCAGGCTATAATTACTGTGATCAGATTCTGAGCATTAAAGGCTATTAAAGCTCTGACATAACTTCCTCTCCCGTGACATTTAAACAGATTCCTCCTTTTGAGCATTATCTTTGAGGTATAATTCACCTTGTCTGGAGAACTAAGCAGATTCTCACATAAAATTAATCCATTAATTAGTATACTTAAAGCTACGTTTAGTATGAGGAGACTTTGACTCATTTCGTATCCAATTATGCATCTTTTAACTTGCTTATCAGTGTGAATAAAGTCTTTGCTCTAATATTTTCAATGATTTTGTGATTGTAAAGAGTTATTTTTAAAAATCTAGATATATCCAGTAAGTTATACTGAACTTTATTTCTGTAAGTAGCTAGAACCTTCTGACCCTTGACCCTCAGAGTTCGAACTGCTTTAATTCCTTCTCTTAAGGCTGTCAATATTATTAGTAACTTATTGTTTTAACTTTAAAAAATTGATTACAATGTATAAATCCTGTGGGAGATAAAACACGAATAAGACCTAGAAGTAGCTTTTTTTTTTTTTTTTTTTGAGATGGAGTTTCCCTCCTGTTGCCCAGGCTGGAGTGCAATGGCCCGGTCTCAGCTCACTGCAACCTCTGCCTCCCGGGTTCAAGCTATTCCCCTGTTTCAGCTCCCCAAGTAGTTGGGATTACAGGCACCTGTCACCATGCCTGGCTAATTTTTGTATTTTTGGGAGAGACAGGGTTTCACCATGTTGGTCAGGCTGGTCTCAAACTCGTGACCTCAGGCAGTCCACTCTCCTCAGCCTCCCAAAGTGCTGGCATTACAGGTGTGAACCACCATGCCTAGCCAGAAGTAGCTTTTTAAAGTATGCAATCTACGAGAAATATACAACTAACAAATATGAAGCAAACTGATGAGAGCTATAATAAAGGAACCAAAAGTTGCTCTGCAAATACAGGCATGGGAGAGATTATTTCTAACTGGATAAGTGCACTCAGACTTCTTTAGTGGCCAAGATGCTTATTAAAAGGGAAGTATTCCTCATACCTTCATACAGGTGAAGACATTCACAACACAGTAGGAACTGGATTACATTAGAGGATTCGCATGTGTATACCAGTTAGTTTTGCTGTGTTCAGCAACCCACAGCCTAATCCTAGCAATCCCTTTGGCAAAGGATGCTTCTAGTCACAATGAGACAGCACAAAGCTTTTCCATCACTGGAACACAGCGAAAGATTGTCTTCTCGTATTTCAGAGATAGCAGCCACAACTTCATATATAAAGGATGCAAGTTTACTCACTGGGTTGATTATTTCATTTGTCTTGCTCTATTGATAATGTTACATTGACCTAATTGTGATCATTTATAATTACATGATCATCATGGCTTACAATGTCATCATGACTTCATTGGAGTTTTCTAAAAAAGAAGACAATATTTGATAATCAATATTATATTTTAAAAACAGTATCCAACTAAATTACCCTTGCTGAATAGAGGATGTCTTTGTACGAATTAGATCAGTTGAATTCCTCGGTTAACTATTATATTAACACTGAGCAAGGAAGTCTGTGGTTGATGACTTTTTGCCAAACTTCTGAAATTTATTGGCTAATGATGCATGTTCAGGTCTGTATTTTAATTTTTCTTTTATTTTGCCTTAAATTTAGCTATACCAAGAAAGATGTGCCTAGGGGTCCTGCTCATTGCCTCCTAACTGTGTTGTAATCAGTTAATATAACCTGACCAGAGCCAGCTAAATGAAAGTTCCAGAAAAATGGAAAAATTGGTTTCAGAAAATAGCTGACTCCAGGAAAGCTAAGGTTAAAGTAAATGCATTTATTCTGAAAAGCATCTATTAATCAGGACTCTGTCTATTTGATTAAAAGCTCTTTCGGTAAAAAGCAACAGAAATCCATTTAAACTAACTTATGTATAAAAGGGAGTTTATTATAAGAACAAGGAAGTATATGCCCTGGCACCCAAGGGAAGAAGTAGAGTTAGTCACACCAGGACTGATACCAGGAAAGGGGAAAATCAGGCTCCATGGCAGGTATTCTCAATGTCAATCTGTCTCCCTTTACCTCTTTCTAATTATCTCTTGCCTTTGCATTTTGTATTCAATTTCAGTCTGCTGTCTTTTTGTGCATAAAATTGGATGAGCAAGTGATGAAAACTGACCATACTATAGACAACCTTGATTATAAGTTTGCTTTTCTTCCAAGTTCAAGTGTTATTAGACACTGATATGTATGACCTAATCTCAAATTTCTGGAAGAAAAATTCTCATTGGCACAGTGTAAATCAGGCACCCATCCCACGTGCTTTCCATTGTGCAGAAACACAGCTGTATGTGTAGGGAGTTTCCCTGAAAATCTCTCCTCCTTGAGAAACTGTGCTTGAAAGTCTCTACCATATTGTCCTAGTAAGTACTTTTCTTGAGGAAACAGGATGAGAGTTTACGTGAGTTATTTAACATACAGCCAATGTGGTAAAACTAGGCTGAGCCTCCGGTCTGTTTCTCAGTTCCCTTTTCCATTGCCCAATTCACAGATTAAAGACATGTACTAGTGTTTGTTTTTCTCTCATAATTTTAAGGGAAAGACAATTCACAGAAGTGCAGATAATAGAATACTTTCCGAAGAGACTTCAGTTTGAGAAAAATTTTCAGAACATCTTGGAAAGGGATATGAAGGTTAGACTGTGGAGATCATGGAAATGTGTGGCCCAGAATCTTCCTGATGAGAACACAGTGGTATCTCTGAGCTTTCAAAGAAGGCATGCTTTTTCCTCACTGTTCCCAACCAATGACTGCACATGGCAGGCAGGGAACTAGTGGTGTCCATTCCTGCAGAAGAGGGCTGCCTCTCACAGGCAACATTGACTTGATATGTCCCCTCAGTTGAAAGATCCTGAGAACTATGCTTTGGTCTGAGACTTTTCCCACCTGGCACTATTTACTGACCTCTCCTTCCAGTTATTAAACCTATATTGCTTAGTCTGAAAGTTTCCCCGCCTACTCCTGCCCTTCATCTTCATCTTTCAACTGGTGTTTCCTTCAGTTAATTTCCTGTATATCTAAGCTTATCTTGTCAGGTGCCTTTCAAGGGACATGATATCACAAAATTTTGGCGTAATTTTTTTTAATAAAAGGAAGAGAAAACTGTGTTTAAATTAAAGATAGATGCAGTTGGAAAGGGGCTTAAAATATATTCATTTTCATATTGTTTGTGGGATGTTATAGGACTTTCCATTGAGCTAATCTGATTTTTTTAAATGGCATTTTTGTTTTTTTTCCCCCTGGGAAAACACATATAAAGCATATATACACTGATGTTAAAAGAATAAAAATGCAGGACTTAAAAGCTACAAAATAAAATTAACCCATTATCTTATTATCATTAAATCTTTCTACATTTTCAAGTCTTTTGCTTATGTCTTTGAATTTTTTTCTAAACTAGGATTCAATTAAACAAGTGTTTTTGATCTTTTTCTTTTCTATTAATTTTACATTCTTAACATTTTCCAATGTCACTGAATAATGGCATATATTTTTAATTGATAACATATTTATACTTAGGATCTTCTAACAATTTGTCCTTTTATCCCTGTTTTCATTCCTAGTTACCATTCTGGACAAAAGGTGCAAGTAGAAGGGGATTGTAAAATTAATAAAAATTATCAGAATATAACATACTGATTAATTTTTGGTGTTGGAGGAAGAAAGCTTCAGGGGTAGTTCTGAAAGACAAAAGATCTTCAATGTCCTTCCCTCCTTTATATTTCCAGTGATCTAAGAGGCTCAACCTCCTCTCCCCAACACCCATGATGCCAAGTTGTTGCTGGCATTGATGATCTTTTGTCTTTCAGAGCTACCTCTGAAGCTTTCCTCCCCAAGGAAAATGCCCTGCTGACATGCTTTCAAATTGTAGCAAGTATCTTAAATATAACTGATTGCTGTGTCTACTGTTCCTCAGCAGATAGCTCTGATCATGAGTTGATTACCGTTTTCCTTAACTTTACTGAGAAGGCTATCAGAAACAGCAGAAATGGCTTCAGTTTCTTTGTCATGCAGATCACCTCTGGATGTTTTTTGCATCTTTAAACTCAGCAATTGTATGAGCAAACAAATGTCACCCAACTGGTGGTGTGATGAAAACAGCACAGACTAAACCAGCTGCTGTCAGGAAGTCCCTCCCAAAACAAAACCTAGCCTCAATTATTTGAACTGAATTGGGAACCCTAAGGCCTACCAGTCAGTTGGGACACCATATTGGAGATGCTATCAACTTGTACATCTCTCAACTGACATAGAAACCACTTGGGAGAATTATAAACAACATTTTCTTTCCAGGGGGAACACATGTGCCCTTGAGGTTTTACATTTTTGTAAAGAATCCAAGGAGCAATTCCCTCCAGAAAATACAGTGATTGTTTCTTTCCTTGGCCCCGGGAGGCATTGAGGGCAGCCCATTGGTTGGGCTTGTAATAGGTGATAGAATTGCCCTAGACTTCCTCTTGTAGCTTAATATAAATTCCATGCAATTCTCAGTACTTCCTACTGTGTTTAGATTAATGTCCCAGGCCAAGAGGAAAAGTCAGTACAGAAATATAATGAGAAAGACCCTTGGTTTTCCAAGATTAATGGTTTATGGGATTCATTCAGCCAGGACCCTGGGAGATATGCTTGAGGTCAATACTATTTCACTTCTTATCATAGGTTATTCTCAAGTATTAAAGTATTTGACAGGTGCATATTTATATACACAGCTTAGAGTACAACAACTTAAGGGTGTTTGATAGCCTGAACATAATCTTTTGGGTTGCTAATAATCAGATCTCTTGGGATTATAAGATTTAATTTTTTCTATTGGAAGATACCACTGTATCTGGGCTGGGTGTTGGCTGACATCCTTCTGTGTGATGTAAATCCTGAACTGAGTTGTGCTATGGCTGTGTCTGGATATCTACCTGGCAGTGGTGCTCACATGGCAAGGAAATCACAGTTGCCTCAAAAGGTGATAGCTTTTCGTTTGGAATAGTGACTCCTTTAAATTAGGGACTTCATAGATGAAGATGTACTCTCAAATAGTACAAATCTCTAGCTCTCAAAGTGCTTCTAAGTGATGAATTATGCTTTCAAGCTTTTTTATTTTTTATTTTTTGCTATCCTTTCCCTGTAAAACGAAGCCTTGTCAGTTGGGTTCTACCAATATTTCATGGAGCTGCTTTTTAAGGACTACGTTTTTGGGTCTTCAATGTTTTCTCCATTTTTTTTCAATTCCATAATAATTCATATGGGGTTCTAGGCAGGAGAAAGGGATTATCAAGTTGTTTGTTATTAAATGATTGTCTTAACCAGAACTGTGGTGCTCCCCTATGAATCACACCATATCTCTGCATATTACAGTGGATGTGAAAGAAGCAGGTGGAATATAAAGTCCTGTGAAGTGGTATCATATGTGTGTAAAGACCCTGCCAACATGACTCTTCACTTATTCTGTTAATGGTGTGCTATTCCAGATCTCTAGAGGGCTGCTGAAGCAAGACTTATCAGTGTCATGACCAGATTCAGTGAACCAAAAACCACAACACATGTTCTATTGAAAGAGTGTTGTACCATTTCCAGATGTTCACAATTTTCATAACTACTACTTATTGACACTTCATCCTTGTCTGCTTCTATAATAATCATAGTACCTATCATAAATTTTCACCCTCCGTAACACTTTGTGGTACACATATTTTGGTCCCTGTTTTTTACATAAAGGAGCAAGCTCAGAAATAAGTCACTTATTCAAATCATGCAGCTTGGAAAGGGTAGAACTAAGACTTGAATCAGAAATTCTCTGGCTTTCAAATCCATTCAATTTTTACAACATTCTATGAAGAAATACACAAACAATTAATAAGCTAGTCACAGATCTCACTTTATAGTTCATACCCATTGTGGCAAGTATTTGTATTGTAACTAAGAAAACTACCAAATACACATACTCATACCCTGAAAAAAAGACAAAAGGAGTACAGCAAATGATTAAAACAGAAGAAAAACGATGAAATTGTTGAAATTGTTGGATATGTACTCATTAATCCAAGTATCTGTAAATTGGTTATTCTAGAGGCACACGATCAATTAGGAGCTTCATAAATCTTAAGTAATGGCAACATAATTTTTATAGTTTGGGAAACAAGCTTAAAAATCACGAGCTTATAGTAGTTTACCTTTATGTCAGTGATTTGAAAGACTAAATAAACTAAATTAAGCTATGGTTTGAATGTGTCTCTCCAAAATTCATATTGAAACTTAATGCAATAGTATTAAGAGGTGGGGCCTTTAGGTGGTTATTAGGTTGTGAGGACTTTGCCCTTATGAATTGAATTAGTATCATTGTAAAAAGGCATGAGGGAATCTGTTAGTTCTTTTTGCCCTTTTTGCCCTTATGTTCCTTTTGCCATATGAGCACACAGTGTTTGAGCCTTCTGCCATATGGGGATGCATATTGGAAGCAGAGAGCAAGCCTCACCTGATGTGAAATCTGCTGGTGCCTTGATCTTGCACTTCCCAGTCTCCAGAACTGTAAGAAATAAAACGTCTGCTCTTTATAAGTTACTCAGCCTAAGGTATTTTATTATAGCATCAGGGATAGGTTATGACAGTTACTAAAAGCAGAAGTAGTAGAATTATTTGGCAACAACAGGACTAGCAAAAAAACTAGACAAGTGTTTTGTAGTCTTGGATGCCCAACTAAACATTATAATTATTTTTTAACTTTTCTGGTTTAGATTGATCTCAGAGTCTGAACCCTCCTTCAGTCTTTTATTTGTAGTATTCATGGAAATTTCTGCTGCTTAAGATATGTAAATATTGACATTCTGAGGTGAAGACAAAACTATTTCATTAATTTTGCATGACAGCTAAAAATACTCGTGAACTTCAAGACTAGACTTCAGCAATTTTTATTTGAATTAAAGAGAGTAGAAGCACAACATGTAAAATAATTAATAAGAATTTTTTGTAAGACAAAGAACACTAATATAAGGTACATAAAATTAAAGATTTAGTGACTAAGCAACACAGAAATGAAAGGATTCCTCCAGGGATGTAAATGAGAACTCTGTACCTGCAGCTTCCAAAACTTTGAATGCTGCCAAAAATTGATCACATCAGAATCAACTAAGTAACAGTATTAGTTGAATCCTATGTAAGTTGTGCCCTTTAATAATTGCTCAGTTTAGATTTAAAGTTCTAGGCTTTTGGTAGGGGAGAGTGGCTAAGTGTATTTGTACATTTGGTGCTATGGTAATTGCTTGATACGATCATATTTGGGTATATTACTAACCTAATTCAAATAGTAAAAATGTAAATTTATGCCTTCAGAACAATTTTTAGAACATTGAGCCTTTATAATCTTATATAATGTCTGTTTTTCATTTTATAGATGAGGATAGTGTGATTCAGAAAGAACTAACATTTTATATCTTGAAAAGGAAAAATCAAATTTGCCTATTTTAGTTGCCACCCCAAAATTTCTTCTAATTCACCTAATTGACCAACAAATATTATTCTATCATTGTTTTCATATTTTTATGAGGAATATCTTATAAAATGCTCATAATGTGTTCTTAAGCAAGTTTCTAAATTGCAAGTACATTGATAAGACCACAAGAGTAACGTTAGACTGGTAAGCCTGACGAACCAGAGTGTATTTTAATTTATATTATGAGTTAAAACACTATCTCTTTAGAAACTGATGCTTCTGAGCGAGTCACAGGATGACATCAGAAAGATGGCAGAATATAAAGTCTCAGGCTTCACTTTCCCCACCAACAGAAAGTTCAACCACCAACTATAAACAGACCAGAACATCCTTCTGAAAACTTCAGTACTTGGAAACAGGCCTGAGAACTTGTGTGGTCTACAGAACTGAAGGAAATTAAAATTAACAGGGTAAAAAGAATGGTCTCACTCATATAATGCCACCCCTCCTCCTCCCCCAAGTTGGCACAACACCAGACAGGAGGATTTTCTTGGGCCCATGGTTTTCCCTACAGGGGAAAAAGAGAACCAGAGGTAGTCATGCAGCTTCCTTGGCACTACAAGACACTTCCTTGGACTCCAAGTCTGATCTCACCACATGGGGAATTGTAGGGAAAATGGCATGGCTAGACTGCTTGGCAACAAGTAGAAACAAAGAAAGGACACAGAGGTAATAGTAACCAGTGCATAGATCTTGGTGGTACCTCTCTGTTTCTGCCAATGGCAGCACATGATCATATTTACCAGCCAGCCTCATGGCCCGCTTGCAAAGCTGAGCTGGTTGCCTTCAGAAACACGATGGGGAGTTCAACCTAGCTTGAGTCCCAAGACTGCTTGTCTCCATGTACAGTCTAAGACCCCACCCCAACAACACCTCACATTTAGGAGGATGCTTGCCTCCACTCATTTCAGAAAAGCATAGGGGCTAGACCTACTTGACTTTCCAAGTCAAGCAGGAGATTCACTTAGCCAAAAAGCCTATGCAGTGACCCTGCAGGCAGGGAGACACTTACTTTCAATCATTTCAGAGAAGTAGTGGGGGCTAGACAGGCTTGACAAGGAAGTCAAGCAGAGGATCCATTCAGCCAAAAAGCCCTCCCAACAACCACTCCCAGGCAGGGACATTCCCACCTCTGTGCACTTTGAAAAAAAATGTAGGGTCTAAGCCTGCTTTACTTAGGAATTCAAACAGCCAATCAACTCAACCAAAAGCTCACCCCACAGCTCTACCCTGATAGGGAGACAATTTCCAATTATGCATTCCCTGGGAGGATAATATCTGGTTCTTCCTGTCCCAAGCAGTAACTCTGCCCAGCTTTGGAGTCCAGCTTGCAGACCTGCCCAGCTGTAGATCCCAAATAGTAGAATTGCCTGGCCAGGCAATACATCCTTTCACTGGCCTGAACAGAAGTCATCACAGTACTGAGTCAGCTACTCTGCCTTACAGCAGAACACAGCCAGTGGTCTCACCAGACACTGAAGCCCAGTTAGCAGTTCTACCCAACATCAAAGCAAAGGCAGCAGCCCAGGCAACTAGAGGACTCACAACAAGCTGTGCCTGCTTGGGGTTGTCACCAGCTGTCTCTTCCCAAATCACAGGCTAAATTAAATAGTGAAGATCTATCCCTGTCCAAAAGACACCAGTAAAGGCCACAAGTCCTAAAATGCATAAACAATGCAAGGATACAAAGATTACAAAGAATAAGGGAACATGACACCCCCAAAAGAAATAAAGCTTCAATAATAGAACCCAAAGAAATGGAAATCTATGAAATGACTGATGAATAAGTCAGAATAATACTCAAAAAGAAGTCGAGTGAACTACAAAGATATATGTATCATATGTTAATAGAATTTGGAAAACAATACATGAACAAAGCAAGAAGTTTGACAAAAAAGTAGAAACTATAAAAAAGAACCAGATAGAAATCCTAGAGATGAAGAATGCAGTAACTGAACTGAAAAATTCAACAGAAAGCTTCAGTAGCAGACTTAATCAAGCAGAAGCTGGAAGGCAGAATATTTGAAATTATCCATTCAGGGGAACAAAAAGACAAAAGAATAAAAAAGAATAAAGAAACCCTATAGGAATTATAAGACAACCTCAAGAAACTAAACTTTCACATAATAGTAGTTTTAGAAGAAGAAATAGAAAAGGTCTAGAAAGCATATTTAAAGAAATAATGACTGAAAACTTCTCTAATTTGGGGAAAGATGCCAACAGCTGTGGACAGGAAGCAGGTTTCCAATCAAATTCAACCTAAAGAGGAGTTCACCAAGACACATAATAATCAAAATATCAAAAATCAAAAACAAAAAATTCTGAGAAGAGCAGATAAGAAACACATTATCTATAAAGAAAAATCAATACAACTATCAGCGGAGTTCTTAGCAAAAAAGAAAAAAATCTTGACAACTAAAAATACTTTATCCAATAAATCAGCCTTTTGGAAATGAGAAAAAAATAGAAACTTTCTTAGACAAATAAAAGCTAATAGAATTAATTAACACTAAACCTGCCTTACAGGAATTGCTAAAGGGAGTTATCCAAACTGAAACAAAAATTGTGAATTAATAACATGAAACATATGAAAGTGAAAAATCAATGATATAAGTTAAACAAATGCACACCCAGAATACTCTAGGACTGTAATGATGGTGACTAAGACAATTTTATCCCTAATGAGAGGTTTAAAGAGAAAATTATTAATAACAACTATATCTAAAATAAATTGTCAAGGGATACACAGTACAACATGATATAAATTCTGAAACCAAAACATAAAACATGGAGAAGGCTGGTGTAAAAATGTCGAGTTTTTGTATTCTATGAAAGTTCATATGTTATCAGCTGGAAATAGACTATTGTAAGATGTTCTATATAAGCCACATTGTAACTATAAAGCAAAAATCTGTAGTAAAAGCACAAAAAAAGATAAAAGATTCAAAGCATATTACTACAAAAATCCATCAAACCACAAAGGAAGAAACACAAGAGAAAACAAGGAGCAAAATATCTACAAAACAACCAAAAAACAACTAACAATATGGCAGTAGTCTTTACCTATAAATAATTACCTTGAATGTAAATGGATTAAATTATCCAATATAAAACACAGAAGTACTGAATGGATAAACGAAAATAAGACTCAATTAAATGCTGCCTACAAGAAACTCACCTCACTTTTAACAAGACACAAACTGAAAGTGAAGAAATGGAAAAAGATATTTTATGGAAATAAAAACCAAAAGACATCAAGGTTAGCTATGCTTATTTCCAACAAAATGACTTTAAGTCAAAAACTGTTTTAAAAAAAGACAAAGAGGGACATTATAAAGTGTCAGTTCAGCAAGAGAACATAACAATTGTAAATATATAGAGAGAGTAAATCACTTTAAATTGTTGAAAAGTTCTCAGAATTTTTCATGGTAATAAAACAGTGTGTAATGAAAATAATTTTACCATATGTTAATTGACATAAACAAGAGTTAACTTCCCATGGCATATTTCCGATCAAAAGCACACCAACAAGCTTCTAAATAAAGACCCACAGCACTTCTAATGTTAAATATTGAAGTAAATGTAAGCCACACAAATATTCATGAAATATCATTAAATCAGATAATGAAATTATTACCCAATTTTTAGTGCATCAGTGAGTGACAGTGTTGATAGTGGTGGTGTGTTAATTCAAGGAATAAATGTTTACAAAGAAAAAATCATAAGTACCTCTTATAAGAAAAATAAAACCATAAGAATTACCCCTTCTGGGTCCCCACATATCTTTGGCTTAGTACATATTTGCACATGTATGGGAAAAAATTACTCAACGTCCTGAAAAAAAACATGAAAGGCAAGAAATCAAACAATTTCTGAAGCTTGAACGGGTAAACAATTGCTCATGTTAGCACCAGACAGAATGGAAAGACCTCATAAAATATGCGACATTTGGTGGAGCTCCCAGAAAAGTTTTCATGACTCAACTTTTCCACTTCCAGGTATATACCTCCCCAAAACTGAAAACATAAGTTCACATAAACACTTGTATATTAATGTAACAGCATTATTCATAACAACCAAAAAGTAGAAACAGCCTATATGTCCATCATCTGATGAAAGGATAAACAAGATATGGTTTACACATGTGTTGAAATATTATTCATAAAAAGGGATAACATTCCAATATATGCTACAATACAGATGAACCTTGAACATATACTATATGAAAGAAGCCAGAAATAAAAGCCCACATATTCTGTGCTTATTACATGTAATATCCAAAGCAGTCAAATCTGCTTAGACAGAAAATAGGTAAATAGTTGCCTGAGGCTAGGAATAAAAAGATGTGTGGAATACTTCATGATATGGGGTATTCAGTTTCTTTTTGGGAGGGTGAAAATTTTATTGAATGAGACAGTAGTGGTGGTTGTATATGCTTGTGAATAAAAACCACAGAATTGTGTACCTTAAAGAGTAAATTTTATAGTACATAAATTATCTCAATAAAAAGAAAAGATACTGCATGAATAGTTGGACTAGATTAGCTCTAGACTAAAGGAACCACTGGCTCACCCTAACAAAGCTTAACAATAGCCTTGGATTATAGCCTGGCAAGGAGATCAGAAAATTGCTTTTCCACAAAAGCAAACTTGGGCGACATCAACGAGAACAATCATTTTAGTGCTCAAGAGAAATAAATGAAAGGAATCAATAATATAAAAAGTGTTTATGCTTTAACAACTGTTGAATTTCAGTAGAGAAGAATGGAACACTATAATGTTCTGGCCTTTGATTGCTTCCCATTTCTGGCTGTTTGGTACAGAGGTTCACCCAGGGTCGAGCAGGTGATGAGTGTGGCAGATCTCTTCTGCCTTCAAAGAACTGACCTGATTTAGAGCAGTGGACAATGCTCATGTTCTGTGAAATTATCAGTGAAAGTGTCTATCAGTAGAGTCAGGTAAATTCAGAGGAGCCAATGGTTCAGATCTATTAGGCTGAGATTGTGGGAGTGGTTGGGATATGCATGCACAGCCCAGAAATAAAAGACCAAGCTATTCAAACACACCCCTATCCAATACTGAAACTGAAGACATGTGATAAGAGGCTCACAAAAGCCCAGCTTCAAGTAAAACTCGGAGCACATTTCAAGATAAGCTGAAGTTTAAATGCACACCTTTGCCTAAAGACAGCTCCATTAGCAGAGAAGCCTTACTGGTTCAAGGCATTTAAGAAGAATTTTTGTCCATTTATTGGCTGAACATTAAATGACATGGACATGGAGAAAATGCTTAGGAAGACTTTTAGGTCTTAGGAGGCTTTAAAAGTAAAAACTAGGAAATAAGCTGAGCAGAAATATCAGAGATCACAGAATGTAGGATATACAGATTTTCACAGATTTATTTCATGTAAGCAATTAAGCAAAAACAAGAAAAAGCAACAATAGTCTTTGAGGGGTTGGGGAATCAGAATCCATAGTTGCTATAATATGTTACCTAAAATGTTCAATTTTAAATGAAAAATATGAGACAGGGAAAATATCAGGAAAATATGATCTATAGTATGGGGAGAAAAAAGACCATAAAAACCGTATCTGAGTATGTCCAGATGTTAAATTTGACAGACAAAAACTTCTAAGCAGCTAGAACTGAAGGAAATCATGTTACAAGAATTATAAGAAGGTAATAATAAGTAATCAATAAAGAATCTCAATAAGTATGTAGAAAATATGAAAAGGAACGATGGAAATTTGAGAGTGGAAGAGTAAAATAACTAAAACAAAGAATTAGCTAGAGGGGCTCAATAGCCGAGTAAAGGTAGCAGAGGAAAAAAATAATCAGTGAACCTGAGGATAAATCAATAGAAATCATCTCCAATCTAAGTAAGAGAGATAACAGATTTTGAAAATATCTCAACTTGATCTGTACATGTAATACAGTTCCTATAAAAAACTCCTTCTGAAATCTTTATGAAAAGTCTTTAGAATAGCTAAAACAATCTTCACAATTGAATAATAAAGTGAAAAGAATCACATTCATCTATATTAAAGGCTTATTATATAGTTACAGCAATTAAGAGTGTGATATTGGCAAAGAGACAGAGAAAGATAAACAGAGCTGATTAGAGAACCTAGAAATAGATCCAAACAAATAAGCCCAGCTGATTTTTGAAAGAGATGAAAAAATCAATTCAATGGAACAAGGATAGACTTTTCAACAAATGATATCAGAGCATTAGACATCAATAGGCACCCCCATCCCCTGCCCAAATAAAATAAACCTCAACATAATCCTTACACTTTATATAAAAATTTAACTCAAAAGGATAATAGACTTTTGAGTCTATTAAGTGTAAAATACACTTATATACTTATATAGTCTATAAGTGTAAAATATAAGGATATAATAAAAAAACAGTAAATCTTCAGGACTAGGCTAGGCAAATAATTCTTAATACCAAAACTATGACCCATAAAATTAAAATTTGATGACTTGAACTTTGTAACAATGAAAAACTTGTGCCCTGTGAAACCATGTGAAGAGGGAAATAAAGACAACTCATAAGCTGGGAGGCAATATTTGCAACCTGAATACCTGGAAATATCTAAAACGTATAAAAACTCTAAGAACTCAATAGGAATAAAACTAATAATCCAATTAGAAAATGGCCAAAAGATATGAAGAGATATTTTACTGATGAAGACATACAGATGGCAAGTGAGCACGCAAATAGATGTTCAGCACCATTAGTCATAAGGAAAATGCAAATTAAAAAACCACAATGAGATACTACTACATATTATTAGAATAAAAAAAGATAGTGACAACACCAGATGCTGTCAAGGATTTGGAGAAAATGTATCATTCATAAACTGCTGGTGTGAATGTAAAATGGTATAGCTAATCTTAGAAATAGTTTGGCAGTTTCTTATACAGTTAAACCTGCAATTACTGTATGACATAACTATTACATTCCTGGGCATTTATCTGAGAGTAATGAAAACTTAGGTTCACACCTAAACATGTAATGAATGTTTATAGCAGCTTTATTAGTAAGAACTGCAAACTGAAATCATACCATGTATCCTTCAATAGCTGTCTGGTTAAACAAACTGTTTGCAGTAAATCCAAACTACGGAATACTACTCAGTAATAACAAGGAACACACTTATTTAATACATGCAACAAGTGGAATGATTCTCTAGGGAATTACGCCAAGTGAAAAAAAAGCCAATCTCAAGCATTATGCCCTGTGTAATTCAATTTTTATAACATTTTTCAAGTGGCACAATTCTAGGAATGGTGAATGGATTAATAGTTGCCAGGGACTAAAGTGGGAGTGGGAGTGGAAAAGGGAGAAAAATGAGTGTGGAGTAATGGGGCAACATGAGACATTCTTGTGGTAATGAGAACATTTGCATCTTGACTGTATTATCAATATCAATATGTTGGTTGTAATATTATAATATAGTTTTGCAAGATGTTACCATTGCAAGAAACTGAATAAAGGATATATGTGATCTCAGGCTGCACATTGTAAGGGAAATGCACTTCATGGAACTAGTCTAGCCAAGTCACTAAACAAACACACAATAACCACAATCTTTAGGGGAGTGTGGTTTATATTCAGAAAACAATAGCAAAAGAATTGAGATTTCAAAAATAATTTTGAGGCATGAAGAAAAATATTAGTAGTATATATCCTATAACAGAAAAAAATCAAGGAATGAAAACATCTTTTGAGAAGATTCACATTTTGGGCTTAGCAAACAATGACTTCAAAGCAGATATTATAAGTGAGTTAAAAGAACTAATAGCCTACATAAAAATTAAAGGGAAGTATGATAACCATGTCTCACTATATAAACATTAATTAATAGATTAAAAATTATATAAATGAGCTAAATAGAAATTCTAGAGTTGAAAATTACCATAATAGAAATAAAAAATATAAGATGTGCTCAATAGCAGATTTGAAGTGGCAGGAAAAAAATCAGTGAGCTTGAAGACAGGTCAATTAAGATGATCTAGTCTAAAAAACAAAAAAAAGAAGAAAAAAAAACGTGAATACTTCAGACCTGTGGGACCCATCAAGTGTAACTATATATACATAAAGCACGTTAAAAAATAAGAGAAAAAGAGAGAGACATAAAAAATTGTGAAGAAATAATGACCAAAACCTTTACAACTTTTTGGGAAGATCTTAATAGGCATATCCAAGAAGCTCAAGGAACTCCAAAAGATAAATTCAAAGAGACTGACACCTAGATGCATCATAATGAAAATGCCAAAAGCCAGAGACAAAGAACGTACCTTGAAATAGCAAAATAAAAATAACTAATTTTGTGCCAGTCTTTCCCAATAAAATTAGCAACTCACTTCTCATCAGAAATGGATTCGAGAAGTTCGTAGGTTGATACATTGAGTGATGAAAGATTGTCAACCAATAATTGTACATCTGTTACAACTATTCATCAAAACAAAGTTAAAATTAAGACATTTATAGATAAAAGCAAAAGCAAGATAATTTGTCATTAGCAGACCTCCCCTATAAGAAATAATAAAATCTTTCAGGCTGAAATGAAGGGCTATTAATAATTCAAACCCGCAAGAAGAAATAACACTGGTAAAAGTAAATACACATTTAATTTTTGTAACATATTTCTTCTCCTACCTTACTGAAAATACAAGTGCATTAAGCAATAGCTATAAAACAGTTATAAACCATCCAGCCTTTTAATGTGTAAATATTTAATTTGCATAAAATGATAGTACAAAAAAGAAGGAACAGAGCTATAGTCAAAGTTTCTACATACCATTGAAATTAAGTTGGTACTGTTTTACGAAAAGTTGTTACTTGTAATCTACCAGCCAATAAATTGGAAAATACCTCAAAACAAATAGTAAAAGAAAAAAACAAGAGAATTAAGATGATCTATAAGAGCATATCTCTTTGACACAACAGAAGGCAGTAAGGAAAGAATAGAGGATCAAGAAAGAAATAAGGCACACAGAAAACAAGTAGCAAGATGGAAGATACAAATCCTATTGTAACAGTAATTGAATTAATGTAAATGGACTAAACTCTTAAAGCAGATTGGAAAAATGAATTAAATAAAACCCTATAATTAAAATACATATTGTCTATAAGAGAAATGCTTTAGATTCAGAGACACAAATAGGTAGAAAGAAAAAGGAAGAAAAAAGACATACCATGTAAACAGTACACAGATAATTTGATTGGCTATATGTAGACAAAATAGATTTAGATAATATTTTTGTCTTGAAAAAATAATTTATGATAGTAAAATATTTAATTCATCAAATAGGTGTAACAATTATAAATATATACACATCTAACAGCAAAGTCCCAAATACAGGAGACAAAAACTGGAATAATTTAGTGATTCAAAAATAATATTAATAAAATAATTTCATTTATAATAGAATAAAATATAAATATTTAGGAATATATTTAGCAAACTACTGCAAGAGTTTGCATTGTTAATTATAAAACATTGCTGAAAGAAATTTAAAAAGAACTAAATAATTAGACAAGCCATATTCATGGCTTGGAAGAGTAAATATTTTAGAATTGTAATGCTCTCCAAATTGATGTTGAGAATTACTGCAATCCGTATCAAGATGCCAAATGCTTTTCTTTGTTTGTAGAAGTAGACAAATACATATTGAATTCATATGAAACTGCAAGAGACCTAGAATAGTTAAAAAAAAAAAATTCAGAAGGAAAGAACAAAGTTGGATGACTCAGATGTGAGGGTGACCTGCATGTGACATCTGTCACCTAATTGATGGCCAAGGTTAATTCAACTGACAGAGCTGGTTAGGTAGGTGTTCCCTTCCTCCCACACCACTCCATGTGTGCCCCTCCCAAAGCTGAGGCCTTGGTCAAAGAGGACGACCTTCCTCAATAGAGGAAAACCATTCTTCCATTGAAGGTATACAAGTAGCAGAACTCCCAGCTAGAATCTCCAAAGCAGCTCTCAAAATTGGAGGACTCAAACTTCCTGATATCAAAACTTATGACAAAGCTACAGTAATCACTATAGTGTAGTACTGGCTTACAGATATAGATCACTGGAATATAATTGAAAATTCTGAAGTAAACCCTGACATTATGGTCATTTGATTTCCACAAAGGTACTTATATAATACAGTGGAGAGAGAATAGTTTTCAACAAATCATGCCAGGAAAAGTAAACATTGAAAAAGAATGAAGTTGGACCCCTACCTCAAACTACATACAGAATTTAACTCACAGCACATTAGAGAACTAAACTTAAGAGCTTAAATTATAAAACTCTTCAAATAAAACAGGAGTAGATTATTGTGGGCTTGGATTATGGAATGGATTCTCAGCTATGATCACAAAGCTAAATCAACAAATAAATTAGAATTTCCTAAATTAAAAAAAACTTTATATAAAGGACATCATCAAAAAAGTAAAAATACAACCCTTAAAGTGGAAGAATATTTGCAAATCAAATGTGTTATAATATAAGGTACTCATACCCACTTAAAGAACTCTTATAACAATAAAAATACATAAAACACAGTAACTGGGCAAATGATTTGGATAAACACTTCTCCAAAGAAGATAAAAAATGTTAATAAGCACATAAAATTTATGTTCAATATTACTCTTTATGGAAGTGCAAATTAATACTACAATGAAATGTTACTTCATACTCCCTAGGATTGTTACAAGAAGATGGCCAATAATAAGTGTTGAGGAGGATGTAGAGAAATCCAAACACTCTTACAGTGCTTATGGGAATATACAATGTGTAGCCACTTGGGAAAACAATTTGAGAAGTTCTTCAACCTGTTAAACATGGAGTTACCACATGCCCCAGCAGCTCCATAATTAGATATATACCCAATAGCATTGAAAACTTTTTTATACAAAAACATGTATACAAATATTCATATCAGTCTCACATATTATAGTTAAGTGGAAACCAACCCAAATATCCATAAACTAATAAATGAATAAGCAAAATGGCTCATCCATACAAAGGAACATTATTCAGCCATAATAAGAAATAAAATACATGTGTTACAGAGTGAAGGAATGTAGACAGGAGTTAGATTAATCATTGCCAAGGGCTAGGGTAAAGATACAGGGTTTCTTTTTAAAATGTTTTAGATAGGGACTGGTTGAAAGTGTTCTGAAATCAGATGTTATTGATGGTTGTACAAACTTATGAATATACTAAAACAATTGAAGTTTATATTTTAAAAAGGTGAATAATATGTGTGTGAATTACATCTCAATTAGGCTATTTTTAAAAATGTAAATGCATTAAACAATTTAATCAAGAGACAGTTTGTCAGACTATATTAAAAACAAGATCCAACAACATGCTGCCTACAGGAGATACATGTTAGCTACAAAAGATATGAATAGGTTCAAAGTAGTGGTATGAAATAATACCATGTAAATAGTACCCTATTTCATAGACTTAAATGTAAGGACTTCTTTATAGTTCTAAAAGTGAGGACTGAAGAAAAAAATGGAGATGAAATTTCATGGTTAACTGATAGCTCTACGGTCATAGAACTAATGCTGATGCGTTACTTAGTGAGAATGCAAAGCACTTCTTTACTGACTTTTAAAAGCACTTGAAAATTATGGCCCTAGTGACAGACAACATACATATTTGTAATCCCCAAAATGTCACATACAAAAGGGCTATTTATAAATGTTCCATAAGGGGAAGACTCATATTCTAGCCACTCTATTATTCCCTACTGGGTTGTCTTTGGGTCAATCTTTTAGTAGACTTTTCCCATATAAAAATTTTAGTGAAATCATTTGGGAAGTGTTTCATGAAGGTGTCATGTGGATTATAACTGTTCCTGAGCCTGTATCAGCAGGAGAAATGCTTTTAGAAACAGCTGAAATATTGACCGCCAGTTTTTCAATATATACATACTGAGTGTCCGATTTGTGCCTATGAAACTCTTGATAGGAAGGTTTAAAATAAATTAGCCTGGCAAAGGAACCCTGTGAATCTAAGTAGAATGAGATAAATAGTAGAATGAGTAAAATATTCAGGCAATGCAGAAGGAACATAATATACTGTCTTTCATTTACAAACATGATGTTCTTGACCCATCTTTGATAGACTTATGGATACAGAAAACAAGAACAGAAAAGATTGAGTGCTAAATGGAGGTAGAATTATTAGGTTTCAGCAGATAATCCTATTTTGGACCCTAGCCCTGGATAAAATTTCCTCTGTCTAAATCTTAATGACCTTGAGCAAGTGTCTAACTCATCAAACCTCATCTGTGGAATAGGGTTGATAAAGGTAGCTGGCAGAGTTGTGAGAGAAGATTGAAGTGATTTAATACATAAAATACAACACAAAGCCTGTCCCATGGTAAATACTTCTAAATATTGGACATTGTTGCTATTTTTATTATTTGAGATCCAAAATCCCTAATTAAAAATTCTGAAATCCAAAGACTCTGGGAACCAAAATCTTTTGCAGAAACTCATTTGGTAGGAAAGCCTGACCTGAAAGCGAGCCTGTGAGGCTATTAGTAGACTTATTCCCATTTGGTGTGTATACCCATTTGTTTAGCACTAGAAATATTAAAGTATTTAATTATTAAATGCTGCCCTAGCCCTTGCTGGGAATGTCCTAAAATATGTATCATATCACCTTTTTAAATTTTGAAAAATTCTGAACTTAAAAGTCCACTTATCTTTAAGAGTTTCAGACAGAGACACGTTGACCTGTATCTTGATTATAATTAACATCACCAAGGATCACAAAGCTAATAATAATATTTTCTTTACAGACAGAATGGGGAGATTAGAGAGGACACAGTTCTATTGGGAAATTGGTGTTACCAATATGTGAGAGGTGAACAGTTACCACTGAATTTAATTACACACCTTGTAACATTGAAATTAATTACACTGGCACATTCTGACTCAAATGTCTAGAGCAGGATTAAAGATAGAAATGTGAAGCGATGCTGAATTTTTCTGTCTATATTGAGATAATCACATGGTTTTTGTTTTTAGTTCTGTTTATGTGATGGGCCACATTTATTGATGTGTATATGTTGAACCAACCTTGCATCCCAGGAATAAAGGCTACTTGATCATGGTGAATTACCTTTTTGATGTGCTTTGATTTACTTTGATTTCAAAAAGTATTTGAATTACTTTTTGATTTGGTTTGCTAGTATTTTGTTGAGGAATTTTGCATCTATGTTCATCAAGGATATTGACCTGTAGTTTTCTTTCTTCTTTTTTTTTTTTTTGTTATGTCTTTGCCAGATTTTGGTATCAGCATGATGTTGGGAGCTAAATATTGAGTTCACATGGACACAATGATGGGAAAAATACTCAAAAAGTGGGGCAGGGGTTGCAAATGAGGGAGGCAAAGGCTGAAAAACTATGTATTAGGCACTATGTTTGCTACCTGGGTGATGGGATCAGTTGTTCCCCAAACTTCAGCATTATGCAGTATACCCATAGAAGCGTCATACAATATACCCATAAAACTGCAAGGTACCCCCGGAATCTAAAATGAAAGTTGAAATTTAAAACAATAAAATAAAAAATAAACATAGAAACAAAGTGACAGTGTAAAAAAGAGGACTAAAAATGGCTACTCACAATTTACTACATCCTTTGAAAAACTGGTCATTTTTGGCAAAGATATAATCAAGTTACTTTTTTTCCTACCCAACTAATGATGGAACATATTAAGTAGCAGAGCTGAACAGAAAATAATTAGTGTGAGTTATAATAGAAGTACACCTTAAAATCATTCCTGATGAAGAACCACTACCTTAGAGAGTGAAATAAAATAGCTGAGTCAAAAGACACTGGAGCAAAGGTACAAGCCTAGTACTGCACTGAAAGAAGATTCAGTAATCTTTTCTGCCTATTTTGAAGTTTTTTTTTTTTTTTTTTACCTCTGTAAAACAACTTCTGTTTTCCTTTCAGGAGGCATAGGACAATGTCTTGACTTTTTTTTATGTTTTCTTTTTTATATATATGTTTTTTGAGCTGGGGTCCTGCTGGCCTAAAACTCCTGGGCTCAAGTCATCCTCCCACCTCAGCCTCCTGAATACTTAGAATTACAGATGCTCAGCACTACTCTCAGCTGGGATATATTTTTTATTGTCACTACTGTGGGGTGGGGGCATGTATGCTACTGGCTGAGAATGCTTCTAAACATCCTATAATGCACAAGACAGACCACCAAACAAAATGTTGATAGTGCCAATTTGAGAAACGCAGTTCTAGGGAGTATGGTTAACTTAAACATGTTCATCCAACAGAGGTGAAAAAAAAATCTCACCAGTGGGAAAAATAATTCCAAAATCACAATTTAGTGCTCTGTTAGACATTAACTGGTTTTACATCCAGCACCACAATCTCATCCTTACAGTCCTTTCTTAAGTTACCTATAAATCTGTAGGTTCTCAAATGTATTCTTAACTGTTTTCTTGCTGCTTTTTTTCTTCATTACGTAACACCTTTGACATATGTTCATTTTATACTTGCATGTTTGTTTTGCTTTTAAACTTTTGAAAATTATATTTTAATAACTGCTTGGGGAAATAGCTAGAAGGATGTATAATTTTGGAAAACTTCATATTTGAAGTTAATTCATCTCTGGCTTTAATATAAAGGGTGAGATGCCAGATACCGCCTTAGTGTAGCAGGTACTCCATCAGTTTAAGAAGACTGATGTTCCCCAGTGATTTCTGAGACCTCAGAGATATCATTTATAACTAGATTCTACAGTCCTCACCTTGAGTAAGCTCACCTTCGTATTCAGCTAACCACCCCATATGCTATAGTGTGGAGCTGTCTTATTTCAGGGGAAGTGGGGGAATGCTTTTCTTCCTAACTAAACCTAATGCTCTACTAAAATTGCATTGTATTTTCTATATTCTGTCTTCCCTTCATCCTGGTGTCACCCCAATAAAATAATTTTTGCAAAGATACAAGATTTCTTCTGCTGTGAGAAAGACCCATTTTCCCATGTATGGACAGGTTTTGAAACTGTCTGAGGCCTTTATCTCAGTCTGCAGAGGAAGAGTGTCAACACACAATAGGCCTTAATTAGGACCCAATCTGCTGAGCGGAGAGTTTCTGCCACCTGGAAGCTGCAGCGGTTTCACATGATGAAATTAACAAAAGGGAACCACATAAAGATGGTTGGATATTTGGAGCAGTGGAAAGAGCTTGATTATTGTGCCAAATTGTTTTCTATCCTGGTTCCACCCTTTATTAGGTGTCAGACATTAGGTAAGCTGTAGAAGATCTCTGAATCGCTGCTGCTTGTCTGTAAAGCTTTCTAGCAGGGTTGCTGTGAAGATAAATAAGATCAAATATGAATTTTCACTATATTCTTGATATTCATTAGGAATAATAGACTTTCACAAATGTAACAAACATGGCTACACTACGGTATATAATTCTTGTCATATAACATTATAATAAGTGTTCGAAAAGACGTATTAAATGTAGACATTAAATATAGAGTAAATTGGAAATGTACTACCCATGGCATATAGAATAATGTCCCACAACCCCTCAGAAAAAGAAGCCCATGTTCTAATCCCCGGAATCTATGAAGGTTACCTTACTATAACTACAACAGTGGAAGTCAGAATGATTTGAGGTAGGAAGGGCTCAACCTGACTCTGCTGGCTGTAAAGTTGGAGGAAGAGGGCCATGAGCTAAGGAATGTGGGCAGCCTCTAGAAGCTGGAAAGGGGCAAGGAAACAGATTCTCCCCTAGAGCCTCCAGAAGGAACACAATTTTAGCCCATGGAAATACCTTTTAGACTCCTGACCTCTGGAACTACAAAATGATAATTTTATGTTGTTTAAGCCACCAAGTTTGTGATAATTTGTTACAGCACTAATAGCTAATACTTCAGGGAATATTATTTGTTCATGGAATATATAAGCAAGGCATAGAACAGACACATCTCCTTTAATAATCTCTAGGGGTTAAAAGAGGAAGGGAAACCTGGTATACATAAATTACAGAGAGTAGAGGCCTGGATGGAGGGATACAGATGATAAGAAAGTCTTCAAAGGAGGTGAGGTTCCAGATAACACATTAGGGCAGAGATGAAAGACACCTAGATATATATCTCATTCATTAATGGGAACAGGGACATTCTGTTTCCTATGTTGGAGTGGGGAAGAAATTGCAGAAATTGACTGATTCATTCATTCATTCATTCATTCATTTGTCATCTATTTGAAATGGCTCACTATGTTTTGGGCACTGAGTGAGAGACTCAGTACTGAACTAGTGGGCACTATCCCTGTCCTGAGGGAGCCTACGGTCTTCCGGAAGAAAAAGACGTCTAACAAATAAAACTGTTAGATATAAATAACAAACATCAATGATGGTGTAAAGAAAATAATAAAATGTTACAGAAAGAAGTATTTATTAGGAACCTTATTAGACTGAGAGAGTCAGGAAAAGCATTCCTGACAGAGTAGCATTTGTGTTGAGATGGGAAGGCTAGCCAGGCTGAGGACTGTGCAAAAATCTCACAGAAGGAAGAGGCAGCAAAGGCAAAGACTGTGTTGGGGAAAAACAGACTATGCAGAGTACATTGAACAAGGAGGAGAATGTCAAGGCCTGGGCATGCAGAGACAAGATTACATAAGAATTTTGGGATATATTCTAAGACTTTGGATTTCCTGATTCATGATTATTCTGATTTTCCACATTTAAACTTGAGCTTTAAATGACAGAATAATGAAAGGCCAGATATGGAAGCATGTTTAGTTCTCATCTAACTGCTTTAATTCCAGTTGAAAAAAGTGAAGTGTAGGGAGGTTATCTAACTAGGTTAAAGTTGCTCAGCAGTGCCACCTCTGACTCTAGAACTAGAACCCCTAGACTCTCTTCTCAACACGCTTCTTCACTCATGGCACTGCCAAATGGGGGAATTCCAGCAGCTCCAAAAGGGACTGCTCTGCTCCTGGAAAGGCAGACAAAAGGTCCACTGGTGGTTCTGTGATTGCAACCTGGCCTGGCTTGCATCAGATGTCATAATAGCCAGGCCTCTGAGAAGCAGAGAGGCCCTATCTGCTAGGAGAAAACAGCCTTCTTGTGGGAGGGTAAAAATCAAACTTATACTTAAGGAGTGGGAGTGCATATCCTGGAGCCCTCACAGAGCTTGTCACGAAAGGAAAGAAGCTAAGTTAATTAGGTCCTACTTTTATTTTTTTCTCCATTGTAAATTTTCCGATCTTCTCAAGGTCTTTTCAAGGTAAAAATTTTCCTGCTGAAGAAAATAATAAGAATAACTAACACCCTATTTAACTCTATGCTAGTTGATGAGTATAAATACTTATATTTCAAAATAAGCTAATTTCTTATTTTTGTGATTAGAAATATTTCTTAAGCATTTTTAGTTTGCTCAGGTCTGTTGCCATTTTGTAAGCTGAGAAATCTCTGTGTGAGTTGAGTGACTTTTTTCCGCCAACTGAGCATAGATATAAGTAATCCTAAAAATGTATGTTAGGGGAGTTGTTATCATGTCATTTAGTTGCATTATGTTGTTACCTTGTATTATAGAATTCTCTCATGTTCTATGTCTAAATGATAAAATGCAAGCTCTCAGAGCTGAAAGAGTTTGAGGGGAAAAATCTTTCTGCTAAATATCTCTTCTGGGTGACACAAAGTTTTTGCCTCAAAAGGAGAAACTGAGCTAATAAACACCGAAAAATAAAAATAAAAAAATAAAAAGCATCCACCTCACCTTATCTCACTCCCGACATTATTGTAGTCTATGCCTGGATGGCCTTTCCCTAGATAATTTACAGCCACCCAATGTTCCTGCTATTTGTCAGAATAGATTTTCTCAAAGTATGGTTTCAAGATCACCTGCCTTATACCTAATGTCAGCCCCACCACCCCGGGCTCTATGTTTGAGAAACAAAGGTTGAGAACCAATGCTTTAGACCTACTCACTTTAATACAATATGAAAACCACTGCTATGTTAGTTTCCATGGGTTCCTATGTTAGCTTATAATGGCCTAGCTGAATTATGCATAACATTCTCATGGAGACTCATGCTACTGAGCATTTCAATTTAGACTCTTGGAAAAGGAAATGTTTTGGATGGTCTGGATAAACAAGAAGGCAGTGGTACCAGTTGTAGGTCTGCCCACTGTACCACCCTGGTTTCCAAGGCAGGACACATTCACAGTCCAGGTTACCTTCTTTGAAGTTCTGTGGTTCTTGATGGATGTGAAGATTGTGTCTCCTAGAGGTTATCAATGTTATTAATGGGATGACAAAGAAGTAAGCCAGGCTCAAGTATATATTTCTAACTAGAAAGATATCCACTCAGGTAGCACTAACTTTTAACAAGGATTCAGTTGTTCCTCTCCACAGACATCAAAAGTAGGGAATATATTCTTCATTGCCTTGTGCCTCCAAGATTTTGTGTAACAAGCAAAGGCTCTTTTCATTGCCTTAGTTACTCTGAAGACCTGCTCATTGGAAGCAGGGGTCTAATACTTATTAGCTCAATTGTTTTACCTAATTCAACAAACCAGAGTATTTTTTGTGAGTAATACATTAAAATACTGTGTGGTCTTCAGAATAAATACTGTGCGGTCTTCAGAATAAGATTTTCACTCTAATCACAATATTTTCTATTAATATGCAAGTTGGTAGTTGATGACCTTTACTTAATTTTCAAGGAGAAAGAATCACAACCATAATCTTAAGAAATTTATTGGCCGGGCACAGTGGCTTACGCCTGTAATCCCAGCATTTTGGGAGGCCGAGGCAGGCAGATCACGAGGTCAGGAGATCGAAACCATCCTGTGAATGGTGAAACCCTGTCTCTACTAAAAATACAAAAAATTAGCCGGGCGCGGTGGCGGGCGCCTGTAGTCCCAGCTACTCGGGAGGCTGAGGCGGTAGAACGGCGTGAACCCAGGAGACAGAGCTTGCAGTGAGCCTAGGTTGTGCCACTGCACTCCAGCCTGGGCGACAGAGTGAGACTCCATCTCAAAAAAAAAAAAAAAAAAAGAAATTTATTATGAAATTAAATATACTAAATGATTACATTTGTACTATTGAAAATTTGTGATTAGATTTTAAATTATCATAATAGATAATATCTACAGAGGATGAAATCAAAATCTTTTTGAGTTAACTCATCATTCCTGCATTAGAGATGTTAAGTATTGTACCTGAGATCACACAGCTATGAAGAAGTGGAGGCAGGATTTGAACTCAAGTGGTTCAATTCTGGAGTCTAACTCTCATGCACTGCAGGTCTCCTCCACACAGGGACATGTAGGATAAAGACAGCTAACCGTGGAACCTTTTGTCATCAGTGGAACCGTTAATTGGCAGCTGCCTGTTTGACCTGGAGAAAAACCCTAATGTGGCCTCCAAGATTCCTGTCCCCTAGTGTCCTTGCTCTGTACAGTGTGTTCCGTTGCAGCTAGTACACAGGACAGCATGTCAGTCCGGTGATTAGATTACCAATCAGTTGACTTTGAGTTAGTCAAAAAAGAGATTATCCTCAGGGAGGCTGACCCAGTGAGGTGAGCTCCTTAAAAGCAGTGAAGTGTTAGACTCCCTTGTAAGCTGTGAAGACACAGTATGCATGAGTTCTGCAACAGCCACGAACTGAGCCCTCAGATGAGGATGCAGCCAGCTGACACCTTGATTGCAGCTTTGTGATACTCTGAGAAGTGGAGCCAGATAAATCCTTCTCAGGTTTGTGATAATTTGTTACGTGCAATAGAAAACAATACAGGTTGTCTCTGTCTTATTTCTTTGATATATCACTCTAGCTCTGACCTCTCCATCTGCTCCCAATACTCTTATCCATAATAACTCATGACCCAAATCATCCACTGAGAATTCCTTCAGAACCTGCCTCTGCATCTATAGTAAATCAATGTCAATTAATCTTTTCCCATTTTCTATATATTCTGACTCATTTTTACTGCCTAGTGATCAATATATATTTTGCTAAATAATTATGCTTTCTCTGTCCCTCTGCACATCATACTAGTTCTGTGAACAAGAGAATTGCTTAAGTTGGTTGTTAATTGTCTTGCTAGACATTTAGCTTTGTAACCACATGCCTTTTCTATGCTGTCTCCCACAGAATCTCTAGCATGTAACTCTGTTCCTAGCACATAGTAGATGCTTAAATAGTATTTGTCAAATAAATGAATTCATGTGGTATCATACAGAGGAAAATAAGTACTGGATAAACTAATTTACTTTTCAAGCAGCAGGAGATGCAATGATCAGCTGAGTGATAGAAATTTCATTGCTTCTATGGGTCCCTCACCCTCACAGCATCAGATATAGATGTGTCTATACTAAATGCTTACACAGTGTTGCTGAATGACAGAAATAGAGACCAAGAACAGATTTATTTATGTGCAACCTTGAGTGGAGCTTCAAAACTAGCTGATTTAGCATGTGGGTTTTGTTTTTAGGCATTTCTTTCTCTTTATCTCTTCTAAGCACAAATCAGATGGAATGTGTGTGGTGCTCTGAATCTGTGCAAAATCAGGTGACATGAGCTAGCTGTTTTGAAAAAGCAGCATAGTTTCTTCATGCCTGTGTCAGCAATCCAGGCCACAGTGGGCCTCCAGAGAATCACAGAGGTCAGTAGAACACAGCACACATGGCAGGATTTACTGTTTATGCTCAGCCCTACATGGTATTATGGTTTCTGCCACCTAGTACACTACACAGCTAATGCACATAGTGTTCCACCTCCTGCAATATATAGTGAGTGTATAAAAAGGAAAATACGACAAGTGTGTATTGGGGAAACAGAAAAGGGAATTAAAATTTCCAGGGCACTATTTGCCAAATATTGTGTCAGGCACTTTAGTAAACATTATTTCATTTGACTCTCACGTTAACCTACTTAAAAATGAGCATGTTATTCCTTTTATACAAAGGATATAAAGGAGACTTAGGACTGATCAATAACAAATACTGCAAGCAGAGGATTTGAATCTAGGACTGTTCAAAGCGTGAGCCAATGCTTGTTTTATGATTTCCCATTGTCAAAGTACATCCAGGAGCCAGGGCCTGAGTTTGAACCCGGTAGTGAGTGTCTTTGGTAGAAAGAAGAGGTTTTATTGTCTGAAATAGTCTGAAGAAGTGCTCTTCCTAAGTGATGTTTGGAATTCCCCAGGTGCACGTTTCCCAAAGAATGTTCCTGCTTGTGAGTAATGAGGGATCAATTTCTGTCTCATTTTCAGCCTGCCTAAATTCAACCCATTCTTTAAGACTGAGTTTAAAGGCCTTATTTGTGGAAGACATATCTCTTCCTTCCTTGATGCTTTTACAGAATATTATTGCACTTCTATTTGTTGTTTATTTTATTCATGATTTTATTACTGTTCATTCAAATATAACAACTATTCTATGTATGTATACTATTCTATACATGAAGAATGTAGAAAATAATAAAAAGATGACTCAGTTTATGGAGCAGAGAGCCATGCCAATAAATAATTGCACATTATGTTAGAAATGTTACGTAGAAGTATGTAAGGATTATACTGGAGCAAGTATCACATGCAGCTATTGTCTCTGGGAGTGAGAGAGGGGATTGTGAGGACGCTATAACTGAGTTTTAATGGTCGAATAAGCTCTTTACTTGACAGACAAAGAGGTAGAAAAGCAACCTGGGAAGAAAACAGAGCATATGCCAAGACTTAAAAGTGAGTGAAAGAGTATTTATATTTAGAAGACTGTACGTTATACCACATGGCTGGAGTACAGTGCATGCTGGGATTTGTAAGCAGAATGAAGATGGGAACTTCTAGATCTGAGTCATCAAGGGATTTGCTTACAAGCTAAAATGATTGGATTTGTTTTTCCTGAAGGTGAAGCAAGATATGAATTGCTTTAAAGTGAATGAGTAGCTGAGCAGCTTGTATTTTAGAAAGGTCATATTGGAAGCAGCAGGGAGAAGAGATTAAAGCAGAGAGAGTAATACTGAGGGCAGGGAGACAGTTTGAGTGCTCATTGATTGATTAAAAAAAAATTAATGACCTCCTAAATTAGTGCTAACAGCAACAAAGTGTCAAGAAAAAATTTAAAAAATGTTTAGCTGACTGCTTCCAGAGCTAGATAGTTGATGAAATAAGGCAATGAGGAGAGGGACAAAGAAATTTAGGGGTTCTGATTTAGGAAGCCAAGATAGAAAACACTTAAGAAGGGAGATAGATTGTGTGAAAGATAATTGTATTTTATTTTTGTCTATACTTTAGAATTCTATTTATATAAGTACAAAAGCAGGAACAATAAGTCTATGGTTATAGAGCTTAGAATGTTGGTTTCTTTTGAGAAGGAATAGTTTGTGACTGAGATAAAAGCTTATGTGGTTTTTTTTTTTTTAACATTGTATTTCTTCATATGGGTTGTGGTGGTTACATGGCTTGACTCATCTAGTAAAAATACTTTGGGCTTTTCACTTATAATTTGTATGCTTTTCTGTATGTATGATATAATTCGGTAATATTTTTGGTTAAAATAATTTAAAAATAAACCAAATGGGTAGTTTTAAGGAAAGTGTAAATACAGATGAAGAGAGAGTTAGTTAAATGGAGGATACTTTTCAAAAAAATTATGTTACATGCAATACAGTCTCTTCCATGCACTTCATGGTAATTTTTCCCAGTTATTCTGCTTTCCCACTTTCATTGACTTCTTGTTACTTAATTCTTAGCTCTTTCTACTAGTCTATCAATGGCTTTCTTCCTTTCCAAATTATAACTATTTTTTATACTCAATGAAACCAATATTTTTGAAAGCATACTATCTGAGATGTAAGAGGTTGGTTAAAATATTAATCAAATGCTATCTGTACAATATCGGACATATTGGAAGTATTTGAAATGACTTTTAGAAATTTTTCTAAGACCGTTGTTTTTGTTTTTTGCGTTATGGTTCAAGAGGTGGTTTCTCCCAAAGAAATTGCAAACAGAATTAATTCTGGAAATATGAAAAAGTAATGCAAATTTAGTTATATCAAAGTAGAGAACATTATCTTTTAAAAAATAGTAAAAAATTTTAATGATGTTGAAGAAAATACACAATTATAATATGCTACGTAATTTTATGGACAATTTTCTAATTCTATTTGTTTATTTTTACTTTGATCTTCTAATTTACTTATTTTATACCATCCTAAACAAATGTGATTCTAATTTAATTAAACTTTTTATTTTGAAATAATTATAGATTTGCATGCAGTTGTAAGTAATAATTTGAAGAGACACCCTATACCGTTTACCCAGTTTTTCCTAGTGGTTATGTCTCACAAAAGTATAGTACAATACCAAAACCAGGATCAATAGAGTCAAGATGCAGAACATTTCCATCACCACAGTGATCCCTCATCTGTCCATTTTATTAACTCACACCCACTTCTTTCTCCCCAACCCACAGAAATCTTAACTCCTGGGAACCACCAGTATTTTCTCCATTTCTAAAATTTTATCATTTCAAGAGTGTTATATAAATGGAGTCATACAGTATGCATCCATTTAGATTGTCATTTTTCATTTAGCATAATTTCCTGATGATTTGCCCAACTTTTTGTGTATATTAACAGCTTATTCTTTTTTTAATTGCTGAGTATTAGTACATGTGTCTTAGTCTGTTGGAACTGCTATAACACAATACCATAAACGGAGTGGCTTATAGACAACAAAAATGAATTTCTTACAGTTTTGGAGTCTGGGAAGTCCAAAATCAAGGTGCCAACAGATTTATTGTCTGGTGTGTGCCCACTTTGTCACCTTTTCCTGTGTCCTCAAATGGTGAAAGAGGTGACAGCCCCCTCTGGCCTTTTAAATATGGGCACTAATCTCATTCATGAGGACTTGACATATGAATTCAACATACGAATTTTGGAGGGACACAATTATTCAGACTATAGCAACATGGTATGTGTGTATCACAGTTTGTTTAACCATTCACCTGTTAAAGGTCATCTGGGTTGTTTCTAGTTTGGGGCTATTATGAATAAAGCTATTTGAACATTCATGTGTAGGTTTTGTTTGAACATAATTTTTCATTTTTCTGGAATAAATGCCTGAGAGTCCAATCTGGGTCTTATGATAGTGACATGTTTTAACATGTGTAACTGTTTGCCAGGATTGTTGTACCATTTTACATTCCCACCAGCATTCTGTGAGTAATCCAGTTTTTCTACATTCTTACCAGTATTTTTTTTTTCTTTTTTTACCTTAGCCATTCTGATGGGTATGTAGCGATACCTCATTCTGGTTGTAATTTGCATTTACCTACTAGCTAATAGTGATGAACATATTTTTATGTGATCATTTGCCATCAGCTAGTTTGCAAATTTAAAAAAGAAGATGCCGATAAATTTTTGGTTGATATATAGAGAAGGCAATTATAGACAACATTTTCCAAATCAGAAGAATATGTTGGTTGAAGGTACAAATTTGAAAGAAATGGACCAAAATTAAGTCAGTGGTTAGATGGAACAAAGTAAATTAATGAGAATGTAAGAGTACATACAAAGTTGGATGAGAAGAAGAGGGGCATCTTTGATAAAACCATCGTTTAAAGACATGGAGACTCAAAGTATCAAGAAGTGTGGCAGAGCTGGGGTGAGCTTCATGGAAATGCTTTTTAAAGCATAAGAATTACATGCAGTTTGAAAATCCATGGAAACCTAGTACAGAGAGGAATGAGTAAGTTTGCAGGGAAGAGACGTCTCATACTGGGATCACAAACAAGTGAAACATTCCAAGTGTGGCAAGCTTGAGAAAGGCAGAAAATGGAGAAGTGCCCATCTAAGCCAATAGCAGGAATTGCCCAAAAAGCAGGTACCTTCCAAGAAGGTCAATCTGGATACATTTCCTGAATAGCAGATGTGTTTTCATTTTGAAGGCTCAGAATTTCACACTTGGGAATAGTTCTCAGGTGTGGTATCTTATAAAATGTTGGTTACTGCAAGGAAAGATCAAGGAAAGTCTAAGGGATGAGCCAATACTTATGTGATTTTTTTTTTTTTAAGCTGGAGTCTCGCTCTGTTGCCCAGGGTGGAGTGCGGGGCCGCAATCTCAGCTTACTGCAAGCTCCACCTCCTGGGTTCTCTCCCGCCTCAGCTTCCCAAGTAGCTGGGACTACAGGCATCTGTCACCACGCCTGGCTAATTTTGTTTTTGTATTTTTAGTAGAGACGGGGTTTCACCATGTTAGCCAGGATGGTCTCGATCTCCTGACCTCATGATCTGCCCGCCTCAGCCTCCCAAAGTGCTGGGATTACAGGTGTGAGTCACTGTGCCTGGCCATACATATGTGATTCTTTACTTGGCTGAATAAGAGTGGCTAAAAGGGACCACTGGACTAGGATAATAAAAGTACCCTGTTGAGGATATACCTACTGAAGCATTGGGGTTCTGGACTCCATTAACTCATTCTTGGCCATAAACACTGGCCCAGGAGTTCAGCTGCTATGCAAGGCAGTCCACATTCAGTTTATGCATCACAATTAGCCACTGTTTCTCTGTTTCTCCTTTCTATTTACCTTGTTCCTCCCTTAGGGAGACAATTTAGAATTATTAATTAGTTTCTTACTGATACAGGGAAATATCCACAAATAGAAAAATGTGGCAAATTTTTGAGGTAATATATAAGCCTCAGGGATTGGGCTTTGACAAAACATACAAAAAATGCTGAGGTTATAAAAAAATAGCAGTGAAAGGTCATGTGATTCAAGCTGCTTAAACAATGTCAGCGACTGCCTCTGGTTTCCTTCTTATGTGAGAGAAACAAACCACTATCTGTTTAAACCACTCTTAGTCTGATATTCTGTTACTTGTAACCGAAAGGATCTGCAGTTCATTGAAGCATTCTGGAATGAGGATGTAAAAAGCTACTAACTTAATTTCATCTCTGTCTTAGTCAGTTTGTTGTTGTTATTGCAGTAAAGGAATACCTGGGGATGGGAAATTAATAAAAAGAGTTTATTTGGCTCATGATTCTGCTGGCTGGAAGATTGGGCATCTGGGGAGGGCCACAGGCTGCTTCCACTCATGGTCAAAGGCAAAGACAAGCCAAGGTATGCAGAGGTCACATGGTGAAAGAAGAAACAATAGAGACAGGGGAGGTTTTAGGCTCTTTTTAACAAGAAGCTCTTGTGGGAACTAGTAGAGTGAGAGCTCATTCACTCCCAAGGGAGGGTATTGTCTATTCATGAGAAATTTGCCCCCATGGCCTAAACACCTGCCATTAGGCCCCACCTTCAAAATTAGGGATCAAACTTCAACATGAGGTTTGGAAGAGCCAAACATCCAAGCCATAGAAATCTCTAAATTAGAGTCCTGTCTTCCCAAATCTTGACAGCTTTTACATAAAACAGTGTAAGCAAGCTAGAACATTTCAGCTGACCTCATGCATGAGAGAAATAGAGAGCTGCCCATATAATCTCAGACAGGAAGTTTTGAAATGATCCAGTGCCTCTGAAGCCTCCCACATCTAGCATCACGTGTCAGTTCATTTTCATTTTATTTTTCCCCATTTGTTCCTTTTGAATATTCTAACAATACTAGGACAAAACATATCAAACACATGAATATAACTGTTAGTGGATTATGAGATAACATTTCTTCTTGGAATGAGAGAAACCCATAGCTTGAAAGCTCCAGGAATCTGAGTGTTTGGGGAATCAGAGAGAACAGAGAATAAAGTAGTCATAAAGGGAAAGCGAGAATCTGTAGACTAAATTTATCCTGTTTGTGGTTGTTTCTCATAAAGAAACCGAGATTTGGTTAGCTCTACTTATCAACCCTGACTCTGCCATTATATTGCTGGAGACTCTGGAACCTGGAGATGTATTCCAGAGGCAAAGCAGCCACCCGGATAGGCCCTGTCCATGAGATGGCAAATTTAAAACACATTTTAACAATCGTCCTTCTGCTCCAAGTTGCTAAGCAATCTAATTTTGCCCACCGCACAAGCCAGCGTTTTAAGTGAGGGCAGCTGTCCATCCTACTCTGAATGCAGGATCTGTCATGATGTGCAGTTTGTGTGTATCATCACCAAGAACGGGCCCAGGAATTCGGAGAGGTGAGAAAAACTAAATATGCTTAACTAGTTGGATATCAGTTTGGGGCAGAAATCCTATAAAATGATCTTTCCTGCCCTTTAAATCCCCCAATGAATTTAATGGTTTTGATCAAAGCATGTAACATGTGCAGAATACATTTATTTCTCTGTATTTTGGAAGGAGTTATGTTTCCTCATGGAAGACAAGTAAAGGTCAAAGGGGGAGGGACTTTTTGGGTATAGAGATTTTTTTGTTGCCTTAATAGGACGCTCGCCTCATGCAACTTCAGAATTTATCCTAATACGGGAATGATTAAGATAACTTTTAAGCTGCTACTTCCCAGTCTCAGCATAAAATTCTTATTTTAACTTAAATAATAATTGTAAGTAGTTAACTTAGTTCCTTATACTTTCAACTGTGGAGTAAAGGATGTATTCCCAAGCAAATAACAAGCTTCTAAGAAATTATCCAAATTGACGAATACCTTTACTCCAAACCGCTCACAGCAAGTAGTAGAGTGAATCCAAATCAATTCCTCTGTCCTCAAGCCATAATAGAAGCAGATAAAAAACATGAAACACTGGGCTTTACTGCAGTTAATTTGGAAGAAAATGTTATACATGGAGAAAACCTGATGGTGTTTACTGGGTAGGAACATGTACCTGTTGAGTATTTGACAGAAGACTGTTTTGAATGTCTCAAAACATCCTTTATTGATTAAAAAAAAAAAAAGGTGAGAAACACTTGCTCTGAATATTGGCAGAGAAAGATTTCTTAGCACCCTCTATTTCCTATTCTGCACTTATGCACCCCAAGTTGTTAAAAAAAAAAGAAAATGAAATTAGCTCACCAAGGGCTTAATTATATCCCCTTCAATGGGCATCAATACTATTGGCAGCCCTCACAGGGATAGTCTCTTGACAAATCAAGTTGTTGTCTGAGGCATGAAGTGTTAGATTATGATTGAGCCAGCGTGACACTATGATTCATGGTTGCTCTATTACTGAGGGGAAGCCGGATTTCTATTTTATAACGAGTATGAATTTCTAGTGAGACAAATGAATCCTTTTGTTCAACTTCAAGAGTTCATCTTCAGTATCTCAGAACAGAATTATTTTACAGACTCAAACATGTGAAGACGCAGAGGGGTATGAAATAATGATGCATAAAGCTTTCTGTCCTGAAACACACCCTTTGGAATTCTAAGAAGGGCCTACAGTGAGCTGAGCCATTCAAATAACAAATGATAAAGTTGAATCTCTCCAGTGTAGAATGTAATGTTTTAATGGATATTGTTTTAGCATTCAGTGTTTCACATCATGGTCACTAACCCACACTATCGCTACTGTGGTGATATGAGTATTATAAATTTTATTAAAGAAAATTTTCTCCTTAGCAAGTATTCACAAACCTCTGGCTGTATATTAATAATTGCCAATCTTTTTCTGATATGGATATAAGACTTAGTTACTTCATATGTTTATAAAATGTTATTAAAATACAGTTTTTTAAAAAACAGGAAACACAAAAAGTACATTAAAAAATACTGGAATTCCTGAAGTATTGATACATACAATTTGATGAAACTCCAGGGAATTATGCTGACTGGGGAAAAAAAAAAGCCAATCCTTAAGGGTTACTTACTGCATAAGTCCATTCATACAACATTATTGAAATGACAAAATTATAGAAATGAAAAACAAATTAGTGCTTTGCAGGGAGGAGAGACAGAGCGAGAAGGGAAGAAGAGATGGATATGGCCATGAAAGGGCAGTGAAAGGGATCCTCATAGTAATGAAAATGTTCTGTGTCTCGATTGTATTAATGTCAATATCCTGATTGTGATATTGCACTATAGTTTTGCAAGATGTTATCATTGGGAGGAATTGTTTAGAGTACATGGGGCCTCTTCATATCATTTATTATAACTTTTTGGGAATGTAATCTCAAAATAAAAAAAAATTTAAAAAGTTTAAATCAAGTTCATACAACCTAAATACAATTTTTAAAACCATTTCTATGTATATATTTTCAGTCCTTTAATATGCATAGATTTTTTTTTTTTTTACAAAGCCAACCCATAACTCTGTGTTTTTATGTAACCTAAATTTGTTATTTAACTATATGGTATGAGCATTTTCCTATTAGCCATCAATCTTGTTAATGAAAATGCTATTTTGGCTGAATATTTATGTGTAGAAACTGCATTGGAATACTTGCACAAAGTTAAATATTTTAAAATATTTTCAGACATAATTTATATATTGCCAAGTTAATGTTTTCATACTTGTAGTAGGAACTATTAATATTTCACACCATCCCTTTGCTCACATCAAGGGGCTACAGGTTCTTATACTTATGCCATGGACCTGAGCACCCTCTTTTTTTTCCCATGATTTTTCAGAGTATGGGTTAGCAGACTAAGGAGGTGAAATACGGGAGGCAAGAACAGGAAGCTGCTTGTTTCAAGAGTGTAGAGGAAGGAGTATGTGTTTAATAGTGGGTATCAGGGCGCAATTCTATGCACAATTCTTTCCAACCACTGTTCTCAGTCTTTTCCAAATAGTCCCTTTGGGATCAGGGTGAGAGCAATGTAGAAAATCTTCTTTTCAGTAGAAATAAAAAGACACAAAGATACTGTAACTTGAAAGGCCTTATGCCGCTGTCAGCCTGTGTTCCTGTCTTCAGAAATTCCAGGGTGGTTGTTTGAATTCAACCTCTTCCACTTACCTATAGGATTTTGTATTTTTGTTAATGTCTTTCACAGATAACAATACCACAAATCCTGCCCAGAGAATGTGGGCTTGAGACTGTACTCCTAAGTCATTTGGCCTTTGATCTATACCTCATACAATATACAAAAAAAAAAAAAAAAAGACCATAGACATAGATATAAAGCTAAAACTATAAAATGTATAGGGGAAAACATAGAAATCTTTGTGACCCTTGGTTAGGGAATAGACCCTTGGTTGTACAAGAGATCAAAAGCATGATTTAAAAAGGAAAATATTGATAAATAGAACTAGATTGATATTAAAATTTTGCTCTTCAAAAAATACTGGTAGGACAATGAAGACAAGACATGCACAGTATACAAGAAATCATTTGCAAAGCATATATGTGACAAAGGATTTTTTTTTTTTTTTTTGAGGCAGAGTCTTGCTCTGTTGCCAGGCTGGAGTGTAGTGGCGCAATCTTGGCTCACTGCAACCTCTGCCTCCTGGGTTCAAGCGATTTCTCCTGCCTCAGGCTCCCAAGTAGCTGGGATTACAGGCACCCGCCACCACACCCGGCTAATTTTTTGTATTTTTAGTAAAGATGGTGTTTCACTATGTTGGCTAGGCTGGTCTCGAATGTCTGACCTCAAGTGATCCTCCCGCCTTGACCTCCCAAAGTGTTGGGATTACAGGCATGAGCCACCGCGCCTGGCCTGTGATAAAGGATTTTATCCACAGTGCACAGCAAGCTATCAAAACTCAGTAACAGAAATATAAGACACCCAAAAAATAAATAGGCAAAAGATTTGAAAAGATCCAACAACAAAGAAGATATATGGATAAGAAATAAGCAAATGAAAAGATGTGCAACATCATCACTAAATAAGAAAATGCAAGTGAATGCCACAATAAGATATCACTACACAACTGTTAAAACTGCTAAAATTGAAAAACATGTCAAATGGTGAGGAAATGGAAGAACTAAAACGCTCATACACTGCTGATTGGAATGTAAAGTGGTACAATCGCTTTGTTAAAACAAGTTAGCCACTTTTTTGTAAAATTAAACTCACACCTACCATTTGATTCAGGCTAGGTATCAACCCGCACCCCACACAAAAAAATATGTCTGCTCAAAGACTTATACAGTACATAAACATCTATAACAACTTTATCTGCAATAGCCCCAAACTGAAAACAACCCAAATGTATCAATAGATGAAAGGTTAAAAAAAATTGTGGTATATCCATACTATGGAATACTAGGAATATACCATTGCTATATAATGAATTAAAATCAAAATGACTATGCTGAGTGAAAAACACCAGACAGTACAGGGTACACACTGTATGACTGCATTTGTACAATACTCTAGATAATACAAACTAATCCGTAGTGACAGAAAACTTATGAACAGATGAATGTGTGGGTCTAGAAGAGAAGAGAAACAAGGAATTACAAAAGGGCATAAGGAAAGTTTTGGAAGTTGATGGATATGTTCAGTAATTTGATTGTGGTGTTTTCATGGGTGTATATTTACACAAAAACTTATGCTAATATGTGTACTATTTATTGTATGCCAATCATACCTCAATAAAGCCTAAAATAATATTAGAAAGGTACATATGAGCAATGAATAAATACTATAAATGTTAAAAAAAAACACCACATATTTGTATAGACTTTATACAGGGTTACTTGTATAGTGACTTTTATGTTGGGACTTTAAATTATTCCTTTAACATAGAGACAATTGGATAATTTGAAATCTGCATATAAACTGACTAGCAATAAGAAATGAATTGATTGTTGACTGAAAAGAGGGCAAAATGGCTCCTTCTGGGAGTATTAATTGATAACATCAAGAAAATCTCTTTTTGTGAAATGTCAGCAAAGGTGACAACTCTTATGGATGGGAGTTGCTGCTATGCCCAGCTCCTTGTGGCTCGCCTGAATTTCAGGCCCAGGCAAGGAGACAACTCTGGAGCCATAAATTATGGCCACTATTTATCTGTCCCCTCCTTAACCAGATTCCTGGCTCTAGCTAGTTGAAATGGCTTCATCAACATAGGTGCTCACTTTACCATCCCTAACCACATATCCAGTTATTTAGATAAGAGCAAAGAAGCTTCCCCCTATAAATTTTTGGAGGACTATTGGAGCCATGATAGCTGAATAAAGTGGTTTTCAGTCTTCAGAGTGAATGTCAATCAGTATGAATCATGTATAAAAACTTGTTACACATTTAATCCCTGAGCCCCAATCTTTGATGTTCTACTTCAATAAATTTAGAATTGGGGCACTGAGATAACTCTGATGAAGATAATTCTCAAATTATACTTTGAGATATCCAAATATATTGGTTATTTGCACTTTCTGTTTTTTAAAGGAATTTGATGTTTTAGTTCAAACCACATATTAAACTGATAATTTGCTTTCATATTATAACCTCAAGATTCTTGTTATAGTTAGAACTGAGAGCTTTTCCTCCCTGGCTCCTCCTTTCTTCATGGTTCAACTAGGTTCATTCAGCTCATGACATTTTCAGAAAGACTACTGTGGGCCGGACACCAGGCTCCACATCAAGAAGACAAAGCTCTTTGGCCTTCATGACAGTGGAATCTGGGAGGGTCTGATACAGTAAAATGGCCAAGCAGGATATTCTGTGTCAGGATCAGCTGGTTCTTCCCTGGCATTCTGGTGCTTGCTTCTTCCATTAATGTATTGTCTAATCTATAAAATGATGGGTGAGTTAGCTGCTCTCTAACTTCTCTTCCAAAATTTACATGACATAACTCTAACTTTTGTCTAAAATAGATTAGTTTCAGGCCTATTGTCAAAAAGAAATACTTAGGAAAATCTAAATGTATAACTAAATAAAAAGAACAGAAAGTAATATTATATTCTTTGATTTTTCTGTCCTTTATGTATGTGTTTTTGTCCTGGCCTATTTATAAGTGGAAGAACAAGGTTTTCTGGATCACTTCTCAATAGTATTTCTTTTCAGTGATAAAATGGTTCCATCAGCCTCTAAACTATCTGAGATATATGGACACCTTACATCACCAAAACACATGTAAGTGAAGAATGAATTCAATAGAATAAACTGTAATACATTTGAAAGACTAAGTTGAATTCATATTATAGATATGGTAGCCAGCACTGTGAGGAGAGCTATAGTGTGAAGATAATGAAGGGACCTCCAATGACAGTTCAATTTTGGAGGCAGCATGAATCAGCAGTGCATCTTCCTACTACTTTGTACATCATTCAGGAGACATCATGCAGTCTTCTTTAAGCAGTCAGATCGGAAAATGCATACATCTTTAATAGACTGCTTGGCTGAAAATGACAGCGACCAACCCCCTTACCCACTGCCCTATTGCTCCCTGCACTCTAAGGCTGGCATATTGGGAGCCCTTGTTGCATGATTAAATTTCAGAAATGGAGTTAGCTTTTTGTTGGAAATGGATAGCAATTAATTAGTTGCATGGCCATAAATGTTTTTGCTGAGGACATACACATTTACTTTCTCCACATTTCAAGAAAGCCAGTGGCAAATGCTAAGGCAGTGGAGTCTAAAAGATGCAGACTGCTTGGTTGGCAAATGGACCTGCAGGACTGATTTTTTTCAGCTGTCCTGAAATGGGTTGTTTAAATGGATATTTAAAGTGGAATATCATACACTTTAAACCATATGGAGCCCAGTGACTGAGGCTTTTAACAGGACTATGGACTATATGATTTTCTAGGTCAGCCCACACTCATAAACAAATAGAGTGACCAGAGAGAAGAGGGTGTTAACATGACATACAAATTACCCCAACTAACAATCCCAGTTTAATTGGGTTTTCTATATTTTTATGCCACAATTTAATTCTGATTTGGTGTTTTGGCTGGCAGCCTGTCTTTTGAAGGCTCTTAGAGATTTTTTTGCTAATGGCAATGAGACTGAGCTAGAACAAAGCAGATCACTGCAGACTTTCCTGCTGCAGAATATAATCAACATGTCATACATAATTCCCAAAGCTGCATACACAAAAAGAGCCAGATCTAAAAACTCATTGATACCACGAATCAAATGATCATTTAAGCAGTCATGCCAGGACTCATGCTGGAGAGTAATAGCTGACTTCATCAGTCTATTGATGAAGCTTGCCAACATTTTTTTCCCCTAATTACTTTTTTTCTTTCAAACCTACAGTGAAGGATGATGATTTTGTAAAAAGCCACAGGCTTTAAAATGCTTTAAATACATTTCAGTGTTGAAAAACAAACCAAAATATATAAAAATAAAAGCACTTGTGAAATTTTGTTTGCTTTGCTAAAGAAGGAATGTCTTCTGTAATCAAAAGAACTGTGATTTTGCCCAAGTGTGTTTGTAGCTCTTTATCCTCTCACTTTGTTCTGAGCTGCCAGGGTTGGCATCAAGGTTTTTCTGTGTCACTGCAGAGCTTTGGAAAACTTAACCTTTTCCTTAACTATGGATGAGGTTAGACAGGGCTCTGTCTATACTTGGGTACTACATATATCTGCTACTAACAGCTGGATGGATGCCGGGAAACTCCTGTAAGCATTCTTCTAACTTGATAACCAACATCAAACAACAGTTAAGATTCCCACAATGCTTTCAACTGAAAAAGGTTGCAAAATGGTGGTTCGCAGGTAGAAACAGGCCTGGACATAGATTCTGTTTGACCAGGACAAGTTTTAAAATGCTTTAATTTAGATGTAAATGACTTTAAATGGAAAATGTTCTCTACATTTTTAGTTCCCACAGTACATACCCCTACTGTGGAACCTACAGCTTGGTGCATTAATGTTTTGGGTCTGGCCCATCTAAGTATTTGAGCTTGTGTTTTTGATTTAGGTACGTGATTCTTCTATGAAGTAAAACTACTAAAAATGCAAGCTTCTGTTGGTAGAAAAACAGAAGCACCTGTTTCCAGGAAGTTAAAGATTTTAGAACTCAATTTTCCTATAAAATTTTATTTTTACAGTTTTATATATGTTTTAAAACATTATGTAACTGTTTTTAAATTTTCTTTATGAAGAAATGGAGACTCTTTAAGAAAATAGTTCAACATGATTTTACTATCTCAAAAAGCTTTCCCCACATGATAAAAGCTGCAAATAATTTATTGTTCTTCCAAGAATCTTCTTAAAACACCCGTAAATTATGTAATAGGAAGCATCAAAGAACAGTTTATATCCTCTTAAAACTTTTTGCCTCAACATTGTTGTCTTGCTCTATCTACAAATCCTAAACTATTATTTCATGACTCTTACTCAATCCAAACCAAGCTCCTACATTGGAATACCCACCATAAACAGATTTCAGAATCCTCAGTATCCCAAGTTTGCTCTTCCCCTTCTGAGACACTACTAAGACTTTCTTAAGGTAGTGGTCTCCCTGCCTAGGTAAGCAAGAAACCTAGTTTTGTCTTATAAAAAAAGTAGGTTTGATGATAATGTGGAGAATGCAGAATTCAACAATCCATTTCACAATACTGTGACATTTCTCCTTTTTAATTTTGGTGGGTTCAAAGAATAAAGGGTAGAGAATGCTATCATTATAGATATAGTGAAAGAATGAAACTAAGAAAGAAAGGCAGATATCATGGAATGCCGGAGTTGGAAGAGAGGTTAAAGGTTATATCATTTTCCTTCATTAACTCTTCTTTTGACAATGTCTCCATTGCCCTTACGTGTTCTCATGAGACTTGGTTTCTTTACTATTTATTCTTATAGACAAAGAAACCAGAAAAATGCCATATTATTGTCCAGATGTGAGTTGATGATAATTAGCAATATTGTCACAAATACAAACACGGAAAAGTAGCGGAGATAGCAAGCATGTTCAAAAAAGAAGAATCAGCGCACATGATAATGAGTGGAAGAATGAGAACAAATTTAAAGATGATTAAGACTTCAGAGAGTAAAAATCTGGGAAATGGAGATGGCACGGTCAGAATGGGGGAAAATGCCATGTTATAATTATTTTATGAACACATTATGAACTTGGATATGACCCATTTTAGGCTTTGATTGAATATGTAAATGGAAATACCTTAAAAAACAAAGTGAAGAGTCAAAGTAAAAAATTGATATTTGGAAGTCTTGTGAATGAATTGAGTTTTTTATGGGTATGGAAAGGGATGAATAGAAATCTCCTATTGAGACTTAAAAAGAGTAAAAAGAAGAAAACAAGGATAAAAAATGGAAAGAAAGTAGGAAGAAAAGGAGAAATGGTTGGAAGAAGAAAGAAAGACAAGAAATGAGAAAGAAAGCAACGGAGAGAGAAAAGAAAAACATTTCAATGAAAAAAAGAAAGTTAAGTGAATCAAAGAGGAAAAGGACCAAACCAAGATTAAAAATAATTTTTTCAGAAGGAAGGAGGTGGCCAACTTTCTGAAATAAAGGTGAAACATATGTGATGGCAGAACTTAAAAAAACTAATTAAAATATTAATTTTGTCCAGAGAAAGAATATTAAATAACTCTAGGGAGAATTTTAGAAGCAATTGATAATAAAAGCCAGTTTGCAGAAGATTAAGAATATTTTGTATATAAATGAAAAATCAGGAAATGTGCTTGAATGCTTATCAGTTGTCTCTGCTGTATTTTAAAGTAAAAAAAAACATATATAAAAGTGAAACAATAAAGCATCGAGGTCAAATAAAAAACTCTAAAAGGAGAATCTGAACAAATAACTAACTGCTTAGATAAAAATATGTTCTCATCTGGTTTGCATGTAGATGAGACAGAGAAAGTGAGAGAGAAAAATAAAACTACCATTTATGTGTTTGTCCTACCTTTTTCTCATTCTTACTGATGGTTGCGTTCTCCCAGTTTCAGGAGACAGTTTGTCTGGTTGATGAGGTCATCATCAGTTTTGATTTTATGTTCTTCCCTCTTTGCCATCATGTATTCTTCAGCACCTGCTTCCAGCACTTCCATGGGTCATGCACCCCCATCTCATTACAGATAGAATCCTTATTTTAATGAACTTCTATGATATCAAAATCATTTTATCACATAGCAGTCTTTTCCTTGAAGCACCAACACAAAAAATTATAATGAGGTTCTTCCTGGGGAAAACTTCCCATTTAGTGAACTTTGCTTAGTGCCTGAAGTTTGAGTGGTTAATGATATTTTTGTCTGATGTCTTGAGAATCATTCTCTAAGAATTTTATCTTAAAAATCTCAGTGAAAGCAAAGCATTTCCTAAAAATAATAAGTGAAAAGCTGCCAGTAGATTGTAATTCATAAAAACAGTGTATAATACCCTGATTTTTTTACCATTGCTCACAGGGAATTGACTTCTACTTGTAACATTTTCATTCCTTGATTTAACCAAAAGATTGCTTATTTTACTTTATTTAAATGAAAACTAAATACTCAAGATACAGAGTAAAATGCTGTTTAAGATATAAAACAAGGGTTTTTTTAAAATAAATACATAAATTGGTTATGTTGTGTATTCTGCCTGCCATATATAAGTGCAACCTTGAAGTTTTTTCTCTTCTTTAAAGTGTGAGCACATGTGCTCCATTTTCTAGGCAGCGTTTCTCAAAGTATGGTACATGAACTACCTATATTAAAGTCACTTGACATTCTTTTCAGACTAAATAAACTAGGAATCTGCATCTTTAATATGCAACTTCAGGTGATGATTAAACGTTAAAGTTTGAAAAATCCTCTAGGAAAGAAATGCTACATAAATAGTACCTGTACTTATGTTTAATACAAAATGTATAGTTGAATGTAACTGCAAGATGCTCATTGGTGGTTTGTAGATTTTTTTGTTCTGTTACTGGAATATGGGAGACAGAGAGTTTTGGAGGAATGATGGTTGTTCATGGATAGAATGTGGGAGCAGACAACTACTGAAGTCAGGCCTTCACAGTTCCTGTATGGAAATCATCCTCAGGACTGCCTCAGGACTGCCCAGAGCATCACTGTTAGGCTTTTAGTTTTCTTCTGCCCAAAATAAAACAGAAGGTCTTGCATGTCCATGGCTAGTTTCCCGGCACTTTTGAAAGAATAATGCCCAAATCTTTTGATTTCTTCTTACATATAAAAGCTAAAGAGTAACAGACCAGACTTTGATGTAAGGAAATCGGAAGAAGAAAAAGACTGAGATGTTTAGTGCCAATTCAGAGGCAGAGAATTATGAAATACAGAAAGTGGATTGATAGAGCTCGAGAGATCACAGCTGTTAATGGACAAGAAAAAGGCTTCAGTTATTTATGAAAGTGCTTGGTGAGAACAATGTGAGGAACTTAGCTAAGTTTAATGCATCTGGAGAAAAGAGAAGAGAATAAGATTTCTGGTCATGAGACCTCAGAATTGAAGAAATGCTAGTTTTGAAATATATTATCATGAAATGAGTGCTTATTCTTTCAGGTACTGTGTGAAGCACTTCATAGATATTACCCAATTTAATCTTCACAAATATTTGCTTCTGGAGCAGACATTGTTATTCATGTGTTACAGATGAGCAAAGAAGACATAGGAGGATAAAGCATTTGGTCCAAGTTCACACTGATACTATTGGTGCTGAGTTTATAAGACTAATCTAAGACAATCTCCTAAACAGTGCTTTAGAGGAGAATCACTCTGCACTAAAGCTGAAAAAAAAGGCTCCCCTTGAATACCAGACGAGAATCTACTTGAGGGTAAGGTAGTATATATTTGGTGAAAGAAGCCAGCTTCTCATAAGCCCAACTCTATCTCCATTTGGAACCTATTTACAAAAGCCTGTGACCTATTGCTCTGTTTGTTGACTCATCTGGGTTACTGCTATTCTTTGATAGCCTGTCCAATACTGTGTGCCTGCAGGAATCCCAGGAATCACAAAATGACACTGTGTCTGATAGAGTGATGATTTAGATGGCCCATTATGGAAGAGAGCTTTATTCTCGTGTGCATAAAGAATTCTCCATCCTCTATCACACTTGGCTATATCCCTTACCATTGGCAAGGCTCTTGTTCTGCCCTGTATTTTTGTCTTCTGCCTCCTTAATCACCTGATCATTACCTGTTATTCATCATGAACTCCCATTCCGAAGGTCCCAGCTCATTACAAATACATAAAAATAAAACAACTGTTTCAAATTCAAAAAATTCAATAGATCTTTTCCTTTTTTGCTTTATATTTTTCTAAAGAACATTATAAATTGTGTACCCATAGTTATATTATAATACATAAAATGAAAATGTTCTCTGTATAAGTCCTACATGAATAAAAACTAATAAGCATATATATATTCTACTGTACCTTAATATTTAAAAAAACAAAGAATTTTATTAACAGAAATGTTACTGTAGTCTATCTACAATCTGTTTGTGGTTCATGAAAGAATTTTCAATTAAAGATCAAACAACTAAAATGGTATAACATCAGTCCCCTTTTCAAATCTCTCTCTGATCAGGATCCTGTTTTATTAAACAAATATATTCCCTATTCTCTCACCTTCTTTATTCCACACTTGCCTCTTGTATCTCATTCTATAATGTAATGGCCAGCTCAGGCTGTTACTACAAAATCATACACTTGGTCACTTAAATAACAGACACTTCTATTTCCTAATTTTGTAGGCTAGGAAGTCCAAGATCAATATGCCTGGAGATTGGGTTTCTGATGACAGCCTACTTTCTGGTGTGCTACCTTCTCCCTTTGTCCACACATAGCAGGCAGACACACACACACACACACACACACACACACACACACACACACACACGTCTCTGGTTTCTCTTTCTCTTCTTATAAAGGTATGAATTCCATCACAGGAACACCATTGTCCCAACCTCATCTAAACCCAGTTACTGCCCAAAAACCTCCCAATATCTTGAGGGTAAAACTTCAACATATTAATTTTGAAGGGGCACAAATATTCATCCCATACAACATAACTAGGTTACTCTGTCCCACCCACTCTATGCCCCTTCTCTTTCTGCCACATATCAACACTGTGCCCTGGGCACCTACAGAATCAGCATCTGGGACATCAATTCCTTATCCTGTTAAAGAGAAGTGAAAATACAAAATGTCATTTACCACACTCTAGAACACACACTGAAATTTTTTAACCTCTGAATCTTCAATATCTCTGGTTTCTTCTCAAAGTTATTCAGAGTAAAACAAAAACCTGTCAAGATTCTTCAAAGAATGAGAACAGAGAGAGTATTTATTTCCTGGATTTAAGAGACTCTATACTCGATCCCCTATCCCTTTATCTATACTATACACTCTTTTCATTTTTTACAATTCAGTGATTTTTTAGTATATTCACAAGATTGTGCTATGCTATCATCACCACTATCTAATTGCAGAACATTTTTATCACCTTAAAAAGAGATCTCATGCCCGTTAGTATTAAAGAGGTAAGAAAGTGAATCTCCTTGGAGCCTCCAGAAGGAACCATCTCTGCCAAGATACTGATTTTATACTGGATTTCTGACCTCTAGGACTGTCCCTCCCTACCTATACTCCCTGGCAACCACTATTTTACTTTCTATCTGTGTGGATTTGCCAATTCTGGATATGTCATATGAAAGAAATCATACAAATCTACAGCCGTTTGTCTTTGACTTCCTTCCCTTAGCATAATGTTTCAAAGTTCATTCATCCTGTAGCATGTACTAATATTTAATTCTTTTTATGGATGAATAATATTTATTTGTATGCATATATCCCATTTTGTTTATTCAACAGCCAATGAACATGTAAATTGTTTTCATGATTTTGGCTCTTATAAATAACGCTGCTGTAAACATCATGTGAACATATGTTTTCAATTTTCTTGGGTATAGAACTAGGAGTGGAATGCTGGGTCAGGTAACTGTTTAACTTTTTGAGGAACTGCCAAAGTTTTCCATAGCAATTGGACTATTTTATGCTCTCACCAGCAATATATGAGGGTGCCAATTTCTCCATAGTCTCACCAACACTTACTTATGTTTTTAAAAATTATTACTATAGCCATCCTCATGTTTATACAGTGATATCTTATTGTGATTCTGATTTGCATGCTCCTAATGACTAATGGTGTTAAATACATTTTCATGTGCTTATTGGCCATTTCTATATTTTTGGAGAAACATCTATTCAAATTCTCTTCCTGTTTTTAAGTTGTTTGTCTTTTTATTGTTAATTTTTAAGAGTATATTTCCTGGATACTAGACCCTTATCAGATATATGATTTTCAAATATTTTCTTCCATTCTGTGGTTTTATCTTTTTACTTTCCTCAAAGCGTCCTTTGACACACGAAAGTTTTTCATTGTGATAAAGTAAAATTTATTTTTTCTTTGGTTGCTTATGCTTTTGGTGTCATGTCTCAGAAACTATTCCCGAGAGTCAGAGATTTATATTTAAGTTTTCTTCTATGAGTTTTATAGATTTCCCTTTTGTATGTAGGATTTTTAAATCCATTTTGAGCTAATTTTTAAATGTCATTTAAGATAGGAATTCCAATTTTATTCCTTTGCATGGGAATATCCAGTTATCTCCACCCATTTGTTGAAAAAAATTCCTCTTTCTACTTTGAATGGTCTCGGCACCCTTGTTGAAATTCAGTTGACCATATGAGTTTATTTCTGGAGTCTTAATTCTGTTATGTTGATCTATACATCCATGACAACACTATGGTGTCGTGTATACTGAAGCTTTTAGTTTTGATATTAGAAGATGTGAGTCCTTCAACTTTGCTCTTTTCAATATTGTTTTGGTTATTCTGTTGCTTTTTTTTTTGAGTTTCCTAATACATTTTGTAATCAGCTTTTCAGTTTTTGCCACAAAAGCAATTAGAATTTTGATGTGGGATGCATATGTTTTGAAGATCAGTTTGAAGGACACAATAATGAGTAAAGTCCCCACTCAAATATGTCCATGTCTGAATCCCCAGAATCTATGAATATGTTACCTTTCATGGCAAAAGGGCCTTTCTAGCTGTGATAAAGTTAAAGATCTTAAGATTTTCCTGGATTACCTTTGTGAGACTAAATATAAGTGTCCTTATATGAGAGGGGAAAGAAGACTTTAGGAGAAATCAATGTGATGATGGAAGCAGAGACTGGAGTGATGGGACCACAGGCTGAGGCACACTGACATCCTCTATAAACTTAAAGAAGCAAGAAACGGAATTTTCCTTAAAGACTCTGGAAGAAACCATCACTGCCAACATGTGGATTTTATGCTGCATTTCTGGCCTCCAGGGCTATAAAATAATAAATTGGTGGTGTTTTAAAATACTAAAGTTGTGGCAATCTGTTAGTGCAACAATAAGAAAACTAATACAGAGTGTCACCATGATAACAATATTGTCTTCCAATCCACATGAATAGAATATTTTTATTTACTTTTTTAAATAACATTGAATAACTTTCAGTGTAGTGTACAAGTCTCACATTTCTTCTGTTACATTTATTCCTAAATATTGTATTCTCTTGTATGCTATTTTAAATGGGTATTTTCTCTTCATGTTCATATTGTTTACTGCTAGTATATAAAAATACATTATTTTCATTCAGTGTACTGATCTTGTTTACACAATAGAAATCTAACCTATCCTTTTGACTTTTGGCTGAAAAAGTTATTCCAAAAATGGTCTAAGTAAACCAGCACCCAGGGCTTCACTTTACACTTGAGGACTCATAGCGACATGAATTGGCTGCATACTTACAATTATTTTTTACACATGCAAAGAACTATAAGCTTATTTTGCATGTGACTTTGTCAAAAAGTTAAAATAATACTTAAGATCTGAATTTTAATATAATCTGGATGTAAACTGTCTATGCTACCCTTTACATAATGAAATAGTAATACTTCTATGTAGGTAAACAAAAAAGTATGCCCATTTGTTCCTTCTTTTGCTTTAGACTAACTTCTGTTCATTCATAGAAGCTCCATAATTTTGCCATACTCATTCAAATATTCCAAAGGATGCCATCTGGAGAGCAAAGAGAAGCTCAAACAATTAAGCAGGAGGGCCATGAGCATTGTCAGTCCCTGGAAAATCAAGTGCTGAAGTTATAAGCAGCCCTCAGAGAGCTGCTATTCCCCCTACAGCTGGCATTTGGAGAACATGGTCATCAACAGACAAGGTAGCTGATGCTGCAAAACTAGAATATTTTTACTCCAGGATAGACAGTTTGAAACCTTCAGACAAAAGAGAAAAAAATCAACTTTGCATACATTTTTTATTACAGCCATGGAAAGCTTTGCATTCCACACCTTGTCAGAGTTAACAGGTACAGAACTGTCCTTGAATCTAATTTTCATTCCAACAGAAATGTGAGAAGTGAAATCACTGCACAGAAAAAAAAAAAAAAAAAGAAAAAGAAAAAAAGCTTTCTTTACTGTGTGGCTTGCTGCTATAATGTCTGAGGGGAATTCAGAAAACCATACATTAAAAAACATTAGGTTGCATTAGGTTCAATGCAGACTGTTTCACCAGATAATGGCAAATATGAGCTCTAAATTGCCCATATTTAGAAAACTTACATTAGCAAATGTCCCATGAGACATAGATCTAACTTGTTTACTGACCCAGCCTGGTCTATTTGTTGATTATAAAAATATTCAACCTTCTAGAATTTTAGTGTTAAGAATTTCTAATATGTCCTTGAGATCGCACTAGGAAATCTATGAGAAAGTTGATCGCATAAACTTTTTGTGCAATTTTATCTTTCTTCATTCTCAGCTTACAGAAAAATGTACCAATAAAGACAAAATAGGGAAGGTAAAGTAAGCTAATTTTCTTAAAATTTCACCTTTATGGAAAAAAAAAGGCCTTTCTTTGGGATCATTTCCTTTTTTAAGAACTGAAAACATGGGAAGGGGGGACTGTGCTATTGAAAAAACTTTATTTCTTGACATAGGTGCTGCTTGCATTGAGGTTTACCTTGTAATAAATCTGAGCTGTTAAAAACAATGATAATCACATGATTAGATGGATGGATGGTTGATAAAGGGAAGGACAGGCAGATAGCTACATGATACAGCAAATTAAATAAAATGGTAATGATACAGTAGGTGGGTATCTGAATATTAAGTGTAAAATATTTTCAAGTTATCTATGTATTTAAAACTTTCCTAATAAAATATACACAAGCCATAAGCCTGGTTGAGTGGTCACGAGGACAAAACTGCTACTTAAGTTCCCAGCATATCTTATAGCTAAGTCCATATGGGATGTGGCCAGAAACAACATAGAACTGTCAGGAAGATCGAAAATTTGCCTCATACGTTCTGAAATCTCTTATATTTATTTGGCTGCTAGACTGAAACATCACAAGGTTTTTATTAAGATAGAAAATAAAAACAAATATAAATGGTGAATGCCATCTTATTGAAAGAGCTATTGCTAACCAAGTAACTTTAGCCCTCACAAATATTTTAGTTTTCAGGACTATGATAAAATAGAACTGTGAGATTAAATCCATATTCAAGGGAGAAAAGACTATTTTGTTTATCTGGACTTTCTGGCAAGGTTGTTTTATTGTATAACATTAGAGCAATGATGCCGCACCTTGCATTATTGCTCTGCACTTTGTATCCTTTATAAAGGGAATCTTGGAGTTAGGCAGTGAGTGCACAATATGAGGCAGCCTGCATTCTGCTTAAAATGCCTTTAACTGGGATTGTTTAAAATGGTGAAAAATATCTTAGTAGTAATGTAAAGATTTAATTCCATCTTAATACCTTCCCCCAGTCACTAATTATCCTCTCTGTCAAAGGTAATAACCTTCCTGATATTTTTGTTTATTATTTCCTTGCATTTCTTTATCATTTTAACATAAGTACACATTTTCAAACACTACATTTTTCTTAGGTTTTGTTTTGAGTGTTATATAAATAAAATTTTACCGTATTTTTTGTGGTAAAGGTCTTTTCATCAACATCATGTTGATGAGATTCATTCATGTTGTTACATGTGGCCATTTTTCACTTTTTTCATTGCTGCATAATATTTCGCTGTCTGATTATACTTTATCCTTTCTAATATTGACAGAAATTGGGTTACTTCTGTTTATGGATTGCTATTATGAAATTTGTAGCTAAGCACATTTGTTGTCCATATTTCTTTGGTGTACATGTAAAGACATGTCTTTTGGGTATACTTAAGATTAGAATTGCTGAGTCATAGGATGAGAATATTTTCAAATTTAATTGATAATGCTTAATAGTTTTCCAAAATTATCTTAATTTATGCTTCTACAAATAGTGTCTAAAATTCACACTTGTTCCATATTCTTACCAATATTTGACATTTTTATTTTAGTCATTCTCTTGGGTAGTAAATGATATCTCACAATTGTTTTAATTTTTATTTATGTGACTAATTAGGATATTAAGCAACCTTTGGCCCTTTGGATATCCCTTTTGTGGAATGCATGTTCAAGTGTTTTGCCATTTTTCTTTTGAGTTGCCTGTAGTTTTGTTTTTATTTTGTAGGACTTCTCTACATAATTGAAATAAGTTGCCTTTGTTAGTGATATGTGTGGAGAATGTCTTCTCCCATTTCATGCCTTTCCTTTTAACCATTTTGTGAAAATAAATTTTTATTTTATTTTTTATTGTTTGAATTTTAATATACCCTAATTTAAAATATTTATGTATCATTAGTTTTCTGTCAATGTTTAAGAAGTGACTCTATATTGTGAGATTATGTAAATATTCTTCTGTATCATTTTCTATAAATTTTGTTGGTTGTGTTTTACATTTAGTTCTAAAATTTATCTAAAATGAATTTAAAATTTTTCTAAATGAATATCTGATTGTCTCAGCAACATTTTCAAATAAGGCATCCTTTTCCCATGCTTCCACAGTGTTACAGCAAGGTTATTTTTCTGTGCTCTCCTATTCTACTCTATTGTATTCTAGTCTATTTATTTGTCTACCTAAAAACAAATCCCTTCCCAGGAGTTTGAAACCAGCCTGGGAAACATGGGGAAACTCCATCTCAACAGAAAATACAAAAATTAGCTTGGTGTAGTGGTGTGTACCTGCAGTACCAGCTACAAGGAAGGCTGAGGTGGGAGGATTGCTTGAGTCCAGGAGGCAGAGGTTGCAGTGAGCCGAGATCATGCCACATACTCTGGTCTGGGTGATGAAGTGATACCCTGTCTCAAAAACAAACAAAAGCCAAGTTCCTTACGTATTTAGTTATTATTGCTCTGTAAGTCTTGACATTCAGTAAAGGAAGACTTTTAACCGTGTTCTGTTCTCCAAGATTGTCTTTATTGTGTGTGACCCATTACACTGCCACACAAATTTTAAAACCATTTGCTAATTTCTACAACATTGAGATTGTATCAAATAGATACTAGTTTTGGAGACCCAGTGTCTTTGGTGTCTTTACAACTTTTATTTTTCCAATCAATGTTTTATAGTTTTCTGAGAGAAGTTTTATACTAAGTTCTATTTATTAGAACTATTATATAGGAGTATAATATCACAAGAGCACATAAAGCATCAGTGAACAGTTCAATGAAATTTCAAAAGTGAAAGTTCTCTTATAACCAGCACCAGATCAAGAAATAGCACATTACCCAAAATCCCTGCCCCTCTTCTGTCCCATTCTAATCTATTTTTGACCTTTAAATAATTTGAATCACCCAGTAAGAATTGTTTTGTAGATGATTTTGTTACTGGAGGTGAGTCCGTATGGGTCTGCAGGAACCTCAATTCTTGCCTCCTCAGAAGAAAGAATTCAACCGAGGGAGCATAAAGCAGGCTGAGATGACTGAAGCAAGTTTTACAGCAGGAGTGAAAGTTTATTAAAAGGTTTTAGGGCAGGAATGAGAGGAAGTAACATACACATGGAAGAGGGCCAAGCAGGTGACTTGAGAGCTCAAGTGTGCAGTTAGACCTTTTGACTTGGGGTTTTATATGTTGGCATGCTTCCGGGGTCTTGCATTACTTCTCTCCTGATTCTTTCCTTGGGGTGGGCTGTCACATGTTCAGTGTGTTTATTGGAGTTGTATGCGTGCTCCATTGAGGTGTTTACCTTACAATTCCAGTGTTCCTATATTACGATACACTAGTTAAACTCTGCCATTTTGCCTCTTAGTGTGCATGCTTGAGCCCATTTGCCCAGTTCCTGAGATCTTATCAGGAAGCTGCTGATCACCAGCTTTAGGTGTTTCTGTTTATTGAGAGACTGCTTTTCCCTGGCACTGGCTGTGGCCAATTATTATTTTAAAGAGAGAGTTCACCACCACCTGTCCATCACCTGATGGCTGCCTGACATTCCTGGTCCTGGGGTGTGTGGGTGTGTGTGTGTATATCTGTGTGTGTGTGTTGGTAGGGAGCCCTCTCCTGCCCTGTTCATGTCTGACTAGCTACTTACTGAAACAATTTCTTTCAGCCAATACTACATTTATAAAATTTACTCATAATTTTATGTATATTTTAAGTCTCATTGCTATATATATTACATCTTGTAAAAACATCATTTTTTAAGCATTTACTGTGGATGGGCATTTGAGAGATTTCCAGTTTGAGGCTATTGTGAATAGTGCTACTTTGAACATATGAGTTTTGTAGTCTATATATCTAAGAATGAAATTGTTGAGTCCAGAGTTTCCATGCATTACTCTTTTGGAATATGTTGCCAAGAAGTTTTCCAAAGGGGTCATACTAATATTTGATATTTTTGATGATGCCGTAAATGTAATATATTTGAAATGCTCCATTTCCACTTGTTTCTCATGTAGAGAAATGCAATTGATTCCTGATTTATACTTATATCTAGCAACTTTATTAAAGTAATTTATCAGTTTTAATAATTCAGTTATAGTCCCTTTTGGATTTTCTGCATACACAATTGTTACAGGACAGAGAAATATGTTACAGGAAAGGGGTCCCAATCCAGACCGCAAGAGAGGGTTCTTGGGTCTCACACAAGAAAGAATTCAGGGCTAGTTGGCAGTGCAAAGTGAAAGCAAGTTTGTTAAGAAAATAAAGGAATAAAATAATGGCTAATCTATAGACAGAGCAGCCCCGAGGGCTGCTGGTTGCCCATTTTTATGGTTATTTCTTGGTGATATGCTAAACAAGGGGTGGATTATTCATGCCTCCCCTTTTTAGACCATATAGGGTAACTTCCTGACGTTGCCATTGGATCTGTAAACTGTCATGGCACTGACAAGAGTATGGTAGTGAGGATGACAAGAGGTCACTCTTGTGGCTGTCCTGGTTTTGGTAGGATTTGGTTTTGGTAGGATTTAGCTGGCCTCTTTACTGCAACCTGTTTTATCAGCAACATCTTTATGACCTGTATCTTGTGCCTACCTCCTATCTCATCTTGTAACTTAGAATGCCTTAACTGTCTGGGAATGCAGCCCAGTAGATTTCAGCCTCATATTACTTGGCTCCTATTCAAGATGGAGTTGTTCTGGTTCACATGCCTCTACTACAATCATGCCACATATGAATAATGATAATTTTTTCCCTTCTTTCCTAATTCTGCTACTTTGGTCTGTATCTATTGTACGATGTATAATAGGGATAGTGACAATGCCTTTCTTGTTTCCTTCCCCATTTCAGGAGAAAAGCTTACAATGATATACCATAAAAATAGTTATTTTTCCATAAGTTTTGTAACACACCCTTTCTATTCCTAGTTTTCTGGAGGTTTTCACTGTGAATGGATGTTGAATATTATTGCATATGTCTCCATATTCATTAAAATAGTCATAGTATATATATATTTCTAATTGATTTTGATGTTAATCTAATCTTATATTTCTACAGTAATACAACTTACATTAGCAAATGTCCCAAGAGACATAACTATGTTACTATGAATTAATTACTTAGTTAATTAACTTAGTTACTATGAATTAATGTTTTGGTAATTGCTGGATTCAGTTTGATTTTTTAAAAGCGATTTTCATGTCCATGTCCTGTAGAGGTGAAGGGAAAGCCTCTCCTTCGCCCTTGGAAGGTTTGCTGAAAAATTAACTCTCAAAAGGCAGATTAATAGGAGAAAAGGAATACAAATTTATTTGGTCCCAGTTTTATGTGACACAGGAGCCTTTAGAATAAAGACCAAAAGCAACCCCTGCAATGAGGTACAAAACTTTATATATCATCTTTAAGTTACAGAAAGAATGCAGGCACAGAGCATGGCAGCAAACAGGTTGGGGGTGGTAAATGGGGTTTTGGCGGCAAGACAGGTTATGGGAAGGAGAGAGGAGGAGACTTGGTTAGCAAAGGTGGTCTTGTTGTGTACATGAAACCTCCCAGGGAGTAGCCATCAGAGAGAATAGATGGCAAATATTTCTCTTTAAACCTTTAAAGATGTCAGAATCTGCTAATGTTTCCTAGATTCAGACAAGGAAAGACCTGGCTGCATCAAGGCAGATTCTCTACAGATGCAAATCTCCTCTGCCCCTGAAAGACAGCTTTTCAGGGACACTTCTCTTTGCTGTCCCTCTGGCAGCCATCTCAAAATATGTCAAAGAAATATATTTGGGGGTAAATATTTTGATTTACTTCAGTCCAATAATGAGTTTAGCCTATAAATTTCCTTTCTTACATTATCCTCAAGAAGTTTTGACATGAAGATCATTCTGACCTCATAAAACAGAGTTATTGTAAGTTTGGCATTATTTCTACCTTAAATGATTGAAATAATTCCTTAGTGGAGCTAGCTGAAACAAGATTTTTCCTTATAGGAAGATTTTTCATCACAAATTTGATTTCTTTACTAGTTACAACATTATTTATTCATATTTTCTGTTTCTTTTTATTGCCAGTTTTGATAAGTTGAATTTTGATTTCAATTATTTGAAAATTATATTGGCATAAAGTTGTTTTCTGTCACTTTCTTTCTAATGCTATAACATTTATAATTTTCACTCGCGTCCGTGTGAAGAGACCACCAAACAGGCTTTGGGTGAGCAACATGGCTGTTTATTTCACCTGGGTGCAGGTGGGCTGAGTCCGAAAAGAGAGTGAGTGAAGGGAGATAAGGGTGGGGCCGTTTTATAGGGTTTGGGTAGATAAAGGAAAGTTACAGTCAAAGGGGAGTTGTTCTCTGGCGGGCAGAGTGGGGGTCGCAAGGTGCTCAGTGGGGGAGCTTTGGAGCCAGGATGAGCCAGGAGAAGGAATTTCACAAGACAATGTCATCAGTTAAGGCAGGAACAGGCCATTTTCACTTCTTTTGTGGTGGAATGTCATCAGTTAAGGCAGGAACTGGCTATCTGGATGTGTATGTGCAGCTCACAGGGGATATGATGGCTTAGCTTGGTCTCAGAGGCCTGACAGTAATGATATTTCCTTTTTAATTCTTGTTATTGATTATTGTGACATCTCTTTATAAAGGCATGTTTTCCCTCTCTTACATCTTCCATGATTTTAGTTAATTCTTCAATTTTTCTTGCCACTTCAGGAAGTCCTTATCTATGAAGAAGAGCAGAAAAGGGTAGAGGACAATAAAGCTACAAGCTCTCTCATTCTGATGGCCACTATTACAACCTAGCATGGCACTGATAATAGCCCAGATTTTCCTAGTTGGCACTATGAGTGTTTCATATTTTTTAAAAATTTAGCTAAATAAGCAGGAAATCACAAAGATAAAGAGACTGGTAGTAAATAATTATGAAAAAAAGGAAGATACGAAAAAACGACAACAAAGAACATGCATTCTGTTTCTCAAAGAACTAAAAATAGAATGACCATTAGATCCAGCAATCCCACAACTGGGTATCTACCCAAAGGAAAAGAAATCATTATATCAAAAACATCTACACTCATATGTTTATCACAATAGTATGTTATTCACAATAGCAAAGATATTGATTCAACCTAAGTGTACATTAATGGGTAATTGGATAAAGAAAATGTAGTTTATGCACACAATGGAATAGTGTTTAGCCATAAAAAAGAATTAAATCTTGTCTTTTGCAGCAACATTGTTGGAACTGGAGGCCATTACCTTAAGTGAAACAGCTCAGACACAGAAAGATAAATACTGCATGTTCTTATTTATAATTGGGAGCTAAATAATGTGTACACATGGACAGAGAGTGTGGAATGATAGACAGTGGAGACTGAAGGGGAAAAGGGAGGTGAATAATGAGAAATTACTTAATGGGTACGATGTACATTATTTTGGTGATGGATACACTAAAAGCCCTGACTTCATCACTATGCAAAATAACCATGTAGCAAAATTACACTCGTACCTCATAAATTTATACATATAAAATTAAAAAATTAAAAATAAACATTTTATGACTTATTTTTCATCTCCTTGGTCTCAATTAGATTAAAAGAAAATTTAATTTGAAAAGTGATATAATGCAAAAATCAATAAAGTAAATGCTGGTTTTAAAATGCTGCTTGCGGCCAGATGCAGTTTTCATGCCTATAATCCTAGCACTTTAGGAAGCACAGGCGAGTGGATCACTGGAGTCCAGGCGATTGAGACCATCCTAGCTAATGCGGTGAAACCCTGTCTCTACTAAAAATACAAAAAATTATACGGACATAGTGGCACGTGCCTGTAGTCCCAGCTACTCAGGAGGCTGAGGCAGGAGAATCACTTGAACCTGGGAGGCAGAGGTTGCAGTGAACCAAGATCACGCCACTGCACTCCAGACTAGGTGACAGAGCGAGACTCCGTCTCAAATAAATAAATAAATAAAAATAAAATAAAATGCTGCTTGCATGTATTTTGGAATGAGACAATTTTAATCTCATGGACATTAAAAACTTTTGGCCAATTGGTAATAAACTGTTGGAATTGTAAAGTACATTTTCTTTACACACATGTAAAATATACCGAATTCCATAGGAAAACAAAACTTTATTCCATATACTGTTTCAATTTGAAAATGATAGCAGGCATATTTCCCAGTGTTCCATTAACTACTCCAGATATTAGGACATGCCAGAAGCATAGTTATAGTAGTGATGACTTACTTGATACTCATAAACCAACTGTGCACCAGATATGGGGCAAGAGGCGTTAATACACCTGTAACATGTATTATTTGTTCAAGCTGTTCTTTTTCTTCTCTTCACCTTTCTACCAATCATCCTGTTTCCAGTCCCTAAGGTATTTTTCTCCGTGTCCATCACTTTGCCCTTCATATTACTGGCATTCTCTTCTCATCTTACCCACCTCTTTCTCTCTCTTTCTTTCTCTGTCTTCTTTCTCTCTTTTATTAAAGATTGTTTTTATTCTCTTCTCCTGAATCTCTATTTTCTTTCCATTTCCCTTTTCTTCTTCTCTTACTTCCTTTAATGGTGATAACTTAAAACTAAATTATATTTCAGTTTTATATTTTATCTCGTAAAGCTAAAATATGTTTTAGTTTTATTGTATGCAATAATTATAGGATTCAATTATAATTTCCTGCAATCATTTTAAGACACGTAGTTTTTATTTTGTCTGTAAACAAAATACTATGGTGTCAACTTTTACAGATGTGTATGCCATTTTTCTTCTTTCTTCCTGGTAGCCAGTGACTCCTGAAAGAGCAAAGTTTCCCACTCCTTTCTGTAGGCTTATCTATTGTTCCATAGAAGAGCGAGAAGGAAACACTAGGCATCATTTTAATATCCTTTATCGCAATCATTCTATTATTCCCAGAACATAGCTTTTGCCTCGTCTAAAATTTCAGGGTTGACCAGTTTCTTTTCTGAAGTCATGTTGGGAGAAATTCTTAATTAGATACCCCAGGGGAAGCGTGTGAGAGTCTGGTGACCAGTTGAACTCCCAGCGAGCTGAGTCACACCTTCACCTCCCAGGAACACAAACATTTTCAAGTTCTACCTACTTCCCAAAACACTGTGTTTTCTGTTTCTTGTTTAATAGTAGTGAGGACCTCTGCACCAAGTGAGCCCTTAAGAAGTTTGAATTGCACATACTTTCAACTGTCAAAAACATATCCACCCAGTGACTCGGCAAAGTAGCCCACCAAGGGATCCTTTCCTTTTAGAGTAGGGAGATGACAATGCTTTCTAATTTACAATCGGGTAAGCTCCAAAATGAAATTTTAAGCACTTGGCCCCCTGGATGCTTTTGGTCTATTTGTGTGGGGAGGAGTATTTTATGCAGTCTTTCAAATCATACCACTCTTTGTTAATACAAACCAACTCTGCTCACGGTGTGTGGGTGGCAGTTAAGATCATAAAGGAGAAGGGAACAAAAAGATGAGAAAAATGTACTGTACTGCATTGCAAATTGAACCCTGACTTCATTCTAGGCATGGGAGTTAGAAAGATTGCCTTCAAGAAACTAAAATGCTGAAAGGAGACTTGAAAAGAAAATTATGAAATATGGCCAACCTGTCTTAAACCCCCAGCCCTGGTCCATCTTTTCTTCTTGCCACAGCGTGTGTCACCTTCTGTATACTTTCCCTCTTTATTATGTTTATCATTGGAGTTGTACCTCCCCTACAAGAACATGTGCTCTATAAAGGCAGGGATATTGGCTGTTTTCATTAACAGTGTCTCCACAGACCTTGAAAGAGTTCCTTGCATACAGCAGGTATTAAATATGATGTACATGAGTGAATTCAGTTTACCTCTGAGGCCTGCAATATATACTATGGTGCCTCGTCAAGATCCCTTTGTCCCAGCCAGTACGCTGTACACTAACTGCTGTAGATCTTGGCTACCGAAAGGTGCTTTCAGCAATGTCTCACTGGGTTTTGGCTTCAGTCGCATTGAATTGCATTGTACAAGGTTATGTAAACTCTAAGGTTGTGGCCTGGTCTGATGACTGTGTAATACACGGTTACAATAGCTAGTCCTCTTGCCTTAACTTGGGAGAAGTCTGAAAGGGCATTCCGGCTTCAGAATTTGTTAGGATAGGATGAGGCCTTGCTTGCAACTGCATTGAGAATCAGCTTCTCCTGCCTTACTTTAACGGATGTGGCTTCCCAGAGCAAGCAACTCATTGTCTGAGTCTGTTTCCAGGGAATCCAGTCTACATAAAGATAGGTGTACAAATATTGACTAGTTTTTCCTTACCATGTCAGAGATGGCTTCAGTGTGTAATAATAATTGGGTAAATAAGGGCAGAAACAGCACTCAGGGTAATGACACAATCTACACAAAGGCAGAGAAACAGAAAAACATTGTACGTTCATCATGACTTCAGTTTTTTTTCCATTCTCCTGATGAACAAAGGGAAAGTGAGAGGTTTTAAGCAGGGATATATCATTTTAATTCTATAGGTAGAAAACTAAAGAAAAAAACTGGAATATAAATTATCCAGGCAAAAGAATATGTTTTATTATTCTTCATAATCCTTCCCCACTTAAGCCATTGCCATCTCCCACTCCCAGCACCTTGGGGATATAGGTAAATATTACAGACTCATCCATGTTATTTAATTCAATTAATGTAATTTAATTCAATAAATGAAACATTGTCCTGAGGTAGAAGAGTACTGACTACATTCATTAATAGTATATTTTCAACTAATAGAGTAACAATTTCAAATTTAATAACAAAAATAGAACAGGACCCACAAAAATACCAGAAGGAAAAATATACTATACTCACAAATTCTACAAAATGATCTTTTGTTGTTGTTGTTGTTATAAATTTTAACTGTCTGTCTCACCGCTTGTATTTCCATATCTGATAAAAAAGCCTCAACTCTACTTTGTGTCTTTCCTTCCTTTACCAAGGCAACGTCTGAGCATATGAGTGATCCATAGAAATGATTTACAGGAAGTCTGATAGGCTGGAAAAACATGGAAACTTAACATAAGCACAGCGCCCAGTGTGGCGAACTATAAACATTTCTTGAATTCTCTCTAAGAAACTTTGAAAAACATTGTACCTTGCTTGCTTATATTATTAGGATTATATTCTACTAAAGATTATATTTATAGATATTTAATCTGTAATTTAGCATCATAATTTTACATTATTGCAAGCAATTGTAATTTCTACCATGCTGTGAATCTTGACATTTAAAAAAAATTGTCACATCATTCTCCTAAATGTTTCCAAAGGTCTGTAAATACCATAGTGCTTTGATAGTCACCACCTACATTTAAGAAATATTTGAGGAAGCTCTGGTTTAGCATCAGAAATTTTAAAACTGGCACTCTTTTTCCATGAACTGATGTTTCTCTTCCTTCACATTATTTTATGCTAATATGTTTTGTCATAAAAATATTTTAATCACGGCATATTTTTACAATAAAAGACAAAATATACATTTGCATGTGTGTACATGCATACATATATATACATTTGTATATGTATGCGTGTACATGCATACATATATACATATATATATTCACAGAGAGATAAACATTAAATTTTGTATTTAAAAAATCCTATCGTGAGGTTTCTAAGCTTTGGAAAACATCTGCTGGATTATCATGATCATTATTGACACAAAATTTATCAAAAATAGTATATTATACACTATGGAAAATAATTACTAAATACAATTTTGTTATAAATCAATCTGTTACTTATATGGGTAGAGCTTCTTTTCAATTTATCAATTTTTGCTAGAAGAAGACACATTTCTGTCTCAATTTCATTCTTGCTTTTGGTTGTTACTGGTATAAATAACTGAGAAAACTAGTTTGCCTAAATAATTAGGCAGAAATGGGCCAGTTGTTCTTATAGTGATATAATTGACTTCTTTTAACTCTTTCCCAGTTATATACCCCCACAAATCATTCAGTGATCTAGTATCAGAAATTATTTTTGATGAAATACCAATCGTTCCTACTTTTATTCTGTTAAAATGGCCCTTTAGTTCCTTCGTATCTAGAGGAAGATTTGGACTACCGGGTGTGAGTGTGTGTGGTGTGTGTGTGCACACACGTGCACACTCTCGAGGTGCATGCCTTTAATCTGCAATGGAAAGAAAGATGATTGATTGGAGACAAGGCAGTGAGAAAATGGAACCAGAGGAACAGGCTTGTTTTTAGATTGATCAATATCAGTAATGAGTACACATGAAAGTTGAACATCTGAAAATTAATCTACATCAAACTATTTATATGTATGTCCTCCTGACAAAGTCTCTTTGTTCTCTAAGGATACCAGCAGTCTAGATTGAATACTGCTGACCTAATATAAATTAAGTGCTTGTTTGTGAAATAATTTGTATTAAGTTAATAAATAAGTGGATGAATGAAAATTAATATTTTAAGCTTATTAAGTCATGAATAAGTTAATGAATTTATAAGTTCGTATGATTTTTTGACAATCGTCATACATATTTTTGACATTTATCTTATATAAAACTCAAAGCCACAAAGTATTTTCAAATGTATGGTTTTTTGAACACTGAAATTAATAACTAATGAAGTTGTCATTATATTACATTTGGCAGACATAAAGTTAAAATTGTAATTTTGGAGTTGTTGTTTCTTTGGCTATAAGTGAAATATTTTTCTAGAGCCTCAGATACTTTCATTGGCTATTGAAAATCTTACAGTCTATGAGCACTACGCTGTTGTACTGATGGATAAAATAGCTCTGGCCCTGTCTGCATCCTTGGAAGAAAGAAAGGGAGACATTGAAAATAGGTAAGGACCTCAACTTTGGAGCTTATGTTGAACTGACCATGATTATTGTCAGTTTTACAATGGAGTTGGGGCCTCCTCTGCTTAAAACAGGCTACCTGCCTAAGTGCCGTTAGTAATTCGTTACTCCTAGGGCACACCTCTTTTGAAAATCTTTATAAGAATGTGATGCCCATAAAGGGTAATAAACCCATTTTAAAGGTCTGCCTTTGTTTTTTTAATCACATATGTTTTCCTAAGCAAAAAAAAAAAAAAAAAAAAAAAAAAAAAAAAAAAAAAAGCTGAGACTTGCAAGAACCCTATATGTGGGCAAAAGGTATGGGACCTTCAATGAAACTGAGAAGGGCACAGAGAAGAGATGTATAATACATAAAAAATAAAATAACTAATTTTGCCTGTAACTAGTCAAGTGCTTTTTCAGCCTCTTAGATTAAGTCTATACCAGTATATTCTAAATGATTTGCCATGTGTTAGAGCCATAAATGGGAACAGAGAACAGATGTCTGGCCACACGGACCATGTTTTTGGACATACGAGGTCTCCGTGAGCTGCATCTGCAGTAGCTTTAAAGTTCTCTATTCAAATGTAACAATTGGAAAGGCTTACCCCAAGAGACCACATTTTCCTACTCATTAACACCCTGGATTATCATACTTCCTTGGTCTCCCGTTCTTTTTTCTTGCCAATCCTAAATCTAGGCAAACCCCACCATTTACAATTAGTATTCCTGTTTCCAGACCATTGAAAAAGCTGCCAAAAGCTATAGAGTTGTTCTCTTTGGCTTCACAATAAACCCACATTACCCAGCCTCACTAGGGGCATCAATCATGCTCTCCAATACCTGGATGGCTCTGTATTTAATTTTCCACACCACCTGGCCACAACTTTTCCACTCCTCTCAAGCCCCACACTCATCCCACAGTCCTCACTAGTGGTCAATATCCTCATCTCCTTTCTCTAAGATCCCATAGCTTTTGGCACATGCAATGCATAGCAATGAATAGTTTTGCATTATTCTATCCATTTTACACTTGAGGAAACTGGATGTAAAAAAAAGTGAGTTGTCTCAGGTCATGCAGCTTAGCTGGTAAGAGGTGGGACCAGATTTAGAGGTCACGTCTTCTAAATCCAAATGTGCTGTGCTTTCTATTTTATCACATGCCTCTCTTATAAGGAAAAGCAATATTCTATAACGACAAGTACGGAACCTCAAGATCAAAGAAAAATCTTCAAAAGATTCTTCTTTGAAAGAATCACGAGCTGATGACCCAACAGTGTAGCACTATGACCACCACCTTTCTCTTTGTTCTTTGTTTTGTTGACCTAAAGGGAGAAATTAAGCAAAATTAATATAATTTATTTAGACCAGGGTTGAGGACAGCTGCCTGGGAAAACACTTCCAAGTTGCCTAGGCAAGTGTTCTGGAAAACAAGAGAGGCTCAAGTTTTTAAAGAAAAAATGGATGAATCAGGAGAGGGAGTGATTACAAAAGTTGCTCATAGGAATGAATACTCATTGGTTTACAGGAACACTGATTAGTGATAGGCTATACGTTGCTGAGCTACAAAGTTTAAGTTACATTGTCCAGCACATAGCATTTTGTGGCTACTTAGCAACAGTTAGTTGAAAGCCCAAATAGCATGATAGCGGCTTCGAGAGGTATTTATTTAGCTTAAGGGGAGATGTGGGACTCGACTGCTCTTTCATTCCAATTCCTCTCTAGGTCAGTAGTTCAAAGGGGCTTGCATTCCTCACATAAAACGTTCATTTTTTCCTCAGTTTTATTAAGTTAAAAATATCTGGCATCATATTGGTTCACAAAGATTAACCATATTCCATCAGTGGTTCAAAAAACCTTCTCTTGGGTTGAATTGTAAATAGCTGGTAAGAATGGGACTTTCCCAAATACTTCACATCTGCAGGGTTGTTTTGTTTGCTTGTTTCATTATTTGATTTTTAAAAAGTATTTACTGTGTTACATTTATCTTCTCTTTATTTTCCCTTGGGATCTGGGGAAGTCTGACGTAGCTGTACTCTAACTTGCAAGGGCTGCCACAATATATAAGCCTGTGAGAAGCAGCCTGTAAAATGGTCCCCATTGAGACCTGTCTCCAAGTATTCACACTTGTATAATCCCGTCCCTAGGAGTGTGGGCTGGACTAATTGACTCACTTCTCAAAAAATATAATACTGTAATGATGATAAACTGTTGCTTCCGATATTAAGTTGTTGCTTCTGATATTAAGTGATAGGAAGATAACTTTCTCCTTGGGAGCCCACTCTGGAGTGTTCTCTCTTTCCTCTTTCTCTTTATCTGTCTTTTGCTGAGGCTTGCCAATATCCATGTGAGTAAGCTTGAAAGCTAATCCTTCCCCTGGAATTTGCCTCTCTTTTTATAGTTTCTTTCCAAATAAATTGTGTTTTCTGTAAATCATGTTATATTTATCTCTCCATCTTTCACACTGTCTAATGTTTTATCTGGCACATATTAAGCATTAAATCATGACATTTTAAATCAATGATGCATTTTGTATGCTTCAATCAGGATATCTTTATTGAAGAAATCACTATTTGATGCTGTGTTTCTTATAAATTTCAATCAAAGCATTTATAAGCTGCCTCTTACAAATCAACATCTTTCAGGGACAAAATACAACAAAATGATACACAAATATATGGATTACTTTTTTTTTAAGTATGCCATTTGAATAATTTACATAAGACCAAAAAAAATTCAAACCACCACCCTAAACAATTGTTAAGTCTGCATAAAAACATAGTTTTTGGCTGGGCGCAGTGGCTCACGCCTGTAATCCCAGCACTTTGGGAGGCCGAGGCAGGCGGATCACGAGGTCAGGAGATCGAGGCCATCCTGGCTAACACAGTGAAACCCCATCTCTACAAAAAATTAGCCGGGCGAGGTGGCGGGCGCCTGTAGTCCCAGCTACTTGGGAGGCTGAGGCAGGAGAATGGCGTGAACCCCGGGGGGCGGAGCCTGCAGTGAGCAGAGATCAGGCCACTGCACTCCAGCCTGGGCAACAGCGAGACTCCGTCTCAAAAAAAAAACCACCATAGTTTTTGCATTACTATCATTAATAAACAAGATGAAATAGTTTATAATCCCCCAGGAACCATGTTCCATGATTAAAAATCTGATGTAAAGGTTACCATAAAAGACTTTATTTAATTTAACAAAAAAGATCTCCAACTCACTATCTTTTGTGTTTGTTTTCAATTTTAGCAATTAATGTAAGACAGGGAAATCTTTATGCTAATGCTACAGCTCCTTGGTTCCACACTAACACCGTTATCTGAATAATTCATTCCCAGTTGAAAAATATATCATTTTTACTGGATATGAATGAAACTTTGAAGTGCAATTTAAGTTGAAAGAATTTAAGATTGTAGAGAATTCCCATAAACCATCAAAAAGTGCTGTGGTTGCAATATTACCTAGCACTCAAGTGTAATAGCTTTACAGAAAGCTCATGTGAGATTCTAAATTTTGTTTCTTTGTAAAAAAAAAAAAATTGATGGGATTTATTTCTTAGTGCATTTTTACACTGTGCAGTGACTACTTTGTCCTCTAAATATAGAAAACAATCTGTTTTATATTTCTACCTATAGATTAGAACCTCGATGGTCACTTTAAAGAAATGCTTTGTTTGCCACAGAATTATTTTCTGGTTAAGAATTACAAAACTGAAAATGGCTTAAAATATCAACAATATATTAAACACAGATTTAAACATAGAATTAGACTTTCAGTCCACTGCATCCTAAAAACTCAAAATAGATGAAATGGTGGTGACACACTCTGAAGAAGGAAGCTAAACAATGTAACTGTCTTAAATTCTTAAAGAGCTTTCCAACAGAGTATCTGCCCTTCCTGGTCCTGTAATCAGGGATGCACTAACATACATATGGGAGTGGAAATTTTTTCCAAACTGTAAGAGGCTAGTCACCTTGGCCAACATGTCAAAGCATCTGGAAAAGCATTGAGTTTCTACCATATTGCATAAGCAAACAGTAAAATTTTGCAACTTTTTATAATCAGGTCACTATTAAGATAAGTAATAAGAGCAAAATGTATGCATTTCACAAAATGATACACAATTCTCTTATGTTCAATATTAATCTTATAAACACTTATTACCTTTTATTGCTTTTGTCAAGAGGAAGCTCACATTAAAATTTATAGCATAATTCTAGTATAACTGTATAAAAATACTTTTATAACCAGTGTATCTGGGGTATCTGGGGATACATCTCACTCTACCTTTTTTTCTATTTAATCGGGAGTTTCTTCTACTTTATTTTAAATATGTATTTAAAATTTTGATTGTATTTTATGTATTTCTAAAAATTGTTAGGTAGAGAAGAGAAAAACAGAGAGAAGGAAGAAAAGAGGGAAAAAAGAAAGTAAGGAAAAAATGAAAAAAAAAATGACAGAAAAAAAGCAGGAAGGAAGATAGGGAGGAAAGGAAAGAAACGAAAATGTTAGTTAAGGTCCCAGTACTTGGAGATGTACCTGAAGTTGGTCCCAACCCTATTCTATTGGTGTTTGAAAAGCAAAGCTTCCCAGCAACCTTCAAAATCTTTTTTGTTTTATGTTTTGAAAACTAGTTTTTTAATGTTTTTCTCTGGCTCCTTGCTCCAGCTCCTTTTGTTTGCTGCCCCACAGAACACTGGATACTTAGTTCAGATCCTTCATCAGTTTCCACTAGAAATCAATTTGCTTTCATCTTTTTAAAAAAACTTTATTGAACATTTTGGAGGGAATCTAAGGTAGTAATCAAATCATGGAATTTGGGTAGACCACAGTCTCATTGGTCCAGGTTCACTTCCCCAACTTCCTCTCTCCTCTTTCATCTTCCCCTCTTTCTTGATGTCAAATAATTAAAGGCAATTAAAGATCCCTTCCCGTTTCTTATGCAAAACAGTTATTTCCATTTCCAGGTATAGCACAGGCTTACCAGCTAACTCCATATACACATACAGAATTTTCATCTTCCTAAGAGGAATTATTTGCCAGTTATAAATATATTAATTCACATATATAAGTACACAGTATACACATACACATATATACTATATACTATATATTTTATTAATACACATGGAATATATGGAAGAAAGAAAGGGAAGGAGAAAAGGAGGGAAGGAAGGGAGAAGAGAGAAAGGGCAAGGGCAGAAAGGAAAGGAGGAAGCAAAAGAGAGATGTGTTAGAGAACAACACTGGGGATATAGATACAGCGGTACTAATGGAATAGAGAGGCAAAGTTCTATAGTGGTTAAAATCATGGCTGTGTTCAAATATTTACTTCACCTGCATAATAGCTTTATGACTTGGAGCAAGTCATTGAACTTTGCTATGTTGCAGTTTCCTCATCTATGAAATTTCAATGCTAATAGTATCCAGCACATGGGCTGTTAGAAATCTTGAGTGGCCAGGCACGGTGGTTCACGCCTGTAATCCCAGCACTTTGGGAGGCTGAGGAGGGCAGATCACGAGGTCAGGAGTTCAAGACCAGCCAGACCAATATGGTGAAACCCCGTCTCTACTAAAAATACAATAATTAGCTAGGCGTGGTGACATGCATCTGTAGTCACAGCTGCTCGGGACACTGAGGCAGGAGAATCGCTTGAACCTGAGAGGCAGAGGTTGCAGTAAGCCAGGATGGCGCCACTGCACTTCAGCCTGGTCAACAGACAGAGACTCTGTCTCAAAAAAAAAAAAAAAAAAAAACTTAAGTGAGGTAATATATAAACATGCCTAAAATACTACCTAGCACTTAAAAAGTCATAAATAATTGTTATCACAATTGTGATAATCATTGAAGTCACATTAAGATCACTACAAGTAATGCCTAAAGTGAGACAGGGCTGCAAATACCAGTGAAACACTGATCCTAATAAACATTCTATGTTTTAGTTATATTGATTAGCTAGCAGTGCTAAAAAGTGCCTCTTCACCAGCACGCCCACAAACCACACAGCTACTAACACACAGGATTTTAACTAAATCTCAACCTAACTGACTCTTGGTATCTCCATTGTTCAAAAGCATCAATCCCTGGGGAGTCTGGACAAGAACACATTCATAGCAGAACTGTGACCAGAATTGAAGGAACAGAAAATTGTAGAAGGATATTCTCTTCTTTCAAAGTTTTAAACATGCCAATTTTCAAACCAATGTCTAGGTGTTGAGAAAACACACTTGAGAGCAAATTGATCCCTTCAAGACCTAACATTTTCAAAGACCTAAGATGAGAAAAAAACAGCTGAGGCACTGCAGATTACTTGTGGGCTCTCTTTATCCTTGAGGGAGACAATATATTCTGTTTTCCTGAGCTACTTATATTCCGGCAAAGGGCTATTTGTTTTTAAGATTTCATAGTAGAACTAACCTAAACTTATTAGGCTGTACCAGAAAGGAAAGATGATATTTAATGTGATCCTATTCCTTGGTGTACAGTAATATTAATGCTGACAACTGCTGACTTTGGAATTCCTCCATTTCTTGCAGTGGACATTGTCACTTTTATATGCATCCTTCTCCAGATTTTTGTTTTTAACACTTTACTAATAAGAGTCAGAGGAGCTTTAAGATTGTGACCTGCTCAGTGGACTCCCATTCTTCCTCAAGCACTCTTAGTCATAAATGTAAAGGGTGGGTGCCAGGAGAGAAATATTTAATTAAAGCCTATGGCAATATCACCAAGAGGATAAAAAGTAATAATCTTTTGAATTTGCTTTTGCGCAGATAAAAAAGCAGCCTTTTCATTTCTCTTAGATGTTATTTTTAAGATAAAAGCACCAAATTCCCAAATACTTCTATTATTGTCAGCTTTCTGGCATGTAATTCTTTTTCTCAGAAAACAAGACGGGAAAAAATGTGCATAGAAGGTCCTTAGCTTAAATCTGTGGACATAGCACTGCACCCTCTCTCTTAAATATTGTTATATAAAACCAGGTATCGCCTCATTTATATTCACTACACATCTCTCCCTTTTTGTCTGCCTTAGGTCTTTTAAATTTAGCTTCAAGAAAAGTGCTATATTATGGGATCAAGTTGCCTTATCTTTTCTCTGAAAGAATTGTGTGCAATAGTTATTTCCCTTATGTTGCAATTTAAAGCACACAGGAAGCTATGTTGAATACCATCAGTCTCTGATCTATCAAGATACACTTATCCACATTTTTATATAGCATATAATGAAGTAAAGATATACATTTGTTTGTTTTCTGCATAGCTCACCAGAATTTAGACTTCTACAACCAATGAAGTATTTACTTGTAATACCCTACAGGGTAAATATTTTTCATGTTCAGTAGGGGTGAATAATAAATAAAATTCCATATTAAAAACATGTACAATTCCTGACTTAATTCATTTTGTATATTGTTACCCCAAGGGTTAAAGAACAGGTACATACTTATGATGTTTTGTTCACAATAGTCATTTAATCATTTAAGATTTGAGGGATGAATGAATATCAGAATTCTAAAGATTCCTCATATACTCCAAGTAGCACATTAACTAGACTTCTTAAATTAAAGATGTAATTGAAAGTGTCATATTTTTTTCTTTAAATTTGAACATTTAGATTGAATTTTTATGGCCTTTTTCTCAGAAAACCTTGATATTTTTGATAAATTTATTATGAGCTGCCATTAAATTTCATGAGTCATCTCTCCCTGCCAAAAATTACTGGTCGTGTGAGTGGAAAAAAATCCAGATAATCAAACACAATACTTGCCATAATTTTTAAAAGACATATTCAGGCAATATGACATCCTCTAGATACAGATTTGTTGGTCTACTTTGGTTGTCAAATGTATACATTAAATGGAATTAGTTAATTTTCAAAAGACCTACTCAGGAATTTAATATATAAATATATATAATTTATATATACATAATTATATATAAATTATTATAAATTATATATCATAAATTATATATAATTATGTATATATAAATTATTATATATTTATATAATAATATATAATTATATTATATATAATTATAAATCAATTATATAAAATAAGATATATGTATATCTTAAACCATCTGAGGACTTTAAAGTATAAAAAATACTTCTCAGTGCTCTTTTGATATTCCTTGAAATTACAGTTGATAATATGAAAAAAAAAAAGAAAAGACATGAATTAAACACATTCATTTGAAAGGCACATGCTAAATTAGAGTCACAAGGTAAAGCAGACCTGTTTTCAAGGCCGGCCACCTTTAGGAATGTCTTGGCACTCAGAGTATCAATGATTATATGAAACACATAAATCTTTCATGAATTGAATATTAAAATAAAAATATAAGCAAAGACTCTTAAAGTATCTAGTGCTCCTGCTATTCGTGAAAATAGTATAAGATAATGACTTCTAAAGTCCTTCTAAGAATAGCAATAGCATTTAAGCTTTTATGAGTTTCTCTTAAGAAAGTGTTTTTAAAAAGAAAAATGAAAAATAGTTGAAAAAAAGGTTTTTTTCATTTTTTAAGAAAATTAGCTTAGGTAATGTATAGATAGCATACCGGCAATTAATAAGTCCTCCTAATAATTATATGTATAATTATCTAACAGGTTTTTTATTTATTTATTTTTCTTTTCTACCCGCTGTTAGCCCTGGAATAATTTCAGAAAGTGTTGACTAGGTTCACCAATTTCACATGCTTCTCTTTGATGGTAATGAAAGGAATTTCTTAAGAGCTGTTTAAAGACAATGAAACTATTATTAATAATGGCTAACACCCAGAATCAACTCCATTCTAATTACCCAATTGTATTGTATTATTAACATTTAAGTGCTAAAACTACAAAGTTATAAACACATTCGGTTTTGGAGTTGCTCTTCATTCTGTCCTCTGCAAATACTGTAGCCATGGTGGTACCTGCCCTATTTTTCTTCCTTTATTTTAATTGGCACATAAATAATTGCAAGTATTTATGGAGTAGAAAGTTGAGTAATAGTTGAGTAATTAATATATTCATTACTTGAAATATTTAACATTTCTTTGTGTTGGGAACATCGAAAATCTTCTCTTCTAGCTTTTTTAGACTATACAGTAAGTTACAGTTAAATGTATTCACCCTACCATGCTGCAGAACACCAGAATTCGTACCTCCCAGCTAGCTGTAAATTTACATTTGTTAACCAATCTCTCCCTATCCTCCCCTCCCCACTACTCTTTCTAGGCTTTAATAACCACAATTCTACATTCTACTTCTATGATCTAAATTTTTCTGGCTCTCACATATGAGTGAAAACACGCAGTATTTCTTTTATGCACCTTGCTTACTCAATTTAACATAATGTCCTCCAGGCTCATCTGTGTTTCCCAAATTACAGGATTTTATTCGTTTTTATTAATATTCAATTGGGTATGTATACCATATTTTGTTTATTCATTTGTCTATTGATATTTAGGTTGATTCCATATCTTAACCATGGTGAATAGTGCTGCAATAAACTTGAGGGTGCACAAATCCCTTTGATATACTGATTTCATTTCCTTTGGATAAATATCCAGTAGTGGGATTGCTGAATCATAGGTAGTTCTATTCTTCATTTTTTGAGAAACCTCCGTACTTTTTCCCATAACGCTATACCAGTTTCCCTTCCCACCAACAGCGTATGAGTTCTCTTTCCTCCGCCTCCTGATAGGCATTTACTGTCTTTTTCATAATAGACGTAACAACTGGGATAAGATGACATTGTGGTTTTGATTTGAATTTTCTTGATGATTAGTGAGGTTTGTTATTGTTTCATATATTTATTTGTTGGTCAAATGTCTTATATTAAGAAATGTCTGTTCAGATCCTATGTCCACATTAAATTTTTTTTCTGTTGAATTGCTTAAGTTCCTTTTATATTCCAGATATTAGTCCCCAGTTAAATGAATAGTTTGCACATATATTCTCTCCTTCAGGTTTTCTCTTCAGTCTTGATTGTTTCCTATGCTGTGCAGAAGCTTTTTTGTTTAATAAAACCGAATTTGTCTATTTTTGTTTTTGTTCCCAGTGCTTTTAGTCTTAGCCATAAAATCTTTGCCTAGACCAATGTCCTGAGGTGTTTCCCCTGTATTTTTTTCTAGTAGTTTTATAGTTTCGGGTAATACATTTAAGTCTTTAATACAATTTGAGTTGATTTTTGTGTATACTGATAAAAATCCAGTTTCATTCTTCTGCATATGGATATCCACTTTTTCCAGCACCTTTTATTGAAGAGGGTGTCCTTTTTCAATGTATGTCAGTGGCACCTTTGTAAATATGTGGATTTATTTTTCATTTTCCTATTCTGTTCCTTTGGTCCATGTTTCTGTTTTTATATCAATACCTTGCTATTTTGATTATTATAACTTTGTAGTATATTTTGAAATCAGGTAATGTGAAACCTTCAACATTGTTCTTTTTGCTCAGTATTGTTATGGCTATTTAGAGTCTTTTGTGGTTCCATACAAATTTTAGAATTTATTTAAATTTCTGTGTAAAATGTCAATAGCATTTTGATAGATATAACATTGAGTCTGCAGATTGCTTTGGGTAGCCTGCTCATTTTTCCTAATTTTTTCCATAATAATTTTTCCAATTCATGAGCATGAAATGTATTTTTATTTATCTGTGTCTCCTTTGATTTCTATCATTCATGTTTTGTAGTTATTATTGTAGAGACTTTCACCTCCTTGGTTAAATTTATTCCTAGATATTTTTTAAACTATTATAAATGAGATTGCTTTTTGAGTTCTTTTTCAACTACTTCATTATTTATATATAGAAATGCTATTCACTTTTGTGTGTTGTTTTTGTGTCCTACAACTTTAAGTAATTTATCAGTTCTAAGAGTTTTTTGGATGAAGTATTTAAGTTTTTCTATATATAAGATCATGTCATCTGCAAACAAAGACAATTTGACTTCCTCTTTTCCAATTTGGATGACCTTTACTTTTTCCTCTTGATTAAATGCTTTAGCTAGAACTCCCAATAGTAAGCTGAATAAAAGTGGTAAAATAGGCATTCTTTTGTTCCAGTTCTTGGAAAAAAGAGTTTTAGCTTCTCTGTTCACTATGATGCCAGCTGTGAATCTGTCATACATGGCTTCTAATGTGTTGTGGTTTTTTTAATGCTTAATTTGTTGAGAGTTTTTATCATGAAGGGATGTTGAAATTAGCCAAATGCTTCTTCTGTATCTATTGAAAGAACCATGGTTTTTTGTCTTTTATTGCATTGATGTAATGTATCAGGTTTATTGATTTGTGTATGTTGAGCTATCCTTGCATCCTTGGCAAAAATCCCAGTTGATATTGGTATGTTATCTTTTTAGCGTATTGTTGGATTTGATTTGCTGTTATTTTGTTGAGGATTTTTGCATCTATTATTTATCAGGAATATCAGTCTGTTGTTTTCATTTTCTTTGCTATTTCCTTGTCTGGTTTTAATATCAGGGTAATGCTGGCCTCATAGAATGAGCGAGGAAAAATTCTCTCCTCTTTAATTTTTTGGAATAGTTTGAAAAGGATTGGTGTTAATTCTCCTACAAAAGTTTGGTAGATCTCAACAGTAAAGCCATCTGGTTCTGGGCTCTTCTTTGTTGGGAGTCATATTACTGATCAGTCTCATTACTTGTTATTGGTCTGTTCAGAGTTTCCATTTCTTCTTGGTTCAATCTTGGCAGGTGGCATGTGTTGAGGAATGTATTCGTTTCCTTTAAATTTTCCTATTTGTTGGTGTATAGTTGTTTATAATAAACTGTAATGATCCTTTTTTTTTTATAGTCTCGGTTGTCATCGTTTTTGTTTGTTTCTTATTTTACTTATTTGAGTCTTCTCTGTTTATTTTTCTTACTTTAGCTAATGGTTTGGTGACTTTGCTTATTTTTTTTAACTTCTTTTATTGTGCTTTTGTACTTTTTAAGTCTCTCTCTTATTTAGTTCTGCTCTGATCTTTATTGTTTTCTTCTACTAATTTTGAGGATGATTTGTTTTTGCTTTTCTGGTTCCTTGAGGCACATTGTTAGGTTATTTATTTGATACCTTTTCTTGATGTAGGCATTTATTGCTATAAACTTTTTTTTAGTACCAGTTTTGTTCTATGCTGTAGGTTTTAGTATGTTGTGTTTCTCTTTTTATTTGTTTCAAAAATTTTATTCCATTCTTAATTTCTTCATTGGCCCATTGGTTGTTCAGAAGTGTGTTGTTTAATTTCCATGGATTTGTACAATCTCCAAAGTTCCTCTTACTATCAATGTCTAGTTTTATTCCATTGTGGTCTGAAAATATACTAGATATAAATTCAGTATTTTACAATTTGTTAAGACTTGTGTTGTGGCCCAACATATGGTCTATCCTAGAGAATGTTCTATGTGCTGATGAATAGAATGTATATTCTGCAGTTATTGGGTGAACTGTTCTGTAAATATCTGTTAGGTCCATATATTCTATAGTGCAGTTTAACTTCAATATTTCTTTGTTGATTTTCTGTCTAGATAATTTGTTCAGTGCTGAAAGTGGTGCGTTAAAATCCCCAACTATTATTGTATTTTGGACTATCTTTCCCCTTGGCTATAATAGTATTTGCTTTATATATCTGGGTGCCCCAGCATTGAGTGCATATGTATTTACAATTGTTATGTCCCTTTTGCTGAATTGATCTCCTCATATAATAGCCTTCCCTGTTCTTTCCGCAGCTTTTGACTTAAAATCTATTTTATCTGATATAAGAATTACTACTCCTGCTCACTTTTTGCTTCCATTTGTGTAAAATACCTTATTCCATTCCTTTCCTTTTGGTCTATTGTGTCTTTACAGGTGAAGTAGGTTTCTTGTAGGCAGCAAATGTTGAGTCTTGTTTATTTTTTATTCATTCACCTAGTCTATGCTTTTAATTAGGTAATTTAAGCCATTTCCATTCAAGATTTTTATTGATAGGTGAGGACTCACTCCTGTCATTTTGTTGTTTTCTGGTTCTTTTTTATATCCATTGTTTCTTTCTTCCTCTTTTATTGTTTACTTTTGTAGGTTTTTGGGTTTCTGTTGTGATAATATTTGATTCCTTTCTCTTTCTCATTTGTGTATCTGCTCTACCAATGAGTTCTATAATTTCATATTTTTTGTGATGGCAGAAAAGTATGGAACACTTCAGAAATTTGCATGTTATCTTTGTGGACTGGCCATGCTAATCTCTGTGTCATTTCCACTTTAGTATATGTGCTGCAGAGCAAGCACTGGTTTTGATTTGACTCTCTCTTTCTTTGTTATATTAGGTCTTCATCATCTGCCTATGATTCTTCCTCTATCCCATACCAGTCTGTGTCAGAACAATAACTTCCTCATCATAAGGTTTGTTTGCACATTTCAAAACTATCTTCAGTTTTGCTATAATTTTGTAAAGTCTTTATTTTCTGTTTTTAAATCAGATTGTAGACAGCCAGAAATTGATACTGGAACTAAGGAAATTTACTTCTTCCACACCCTCTTAGCTGCTTCTAACTGCTTTAAAGTCTTTCTGTTATTGTACCATGAAGCACTGAGCAGGGTGGGGATGTTTCTATAGACTATTCTAGGTCCTCCATTTCTATGTTGGTTTTTTTCACAATCTATAGCAGTCTGTTTGTCTGTTTCAGTTCCACTTGTGCATGAGTTATCTGCACTTCTGAGCATGTGTAGTCCTGTTTTGGGAAAGGAAAAGGATGCCAATAAGCATCTCATTCATCCTCAAAGAACAGAATAATGTTATTGCTTTCAAGTTGTTTTAAAATTTTATTTGAAATAATACTAGTTTAGAGATGTAAAATAGAATACCATGTTGATCCCTTCGATAATGCTGTTTCTCTACCTAGAATGCCAGTTACCTTCACTATGGTTTGTGTTATTGGACCTACCCTTTAAGGACAAGTATGACTCAGAACTTTTCCTGGTCATCTGTCATAATTTCCCCAATTAACATTATTTTCCTTTCTTGCAAAGCATGTAGCACTTGTTTATATCACACAATCTAGTATGTATGTTTTTACAGTCCGTTTACCTTTCTCTGATTTGTTTCTTAGGCTTTGTTTTTGTTTTATTTTGTTTTTTTGTTGTTGTTGTTTGTTTTTTACAAAAACATGTTTACAAGTTCCTTGAAGGATAGAATCATGTCTTTTACTTGTTTATACATTTTAATTGCATGCTTAACACTGTGAATCAAGTAATAGAGCTCAATAAACATTTTTTGAGTTTAACTGACAGAGCATCTACTGTTAACAGCAAAACTTGGCCTTTGGCTGATGGATTCCCAGAGAAACAAACTGAAGATGATTCTCCCAATTATCTTTTTCTATTCACAAAGGTAGTGTCTATAACAGAGCCACAGATGAGAGAGCTGCCTTTCTGTGTCTCCTGCATACTTATTTTCCCAATGCTAAATGCATTTTACCTCCTAAAAATAGACTTCAACAAAAATTGCTTTCAAATTATTACAGACATGTTGCCCTTCCAGAGAGGAAACTTAGTGATTACTGGGGAGAACTAAAGAACATATCGTAGGTGAGGAGTCAATGTAAAAGTTGAACTCATGGCCCTGAATGAGTTGTTGGAAGATCTGTGTACAAGAGAAGAGCTGTAAAAGTGGAAAGTCATCCTACACTCTGGACTAACTAAATGTGGTAAAATTTAATATTGTTGCTTCAAACACTGGGCTTACCTTGGGGAGCAGGGCTCCACAAAAACTTACTATAAATGCTAGGAATGCAGTACAATTAAATCACCAGAGTTTCAAGACAGAACATTACCCAGGATTCTCTCCAGCATTACAGTAAAATTACGTTGCTGACAAGCATTTAATTATTTGCCACATGTGTGTCAAGAAATGGGAGATTCCTTCAAAGATCTACCTGAAATTCAGATATGGTAAAGTAGTGAAGGATTAGGTGTGGGTATTTCTAAAGCATAAAAGGAGAAGGAATACCTAGAATTGATGTTGATCTAAATCCACATAGCAGGCAGCAGTCAATCACACTAATAGTACAACAATCTGAAGCCAAAGACCCTTTGTTTTCCCCACTTTATTTCTTCTCTGATCTCAAGTCTGTCTGTCTTCTGGATATTCATTTTGACCCCATGTTGTCTGTAGTTTGTGTTTACATTTGACATGCAAACTTTTGGCCTCTGAATTGCCCCACTAGCATTATAGCTAAAGCTCACCTCGCTGGGTCTTCCCACTTTTTATGATCTCGCTCACGCTATGTGACCTCAGATAAGATTAGTCCAATATACAGAGCCCCAAGCAGATCCTCCCAGTACTTCTGAGGATGGGTAGAGAATGGCTTGGAATTCAAAAGCAAGACTTTGGTCCACGTGTCATGGTTAAAGCAAGAGAATAGACATTATGTTGAGATTAAGCAGCATAAATGATCCATAAAGCAGTCAAGATTTGTTATTGCAGATAAAGGAGGAAGACCCACCAGCAAAAGAGATAAACCTATTAGGATGACACATGAACAAACTCACAATTTAAAGACACAACTCTCACTGTGAGAACAGGTAGATTCATAAAAATGGTACAAAGAACAAAGGTGTGCTGACTGCATGCTGTATAACTCTGTACTTGAATATTCTATCTGGAGGGTCAGATAACAGAGAAAAGTCACTGAAAGCATATGAGAACTATAGCTGCTTATTGAAGCCACTGAAAGGTGATCTCCTCCAATCATTCATTCATTCCACAAAGCAATCTGTGATTATTTCCTCATCACAGACCTCCTCAAGAAGAAGAAGAGTTACTCAGGGACAATCAGCAGCCTTTGTACATGACCCTGAACCTCAACTTTTACCCCCATTGCTACAGTCGACCAAGTGGCAAATTGCCACTCCCTTTAAGACTAAATTGGTAACAGTCAGTTGTGGACTTCCTTTTTTTGTCTCTGTAATATTTTGTATCCTTCATAATGCCTATTTCAGTGCCTGGCACACAGTAAATACTCAACTAGTGATTACTGAACAAAAACCATGGTTGCAGAACCCATGAGGTTATATCATGATGTAAACTACCTCATGACTATCTCTGTTAGTTTTGAATTGGCCTGAAATGAAACACACACACACACACACACACACACACACACACACACACACCCTTTTCTCAGCTGAGCTGATGAGATTTTTCTTTTTATTTTTTGGCTTCTGTGTTTACTTTCATCTGTCAGCATCTGGCCACGTACACAAAGGTTGTTCATAGATTCAGGCTAAACATGGGTGGGGTTAGAGAAGTGCAATCTGTACAACAGAATAAACTGCAATTTGGGGTCACTGAGCCCAGGCAGAGGGATATCAGTGCCTTTGTGAAATTTAAATGGCGAGTTTCAGGGAACTTTCAGGCCTAAATAATAGCTTCAACTCCAAGTATCCTAGGCACCTTCTCCTTAACAGTGGAAGAATCTAGAGTAGAATAACTGAGAATCAGGGAGCTTGATCCTCAGGGGCTTTCCAGGTAATCCTAATGTTTTCCCTTCATCAAGTCAGAAAATCCTAATGAGCCTTATGTGATAAAGGACTGGACTCAAGTAGAGAGAGTGTTTGCTTCACATGCAAACATTAAAGCAAGGTGGTGAACAATGGATATGATGACAACTATCTTGATTGTCAGCAGTGACTGGCTAACTAAAGGGATTCTAGGAGAGACAAAGAAGTCAGATTGAACTTATTTAGAAATTTACTAAACACATGAACCTCCTGGAGGAAATTAAGTAAATGTCATTCAAAATGATAAAAACGTGTAAATATGACTTAGAAGAAATTTAATTAGTAAAGTAGAATATAGAGTGTCCATGAGGTATTTTTTTTAACTTTTTTTAATCCTGGAGCAAATTGTGCTAACAGTTGAAGCTAGTGAGAAGCTTTTCTATTGTATACAAATTTAAACTGGTTTTCCCCAGACAAAAGCTGAATCCTTCCTAATAACCACGGAGTCTAAGTTTACCAACCAAGATTTGTGCAGATATAGAAAAGATTGCAGGAAGTACCAAACTGGGCAGCAAAGAAAACAGACTTAGGAGTTTCTAGTTCTCTGAAGGACTTTGTATCTTTCCTCTGGCAAATATGTAATACCTCAATCTGAAGATGGCTCTTTAATGTTTTTAAATTCAATAGTGTCTAAAATATAGCACTTCAGCAAATGTCAAACACTTATTGTGTACAAAGTATGTTTTATGTGGAAAGATAGTGCAAATACACTCAAGGATATGTGATTTTAAGACTTTTTTTTAGTTTTGTCATGGGTCTGAAGCAAAAAAACCCCTATTTGTCAATAATTGCAGATGTGCAGTGTTTAATTGGTTTAATTGTGTTCATTCATATAAAGATGAATTTGACATGAAAAATATGACTATTTTTAATACCTCATGGAAAATTAAGGCCATGTTTTTTTCTAAATTAATTTCAAAGTTTAAAACTATATGGATGACTCCAAATGACATTAAATGTTTAAAAAATTAAAATAGAAAAATAAAGTTAAAAAAATAGCATTTATTTGGAAATTTTTTATTTGGAAAAATACCGTTTTTACACTTAGTGGAGTGATCATCAAAGCTAACATATCACCTTACTTTTGCACAAAATAAGCGAGGTAGTGTTCCATTTATGGATAAGGATAAGATAATATAACATGTAAAACATTTAGCTTATTGAAATCACTTATAGAAAAGATTTTTGATGCAGAAAATTTAAGCGTGTGACAATAAACTATCTGAAAGTTACTTGTAATTTGAAGTTTGACAAATTTTACTATGATTTTAACCTGACATCTTATATAATTAAATTTTATACTTCACATCCACCTAATGTGAACTTCTCAGATATACTTTAGTAAGCAAAAATTGATTGAATTTAAACTTTAATAAGGGAAAATTAAAGTAAATAAGGTTGAAGAAATTCTAACTGAGTATATTCCATTGTCGTAGAACTCATTTGTATGATGATGTCAATTACAAGAACGAAATTATCACGAATTGGGCTATTATTATTTGATCTTATTTTATTCTAATTAATGGGAAATATCTACACACCTTTTTAAAGTCAATGAGCCTGCAATAATGCACTCCTGTCCTGAGGCATTGACTACAGTCATTTCCAATTATAAATTCAGAAGAGAAATACATAAAGCATCAGTCCGTGAGAGACAGGCAAGGGCATTGGTTCCATGAATACATTTATGTTTAAATTTGGACAATGTATGTGTCTGGTTACTTTGTTTCCATCCAAAATCAAATCGATTTTGTTTTCAATTGGAGCTCTAAAAGTAAATTTAAGAACAGTGAGAATGTTTGGGAATAAATTTATAAGTAAGGGGACTGACACCATCAATGCAGGAGAGCTAGAGGTTGGAGTTAATGGATGCTATCTGGATAGTTACAAGGGAGCTGTGATAGATTATTTAAATTTTACAATTCTTAAGTTCATTGGCTTTGGGAATTGTATATGTCTGTGTAACCACCACCCAAACACACTCCAAAATGTTCTATCTTGACCCTTCCCAATAATTTTCCCAATTCCCCCATGGCCGAGACATTCTGATTTCTGTCATGCATTATTATGCCTGCCCAGGACTTCATGTAAATGAGTCATATATTATGGATTCCTGTGTCTATTGATGTGGCTTCTTTCACTCAGCATAATGATTTTGTGATTTATCCGTGTTGTTGAGTACATGAGTCATTTGTTCCTTTTTCTAAATATATCACAATTTGTTTATCTAAATTTCTGTTTATAGATATTTGGGTTGTTTCCAGTTTCAGCTGTCATTAATAAAGCTACTATAAACATTCATGTACAAATCTTTTTGTAAACATGTTTTCATTTCTCTTGGGTAAATATCTAGTAAAGGAATTTCTAGACCATAATGTAAATACATTTTTACCTCTATTTAAAAAAACACCAAACAGTTTCTAAAACTGTTTGCTTTTCTGTTTAATGATTACTTTTTCACTAGTATTTTTGGTGATTTAAAAGTTTAGTTTATAAGCAAAGTTTACCATAATAGAAAAATTCTGCATGATTGGAAATGGTTTAGTGTATATTAAAAGCTGGTGAAGAGAATTAGAAGCCTATTATAGTAACAGAATAATGGATCTCTAAAGATATCTGTGTACTAATCCCTGGAACCTGTGAATATGGTACTTTAAATGGCAAAGAGGGATTAAAGTTGTTGATGGAATTAAAGTTGTTAATCTGCTGGCCTTGGGATACGGAGATTATTCCAGATTATCCACTTGGGCCCAATGTAATTGCAAGAGTCCTAGGAGTGAAAGGAGGAGGCAGAAAAGGGAGAACCAGAGAGATGGTGTGAGAAAGACTTACCCCAATTTTGCCGATTTTGAAGGTGGAGGAATTGACCGTAAGGTAGGTGACCTCTAGGGAGCAACCTCTGGCTAGAAAAGCAAAGAAATGAATCCTCCCCCAGACATTCCCTACAGTGTTCCACAGCCCCTGCCCACAATGATTGTAGCCTAAGACAAACAGAGCTACGATATAGTAAATTTGTGTAGCTTTAAGCCACCAAGTCTGTGGTCATTTGTAATAGCAACAATAGGAAACTAATACACCTTTGACAAGACCAAATGAATTAAAATGTGATTTTGAAACTCCATATTAGACATTGAAGTTTCCAAATTTTAATTGCTCAGTATAGTTCTGGTGTATTTAGATTAATACACATGTTTACCTTTTTTTTTTTTTTTGGCTCCCAATACCTAATTTATTTTTTTACTTTACCTGAAGGACAGACATTCTGCATATCTGTTGATAGGAAAAACACAATTTTGGCCTTCTTGTAACTTAGTTTGGTGAATTTAGAATTCTAACTGGACAGTTATTTCCTCTTAACTTACTGAAGATATCCATTCCGGTTTGTTTTTCCTGGTTTCCATACTTGCTGTGTAGGTGCCAGCTGTCAAATTAATAGTTTTCTTTATAGATAACTGGTATTTTCACTTCGGCTGTTTATATGATTTTCCTATCTGTGTTTGATATTCTTTAGATTCTCTATTATGTATTTGAGGATTTTTTTTGAAGTTACTATACATGGGATTTGGTTTTGTTGTTGTTGTTGTTGTTTGGTTTCTTGAATCTAAGCACTGGCAGTTCTGATCCATACAGAAAACATCTCAGTCAACTTAGTATTAAAAGAAATTGAGAAACCATAGTTGATTGCTGCCTACGCCTGGGTAGGCTGACCATGATAAATAAGAAGTCCTTCTATGGAGCCCTGATTCAACACCAGCTTTGTGCCGAACTGCTCAACTGCTCTTGCTGACAGAGTTGTTTGAAGTATCCAATAGAAAGTAACCCTGCAAAATTAAGACACTCATCCCAGACTACCCTTAAATAGGGGAAGCTTGCTCCCACATGCCCACACTTGCTGTTGCTGCAGCTGCAGGAGACCTGGGACAGAGAACTGTTGTTTGCCCCTATCTAGTGACCATTCCTAGCATGAGGATCTGAGAGTAATAAAAAACTTTAAAACTTTCGCACTGTGGCTATGTCATAGAAGTCATGCCTGCAATCCTTCCCTTGAAGGGACTCATGCAGGTAGATCTCTTGCTCTTCTGTTCGGACCTTTGGTGGCTGCCAGGGACAGTAGTTACCAACTAAGTTAATAGAAACTAGAAGAGTTTCATTCAAAACAATCATCTCTTTGAATATTGCCTGTCTGCCTTCCTTCCTTCCTTTCTGCTTTCTTTCCTTCCCTTCTGGCTTTTTTCCTTCCTTTTTTATTTTTTTCTGATTTTTCACGGTAGAATTCTAATTACACATGTATTGAAACGCCTCAGTCTACCCTGTCTACTTTTCCTTTTATATCCTTGCTTTTTTCTTTTTCTGTCTTATCCTGGTTCTGAAGATTTTCCCCACAACTCAACTTTGAAAGGACTTTTATTGCCTCTCAGTGCTCCAGAAAAATCAATTATGCTAGGATTTCCTTTTTTGAGCCTCAAAAAATACTTTTCTCTCAAAGCTCTCATTTCAATTTTGGGTTTCAAGGGCCTTGTTTGAAAGTCATATGATTAACATTGACTTCTTCCCTTGGCATTCTCACTTACAATCAAAATTGTTCCTGAGACAATATATACTTCTGCCAAAACAGGGAAAACTATACACAGAGTACAAGAACGAGAGACGAATGATAAAATTTCAGGATTTTGTTCTGGTATTTCTCTTTTATTAAGTTCATTTATTTGTTAGATATGTATGTGCTATTTCTTATGTTTTAAGCCCTGTCCAGGTACTAGAGATGAAGCTCGACTAGATATGATTCCTTATTTAATGGAGCTTGCAATCTTTGAGGAGATAAGAGACTGGATAATAAAGCAGTATCTATTGGTTTTTCCCTGTTACAAATGAGAACTCAGGTTAGTGAATGTGCTGATTGCCCCCTGGCCTTCTGTTTAATGGGGCATGTGTGTTTGCCTCACTGCCTTTGTCTCTGCAGTACATTGTTTTTAAAAGAGCAGGCACTGGAATTGAACTGCCTAAGTGCAAATGTCAGCTCTGACAATTAACAACTGTGTGACTTTAGGCAAGTTATGTTATGCGTTGGAGTACCTGATTATTCATCTATATGATAAGGAAATACTGACATATTCCTCAAAGGGTTATTAGAAGGAACAAGTAAATTAATACATAAAATGTCTGACATGTAATTCGTGCTCAATAAATATAAGTCCACGCTTATAAGCCAAGTAAACAAAGCTCCATCTCTTCCCTGGTCCAAGTTCACTTGCAATGTTGTTTCTCCTGCAAATTATGCAGATTTTCAGAATTGTCTTTATATATTTTCAGCAACATTTCCTTTGGAAGAAAAATCATATGTTAGCTACCCACATTCTCTATATCTTGGTTCCAAATACTTAATATGTATACATGCAATATGTGAAAATTTTTCATTTTAAAATTGATGTCATATAATCATACAATTAATTTTAGCATTGGTGCCCTCCTTTTCCCTGCACCCTCCTCCCATACCCTTTTGAATACCATTTTTGCTTACTTGTACTATCTTTTATGAGTTTGCAATTTGGAAAAAGGGATGCTTACTCAACAGATACCACTTTTGTTTTAGGGTGTTATAATTTGACATCAGCCAAAGGGCCATTCTGAAAGTAGGAGTGTCATTAGCCAAATATGAAAACAATTGCAGAAATAATAATAGTTAGCTGAAGCCAATGACACATCGACGATCTGTGCTGAGATTGGTGAAGTTGAAACTTCAAAGAATAGGCCAGGAATATAGGGTATCACATCTGATGTTACTGTGCAGTTTTATTCATGATTTACTAATTATTTTCTTGCAGAGAGAACAGTGTTTAACATACTGGACTTTCATTGTTTTACATCCCTGCTATCATGCCACACTATGGGCATTCCGTAAGAATTACAGTGTTAACAAAATTCAATAAAGAGGAGAAAAGAAGACAAAGACAAAAGACCAAATCTAAAGTGAAAATTTGCATCCTTATTTTAAATATGCTGTACATAAAACCAAATAAAAAAATAAATACATATTCTCAGTAGTAATTAGCTATGGGCAATTATGGTTAAGTGTTGTTTTGTTTTTAATAGAAGGTAAGGTAAGAGAAAAGGAATAAATGAGGGAATTAAATGGAGTTTTAAGATAAATAACATAGACAAGGAAGGACATAAATTTTGTATCTGCAGCCCAGAAAGCTGAGTTTTTGCTTTAAAAATGTGCAAACTTAAAATTAGAAAAATTGCTCTAGACAATTGGAAGGCACTGGAATAAACATTCTTTGGGTCCAATTTTAACTGACCAATAAGCATAGAGTCTGCCTTTCATGGTAGTCTTCTTTGAAGTCTATTTTTGGGTTGTTTTCCATATATTTATTTGATTTTATTTATTTATATTTATTTTTAAAGCTAGAGTGAGTTTTTTACTCAGCCCTATAGATTGGAGGAAAAATATTTTTAATTTAAGCCCCAGGATATATTTCGTCTTCAGACTGAAACCTGTACCCTTAAGGGTACTCAAATCCTGATGTGTCAATGGCTACTGCTGTTGGCCACAAGAAATCTGATCAAACCTGTTCTCACACATATTCTGGGGGATTATGAAGACTTTGATACTCAACTGACTTTATTCATTCTATCTCTTGATGCTTTTCAACAGGGCTGCTATCCCAGGTGGGGTTCCTTGGAAGCAAAGGCATATTTGCATGTGGCAAGTTTATGGGGAACACTGTTAGCATCAACACCTTGACTGGAGTTTTGGGAGCAGGAATGGGCAGAAGGAGAAGGTGAATATAATGCAGTTATGACCAAGGCCTTAGCTATTCCTAAAAAGAGCTCTGGAGCTGGGGCAGCCCTTCAGAATTGCACCAGCTAAAGTCACTTCAGCCAGGCATTTGGTACTCCATATTAAGCCTTAGAGAGAGAGGGTTGCTGGTTCAGCAACCACACCTCTGGAGCAAGTGAAGAATAAAAGCTTTAGCTGGGAGAAGGGGGGTGGAAATTTGGGTAATGCACCATGACACCCACTATAGCTTATTACCATTGCTCTCAAACATCTTTAGCTTCCTACCCTCTACTCTCTTCTGCTCCAAGGTCTTCCACCTCCTTTCTAATTTCCTTCTGTGTGCAGCCTAGAATACTTATATCTTCTCTATTAGCTCTCCACATTTACTGGAGCCCCTGCTCTATTGCCTTTTAAAATATTTATATCCAGAATGCTACAAGTCATTGATTCTTCTACTTTGCCAAATTTAGGGGTTTTGGTAATTTAGGGAAATGTAATACATCTGTGGGAGGATTAGCATTTGAACTTACATAGTTCCTGTTTCTTCATTTACAGCTTAGCATAATAAAAAATATTTTTTCAATCATCTCTTTCCACATATGAAAAATTTTTAAAAACATACAATATATATTCATTTTTGCAACCAGATCCTTTGGGATTCAGACATAAGGGAGAAAAGCACTGGTTATGGTAACACAGGAAAATAACTTTCGATTTCCATATATTCAAATATTGTTGTTTGTGGGTTTTTTTTTCTGTCCTTTTATCTCCACTAATTGTAAAGTATGGACAATGATCTACATATTTTCTGTGGATAATGTCAAGTAGCTGAGTGTTTAGCTGGGAGGAAACTATCTATTGATTATTTATTAGGCATCTCCACATATATTAAGTCATTTTATCTTTGCAACATCTTTGCAACATAAACATTATTATATATGATTTTCTAGGTAAAGAAACTAAAGCCAAGTGGGATAAAATGGACTCCAAGCACATGGAATTCAAATATGAGTTCTTACTGCTTGAGTGCTTTTTTTGCGGTCTGAAGTCTGAATTAAGACACTGATTCTTTGAGTTGTTCTATTTGCTTTATTTGTTAGCCTTATAGGTTCATAGCAGAAAACTACAAAGCCTAGCAGCTACACAACCCTTTGGAAACTAACCTTCCAGCATCATTTTCCAAGCTTTTCATTGAGAGGACTCGGTGTCTAAATAATGCGTATTTCCACCCCCAATCATACCTCTTTGTGCCGATTTTGGTTTTAGAGAAAAGAATGTGCCAAGACAGATTGGATCACAAGAGAGTTACTGGGAGAAACACCTAATGTGGATGAAGAAGGAACAAATATAAAGCTAGAAAAGCCTTCAGAATATCATACAGGTCTGGCATCTGTGAAAGAAGAGAGAAAGCGGGGAGAATTGGGCAGGAGGAGCTTCAGACTGAATGCTTTTCTGAGAAAGCCTTGGCCAGGCTGATGAGGAATTCTAGATCAAGGTGATATTTGAGGAGACCTGCATGGGGCAGAAATGACCTAGCCCTGGTGCCTCTTCTCTGCTGAGTCCCAGCCTCAGTGCTGACACTGCAACAGAGCTGAAGGTGCCACAGACAGAGGCCACTTGTCAGTATGCCCTGTAGCAGGTACTTGCAGTGAGATCTGTGTAGTACACCTCTAGGCCTGCCAAACTTACATCCCCCTTCGCTATCCACTGGATTTCTTACCCTTGACCCTTCAAAATTTTAATGGCCTAGTGCTATGCAGTTATCTATATTCATCTATAATGTCTCTCTAAAACACATAAAACTTCTTAAAAAGTTTCAAAAAGGGAGACACTATAATGAAGAGTTGTGTTCTCAGATAATTAAGATTAGTATAGTGATTTTATAAAATCCATAGTTACCCTTTTTCCTTTAGACAAAATATCCAATGCCCTATTTCCAGCCTTTTGCACATATTTTTTATTTTGTCCGTTTCCTTCACAGTGGATCACATTCTGCTCACTTATGTTGATTTAGAAGGTTTGAAGCTAAAGATATCATTTGAGTGCAGCCCTGATGATTTTCATCTTTGCTTTAATTTCATTGTTTGTTTTTTTCTTTTAGGGCTACATCCCTTCTTTTTATTATGAGTACTTTAATTTTTTAATTTCCTATTCTCATAAAGTTATATGAGTGAAAAGCAATACAATATTCAAACAATTGTAAAAACACTGGTCTACCAATAAAGGTAGTAATTAATACTCAAGTGTAACTGCTGGCTGGCAGTCAGTACCACTAGGAGACTCTGAAAATGTTTGTTAAAGAATTGATGAACAAAATGTCTTCATTTAGAACATGAAATAATGGCATTTAGGAACATTTCTGAGTGTCATTTGTAACTATTTGTCTTATATCTGGCTTCCTCAGAAGCAGAGCCTGAGACGTGATTCTTATGTAAATGATTTATTCAGAGGGTACTCTTGGGAGAAACCTCAGAAGAAGTGAGAAAATTAGGATGGAGGAGAGAGGCTAAGTAAAGATGTGATTTCAGGTGATATCTAGCTTCAACCTGATACCACAGGACTTCTGAAACATAAACATTTGTACTGTCAAGACTGCCTGCCTTGTGGCAACAAAGTGGTAGAGCTTTATTACCACCACCTCCCACCCACTCACACACTCAGACCACTCAGTCTTGGGTTCCTGGCTGCCTCAGGGTGAGGCAGATCCAATCACCAAAGGGCAAGCTTCTGGAGAAGGGTACAGATGTGAGTTGTTACCTGCAAAACTTATAGCAGCAGTGAATTAATGAGTTGGGGTGGAGGTAGGCGGTGTTGCATCAAGAATGACTGCTCAGCAGTGTTGGTTGTAGGAGAGACACACTCAGAAAGCTTTCCTATATTGAAGGTGACAGTTGTTTGTAGAAACAGGGATATAGTACCATGCTAAATATCTCTGTCTGTTATTTCATGTATCCCCTCATTCTTAGGCACTGAATTTCCTGTGCCTCTAGTCTGAATGAATTTCATTTGTGTCTTTTGGCCAGTTATCCAGGTTATAGTGTATTTTCATTCACTTTGCATTACACACACACACACACAGACATACACACACACACAGACATACACACACAGGCAGGTCTGGGGCAAGTGAACAGTATTACATGAACATTCATTTCATCCATGAAACTGTTTGATTAACTGAAATTACTACTGAAAGACTTTCTTGCTCTAAGTTACAGAGCCAGAAAAACAGTCTTAAGTTATAAAGTTTGGATCAAGTATTATTTTCAGAATCATTATCATGTTTCCTGGAAGAATCATGTAAATTCACAAAACTGACATGTCCACTTGGCTCAACCACCAAGGGAGATATCTTCTAGTGAAGCATTTATCCAGCATGAGGATCAAGGGAAGAGAGAGAAAACGGACAGAAAAGCCCAGAAGGTTGTTATATTCTAACTGAATTTTCCTTTTACATGAAGAGAACAAAAATGGTAGAATGAATGACTTTGGTCATAGGTTAAAGTGAATGTCTTAGATAATACAGTGCCACTGAATTAGCAGTTCTGTCTTTCTGTTTCCTTCCTTTTAACATTTGAGATTTAAAAGGTCTATGAGAAAAGCTTATTAAATGAATTTTAACCGGAAAATTTCAATTTCAGTTCTCCCAAAATGGCATATTCTGGCACTGTTCTCCTCATGAGCTCTTTATGTGGGAAAAGGAGACTAGTTTCAGGACCCAGGCAGTGATAAAGTACATTGATCTATTACCTACCCCCTGAGGAAATTCCTACAGGGCTGTCTTGCTCTGGACTGCCTAAGTGTCTCATTTGTACCTAAAAACAAGAAGTGTCATTTTTCCCCTATTCAAGATGTCACAAGCCCAATTTTCTTTTGCTAAGGATCACAGTTATTAGTCTCTGAAGGTGCTAGCACTTGAGACCAAGTCTGAGGTGATTAAAATGCCTTAGCACTTTGAGGATCAGTGCCCTTCCATCACTTCTAGTCTCCAGCTGCTTCCCTGTCTGACTCGCCTTCTGTCTCTCATTATGATCCATCATTATCCATTTTAAGGTCTGTATAAGTCATGTGAATCAAGGAAAATTGAGAACCTTTGCAAAATACATTTCTACAGACATGCACCACTAGTAAAGAGATGGAAACACTGACCCAATCCCATTATGTCTCCAATTTTATAAATATGCTTATTTTGTCTTTCAGATACCTTCTGTTCTCCCTTACTAACATGCTCTTTATTTCTCTGTCTTTCACATGTGCATGCACAAATACACACATACATACAAGCATACCATGCATTGGCCTAGATGAGCTATAAAGATCGCTTGTCAGCTGAGGTTTTCGTTTTACTGGCCTTACAACCATAACACTAGGAAGGTAATGCAGCACCTGGCCATTAGCTGTTTTTGCGTAATGTATAGCTTTCTGACATTACTGCAACATATGCCCTCTCTGTTGCACACAAACAGGTTTAGTCTACAGTTTCACTATGTTTACTCTCCACTGTTTCACTAGGGAGACAATGACCTCATGGCTCCCCATCATTTCTATGAAGCTTCAAATCAGAAACACCCCAAAATGGGACCCACAAAGATCTCATCCAAGCAGAATATACCTGGATTTTAAGTATTTTCTTCACTCTGAATTCTTAGTGGAGAGTGAGATAGAGGATACAGAAAAGAAAGAACTGTGAATACTGTAAGCTTTTCAAGTCTTTCCTCCCTTTCTGGTGGATTTCAGTTATTTAAATCCACGTTTTTAGGGTAATCTGCACTGCAGGTAAGTAACTCATTCATCCCCTTAATGCAAGTAAGAATATGGATTCACTGGGCTTAATTCTGCAACTCGTGATGAGGAGGTTGTGAGGGGCTACAAACCAGAGACTAAAGAGTCTTGTACATTTAATTTTAAAAGTACCCCACAAAAGAGTTGGTTAGAGAGGTGTGGTCATAAAAGGCTGCAGGGAGGCAGACTATGCCCAGAAAAAGGAGGCTGCTTCATCTGGATGTGTCGAGAAGAGTCCTCAAAGCCTGTTTTTATGATTACCACCAACGCATGCAGTCCTACACAGATTAATTTTGAGACCAACTCCTGAGAAGAAGTGCCTTTTAGAAGAAATCCTCTTGTTGCTCCTTTATTCCCCACTGTCATCAAATATGTGGACTTATATTCACATATTCTTGAAGCCACCCACATAAGGGGACTGACATCTGCCTTAACAAGAAACATACAGAATCTCCCACATGAGATGCTCTTTATAAAAAGTTCAAAGGAAGATAGCAATAATATGAAACCAATAGTTACAAAAACAGAAAGAAAACCCATCGTGGTAGGTATATCTGTGACCAGAATGACTACATGTTAAGAGTAAAGGTTAATAATTAAGGCTTATGACAAACCGATGAATAAAGATTTTAGCTGAACCCAACTGACTCTGAGATATTAAATGAATATATACGTAAAAATAAAAAATATAAAGGTATTGCACCTATTGTGCATGGATTTTTTCCCTCACTTTTTCCTCAGAAAGTAAATGACACTTTAAAATGGATACTAGTAGAAGCCACACTGTGGTATCTATGATAGAAAGGAATATTTCATACATGTGGAAGCCCAGAGAAGAAATCCTTCCCACTCTGGTTCCCAGGAGGTGCCAGGATGTCACTAGAAAAAACCAGCACTGCACTTGGTCTACAAACCATTAATCCATTATTTATACCTCAAGTATCCACAATTTTATAATCAACAGCATGGTTAACAGCAACAGAAATGGACAGGGAATAGGGTAGACATGGATGAGTTTTGGAAACAGAAAATGAGGGATGTAAATGTCTGAAGATAGAACTTCTGTTTCTGTTACCTGGAAGGTGGCAACCTGAAAGAGAAACTGAAACTTAACACTCCACTTTTATGCCAGTAATCCCTGTGCTCTTTGGAACTGTCTCCACTTGATAAACAGAACATAAAATAACATCTGCTGCATGCTGTTTTTTTTTTACTTATCACTTGCAGAAATTCAGAAATCAAATATTAAAATGTGAAAATCACGTGGTTTTCTAATGCATTTACCTCATGTACAGGATTGAAATAATCAGAAATAATCAGTGCTAATCCATTTCTCCAATCTAGCTTTCTGACTCAGCGGTTCCATTTCCCCTCCCTTTCCACTTCTAAATCAAAAATCACACGTATACACATACAAATCCATTTTTACCTTGGATAACATAAACAGTAATCATCATCCACATTATTACAGAAGATTAGAGGTACCATCAAGGGACATAATCTGCACTGTACTTTTATTCATCAAGCACCATTTATGTGAAGGAAATTTAGGTGGATAATTCCACAACCTGGAAATTATGAAGAATAGGCTTACTGAAACAGAGCTGCAGAGCAGGTAGAAGCCTGTTTTCATGATTACCTTTAAACACAGGGTTCTATGCGGAGAGGTATTAGATCTGACCCCTGGAAGGACCTGCCCCTTCAAAGCTGTGCTGTTTCCTGCTTCTTCATGCACTGATAGTGCAGTGCATGGCCTTATGTCCATCTGCCTTCCCTTTTCAAGGATTGGTATCTGCCATACCAGGAAGCATATGGAATCTCCTACGTGAGGCCAGGTGTGGTGGCTCATGCCTGTAATCCCAGCACTTTGGGAGGCTGAGGCAGGCGGATCACAAGGTCAAGAGATCGAGGCCATTCTGGCCAACATGGGGAAACCCTGTGTTTACTAAAAATACAAAAATTAGCTGGGCATGGTGGTATGTGCCTGGAGTCCCAACTACTCGGGAGGCTGAGGCAGGAGAATCGCTTGAACCCAGGAGGCGGAGGTTGCAGTAAGCCAAGATCGTACCACTGCACTCCAGCCTGGCAACGGAGTGAGACTCTGTCTCAAAAAAAATAAAAATAAAAATACTCCTATATGAGTTAAAGGGATGCTTAAGTCTAAAGGTCCTCTTCATGGCTATTAGATAGTATTTGGGGTCCTTGCTTTGTCCCTCTCAGTCCTTTCATTTGCTTGTTATTGATCAAATATATTTGTCTGCTGAATTACTGCTTTTTGATACTCAATCCCCATACATAGAACCTAAGGATGATAGTCAAAAATAAAAGAATTTTTTAAAGTAAGCAACATTGTGGAGATATTGATAGAGACTATTGACTGCATTAGGAAACCATGGAGGAGTCGATGTGCTTAACTGCACAGGTTTGGTGGTTAAAGCTATGGGAAAGGATGATATTTCCATGGGAAAAATTAGGAAGAAACAAAAGATAATGATTGAGTAAAGAACCTTGAGAATGCCTACATTTGGGGCATGAAAACTAAAAGGAGGTAGCAAAATGGCAGAGAAGAAATGCTCAAAAGTGAAAAAACTGTATGACCATTATTGATAGATTGACTCATTCATTTGTTCATTCATTCATTTAACAAAGTATTCTGAGCTCATTCAATGTGCCAGTTCCTGGTGTAAGTGCCAGGTGTGCAAAAGGAGACAAATCAGACACACTGCTAGCCTCATGGAACTTGCAGTTTAGTAGGGGAGACAGACATTAATCCAATAATCTGACAAATACATGTAAAATTGGAGCTGTGACAAGGGCTCTGAAGGAGAGGAATGTTGTTCTCTGAGTGTTTAATGGGGTGAGTGACTTGGTCAGGGAGTTCACAGAAGACTCTTTGGGAAAGTGACAATTAACATATGAAGATAAAATGGAAGTTGATGAAATCAAGAAGAGGGGAAATATGCAGAGGGACTTCGTGTATACTAGGGCCAGTGGGGAGAATGGGATTGTAAACGAATCTAAGAAAAACTGGTGTAGCCACAGCTCAGGAAGCAAAAGTAAGACTCACGGATGTGAGGCTGAAGCAGTGAGAAAAGGCTGGGATCATATTTGGCCAAATGGGCTGCATTAGGGATGGTGTTCTTCATTTTCAGAGCAAAGGGAAGACATTGACAGGTTTTATGTATGGGCGATATAATCAGTTTTGTATTTTGAAAAAAGAACTCTGCCAATGTGTAGGAAAAAAAAAGGATGGTTCGGGGAAAAAGCGGGTGCAAGATGATGAATTAGGAGCCATTCCTGCAGGGCTTACCTTCCACTCAGGCTTACTTTTGCTTTCTAATCTATGACCATACCAGTTTTTCCTAGGTTCATTTATGAGTCAGTTCTTCCCACTGGCCCTAGTGTATGTGCAGTCCCTCTGCATGTCATGGTGTAAGGTAATAAAAGCTAGAATTAGATACATAGCAGTGCATAGGAGCAGAGGAATGTGGATGCAGAGATTTTATAGGAGTTAAAATCAACAGAGTTGGCCATGAAAAATATACAGGTCCACTTGAGTGCCATGCCACTGGTCAGGGGAAGGAAGAGTTTTGGAAATAGGGTACTAGTACTGATGCCTAATATTTAATAAACGAAGACAGGAAACTTTGAATTGGATTTATTAAGATACTACTTATTATTTCGGTAATTTTAGTGAATTGGTGGTTGTGGAAGCCAGATTACAAGGGCTTTAAAAGAAGAGTTAGAAGCAATGAGTATAGTCTTCTCATAACTATATTCATTTACTTAACAAAATTTTATTAAATTCTTATGAAATAGACACCATGCTACATGCAGTAGGTGAATTGAAATCACATGATTTCCACCCTGTAATTTATTAGCCTAAAAAAGTAGTCAAGAACTCTCACTATATTTTCAAGATTATTTCTGCCTATAATAACCCTATGAGGTAAATTTTTTTCATTTTTATATAGTTATGAAGAGCAAAAGAGGATAAATAATTTGCCTAACCTCACTCGCTAGTCAGTCCAAAACTGAGATCTGAACTTAAACAAACGAAAAGCTTTGCCGTGCTGGAACCCAGTGAAAGAGACAGGTGCAACAGGTCCATCACTTACCCAGTGATGGCGCTAGAATAATTATGGGCAGAAACCTGAAGGAGCATCAAGGGGTCAGGCACATGTGCTGGCTGTGGGACAATCAGGATTTGTCAAAAGATCTTTAGACTCAGCAAGCAGAAGCTTGAAGGGTTGCAAGGTCAAAAGATTTTGATTTTTTTTTTTTTTTTAATGAGAGGATGTTTGTAGCTTGGCAGAGTTGTATAGTGCACAGGCTCTGAAATTAAATAGATTTGAATTTCAGTATCAGTGATGTAGCATATTAGCAGTGTAACCTTGTCCAAGTTACTTAAGCTCCTAGAATCTCAGGTTTTTTGATGTGTAAAATGAATTAAAAATGCTATTTCACAGCTCTGATGTGATGGTTGATAGTTTTGAGGGATGTCGAGATAAGAACACACACATAAATTGATTGGCCCATAACATGTACTCAATAAATCTCACTTTCTCTCTCCCCTTCTTTAATTATTATTAATTTTTGCTCCCTAATTCCCCAATATGTTTTAAAGCAAAGATCAGAAATAAGATATATATATATATTTAAAAGGCTGGTGAATTTAGAGAAGTCAGGAGGGAGTAGAATTACAGGAAAAAAAGGAATTCGCTTTAGTAGAGGTGAAGAACAAATTTTTCTCTGATGTGGGACTAGTCAGTGAAGGTCTAGAGAATATTTGAGAAGTAGACTCCTGATGCATGTTCTATGCCTCTCCCTCTGTTTCTCCTTCCCACGTGCCAGCCAGCAAGATGTACTATGTACAAGAAAGCAGTATTGTTACTGTGGCTCTCTGGTTATACACCTGACTAATTGTTTTATAGAAACATTTTTTCGTAACAGAAAACCTGCTCACAGAAGAATCAAGCCATTGACAAAATCAATTTGTATTTTAGCCTAGTATTTATATTCTGTGAATTTGGGGATTTAAATGGAGGTTAAGGAATTACAGTTATATAAAATATCTGAATTTTCAGGTAAACCTTATCTTTCTTCAGTTACCTACTTTTTTTTTTTTTTTTTTTTTTGGTCAAGAAATTCTGGCTTTAAGTAAAACCAAGCAGGAAAGCTAACATCAGAAAAAAAGACACTGAGAAAAGAGGAAAATCTGCAGCTACCTGCCCTGGGACCACCACCATCTTCTGGTCAGTGTGATCCCCATGCTTCTGTTACTGAACTTGGAATATAGGGGCCAACTTAATCTTGGGCCCAGAGAAGAAACACTTCCCTCAAACTTTGGGACCAAGACCCTCATTTCCTCTGTGGGCCCCAAAGGTGTGGGGAAATGAGGTGTGACTAGTCTTGTTCCCAGGATATCATTAGGGAAAGGGAGCAGAAAACTCACAATGAAGTTCTTTTGTTTTTTATATAAATTTATTTTATTTTAATTTTACCACAGTTTTTTTTTTTGCTTCTTTTATATGGCCTCATTTAATAAAAGGAAAAAAAACTAAAATTCCATTTTCTTCTTTAAACCTACAATTATGCTCACATTGAGCATAAGTAAATAAAATTATAAATTTAAGCCAGGTACAATTATACCTGGCTTAAATAAAATTCCCTTTCTTTGCAAATTTTGGTCAAAAATATTCATGCTAAAGTAAAAGATAGGTCTTCAAGTGGCTTTTCTAAACTACCTTGAAGCAGTTAAACCCATCAATCTAGTTCCCATATCACAGGTCATAACTAAGGTCTCATGCCTAACTGAAAGTTCCAGCACAGGGACATCCAAAGACCAGACTGTAAGGTAGATGCTCTGCCTCCCGCCCTTGCAGCACCCCCCGTGTGCTCTGCCTTCACCACTCCTTCCTTCTTGGGTCATTGGCTCTGGGAAAACAGTGTTTGCACTCTTCCCTTTACCAACCCTGCCCTGACAAAACAGTCTTATTGAAAATTTGGAAACATGAAAACCTGCCCAACACCAAATATTACTACCAGACTCCAAAATATAGGCCATGTCTATGAAAGTGGGAAACATAAAACAATGTTTTAAAGGAGAAAATAGAATCATTATCTGATCTTTGGAAATGGTGGATTTCTCACCTTTGAAGCAAAAACAGTAATTGCAAAGGTTTAGCCTGACCAATTCAAAGTATATTTGAAATATACTTGAAATCTAAAACTTGTAGAAAAATGAAAAAGCAGTAAAACTGAAGTTAAAATACTTGTATCAAGTATAGCAGACCAAAAGTGGTCTTTGTGTGAAACAGTATTGAAATGCAGAAACAAAACAACAAAGAAAAATTGTTTCACCATATAGGTAAAGATCAAAGTGTTTGTAAAAAGCACTCACATTAGATAAAACACAAATAGAAACAAACGTGGATGCTCCTTGACTTCAGATGGGTTTCCTGATAAACATAATATGTGAGTCAAAAATGCATTCAATACCCCATAAAGCCAGGACAAAATTGAAAAATCATAAGTTGAACCATTGTAAGTCAGGGATCTTCTGTACATGAGGGAATATTTTCATGCTTCTACATAGTAAGAAAATAGAAATAGTGTTGACAAAGCTTTGGTATGGCTTTTAACTTATACACAACTCTGTTAGCTGATACAACTGATTTGTAAAATAATGCAACATAAACATATTCATATCCTTTGACTGAGTACTCTCTCCTCTGGGAATTTATTTTAAAGCAATAATTCAACATACACAAAGTCCAAATGAATAAAAATGTTTGTTGTGATATATAAATAAAACAAACAAAACCACCAAAATATTCAACAATTAAAAATGGCTTACTATGTAACATGAGCAGGAGATAATTTAGTGAGCCATTAAAATTATAATTATAAAGGCTTTGTAAGCACATAGAAACAAATTCTAATAGAAACACCATATCTCAGCACCATATACCATGATTACCTTCTGAGTATGTGGTATTCATTCTGGGGAAGGCAGTTTGTAGCTGAACACCTGGGTAGTATTGTAGGCTAGCCAAGGAGCAAGGACTGAATAGAGCTGAATGTTCTATAGAATTGAGGAAAGAGAACCAAAAGTTTGCAGGGGATTCTCAAGTTGCTGACAACTGACAACCTGCTGAGGTTTATGGATGGAGGCAACACAGAGAAATGCCATGGAAGGGATAAGATTGTCAAGAAGGGATTTTGGAGAACATAATTAATATGAAACTTTATTAATAGTTGTTTGCTATTGGTGCATAGTGTAAGCCCTCCTCTGTCTTCCTGTCAAAACTGTCAGAATAATTAGTGTGGATATGTTCTTTAGGAGAACTTCAGAGGGAAAACCCAGCAGGCTTAATGGGGAGTGATGAAGACAAGTGGTCTGAAGCTACTTCAGACATAATATTGATAAGGCCTTGGAAATTTTCTAAGTCTTTCCGGGCTTCAGCCTCCTCATTTGTGAAATGGAATAGTAGTGTATCTACTTTCAAAGGGTTGCTCTGAGGATCGCATGAGATAATACACAGAAGGCATTTAGAACAGTTTGTCATCATCAGTCATCATCATTATTCTTGTCATCAGACTTCGGAGCAGAGATGGCATCTATGGATTCAGGATCTAGGTGGCAGAAGTTGTAATCAGGGCTGTGGGCCTGTATAAAATTTATTTAAAAATATTGGTCAATATTTTTGTTGCATCAAATCAACTTTTTTTTTAAAAGCAGAGAAAGTTCAATTTAGTAGATGGCCTCAGTATTTAGTCTTCACTTAGAGATGTTTAGTAGATGATAATTAAAGTGAAGAAATAGGAAAATCAACAAAGTTGAACTTCAAAGCAAAGAAAACAAATCACCAAAATTGAACAAATATTAAATAATGAGAACCAGTAAGGTAAGAAATATATTTGATCAGAAAAAAGGCAGTGACAGCAAGCATGAAAGAAAAGCAGTAATATACTTGTGATACCTAAATTTTATTTTAATTTCATTTTATTGTTTCTGATTATGGAAGATAAAGCTACCAGAAACATGATCATTCAGAGAGTTGATCTGAGATGCTAAGATGTCAATCTGAATTTTTTCCTGGAATTATGAAGAAGTGCCTAAAGACATTCTATTAAAGAGAGAGATAGAAAAGTGATTTTTAACTTGAATTTTGATATTTTTTAAACTTGAAACATTACAGGACTTAGTATAATGGAGGATAAAGGATAAATTATTATAAGGTAATGTGAATGTGTGATTATGATATAAATGTAATTTTTAAAAGCCTTATATATTTTCACTTTTTAAAATCCTTTTCAAATTCTCTATTATATTTATAAATATTGTGATTATTTAATTCTGTGTAGATATTTAAACTTGGACTTCATGGATACAATTTTTCTGAACAATACTAATGATCATCAAGTTCAAATCTCTGAGCAACCGGTAAATAGGTATTAAGGGCCATGCGCTGATTCTTAATTGTGTTGTTACATATAGGTCTGTTATGCATCAATGGAAAGAAAAGAGGTAGAGCTATAGAAAAAGTACAAGAAATTTAATCCAAAACCTAGCTTATCTATATAATCTTTCCACCCATCTGATGGGAAAATATCATGCATATGAGCTTTATCCTTAGGCTACGCCCAAACCACTTTTTCTCCAAAAAATGCTTGAGAACCACTAGGTAAGCAAGCACTGCAGGAAAAGAACACTTTAGCATTAAGTCAAACCTTTTGAGGTTAGCAGTGAGGTCCTGACCTCAGATGGAGCCAAATCCCATGTGAGTTGGCAGTGTTGCTTGTGTTTGATCCTCTTTACAATAAGTCATTTGGCTTGCCAGTATCAAGTAAAAGTCAAAAGACATTCTCCACCACTGTATCTCAGTAGATTTCATACTGGAAATTTCCTATAAAATAATTCTAATTAGGATAGATGTATAAATATTTCTAAGTTAAAACAGTGCCCGTGGCAGTTTGGGGTCACACATCTTTTTTTAAAAAGCTATCTTTCAATGCACACTCAAAAGGAGGCTTTTCTTCTAGATGTCTCTATCCTCATACCTTTATCTGTGTTGATATCATCTATGTCCCTTTCCAAGTGTGTCCCAGAAGGGATGGTGTTGTGAACAGCCCATTGATCCAGGATGTGAGCATTTCCTCCCTGCCCAGCAGAAGTCTGGACACCCAGGATGAGACTGGCTTAATGGTCGAGGCCAGCTATTTATTCTTTTCCCTTAAATGCATGCACACATATTCCCTTCCCCTACCACCAACACACACACTCAGAATTTTTTTGTAGATCCATTTCTCTTCCTAATGGTATTTGGCAAGAGACCAAAGAAGCTGCAATTCCTACTCCTACCTCCAGATCCAATCGTAATCCAAGCTCTTTGCATAGCTAGGGTTATAGGCATGCAGTGCACCCTGGGGCATGAAACTGATTGCTCAACTGGAAATGTATTGAAGAGAAAGAAAAAAGAAATGAGCACATTAAATGCATTTTGGTCTGGGTTTTGTCTCACTGTGTAGAAAGCTCAGGGCCTGCTGGGTTTCCAAAGCTTTGTATAAACTAAATATTACTGGAAACAGTGCATCACAGCAGTCATTGCTCAGTACTTTTTCTCTTTTAATTCAGTAGGGAAAACTTGTCACTCCATATATCATTTACAACTTGCTGCAGTGATTCCTCAAAGTTAGAAGATACTGTACACTGTGAATAAAAACACAGGGAGGAAAGGGAGTTCTGTACTATAGGATTTTCATCAGGTAGCATTTCTAAGTAAAATGTATCTGACACCAGTAACAGAAAACATGGACTGAAACAAATGCCAAGAAAATCAATAATTGCAAAAATCACATGGTTAAAAGGCATGTACTTATGTGCTTTTTCTCTCAGTGCTGATTTTTCATTTCGTATTTAAGATGTTCAGAAATAACAAAAAACTCTGCTTCATAAATTGCAAAACTATGCCTCCTATCAGAAATCAAGTGTAGGGTATCCTCAGTCCTCTGTTACACAGTTGGGAACATAGAAAAAGAAGAAAGAAAAAAATGCCAGGAGACAGCTGTCAAAGAACCAGCTCCCTACACTTGTTACTTTACTCCATGAAAAGCCACTGACCATCCACTTGGAAACCTATGGACTCTTATAGCATACTCATATGAATACCTGTTTTCCAGCCTAAAAAAAAAAAAAAAAGGAAGAAAACACCAATTTTAAAGAGATAGTAGAAGGGAATGAAAGGAAAAAACAGAAGGGCGGGAAGATAATACTTGAAGCAGGCCCTCTAATGAGAAGTCTCAACTGAAGCCTACTTTTCTACAGGGGAAGTCTGAAAACTTAAAAGCACAAATAGAATAGCTTGAGGCCCTTTAGTGCAGAGGAAAGAAGTCTCACATGCTTTAAGAGCCTCTGAAGGCTTCAGTTTATACAGCACAGCAAAATCATCGATGTTCTTCATGTAATGTCATTAGGGAGATAAAAAGTATATTTAGTACATCCTGCTTTAGCAGGTTAGGGGATGTAGAAGAAACTTTAGAGAGATTTTTTAAATGACATGTTTAAATTTTTAAAGAGATTTTATACTTGAATTAGTTACATGCAAAGTCCCTTTATATGAAACATTTCCCTCTGTGACAATGCCAAGAAAGCAAATAACTACTGTATAAGTTAGTTGCATAAACATGTTGTAATTATATTCTCTTTAATTAAGATGAGCAAATAACACATCACTGGTCTGAATTTATTTGCCTCTGTGGTGATGGGTGAGAGCGTGGGTGGGAATGGGCGTCAGCACTTCAGGGAGTTTATGTTCCCAGCTAGATAGCCTGGAACTTTGTGTGACCCTGAAAAGTTCATTTCGTCTTGGGGAGAGTCAGTCCTAAGAAGTAGCCCTCTATTCCCTTGGTAAATAACTCCTGCGTGTTGCCTGTTACGTGCACTTACATTCTTAGAGAGCTGTAGTCGTGGCTGCAATCCTGTTCCTTCCTGTGACTCTGGCTCCATTTCTGAATGGACTTGTTAAAACTTTAGTAAACTTTATTTCACTTCTGAGACACCAACTACCTCAGTCCTAGAAGGAGGTGTGGTAGACATCATCCAAGATTCCCCCCTCCCCACCACCACCAAATGCAGGCATTTTGCACAGCATTGACACCCTGCCCTGGATGCCTTAGAGATGACTTCCTGAGGATTAAAAACTAAAACATTAAAAGTCCCTCCTGAAAAGCATACACAGGTTAGAGACACTAGCAGCCTGATTGACCCCACCAATAATATCCTCAAAACTTCATGGTCAAACTACTGATCTTCCTGAGGTGGGTAAATTCTAAGGAAAATAATTTTGGTATATATTTCAAAAATTTTAAATGTGAGATTAACTGTGATTTTTACAGAAATCCTAATCTACTTAATTATTTTGCTTTCCTAAAAGCTGTGCACATTTTTAAGGAGTATGTAATTTATCACAGCTAACATAATTTCGCATCATATATATGTGTATATTCCTTCTATGTATATCCAATTTTTATATGTAGTATATATACTATTTATATTCTGCATATCAAATTTGCATTTTTGTTTTAACTCTGTTGATTTGTCATATACCCTAGTGACATAAATGAATTAATAGCTCCAAAAAATGGTTGTTGAAGCATAAAACAGTGATGGAGATAAAAACACAAACAACGGCCCCTTCTGAATGGCCTTGTTAGTAGAAATAATAAATGGGACTTCATTTGTAAAACAGAATGTGAACGGATGTGTTCTCGGAAATTGGATCTTTAAGTATAATGAAGTCAGCCAAAGAAATGTAGAACTCTAAAATACATCATTATTTAAAAATTGGATTCTGTTGGGCCATGGAACAATTTTCTCTCACTTCACAATGAATTAGCTGTTAACAAAATTTAACAAATGAGAACATAAAGTTATTGAATTTTCAAATAATTACAAAATGTTTTTCAATATATAATTAAAAAGGCTTTTTAGTATAAAGTTGTTGATGTTTTGCCACTGAAGAAAGACAAGAGCACAAACTAAGGAAGCATTATCCAGAATTACACTGTTCAGAGTAAAAAACAGATACAAATGATGGTTACACTATTGGTGAAAAGGCTACAAAACCAATAGCAAATTAAAAAGAAATATTATACCAGAAAAAATAATAAGCTACTGATAAAATTTATTTATGAAATGATACTGTTGGATCTCAAAGATAAAAATATGTCAGGAAAATATTAAAACATGTCTATATTGGCATGTGGGGGTGTGGGGGTTATGCCTGTGTGCACGCACATGTGTGTCTGTTGTCTGTGTATGTGTATGCCAAGACAGTTAATACTACAATTGAATAGAATTACTAATTCTGTGTGTTTTCAGCACATGTATTTGACAGGTAGGAAAAAAAAATGCCTAGTGATTCCTGTTCTATTTTTCACAAAACTCATGAGAATCAGAAGAAAGATTTTTGTTTTCAGAGTAATTAATGATTATCTTCTGAGGTGTGGTATAGACTGTAGCAGGCATCTTTGGGACATGGTAAGAGACCTTTAGCTGTGTGTGAAGCAAGAAAAATATGTGACACAGGAAAAGAGGGTGTCTACAAAGTCAGTCCAAACATTATTCATTACAATAGAATAGACGGTGATCAATAATATTCCCTGATCCATTGTCCTAGAATGGCACTGACCCAAAGAACTTTCTTCAGTGATAGAAATGTTCTCTATTTGCTCTGTCCAACATGGTGCCCCTAAAGACATGTGGCTATTGAGCATTTGAAATGCAACTGGTGCAACTGAGAAATTCTATTTTTAAACTTTAATTTAAATTTAACTATTAACATATATCTAAGGACTACAGTACTAGCACATTTCTCTGAAATAGTAAACATATTTGAGTATGATGAAATAACAACTATAGTGAGTTCATCTTTTCATATGCAATGTGAGGAAATGCGCTTCAAGTCAAAGACTGCTTTCCTCATAAGTTCCCTTGCTCTCTGAGGGGGAAAGATTTGAGTTCATGCATTAATAAAGTTAAAAACACATCTTTATTACACTGATGATACCAGTAGATAGCATTTGTATGACTTTAGATGGTCTGAATAGTATGACACTAAAAATTCAAGAGAAAAGATGATGATTTTTAAATTGAGGGTAGGGCACCAAGTTTCCTTTAGAAATCCAAACAGTGGTATCAATGGCTTCCTTGTGAAGGATTTAACTTTTTTCTTAATACATATTTTCACTTTTGGGGGATAGAAATTGGCGATAGATTATTGAGTTTATTATTTATCACCCAAACAACTAGAGTAGATTAGCAAACCAATTGCTCTGTGGTCTAAGTTGAAACATTTGAGGTCAAACTTTATAGTGTGATACACTTATTTATTTTACATCTGATGTAGCTCTGAAAATAGTCTTTAATGAGATATATTAGTTTTTGTCTCATAATATCTATGTGCATATTTGAAATTAATGTACATAGCTGATGAAGCTGTAAATAGTTGCTCCTATTTCCACACAATATATAATAGAAAGTCAGAGGGTTTTAACTCAATAGAAAGTCAGAGGGTTTTACCTCAATAGAAACCCACTACATGTAGAATGTGGCCACTTGGCTACATTGTCCATCACTGAGCCACATATACATTGTAATAAAGCCTTAGAATGAATAGGATATCTGGCATAGATATGAAATAAGTAATATTCTTTTTAACAATCAAAATAATGTTTACTGAGTAATTATTTTTAAAGCCATTATTATTTTAAACTTATTTAACTAAAATGTGATAACCTATAATTGCACTAGTCACCCACTAAGTGGTTATTGGATTGCCAAAAATTTGAGAAACACTGCTTTATAACATATTTAGAAACATAAGCAGAACTAAGATTTACTGTGGATTTTTTAAACCTGCGTATTTTCCTGTATCTGCCATTTCAGGAAACAGCCAGAAATCTCACAGTTAACTTAAACACCTCTTCTGCCCATGTGTCCCATATTGTCAACAGCCGTGTTCTACCAATTTTATTCAAAATCATTCCTTCATGCTCCATTTTCTCCAGCTTGACAACTGCACCTTGATTCAGGTATTTAGTTTCTCCCACTTGAATTGCAACAATGGCCTTCTAACTGGCTTCTCAGTCCTCATTCTCTTTTCTTTAAAATCTTTTCTCCATAATATCACTACGTTTCTACTTAAAATTTGTTTGCTGTTTCTCAGCACTGTTTAAAATACTACTGTGGTTCGGTGAAACCCCGTCTCTACTAAAAATACAAAAACTTAGCCAGGGTGGTGGCGGGCACCTGTAGTCCCAGGTACTTGGGAGGCTGAGACAGGAGAATGGCGTGAACCCAGGAGGTGGAGCTTGCAGTGAGCCGAGATCGCGCCACTGCACTCCAGCCTGGGCCACAGAGCGAGACTCCATCTCAAACAAACAAACAAACAAACAAACAAAAAACACTACTGTGGTTTTCTCCATGTTAGCAATAAGCACTGAGAAATGAAAGTGGTGAAAATATTCCCTTTACAATCATAACAAAAGTATAAAATGCTTAGGAATAAATTCAACAAGAAAGGTATAGAAACTGAGTAAATCTGATTGAAAGAATATGAACAAAGAAAAAATTGAAATAGCATACCATGTTTTCAGATGGAAAAGATTAATAGAATAAAAATGTCAGTCTTCCTAATATTAATAAATAAATGTACTTCAAGTCCAATTAAAATATTTATGGGGATTAGGATTTAAATTTGGTTTTGGAACTTGACAAAAGTCTCTTAAGTTGATGAGAAAGAATTATGCCAATAAAAGCAAAAGCAATAATAGTGAATAAGAGTTTAATAAATATTAAAACACATTGTAAATATTCTGTGACATAAAGTTGGATGCTGACATAGAAACCAGTGAGATCTAATAAAAAATGCAGACACAAATCACAATTCATGTGAAAATTTAATGTATGATAAGCGTGATATTTTCAAAAGTGCTTCCACAATGGACGGTACGTCTGAAAAGAAAAGAAAGTTGGAATGCTACCTTGAACTATAAGTAAAAGAAAAAATTCAGATAAATTGAGAACTTGAAAAAGACAACTGAAAAGAAGCTCTGAGACTGTATGTACAAAAATTGAGAAAGGAGAAGACCTTTATCAAGACAGAAAATTAAGAAACTATAAAAGCTATAAAATGATAATATTTTTCTACAAAATGATATAAACTAGTGTATGACAAATATTTACTATATAAAATCCTAGTTAAATTATACACATTTGAATTATACATGACAGAGAAAATAGTAATATTTAACATGAGACCACTTAAAAATTCACATGAAAAACTAATGAAAACAAGCAAAACTCACAAAATAGTAAACCCAAATAACCAATAAATGTGTCCCTAAACCAACCAGTAGTCAGATAAATGAAAAGTATGATGCCAATAAAATTTTACATATAGTTCAATTGGCACAAATTAAGGCAATAATCGGTGTTGCTTGTTGGAATATGGGAAAAATAACCTTCTCTTAATTTGCTGGTGAACATATGACAGTCTTTGAAGAAATAATTTAGCAACAAAACCTACTAAATTTGAAAATACACATACCTTTCAACCCAGCAACTCTGCTTCTGGGACCTATCTCATAAAATTAAAACAGCTTGGCAAAATATGTATACAAGGTCTTTATTCCAGCAGTTTTCACTGTGACATAAAACTGGAAGCAAAGACCACCATTAGTAGAAGAATGGTTGAATAAATTATGGTAAATCCGCATGATGGAATATTCTGAAGCCATTAAGAAGAATTAATTAAAGCTACATGAGTTAACTCGAAAGGATCTTTGTGAAGTCTAGCAGAGAAATTGTACAATTGGATCTAGTTCTTTTAATTGACCAGACGAACTTGAATAGATGATGAATAGATGGATTTAGAAATGAATGTAGAATTATAAAAAGGTGAATGTATTTTTATACATGATTATTTCAGCAAGTATAAAATTCCAGAAAAATACACACCAGTTGGTTAGACATGTCAACTTATTTAGTAGAAGAAAAGGTGTGAGTTGGTTGATTGTTTATTGAATAAGTTAATAAGTAAACTAAAGGTGGAAGAAAATGAGAGAGTTTAGATAGATACCTATATAAAGATGTAGATATCAATAATTATCTGTTCTAAATCAATGACAACATGAGGATAACTTCTGACCTATAAATGACATCTCATTGGTAAGTTAAAAATTGAATACAAGTAATACATATAAAAGGAGTATATTATATTTTAAAAAAAAGAAAAACAGAAAAAAATCCTATGATGACACTCAAACAAGAAAAAATCCAAATGGCTTACTATGCCATATAAAGTCATTTAATAAAAGGGCCTGTTTCTCAAAATTCTCTCCTGCAATATCCCCTGTCATTTATTACACATGCCAATAAGTCCTGAAACACTTCTATAACACACAAGCACACAAAGACACAAGCACACAAAATATATGTCATTTTGTTTATGCCTTTGATTATTTTATACATTATTGATCCTCATGTCTAGAATTGTGGCTGGAATAAGATATTCAATAAATGCTTATTGAATAAGTTAGTAAAAGAATTAGTGAATAAATGGATGAATGCTGTATTCTCGGCCAGAAACATCCTTCGTCTATTTCTCCATTTGGTTAATTCTTACACCTTTTTAAATTTTAGCTTATGTATCATCTCTTCCAGGGATTCTTTCCTGAACTTTCTTGAGGATTCCCTTCATATTATTTACCAGCACTTAGACATTAGAGTGCTATTATCAGGTTTCATGTTTATTTCTCCCACTAGATATAAAGCAATTAAAAGTCAGTGTCTGGAAGTGAATTCATTTTTGGTTCCTTATATCTAGCACAATGCTGGTCATATAACAAATGTCCAATTAATATGTTCAACTAAAGTTATAAACTGAAGAAAGTAGCAGATTTCTGGCTTTACAATTGTAAATATATTTCCATTATCTTCTCCTTTCAACATATACCTCAAAACAAACAAATGTGCAACATAATACTTGACATAAAAACAAAATAAATTACAGATGAAAAATTTCCAGAACTTATGCAGTTTCCCAGAACTCAACATTCAAGAGGCCAACCAACTAATCACATAACTATTTTTCAAACAGTCAGTTTCAAACAAATATTTTTGTTTCAGGGGGTATATATGTGCAGGTTTCTTACATGGGTAAATTGGTGCCATGGGAGTTTGGTGTACAGATTATTTTGTCACCCAGATAATAGGCATAGAACCCAATAGGTAGTTTTTCAATCCTCACCCTTGTGCCACCTGCCATCCTGAAGTAGACATTCGTGTCTATTCTTCCATTCTTTGTATCTATATGTTCGCAATTTTATTAGTCTGTTCTCACACTGCTAATAAAGACATACCTGAGACTGGGTAATTTATAAAAGGAAGAGGTTTAATTGACTCACAGTTCAGCATGGCTGGGAAGGCCTCAGGAAACTTAAAATCGTGGTGGAAAGGGAAGCAAACATGTTCTTCTTAACGTGGTGGCAGCAAGGAGAAGTGGCAAGAAAAAGGGTAAAATGCCTCTTATAAAACCATCAGATCTCATGAGAACTCACTATCATGAGAACAGCGTGAAAGTAACTGCCACCATGATTCAATTACCTCCCACTTGGTCCCTCCTGTGACACATGGGGATCATGGGAACTACAATTCAAGATAGCATTTGTGTGGTGACGTGGCCAAACCATATAATTTCATCTCTGGTTACCTCCAAAATCTCATGTCCTCACATTTCAAAACACAAGCATACATTCCCAACAGTCCCACAAAGTCTTAACTCATTCCAGCATTAACCCAAAAGTCCAAGTCCAGAGCCTCATCTGAAACAGAACAAGTCCCTTCTGCCTATGAGTCTGCAAAATCTAAAGCAAGTTAGTTACTTCCTAGACAAAATAGGGTCTTGTTCTACAAGACACTTGTTCCAAATGGGAGAAATTGGCCAAAACAAAGGGGCCACAGGGCCCATGCAAGTGCAGAATCCAATAGGGCAGTTATTAAACCTTAAAGTTCCAAAATGATCTCCTTTGTCTCCGTGTCTCACATCCAGGTCATGCTGATGCAAGAGGTGGGCTCCCATTGCCTTGGGAAGCTCTGACCCTGTGGCTTTGCAGGATTCAGCCCCCCTCCCAGCTGCTTTTATGGGCTGGCACTGAGTGTCTGTGGCTTTTTCAGGATTACGATGCAAGCTGTCAGTGGACTTACCATGCTGGGGTTTGGAGGATGGTGGCCCTCTTCTCACAGCTCCAGTAGGCAGTGCCCCAGAGGAGACTCTGTATGGGGGCTCTGACCCCACATTTTCCTTCCACATTTCCCTAGTAGAGGTTCTCCATGAGGGCTCTACCCCTGCAGCAAACTTCTGCCTGGACATCCAGGAGTTTTTATATATCCTCTGAAATCTAGGTGGAGTCTCCCAAACCTCAGTTCTGGACTTCTATGCACCTGCAGGCCCAACATCATTTGTAATCCACCAAGGCTTGGAGCTTGCACCCTCTGAAGCAACAGCCTGAGCTATATACCTTGGCCCTTTTTAGCCATGGCTGGAGCTAAAACACCTGGGATGCAGGGTACCAGTTCCTAAGGCTGCATAGAACTGGGGTGCCCTGGGTCCAGCCCACAAAGCCATTTTTCCCTCCGAGGCTTTCACACCTGTGATGGGAGGAGCAGCCACAAAGGTCTCTGACTTGCTCTGGAGACATTTTCCCATTAGCTTGGAAATGACCATTTGGCTTCTTATTACTTATGTGAATTTCTGCAGCCAGCTTGAATTTCTCCCAAGAAAATGGGTTTTTGTTTTCTATCACATCATTTGGCTGTAAATTTTCTGAACTTTTATGCTCTGCTTCATCTTGAATACTTTGCTGCTTAGAAATTTCTTCTGCCCAATACCCTAAATCATGTCTCTCAACTTCAAAGTTCCACATATCTCTAGAGCAGGGATAAAATGCCACCAGTCTCTCTGCAAAAGCATAACAAGAGTCACCTTTACTCCAGTTCCCAACAAGTTCCTTATCTCCATCTGAGACCACTTCAGCCTGGACTTTATTGTCCATATCACTATCAGCATTTTGGTCAAAGCCATTCAACAAGTCTCTAGGAAGTTTCTAACATTTTCCCACATTTTCCTGTCTTCTGAGCCCTCCAAGGCTCTAGGAAATTCCAGACTTTCCCACATTTGTCCTCTTCTGAGACCTCCAGACTTTTTCAACCTCTGCCTATTTCCGAGTTCCAAAGTTGTTTCTACATTTTTGGGTATCTTTACAGCAGCATCCACTACCTGGTACCAATTTACTATATTAATCCATTCTCATGCTACTAATAATGACATACTTGAGACTGGATAATTTATAAAGGAAAGAGGTTTAATTGACTCACAGTTTAGCATGGCTGGGGAGGTCTCAGGAAACTTACAATCATGGTGGAAGGGGAAGAAAACATGTCCTTCTTCACATGGCAGCAGCAAGTAGAAGTGGTGAGAAAAAGCAGGGAAAGCCCCTTGTAAAACCATCAGATCTCATGAGAACTCACTATCATGAGAACAGCATCAGGATAACTGCCCTTATGATTCAGTTACCTCCCACAGGGTCCTTCCCATGACACATGGGGATTATGGGAACTACAAGTTGAGATTTGGGTGGGGACACAGCCAAACCATATCATCAATGTTTAGCTCCCATTTATAACTGAGAATGTGGTATTTGGTTTTCTGTTCCCATGCTTACAATAATAATGTGCTTAAAATAATGGCCCACAGCTGCATCCATGTTGCTGCAAAAGACATAATTTCTTTCTTTTGTATGGCTGTGTAGTATTCAATGATGCATATATGCCACATTTTCTTTAGACCACCACTGATGGGCATCAAGGTTGCTTCCATGACTTTGCTATTGTGAATAGTGCTGCGACAAACATATAGGTGCATGTGTCTTTGTGTTAGAACAATTCATATTTCTTTAGGTAGATACCCAGTAATGGGATTGCTGGGTTAAATGGTAGTTGTGTTTCCAGTTCTTAGAGAAATCTCCAAACTGCTTTCCACAGTAACTAAATTAATTTACCTTCCTACCGGCAGCGTATGTGTTCCCTTTTCTCTGCAACCTCACCAGCATTTGTTATTTTTTGACTTTTTTATCATAGCCATTCTGACTGGTGTGCAATGATGTCTCATTATGGTTTTGATTTGTATTTCTCTAATTAGTGATGTTGAGCATTTTTTCATATGCTTGTTAGCTGTGTGTATGTTCCCTTTTGAAAAGTGTCTGTTCATGTACTTTGCCCATTTCTTAATGGGATTGTTTTTTGCTTATTAATTTTTTTAAGTTTCTTCTAGATTCTGGACAGTAGACATGTGTTGGATGCATAGTTTGCAAATATTTTCTCCCATTTCTAAGTTTTCTGTTTACTCTGTTGGTCATGTCCTTTGTTGTGTAGAAGTTTTTAAGTTTAATTAGGTCCCACTTACCAATTTTTGTTTTGATTGCAATTGCCTTTGGAGACTTTGTCATGAAATCTTTGCCAAGTCTTATGTATAGAATGGTATTTCCTAGGTTTTCTTCTAAGGTTTTTACAGTTTTGAGTTTAACATTTAAGTCTTTAATCTATCTTGAGTTGGCTTTTGTATACGTTGAAAGAAATTAGTCCACTTTTGATCTTCTGCATATGGCTAGCCAGTTATCCCAGCAACATTTATTAAATAGTGAGTCCTTTTCCCTATTTTTGTTCATTTATATTTGTCAATTTTGTTGATGATAAGATGGATGTAAGTGTGCAGCTGTACTTCTGGGTTTTCTAACCTGTTCATTGGTCTATGTATCTGTTTTGTACCAATACTATACTGTTTTGGTTACTGTCGCCTTGTAGTGTAGTTTGAAGTCAGGAAGTGTGATGCCTTTGGTTTTGTTCCTTTGCTTAGGATTGCTTTGGCTATTCAGGCTCTTTATTGGTTCCTTGTGAATTTTATAATAGTTTCCTTTTTCTAGTTCTGTGAAAAACAACATTGGCAGTTTGATAAGAATAGCCTTGAGTCTATAAACTGCTTTGGGCAGTACAGCCATTTTGACAACATTGATTCTTCCTACCCATTAGCATGGAATGTTTTTTCTGTTTGCTGGTATTGTCTGATTTTTTTCAGCATTGTTTTGCACTTCTTGGTGTACAGGCCTTTCACCTCTCTAGTTAGTTGTATTCCTAGGTATTGTATTTTCCTTGTGGCTATTGTGCTTGCATTCTTGATTTAGCTTTCAGCTTGGACATTATTGGTGTATAGAAATGCTACTGATTTTTGTACATTGATTTTGTATCCTAAAACTTTGTCAAAGTTGTTTATCAGCTCTAGGAGCCTTTGGGCGGAGACTATGAGCTTTATGAAATTTTAGAATGTCAAGGATAAGAAGAAGATCCTAGAAATCTTTTTCTTCCCTGAAAGAAGAAATTAAAATATCACATAAAAAAGGATCAGGAATTAAAATTACTTTGGTCTCTGTCAGAGAAAAATGAAAAACAAAATATTATAGATGGGGAGTGCTGTAAAGATAAATTTTAGTGCCAATTGAACTACCAGTCATGGAAGAAAGTAAAATAAAGTTATTTCAAGACATGAAAAGTGTCTCAAAAATTTACCTTTTCAAAGGAAATTACTAAAGGATATTCTATAAACAAATAAATAAAAAAGCTAAGAGGAGGAGAGCATGAAATAGGGAACAGAAGATCAAAACTCATTAGAGAAAAAAGAAGCCTTGAGAGCAATTAGTTTGAATTGTTTGGGTGAGGCTGCTGAGGGAATGAAACTGACAAATAATTAGATAGTTTGATGATATAGACAATTGTTCTGACCTATGAGAAGCTATGGGAGGATGTTGCCATAATTTGAAAAAAATTCAGGAAACTGACATTAGCAAACCAAAGCCAGTAATACAAAGTAGAATGATATATCATGACCAAGGGGATTTTATCTTAGGAATAAAAGGTGGGCTGAAGATTCAAAAAGTCAATCCATTAATATTTAATACTTTAATAATTTGATCTTATTTAATTAACCATATAAACAGGCTAAAACAGAAAATATATAATTATCTCAATAGATCTAGAAAACAATTTGAGAAAATGCAACACACATTTCTGATAAAAAATCTGAAGAAACTAACAAAAATAGAATAGTTTCTCAATAAAGGATATTTGAGAAAAATCTACAACTAATATTATACCTAAGGCTTTCCCTTTAAGATTGGGACAAAGGGGTTGGGTAAGGCATTGTTGTTTTCTTTATAGAAACCTTTTACAGTTTTCTTTTAAAACTTTGAGTTACTTTGTACATGTATCAAAAATACTACTTTGAGAAACATGAAATTTAATTAAAATAATGTTGTGATTGATGAACATAAAGAAATACACCAAAGGAAGTGAGCTGTATTTTGCCTACATTTCAAAATGTTTCTGAGTCTAAGTTATTTTTGATCCAGGATTACAATTTCAATATTGACTCCTCGCATTTAAGCACTACGTATTAATAAATCCTGGTCTCCTACAAACCTCCAAGAAATCTAAGAAAAGCAAGTGAATTCCCCAAAACAGGATGTGAGTCCACATGAAATGATCAGATAAAAGGCTAAACCAAAGCCTATGCCTACACAGAGGGTCTAATCTGGTTAGTGGAAAAAGATGTGAAAAATGAGGTTGCTAAAACAACATAGGAAAATAAACCTGTTCTTCCCAAGCTGTCGCTTTGGAATGGAACTGACAGGCTGATTCACACTATGTTGCTTTGATGGATTACAGTTTCATGGATTATTCTCCTCAGGAACATGTGCATTTTAACAAGCAAAAACCAGAAGTAAAGTAATAAAGATAGGATTTCAGGCACATACGCAGGCTTTTGGAAGAAACTGTCAGGGGCTTAAGGGTTTATTGGAATCCCCCAGATTAAACAAGTAGGTAGAGATCTACCTGGCCTGTGCATCTGCATCTTACAGAAAGTGTCTGAACTAGGTGTGAAAACAGAGAAACAGTCCACTTATTTCCTATGGTCCAGCTACTAGAATTTCACCCCACTGTGAAATCCATTATAACCAAGAGTTCATTTTTAATTTCAACTTGTAAATTACTTCTATAAGGGAAATGTTATAAGAGGCAAGTGATATATTTTGAGAGTAACTGAAAAATCTCAAGATCTAAAATTTCCAACATCTGCAATCAAGTTTTACTTTATTTAATCCATGCAGAACAAGGTATTTGCAGTGTAATACAGGTAATTTCATTCATAATCATGAACTGTGTATTTAAGTAATCAGTTCTATGCATAATTATTCATTTTGGATGAAAAGCTGTGCCTAGCTTTTCTGGGGATATGTGCACATTTTTTTCAATTTCAAAACCAATCATAAATGCTTTAAAACTTTGTTCCAGACTGATTTATGCCCATCAATAAGACATGTTGAGTGAGTATAAAATTGGTTCTTCGAAGCCAATGGCATGGGAGGGGATAGTTTTTATGGAAGTGTGGCTTTACTGTCTATAGTACCCACAGCCTATAACCATTAATGTGGCTAAATTAACAATAATGTCCATTCGTTCTGTGGATCAATAACTCATCTGCATTATTGGCAAGCCTCAGGATCCTACAAAGTACTTCCTATCCACCCCAAAAGTGTCTGGGCATCTCCAGACTGTGTCCACCTATGTCCAACAATGTGAGTACAGCTTCTGCTGCTCCTGGGAGTTCCTTCTGGTGGTTGGACATTTACCCCTTTTGCCAAACCCTGAAATATCCTCTGGAGCTCGGTCACACAGGATCCTGCTATTCCTTTGAAAAAAACACTAAGTGCCCTGAGTATTGAACCCTCAGGACATCTTAAAACAGCAGACATCTAAAAAGTCAAAATGATGCTACCTTCTTTCAGTATTCACTGCCCTGGAGCCATGCTGCATTCTGTGAAGAACAGGCAGGTCACTGCCATTTTCTGAGACTGTGGTCAAAGCCACACTCCTTCTTGGCTCAAGTAAGGATGGCCCTCATTTTGCACCTAATACACCGTACTGCCCCTCAGACCCATGCTTCCTCTTGGGCTTTTTTTCTGAGCTTTTTCTGTAATAACTATTACCATTCTTCCAACTACTGAAGTTCAAATTCTTTGAAATCTCTCTGTTTAAATTCTCACATAAAATCATTCAAAAGGTGCCATTGATTGTCATTTGCATAGCCCTTCCAACTTATCATGGACTCATATGTTTACTTATTAAAAGCATATTTTTTAAAAAGGCAACGTGTTAAACACTGTGTTAGGAATTTAGATTCAAATTCAAATAAGATAGAACAATAGATAAATAACTGCAATATGGTGTGACAATACTTCATTTAGGCCCTTATTATTTCTCACTTGCTCTATTTTAAAATTCTTGTAATTAGTTCTCAAACATCTAGACTTTCTCCACTTCAATCCAAATTGCTCCAAGCAAGCAAATAATTTTCTTAAAGACTGGTTCTAAACCTATTCAACATTTTCCTTCTTAACAAGCCTGGGAGTATCTACATTGTCTCTTTAATAAAGTCCTAAGTCATTTGATCAGCATTCAGAAACCACAAAATTCAAACCACCTTGCCAAACTTTTATTCATTCATTTTTCTACAAGTAACCTTTGTTCTAGGTAACCTGGACAAGTAAGCATTACCCTAAATATTTTGCCTTTTCTTTTTTCTTTCATTTCTTGATTACAGTGCTGTTGTTTCTTGCTTAGAATGCACTTTCTTCCTGCTCCTTTTAGAGATCCCATGTCTATTGAATGGGGGTTACCTTATTCTGAACTATGACATCACTTTGCTTGTCATCCCATACTTAATACATATTATTTTATATTTTGTTTATGTCCACCTCTCATCTCTCCCAATAGAACAGACATTCTTTTAAAAAAAAAAAAGACTTAGCACTTATTCATCTTTGATTTCACATGCCACACAGTATATAAACCACATCACATACTCAATTTGTTGATTGCATGAAAAACTATTTTATTAGAAATAAAGCCTTTGATTTATAGCAAAGGTGACTGAATGGAAATGTTTGTCATGTAAATCTTATTATCTACTGACTTCCATTAGGTAATTAAAAATATGTTTCCATGGGAGAAAAAAACTGTAATACACTTAGGAAGCAACTGGTCAGAAATGTGACTAGCTCCCTGAATTACCAAGTATTGCACACAAAAGACATATTAAATCTAGAGGCTATTAGCTAGTTACTTTCATTTCTTGACACCTCTTTCTATTATAGTTTCTTGAATAAGTGAATAATTAAATGAAAGACAGCCTCCATTCCATTCTAGAAGCCTGTTTCTGTAAACTGTTACCTAACTGAAGTATCTTACCATTATTATCTAATGTGAGACAACACTGAAAGGTCTCATATGATCCAGAGCTCCAGCAGGTTGGCTAACTCTTTCTAGTCTGCACTTGAGTTTGATTTCCCCCTCTGCCCAAGCCTGTTTCCTCCCTTTCCCTTGCACAAGTAGGGAGGTCTGGTAAACCTCCAGTGCCTTATTAATTTATTTAACATAATACATATTAATACAGCTTATTTCCCTTCAACAATTGATACTAAAAATATCAAAATGTAAGATGGGATTTGGAAGCTACTTCATTTGCTGCCAGCTGACAGTGAAAACCTCATCACTGGTTATAAGTGAGGCATAGATAGGTTCTGGTGCCAAGTGGCTATCCAGTTTACTTAAACTTGCACCAGGTAATAGGGTTACCTATTCATATGGCTTAGTCATGCTCTCAAGATTGGCTTGTGCTCATTCTCAGTGACACCATTTCCATCTAACAATGGATGGACACCTGCAGCTTTATTAGGTCGGTTGGATACAAAGACCCAAAGGGACAGAGCTGATTGCACCATAGTCTGGACCTACTATAGCACCTCTTATTACCCATAGCTCTACTCAAAATTAGCAACCTCTATGTTACTCAGATTATGGGCTGTAATAGCATTCCTAGATGTAAAACATATTGCCTGCAGAGCCCAATAAGGCCTTTCCAGCACTGTGCTTCTTTATTTATGGTAAAGAATGCTAGATAGAGCACTTTGCCTTTTATTTTGTTGGAAATATGTTAGCACACTGCTTACCACAGGGCTATATGTTTCACTGAAGCTGTAAGAACCTGAAATTTCATAGGGTTTATCTTCCAACCTCTGGAGATCATGTGTCTTACGTCGGTCTCTAGTATATTAGCAATCAGTTGCTTATCCTACCCAGTGAGTTTTCTGTCATTGACATAATGGGTCAATGTGATATTACACAGGATATGCAGACAGTTCACATCTCTTTAGGCAGTGTAATAACAACAAGAAACAGAGAGTTTAAGCAATGTTATGGCAGTCAAGATCTCTTTAGACATTATGACAAAAGGAAACAAAACTGCAAATGAATATCAATATCCATTCTACTTATACGCAAGCTGTTCTCATCCTCTTTTCTAATCTGAATAGCAAAGATGCATTTGCTAAATCAGTGGGCATATACCACCTACCTGAGGGCTTGTTAACCAAGAAATGTACCACTTCCGGCATAGCAGCTGCTGCAGAGCTACAACTTGTTTGTGTTTGCAGTATTAGAACAAGCCAAGAACTGTCTGTAGTGGTTATTTTAAATTACAAATATATTAACCTCAGTTATACTCTTGGGGACTAGGCAATAACCACTGGGTGACTCTGCAAACAAAGTGAACCCACTATAAGCTAGATATATCCATGATTCCATCTGTTACTTGATTCCCCATTAGAGCCTCTAATGTTTGTTAGGTTTTTTTTGTTCTTTTTTACTGAGACATAGTCTTACTCTGTCACCTAGGCTAGAATGCAGTGGTGTGATCTCGGCTAACTGCAACCTCTGCCTCCTGGGTTCAAGCGATTCTCTTTCCTCAGCCTCCCGAGTATCTGGAACTACAGACACCCGCCACCACGCCCAGCTATTTTTTGTATATTTAGTAGAGACGGGGTTTCACCATGTTGGCCAGGCTGGTTTTGAACTTCTGACTCAGGTGATCCACCAACCTCAGCCTCCCAAAGTGCTGGGATTATGGGCATGAGCCACCGTGCCTGGCCTCCAGTCACTCTTTAAATGTCTAGGCAACCCCCATTCCATAAGTGAAGTCACCTTTGGTATTACTATTAGTGCAATTATGCTGGGACAAACAAACAAAAAACAAAACAATGACAACAAAACTCTGTTTTATATTATGGCCTTAAAATGTCATTATGTTGCCGTCACACTTACGCTTTCCATAGGGAATACCATTCCTGATTGTCAATTATTTTTCTCTTTTGCTTTAAAGTTTTGATTGACATCGCTAAAAACTGGCTCTATATCTTATTGTTGCTTATTTGAGGTCCCTTTTCACTTGTTAATTTAAAAATATTCTCTTTTGTCTTTATTTTTTAGCAGTCTGACTATGATTGCCTGGATGTGGTTTCTTTGAATTTCTTAAGCTTGATATGCTTCTAAGATACCTTTCAGAAATACAGGGCATATTAATTCCTTCCAGCAGACCCCCCCAATATGTAGGTCATCTTGGGAGATAGCCCATTTGAAGAGCGTCACTATGGCCAAGGTTATATCACTTTCCCATGGAGGTCCACATCCAATAACCTATATGAGTATGTATGGAGAGGTCTGAAAGCCCATTCTGTCTTCATTTCCCCCTTCCTCACACATACAGGGTTGGCTGAGGCATCTCACAGAGACTACATATCAAAGCTCAACTTCTATCCCTACCCAATTCTGCTTCTTTTCTTTCACTTCCCCACATAAGAATCCCAAAAGGACTCCCAAATAAACCTCCTGCAAGTATAGCAGAGAACCTAACCTTCAATAGTTAGTATGCAGAATATTCTGCAAAAGCTGAAGGTATGATGTGATTTTGGAGCTGGATCACCTACTGTCTGGTTATCAATAAGGAATTCATCTCTTGTGGTAGGTAGAGCAAAGATAGCCCCTGGAACAAGATGGTATTCCAATTATGTTAAAATGTTCACCAGCAGTCAACTAGAATGCTATATCAGCAAAAAGAAATGCTGTTTCCTCTGTGATATATCAGGTAATTGAGAAATAGTGGGATAAACAGTCACTGATAGACAATGGACTAGCTGTCTATTCCTTAACTAGATTGATGCTTTGAAAAAAATAAAGGCTAAATATGACAAATCAGTAATTAAAAGCTAATTCTGAAAGCAGTCATCCCAAATCTGTCTCTATTTCCCCTTCAAGATATTACAACTATAACTTGGTTTAAAGTTGCGGTATAATCCAGCTGGAGATGTGCTGGGCCTCATACAGGAGGAAAGGAAGTGTTCGACAAAGCAACGGCGGGACTTCAGCAGGACACCTGCAGGAGCCAGGAGAGTGTCATGATCCTGGATTCTGAAGGTGCTTTGGTTAAAGGGCAATGAAAAATAAAGTCAGAAAAGGGAGAGTTTATTGATTTTCTACCACTCTCCTGGGATAGAGGACTTAATACCCAGGCAAGGATGTCAGAGATGATATAGCCATATTGCTAGGCTAGGTTCTCGAAGTATCAAAAAAGGTGACATTCCACACAAACTGAACTAGAAATTCTAGAATTGGTATGGAAGATGGTAGAAAAAAAACATTTTCAGGCTGAGAGAGAATGGCATGCTCTGGGAGATACAATGTGGAATGTAAGAAATCCCATCAGAGGACTGTGCTTCAAAGAAGGGCCTGGAGAATACAACATTTACCAAAGCAATATAGAATACACCAGATTGTTCCATATCTGCATAGGATATAGAAAGCCAAAAGAAAATGTTGCCTCTATCCTAACAACCAGGAGAAGTTGGGTAATACACAAAATCATAACATTTTCTGAGTCCATCAGAGAATATGATGACAAGGAAGACTAAATTTCAAAGGTCGACGAGCCCCTGTGAGGAGAGACAGGACTCATGCATTCTTTTGCCTTTGTCAGAACGAGGGGAGGAAAAGTAAGAGCCATAAAAGTAAATGAGCAAAAAACAACTAATACATTAACTAACTCTTCAAGGTTGAGTGTGGCCTAGCATTCCTGAGAACCTCAGAAATAGTGGTGGCTCAACTGTAGGTTCTTTTCCCTGTGTCTTAACAGGATTCTCATGAAAAAGATCGAGGACAAGGTCCAGAGAGAGTACCCTTTAGTGATGGAAACCTGTAGGAGATAACTGGCTGCCACTGAAAGACCAGCATAAAGAGCTATTGCTTCTGGAATTGCATAGAAGCAAAGTATGTCTGCCTCTAGGAGAGGGATAAAGACTTTCCCACTATCAAGTCACACCAAAGATCCATTGCCTTTGGATGAATAATATAAGAAAAAATACTCTGATCCTGACTGAGGAGCAGAAAACTCAGGATTCAAGCGGCTACAAAGCTGAGGTCTGCTTAGGCTGGAGAGAGCCAGAAAATGCTCTCCTGTACCACACCCACCACAGATACAGTGCAGAGCAGAATTAGCCATGGGAAGGAGAAGCGAAGACACTATGAAACCCTAACCCACAAGACTTGGTTGCATAGGGCTGGCAAAAGACTGAGGTTGAACCAGGAGAACAGAGAACACCAGAGACCACAGCCACTATGAGTACAGTGCCAAGTAAAAAATTACAGCAGTCTCCTTTTGTGTACGAAGCAATAGTATGGGCAGACTCTAATGTCCGTATATAGAAGGGCTAATGAGATTTAAGGTGGCTGACAGCTGGTGACACCATAGGCTGCATTCTAAAACAAAGGATAACAGCAATCCACCACTGTCATGCATGAACGTGTTGATAGGAGCAACAAAGCCCAAACCCAGGTCAAGTCCACCACCACACACAAATGTCCTAATGGCCCGTTTCCTTGTGTAAATAGCCTTTACCTCAGACTCTGATGTTCCTTTATGTACAACATGAAACATTTAATAAAAAACTATGAGACTCACAAAAAATCAAGAAGAAAAAAATATGTTGTGACCAAATAAAGCATAAGAAAATACTCAGAGATGACCCTGGTATGGTATCTAGGAGACAGAGACTTAAAAACAAAAACTATGATTAATGTGTTAAAGTAATTCATGGAGTAGGTGGACACATGCATAATAAGATGCAGAATTTCAACACACACAGAGAAATTACAAGAGGGACAAATGAAAATATAGCAATAAAAATATTATCAAAGATAAATAATTCTCTCAGTGTGCAGAAGTAACACTGGAGGTATCTGATAAAAAAATCATTTGAACTTGAAGATAGATCAATACAAATCATCTATTTCTCTCAACTCGTCAAAGTCATTCTCCGTCCAGCTTTGTTCTGTTGCTGGTGAGGAACTGCGTTCCTTTGGAGGAGGAGAGGCGCTCTGGCTTTTAGAGTTCCCAGTTTTTCTGCTCTGTTTTTTCCCCATCTTTGTGGTTTTATCTACTTTTGGTCTTTGATGATGGTGATGTACAGATGGGTTTTTGGTGTGGATGTCCTTTCTGTTTGTTAGTTTTCCTTCTAACAGACAGGACCCTCAGCTGCAGGTCTGCTGGAGTTTGCTAGAGGTCCACTCCAGACCCTGTTTGCCTGGGTATCAGCAGCAGTGTCTGCAGAACCATGGATTTTTGTGATCCGCGAATGCTGCTGTCTGATCGTTCCTCTGGAAGTTTTGTCTCAGAGGAGTACCCGGCCGTGTGAGGTGTCAGTCTGCCCCTACTGGGGGGTGCCTCCCAGTTAGGCTGCTCGGGGGTCAGGGGTCAGAGACCCACATGAGGAGGCAGTCTGCCAGTTCTCAGATCTCCAGCTGCATGCTGGGAGAACCACTGCTCTCCTCAAAGCTGTCAGACAGGGACATTTAAGTCTGCAGAGGTTACTGCTGTCTTTTTGTTTGTCTGTGCCCTGCCCCCAGAGGTGGAGCCTACAGAGGTAGGCAGGCCTCCTTGAGCTGTGGTGGGCTCCACCCAGTTCGAGCTTCCCAGCTGCTTTGTTTACCTAAGCGAGCCTGGGAAATGGCGGGTGCCCCTCCCCCAGCCTCACTGCCCCCTTGCAGTTTGATCTCAGACTGCTGTGCTAGCAATCAGCGAGACTCCGTGGGCATAGGACCCTCCGAGCCAGGTGTGGGATATAATCTCCTGGTGCGCCATTTCCTAAGCCCATTGGAAAAGCGCAGTATTCCGGTGGGAGTGGCCCGATTTTCCAGGTGCCATCTGTCACCCCTTTCCTTGACCAGGAAAGGGAACTCCCTGACCCCTTGCGCTTCCTGAGTGAGGCAGTGCCTCACCCTGCTTCGGCTGGCGCACGGTGCACTGCACCCACTGTCCTGCGCCCACTGTCTGGCACTCCCTACTGAGATGAACCCGGTACCTCAGATGGAAATGCAGAAATCACCTGTCTTCTGTATCACTCACACTGGGAGCTGTAGACCAGAGCTGTTCCTATTAGGCCATCTTGGATACAAACAAATGGAAGAACATTCCATGCTCATGGGTAGGAAGAATCAATATCGTGAAAATGGCCATACTTCCCAAGGTAATTTATAGATTCAATGCCATCCCCATCAAGCTACCAATGACTTTCTTCACAGAATTGGAGAAAACTACTTTAAAGTTCATATGGAACCAAAAAAGAGCCCGCATCGCCAAGTCAATCCTAAGCCAAAAGAACAAAGCCGGAGGCATCACGCTACCTGACTTCAAACTATACTACAAGGCTACAGTAACCAAAACAGCATGGTACTGGTACCAAAACAGAGAGATAGATCAATGGAACAGAACAGAGCCCTCAGAAATAATGCCGCATATCTACAACTATCTGATCTTTGACAAACCTGAGAAAAACAAGCAATGGAGAAAGGATTCCCTATTTAATAAATGGTGCTGGGAAAACTGGCTAGCCATATGTAGAAAGCTGAAACTGGATCCCTTCTTTACACCTTATACAAAAATCAATTCAAGATGGATTAAAGACTTACATGTTAGACCTAAAACCATAAAACCCTAGAAGAAAACCTAGGCATTACCATTCAGGACATAGGCATGGGCAAGGACTTCATATCTAAAACACCAAAAGCAATGGCAACAAAAGCCAGAATTGACAAATGGGATCTAATTAAACTAAAGAGCTTCTGCACAGCAAAAGAAACTACCATCAGAGTGAACAGGCAACCTACAAAATGGGAGAAAATTTTCATAACCTACTCATCTGACAAAGGGCTAATATCCAGAGTCTACAATGAACTCAAACAAATTTACAAGAAAAAAACAAACAACCCCATCAAATAGTGGGCAAAGGATATGAACAGACACTTCTCAAAAGAAGACATTTATGCAGCCAAAAAACACATGAAAAAATGCTCAGCATCACAGGCCATCAGAGAAATGCAAATCAAAACCACAACGAGATACCATCTCACACCAGTTAGAATGGCAATCACTAAAAAGTCAGGAAACAACAGGTGCTGGAGAGGATGTGGAGAAATAGGAACACTTTTACACTGTTGGTGGGACTGTAAACTAGTTCAACCATTGTGGAAGTCAGTGTGGCGATTCCTCAGGGATCTAGAACTAGAAATACCATTTGACCCAGCCTTCCCATTACTGGGTATATACTCAAAGGACTATAAATCATGCTGCTATAAAGACACATGCACACGTATGTTTATTGTGGCATTATTCACAATAGCAAAGACTTGGAACCAACCCAAATGTCCAACAGTGATAGACTGGATTAAGAAAATGTGGCACATATACACCATGGAATACTATGCAGCCATAAAAAATGATGAGTTCATGTCCTTTGTAGGGACGTGGATGAAATTGGAAATCATCATTCTCAGTAAACTATCTCAAGGACAAAAAACCAAACACCGCATGTTCTCACTCATAGATGGGAATTGAACAATGAGAACACTTGGACACAGGAAGGGGAACATCACACTCTGGGGACTGTTGTGGGGTGGGGGGAGGGGGGAGGGATAGCATTAGGAGATATACCTAATGCTAAATGACGAGTTAATGGGTGCAGCACACCAGCATGGCACATGTATACATATGTAACTAACCTGCACATTGTGCACATGTACCCTAAAACTTAAAGTATAATAATAATAAAAAAAATTAAAAAAATAAAAAATAAAAATAAAAATCATCTAAATGGAAACACAAAGGGAAATAGTGGAAAAGAGTATTCAGTAGCTGTTGTACAATATCAAATAGTTTAATCTATGTGTAACTAAAGTTGCAGAACAAGAATAGAGAATAGGGCAGAAAAATATTTTAAAATATAATGACCAATTAAAAAAGAAAAAACTCTACATGTCCAAGAAATCCAGGGAATCCCAAGGATAAAAAACCTGAAACACACATACACACTCATGCATATCATAATCAAACAGCTGAAAAGCAGAAATAGAAAAAAATATTTAGGGCAACCAGGTAAAAAGAAACACACATACAGAAGGGTAAAAGTAAAAATTATAGCACACCTTTCAGAATTTTTGAAAAACATGGAGTTATATCTTAAATATTGCAGAATTTAAAAGCAAACAAACACTGTTAACCCAGAATTAAACATTTGGGCAGCATAAAGACAAAATAAAGACTTTTTTTATTGAAACAGAAGATGAGACATTTCACCACAGCAGACAAGAAATGCTGAAGAAAGCTTTTCAGAGACAAGTTGTATGATACCAAATGAAAATAAATTAGGATCTATACCAAGAAATGAAGAATGCCGCAAATAGTGAAAGTAAGAAAATAAACCTAAAAGATAGTTTCTTTATATTTAATAACTGTAAAAAATAAGTGACTATACTAATGATGTATTTTGGTAATCATATTTAGTTGTAAAATTTATGTTAACAGTAACAAACAAATGAAGACAAGCTATTCTACATGCTTTATATTTCACATGGCATAATATTATTGAAGATAGGCTGGGATAAGTTAAAAATGTGACTATAACCTCTAAAGCAGCAAATAAAAAGAAAGACTATAATTACTAAGCCTAGTGGAGATAAAATGGAAAAATTGATAATATTCTATCCAAAATCAGGCAGGAAAAAAGTGGGATAAAATGAACAAAGAACAGATGGGACAAATAAAAAACAACAACAGGAATATGGTAAACTTATCAGTAATGAATTCAATGTAAATGACTAACCTTTATTTGAAATACAAAGAATGGCAGACTGGATACAAATAAAAGTAGGACAAAACTACATGCTATCTACAATAAATGTATTTTAAATAGAGAGAAAGTAAGGTCTGAAAAATGAAGTAATGTAAAACCACTGATTAAAGACACTTTGACTCTATTAAAATCAGAGAAAGTAAACTTCAAAGAAAGAAATATTACCAGGGATACAGAGGGCATCACAAAATGATAAAAGTGTTAATTCATTGAGAAGACACACATAGAAGTCCTAAATATATCTGCCTCTAATAACATATATTTAAAATGCACAAAACAAAAATCAGTAGAACTGAAAGGAAGAACAGGCAAATTCACAATTATAGCTGAAAATTTCAGCATCTCTTTCAATCAGTTAAAGAATAAAAACTCCAGAAAATCAGCAGAGACACAGAGGACTCAAACCACCCTATCAACCAAACTGACATAATTGGTATTCATAGAAAATCCTACACAATAGCAAAATTCATGTTTTTTATAAGTGCATAAGGAATATGCCTCAAGAGTGACTCATATTCTGCATCAGAAAACAAGTCTTAATAATTTTAAAATAATTGAAGTCATATATCCCTGTTAGGCTCTTTGACATAACAGAATTAAACTAGAAATTGATTACAAAAAAGAGATTTGGAAAATGTCTAAATAGTTGATAATTAACACAAGCACAAATGACAATTCTAAGCCATTTGTACTTTTCTTAGAATTGCGTAAATTCTAAGACAGTTGTGTTGAATTAAAAAAGAAATTAGAAGGGAAGTTAGAAAATATTTGGAATGCGGCCGAGCGCAGTGGCTCATGCCTATAATCCCAGCACTTTGGGAGGCCGACGCAGGCGGATGATGAGGTCAGGAGATCGAGACCGTCTTGGCTAACATGGTGAAACCCCGTCTCTACTAAAATACAAAAAATTAGCCAGGCCATGGTGGCGCGTGCCTAAAATCCCAGCTACTTGGGAGGCTGAGGCAGGGAAATTGCTTGAACCCGGGAGGCGGAGGTTGCAGTGAGCTGAGATGGTGCCACTGCACTCCAGCCTGGTGACAGAGCAAGACTCCATCTCAAGAAAAGAAAATATTTGATATGCAATAAAGATAAAAATACACATATCAATATTTGGAAGATACAGCTAAAATGCATTCAGATAAAAATTTATAGTATTAAATGCTTATATTAAAAAATAAGACTATTTGACATCAGTAATCTAAGTTTCTATTATAATAAAATAGAGTAAATTAGACTCAATAAGCAATGGGAAGAAAATAAAAGCAGAAATCAGTGAACAGACACACACGCGCGCGCACACACACACACACACACACACACACAGAAAGAGAGACTGAGACTGTCAGTGAAAGAAAGAAAAATTCCAGCCAGAGAGACAGAGTGATTGGAAAAAAATAAGATATGAATTACCGATATTATGAGTGAAAGGACTCATTAAAGATCCTACAAATTAAAAGGATATTAATGGAATATTTAAAAATTTATGCCTATAAATTTAACAGCTTAGATTAGTTAGAGAAATTCATTGAAAGATACAAAATCACCAGTGTTCATTCAGGAAAAATAGATATCCTGTGTAGCCCTGTATCAAAGACAATGTGTGATTAAAATTGTCTCCACAAAGAGCATTTCACTGGTAAACTTTATTAAAACACTTAAGGAACAAATAATACCATTTCTAAATGAGCTCTTCTAGAAGAGAAAACAGCAGGGAATCTTTTTGACATAGTATACAAAGCCTGCATTACCCTGACACTGAAACCAGACAGATTTGTAAGTAATAAAATTCACTGTATCATTAATAAATAGGCATAAAACAATCCTTACCAAAATAAAAGAAAATCTAGTTATGACTAAAAATATGATCAAGTATGATGTATCCTATGATTGCAACATTGTTTTTACATTTGAAAAATCAAGCCATGCAAAGCACTGTATTGGCAGATTTCAAAAGAAAAACAAAGTCATACAATTGCCTAAATAGATATAGAAAAAAATGTACAGAAAAAAATTGTATACAGAAACAACTGTAAAATTCTACATCCATTCATGAAAAAAATTCTTATCAAATGAGTACTAGAGGGAACATCATATGTTTCACTTGGTTTCCTGTGTTAAACTGTGAATACTAAATTCAGGAGTCAGTAAATATCCAAAGATGAAATTACATAGTTAAATGTGGGCTGCTTTCTCTTTGGTTCCTTTTTCTCTGTGATCTTGATTCTCAAGTTCTAGCTTAAGTGTCCGTTTTTGTCTCCTCAGCCCAGAGTGACTGTCCCAAGCTTTAGGTCACTCCTGTCTGGCTTCTATAGAGCTGGTTGTATATTGGCAAATGTTATGAAAAGAAAAAGAGTGAAGGCAAGTTACAGCATTCACATCACCTCCACACATAGCCCCACCATGCCCGCATCTCTCCAGGATATCCTCCCCTCAAGCCCTCACTACCTCCTTTGCTCTGTTATGCCTCCAAATATCTGTTTTCTAAATTTATTCCACATTTACAGGTTGTTTTTTTCTCAGTAGAGAGGTTAGTTTAATACAAGTTACTTACTCCATCATAGTTGGAAACAGAACTCTGTCTTTACTTACATTTATAGTCTCCTATTTTTAGACATACAGGCTTATTTCATATTCTTTTTTTTTTTTTTTTTTTTTTTTTTGAGACGGAGTCTCGCTCTGTCGCCCAGGCTGGAGTGCAGTGGCGGGATCTCGGCTCACTGCAAGCTCCGCCTCCCGGGTTCACGCCATTCTCCCGCCTCAGCCTCCCAAGTAGCTGGGACTACAGGCGCCCGCCACTACGCCCGGCTAATTTTTTGTATTTTTAGTAGAGACGGGGTTTCACCGTTTTAGCCGGGATGGTCTCGATCTCCTGACCTCGTGATCCGCCCGCCTCGGCCTCCCAAAGTGCTGGGATTACAGGCGTGAGCCACCGCGCCCGGCCGCTTATTTTATATTCTGTTTAATAATTTCAATATTCATACTTTTAGGGGGCCTAATTTTCATATTGTTGTTTTGTTTTGTTTTTGACTGCTCTCTTTTGATCATGGAGACCTACCCTGACCAACCCCCAGACTACCCATTTAATATTTTCTTACTATAAGCTTGCCTTCCTTTGAGATGTAGGCTGAGGGTTGTCTACTCCACAAATGGTTGGCATTTACTTCCACCATACATCTGGAGCACTACTATGTTAGGAAGATTTGAGATTAAAATCCTTGTATCTTAAACCAGCTTTTGCTGGTTTAAGTGTAAATTTGGTAGCTAGTGTAAATTTGGTGTACAAATCTATGTGAGAGTTTGTTGTAGTTGTAGGTTTCCAAAGCAATTTTTTTTTCTTTCCTCTGCAAAAAAAAAAAAAAAATGGTTTGAGACAAGGGATTTTTCTAAATGGTTTCCTGGGAAGAAAAGCAGTCTGGTTTATTTCTAGATGACCTTATGCCAAAATACACCCATTGGAAGTTCTAGCCTAACGCCAAGATAGAGTGATGTTGTTTTAGATATCCTACCTGAAGTTGGTCCTGGGCATTGTCTCATGTCTTCTGGGAGACTGTGAAAGCCCAATACTAAGTTCATTTAGACTTGGTAAGTGTCTTCAGGGTGAAACTCAAATTCATTTTCCTCTTTATCCCTCTAGGTTCTCAGGTTTACTGAGTTTTTGATTGCTTACATTCTTTTTTCTTATTGCCATCCCTTTACTATATTTTTTAAAAGAGAGTTTAAAATACTTTTTCCATGATGTTTAGTTGTTTTTAAGGGAAGAGTTGGGAAGAATCTGTAGACCTCTTGACTTCAAGAAACAGATGTATATAGTGATTTTCACGTATATTACTTTAGTTGATTGTCATGATTATCTATGTATAGATGTCATTAATGACATCACACAGGTAAGGACACTGTCATCCAAAGAGAGTGACTTACCCTCAATCCACTCTCAGAACACAACAGGGCTTTTCTTCAAATCAGATTTTCTGACACTAGACCCCACGTTCTTTTCATGAGACCTTACCGCATATTGTTGTACCTCATATTGTTTGGCCTCTAAAGGTACATTTGCTCAATACTTGGAAAAATAACCAAATTTCTACCCTGGGCTCCACATAGCTCTAAAATTTCTTTAGATTCATCAAACAATCCCAGTTTAGTAAAGACATAGACATCATCATTTGTGCAGCTATTCAGACTGGCATCACCAGACATTCTCCCTTAAAAGAAGATCTCTCAACAGCAGCATAATGTCACTGTTGGCTGCCTCCCAGAGAAAATTAATCATAATACCAGGAGTTAGAAAGATCTTACACAGATTTCAGGCATATTGTATTTCTTTACCTTAACGTCCACATTCTCCCTGCTGTGTTTCATTACAAAATCCAAATATCACACAAAAACATCATAGCTACCCTCCTTGGTATATGTATTTTAATCAAAAATCGTTGATCCTTGCGATATTTGCCTTGCAGGCAAAAATTCCCTTTTATGTCAAAGAAATTCCACCTTATCACCACTATGAGATCCATTCCAGCTGGTAAAAACATTTCCAGTAAAATAAAGGGAAAAATAGCCTACTTAAATGAAACAAACATACAATTTGATAATTAGCAGAAGAGTTTTTAGATTAATGAAATCATCATCATCATCATCCTGAGATTTTAGAAAGTGCATAATAATTTTGGCTATATTTGTTATATAAAGCTATTGTCATAAGGCTTTGTATCTTTCCTTTGTCTGCCTTGTTTTAACCCTTCTGAGACTGGTCATTCCTGTTTGGAAACCCATACACTATATTTGTCTATATAAATAATAATACATTGCTGGCTTTGGAAATTCTTGCAGATGTTGGTTGCTGTTTTTGTTTTGTTGCTGAATTACATTGGTCTGACAACTTGTACATTTGTTTTGCCAGTGTCTAGATGTGCACCTGTCTTATTTCATTTTCTCAGATTCTCTAGCTTTTCAGAGAGGGTCAGAGCATTAAGGAAAGTTATATCTAAGAAATATATGAAAAAATAAAAGGAAATGTTTTTTATTCCCATCCGGATTTATTACATTTGTATGGGACTTGATATTCTAATGTAAATATGGACAGCAATGCCATATATTAGTACCCAAATTTCCCTACTGTTAGGGAAAACAGCAATACCTTTTTCATGCCTCCACACCCAGATGCACAGAGAACCATAGATAAGGCATTGCTGTTGTTCTTGTTTTCCTAATTTAGATTAATTTAGATCACTACAGGAATAGTGATCAGTTAAGAAACTACCAAATGCACACAGCTCCAGAAGAATTCAGACCTTCTTCATTGTGGCGGGATGTATGATTTTATAATGCTGTGTGTATTGAGTGTAATTGTGTCTTTTGAATCTTTTTGATAGAATTGAGGAAAAAACATGTGCAGTTCTAAAAACGGCTGTCGTGTCCCTTGCCTCTTCTCTCCACGCTCAATCTAGTTGATCTACTTCTGCCTTCTGGCACCAAATCATTTCATTATTTAGTTGGCTTATTATCAAGCAAAACTTATTGCCAGTATGGTTCTAACCTTCTGATCTATTTTGAGTAATTGGTCCTTTTTGCTTAACAATAGTATATGATAAGTATATGACTATTGAATAGCTGGGCTCAAGTCTCAAATCTACTAATTTTAGAGGTGTGACTTAGAACAAGTTACTTAACCTTTCTGGTTCTTCATTTCTCCCCTTTCTAGATTCTATAAAATGAGGCTAATTATTCATACGCTGTAGGGTGTTTGTGATAAGAAAATAAAATAATGTATGTTAAATTGTTTGGGACATAATAGACAATAAATGTTCCTTTGTCACTCAGAGTTCTGGCACAATATAGATTATGCACACAAAAGCTAATTAGATATAATTTAATTAAGGTGCTTTATACAGAAGTTAAGGAATGAAAAGCAGATGGTGACACACACAGGAACTAACTGCAAGTGTTATCAATGCTAGACCTAAAGGGATAGAAGGATCCTGTCCCCAAAGAGAGTGAGAGCTATACGTATGTGTGAGGGGCTTCTTGACAGGATCCGTGGCCTTCAGTAGAAGAAAGCAGTTACTGCTGAAATCTCCCCTGCCAGGGGTACAGGAAGGGTAGATGAAGGCAGAAATAATAGCCCAGTCTCTCTATCTTCATACCCTCTGATGTACTACTGGATTCTTTCATTGGTTGATCCCAACTGGAAGTTAGAAGACAAGGAAACCCAAATAATGCTGCCAATACCCACCACATCACTGGAACAGAGAGCAGAAGGAGAAGGCTGAATGATGAATCTAAAGGAGCAAATGAAGAACTGTTGGCACAGCTTCTTTTCTTCACCTTCTACTTCTATTACTGTAGTGTTCTATTTATCTATATCGATCACTTTTTCCACTATTGGCTTTCAATAGAAGATAAGGTCTTTGAAAGCCAGCATGGCATGTCTTTATCGTGCCAGCATTTCCTAAAGGATGTACATTAAACAAGTTGTGTATGAAAAATGCAACCTACTATATATAACCCTTTGCAAAAACACATTAGCAACATAAATGTGCTTATAAAAGCTCTTAGCAGTTTTGTAGGAAATAAATAATAGGCAAAATATTTACTCACATAGTTATTTTTCAAGGACTATAACTAATACATAACCACTAGTTCCTGGAAATGCATTTTTGAAAATTATTGCACCCCTAATGCCAAGGCCAGGTTGCAGAATATACTATACACTCAATAAACATTGAGTGAATGCATAAATCATGGAATAACTCTATGACTGGGTCTTGAATTGATCTTGATAAAGAACTGTCTTGCCAAATTGTTCTTGCTGAAGAATCTTCTCGTCACTTTTTCTCTTCAGAAACTGGAATCTTGCCTCTTACGTGTAGTCTGATTAACTACATTCATTTTCTCGAAAGGTTCCTATGTGGCTAGCCACCCATGGGTGACCTGGTTGCATTATGAGTAAACAGTAAACAACATCATCAGTCATCAGAATCTCTACAATTTTCTTCTATTTAAGATTCCCATGACTATCTATGTCTGGGGAAATCTTAACACTCTTTGGAGAAATGCCAAGACTACTGGGCTCAACTGGCTCTGAACTCGGAAGATACCAATTTCCAGCCATCTGCATTAATTTCCTTTTGTAACTTGTATGTGAGTGTTCCTTTGGCATTGATCCTATCCCATTGGATGAAACTAGTTTCCAGCCTCTCCCAGTGAATGCTGATCGCTACCTTCTCTTCCAAACATAAAATATTGAGCATGCAGTACCATCTGCCTTATCTATTGTCTAGATCAATAAATCCATAAGGATAAGATATATTTCTGTAAAGCTACAGGCCCTCTCTCCACCCTCACAGCCCCTTTCTATCTTTAAGTAACTTTAAACATACAATCAAAGCAAAACTGGCATAAGAGAGCCAAATTTAATGAGTGAACAGAAGAGCTGAGGAAGCCAAGCGTCTAGAGGAGATCAACTGTATTTTCTCAGGACAGTTCCTAGGGAGGGGAAGAGCCAGAAAGAACAAGAGGCCAAGAGAAGAAGGAGAACTCTTAGAGAAGAGATACAATTCTTTAGTAATTGCTCAATTTCAGCAATTACCAAGGTCCTTATTTGGTGACAATGAGAGAAGACCATTTAGTGAAGGAAAAATGTTCATCATTATACAGAAATGTATGCACACTTGAGATTTAGAATAGCGAAGGCAATAATCTGAGGGCAGCAGAGATTCTGACCATAGTGAGACAAGGTTCCATGACTTCATTTTTAGAAAATTCCTTGGATGATGTGAGGCTGCTTTCTGCATTTTAAAAAGGATACATACATACATACATGAAGATTAAAGTTTTTCCTTTTTTTACATAGAAACATGTCAGCATATGCTGCAAAGTCATGGAGAGAAGAATGCATACTTCATGCTCCTCCCCCAATTATCAGCTGAAAGAGAATCACTGGCTTAGAATTCAGTCTCTATTTTTGTATTGGTGAAGGTTTGATCAGGGAAGCAGAACCACCTGGAGTTATGTGGAAAAAGGAATTTATTATAGGGACTAAAAAGTACACATTGTGGAAGGTGATAAAAAAGTCTGTGATAAGCTCTTGTATGTGGTGGTGGTCATGAAGTTTTGTAAGTCAGCAGAGTGAGCACTGGGAAGAAAACTGGGACATGAAGCAAAGGAGAGTGAGAACAAACTGGAACTTGGGAGGACATAACCCACATCCGCATCCAATCTCAATGATGTAATATTTTGGAGAAGAAGCTGGTGTCCTTCATCCCTAAGCTGCACACATGCCTGGCTTAGGGCTCAGAGAAGATGAAGGAGTGCAAGAAGAACCCGGAAGAACTCCAAGCCAGACTGCTCTTCCTCCCCAGTCAGGTGATGTAGCAGATCAGTGATATTGTGTGCAAGTTTCAGTGGCATGTGTCATGCTTCAGCCTTTAATGACTACTACTTATCTTCTCCCTTCCAAATCTTGCACAAACTTATCCATTGCCCAGTTTGTCCCAGAACCATATAAGGAAAGCAATTCTGGGTAAGTTTACACCATATAAAATCATAATTCTAATTGAGATAAGTTGACACCATATAAAATCACTGCAGTTGTGATACTTTTAGCAATGTAAAAAACTTGGAAAGGCATTGGAATAGATCCTTAGGACAGTGTCTCCATTGATTCAAAGTGGGTTGGAGCAGAAAGAACCTCACAGATATTGAGATCAAATAACCAAGTATTTATTTACTCTAATGTTGCTGGGAGAGTTAGCCATGCACCCCCATTTCCTGCATAAAATTAAGGAGTACACTGATCTGCAGTCTGTCCTATATCTGAATGTCAATTGTTTAACTCAGCCATTAAATAAACTTCAAATTAGTAATGCTAAAAGCTTTCCCTATTCAATCTTTGCCTTAGTATTTGGTTTATTTCTAAAACATTTTTAATAAGAGTTTAAAGATCTATGATAAGAAAATAGATGAAAATTACACCAAAAATTCTGACAGTTGAAAATTAAACGTGAATGCAAGTTATCAATCTGAAAATAAAGTGTGTTTCTGTATGTAAAATTTTAAAAAGGTGTTGATTTATATTTGATTCATGGTGTGAGTAGCTGCATTATGAATGATCAATGAACATTATCATCAGAACAATGTCACACTATTACAATTATGGTGCATCAAAAATGCAAACTTAATTGTTTAGCTCTTAATGAAATACAAAAGCCACATGTTAATAATGTTAAAGTTGTGGTTCGATCTGACAAAGTCAAAGTTAAGATGATGATAAACCATCCCAAACACTTTGATATCATAATATAAAATATATCATAGAGGTTCCATACCCTACAGCCACCACTCTCCCCACTATGAACAGCAGAGAACATCTTTTCAAAATCTAGTTGACTGGCTTTTTGTAGGAAAGAACATGGTCCTGAGTTAAGTTGACAACTCAACTTACTTCATTTTGTCCAATCTCAAAACAGACAAACATAAAAAATTAGGAGGCATCCAAATAAAGTGCTCCTCCTTATCCACAGTTTCACCTTCTGAGGTTTCAGTTGCCTGTGGTCAACTGAAGTCTGAAAATATTAAAATGGGGAATTCCAGAAATAAGCAATTCATAAGTGTTGAGTTATATGCTGTGACATGCATCATTCCTTTGTCCAGTATATCTACACTCTATATGATACCTGCCCTTTAGTCACTTAGCAGTCATCTCAGTTATTAGATTGACTGTTGTGATATCACAGTACTTGTGTTCAAGTAACCCTTTTTTTACTTAGTAATGGTCTCAAAGAGCAAGAGTAGTGATGCTGGCATATTGTTATAATTTTTATATTTTATTTTTATTTATTGTTAATCTCTTATGCCTAATTTATAAATTAAGCTTTATCATAGACATGTATGTATAGGAAAACAGTATATATAGGATCTGGTGCTATTGGTGGTTTCATGCATCCACTGGAGGTCTTAGAACATATCCTCTACAGATGAGGGAGGACTACTGTACAAGTTTTTCTATAAATTCTTGCAAACAAGTTACATCATAATGTAATCATAGGTCAAATTGCACAAAGCAACACACTTCAGGCTATAGGGTAGTGTAGTATAGTGTAGTGTAGTGTAGTATAGTATAGTGTAGTATGTCTTGGATAATTCTAAGAAAAAAAGTGTGTGTGTATACACACACACACACACACACACACACACACACACACGGACTCTCAATAGACTTTTTTCCCCAATATTAGGGCTTTAAGCCTAATCAGCCAGCTGTGGAAAAAATCATCCATTCATCATATCACTGAACTCTTGAAAAAGGGGTGCCAAGATCAAATGCCTTCATTAAGGCAACAAAAACAGTTACTGAGAGAGATTCTGAAAACAACCACAAAGTAGTTGTGCTTTGTGTTCATTGCCTCCTGAATCCATTGACGTCACTACATAGTAAGAATTTCTGGTGAAGAACAGAATTCTTAAAACCTCCAACAGACAAATCACTAGGTCCTGAGTTTACATCCCTGTTTCACTCATAAGCATATAATAATTTCCTGGGTGTGTTTTATATCTATAGGTTATTCTTAAGTCAATCTTAAGATTTAGAATGATTTAGATTTAGATTTACATTACTTTCATTATGTAGATAGCACTAGTGATATTGGGGATGGTGGCATCTGAATTCATAAGTTACACATTTTATCCATCATTTCAGTAACATCACTTTACTGACTCCAGGGGATGCACCTGAGTAATATGGCTATTTATGTATATAGATTTATTTATTTTTGGATCTTTTTTCATGTGTAGAATGTCAGGAGATCTGGAAAAGCCCTGTGAGAAAACAGATAGTATCCTTAATCCTCTGACCTATTTACTTAAAAGAATAAACTAGATGTAGGCATCTAACAACTTCAGGGAAGTTGGTAATAATGAAACCGCTGAATTTTCCTGAAAATCTTCTCTCCATCCCTAAAGCACCTTCTACATTAGAATTATCATCTCCCCTTCATATATCTTAAATAGATTTGATTACTGGCTGTCTTAGTTCATTTGTGTTGGTGCAAAGAAATAGAGACTGGGTAATTTATTTAATAAATGAGGTTTATTTGGCTCATGGTTCTGCAGGCTGTAGAAGAAGCAAGGGGCCAGCATCTGCTTCTGGTGAGGGCTTCAGTGAGCTTCTATCATGGCAGAAGGCAAAGAGGAAGGAAGCACCAGAGAGTGGAGGGAATTTCCTGGCTCTTTTTAACAGTCAGTTATCTCTGGGACTCATTACCTCGAGGACTACAGCAAGCCATTTATGAGGGATTCACCTCCGTGATCCAAACACCTCCCACCAAGTTCCACCTTCAATATTTGGGGATCAAATTTCAACATAAGATTTGAAGTAGACAAATATCTAAACTATATAATTGGCTTAGAATTTCTTTTGAGGTCAGGAGATTGAGACCACCCTGGCTAACACGGTGAAACCCTGTCTCTACTAAAAATACAAAAAAAAAAAAAAAAAAAAGCCAGGCCTGGTGGTGAGCGCCTGTAGTCCCGCTACTCAGGAGGCTGAGGCAGGAGAATGGTGTGAACCTGGGAGACGGAGCTTGCAGTGAGCCAAGATCGTGCCACTGCACTCCAGCCTGGGCAACAGAGCGAGACTCTGTCTCAAAAAAAAAAAAAAAATTCTTAGTAAATTACTATTTCACTCTAAGAAAATTCTGATTTCTTTATGTTAATACACCAGAGAACTTTGCTTTCTTCAAAACTTTAGTAATCTTTTCCTATTTAAAGTACTCTGTTTTATTTTTTATTAATATTTAGCCAAAGAAGCATTTTATTTCAGGATCTGGTCTTTTTGAATATTGAGTTCTATCTATTCTGGCTATGGTACTTGGGGTGCCAATTCACTCAACATTTCCTGAATCATAAAGCACTGTTTTAGCATGATCTCCTGGAATTTCATAAATTATGTATTATAGTAAATCTTTCTTTGCATTAAAAAATTAGATATTAAAATGCAAATTTTAGTACTTTTAAACTGAAGAAATACAGAAAAAAATGAAAAAAATTAAGTAAAATACCTCAAATTCTTATGCTTCTGAAACCTTCCTTCCTGGAGAAATCTCCTCTGGGCTAGAAGGGTTAAAAGCTCTCGCTCATTTACATTGTCCACATTAAGCATATTTTGACATAATCTTCTCAGTCCTTAACATCTTTCTCTCTATCCATATACAAGGTTAAAATTCATTTTGGGGAACCACCATGAATAAGATTTAGCTCATTGACTTCTTACCCCAACTTTTTGGCAGGTGGAAATTGCAGATTCTTGGTTGCTGTTTCTGGCCTTTTCCACACAATAATGGTTCTACCTATCTGTTCTGCCCCTACTCTGCTTCACTTTGATTGTCTATTTGGCTTTCTTTTTGCTTCCCCAGAATCAGGATTCAGCCCTGAACATTGCTTTCAATTTTCATGAGACAGACTAGAAAACCTGTAACTTTTATACCCAGCTCAGATTTCTGTGATCTACCTCTCTAAATCTGGATATGATATGTCAGATACCGTCACTTATCGAGAAAAATCACACACACACACACACACACACACACACACACACACAGTTAAGTTCTCACTTAATGTTATGGATAGGTTCTTGGAAACTGTGACTGTAAGCAAAATGGTTATAATAATAAAACTGATTTTCCCATAGGTTAATAGAAGCAGGAGTAAAGTTCCTATGGCATATTTCTGGTCACAAAAAAATCACCAAATTTTAAATAAAGATCCAAAATGCTTCTAATATTAAACATTGAAATAAATATGAACTATACATAAAGTTTTTAAAGTTTAATAAAAACAAGTAAGATTATATACCTAACTTTTGGTGAATCAGTGAGTGACAGTGGTCATAGTGGTTGTGGCTTAGATTGAGGAACAAATGTTTGTGAAGTGAAAATTGTAAACAGCACACACTACCACCAAACAGTTCAAGAACAACATTAACAAATATGGCGGGCTTACTAAGCTCTTCTGTACTGCATTGTTTATTATCATGCATTTGTATGATTGTATACTTAAAAAATTTTTATTTTACAATAATTTGTATTCATTCATTCATTTATTTTTCTAATCCAATTATTCCAGTTCAAGGTGATGGGTGGCTGGAGCCTCTCCTAGCAGTTTATGGGGCAAAGCAGAAACCAACCCTGGACAGGACGCCATTCCATCACAGGGTGCACTCACACAAATACCCACACTCCCTCAGGCCAAGACCATTTACATGCACCAGTTCACCTAACAGGCACATCTTTGGGATGTGGGAGGAAGCCAGAGTACCTGGAGGAAACCCACAAAGGCATGGGCAGAATGTGCAAACTCCCCAAACACAGTGGCCTCAGCCAGGAATTGATTATTTTGTTTCTCATCAATGATCCTTACAATGAAACAATGCTAGATGAAACAACCTTTTTTGAGGACCTGATATGTACGTTAGATATGTGTACGTACATAGATGTACACATGCAGATATATATGTCTCTTATGCATATAGGATTATGTCTATCCAGCTTCTATATTTTAGTCTATCATCTACTAAGAAAGAATACGAGGTAAAAGTCCTATTCTTGGCACTAAGAAACAAAATACTTAAAGGCTGTTCTGGGAAGTAGTAACATTTCAGAGGGAACCAGCTTAGGGCTTCTAGTATTTCATTTCCTGATTTACATCCATATTTAAGGCAAAAAGAAAAAAAAAACCTTCTAATAAATTTCCTACTGGTGAGAATAGAAGTAATTGTTATATAAATGCTGTTTTTTCCACAAAGAACCTGAAAAGATATTCCAAGTTAGATCGATAATTCAGAAGATTTCGAGTTGAGAAGTACTGGTAAAAGAACAAAATAGATTGAAAAACCAACCAAAACATATTTTGTGGTATCTGAGAATTAGCACTTAAAATTATGTTTTTGCTGATTCCCCCATATTGTCAACTTATTACAGCAAACACTGTTATCAGTTACTATTTATAGAATTTGTATGCTGATTGATTCTATTAATAAGTGTCACTGGGCAAGCAACCTCCCTCTCTGGGGCTCAATTGCCATATTGCAAAACAGGGGCTTCAAGCATGAAGACCTTCTAAGGCCCCTGCCAATTCTGACCTTTTATGATTTGTCTCCTAGCTACTCATCATGGTCTGGAAACCCTTGCCAACAGCCCAGTCGTGCAAGCTTTGCAAACTGAACAGCCAGCAGACAGAACACATTTTCACAGTCTAATGTGAGACAGATAAACCCATTTGTGCACCTTGCAAAATCTTTTGTTTACTAACACGTTCAACAAACTGTGTCAATACACATTGTGTGTGTCTGTGTGCGTGCGAGAGAGAGAGAGAGAGAATAAAGTGTGATACACAGGAATCTGTTTCTCCTTTCTTCTTCTTGGTCTGATGGAACAACACCTTGAATGCCTAACTAAAATGCAATCTCCTCTGGGAAGTCTTCCTAGCTTTCCCAGAATTATTTGCCCCTTTATGCTTTTTTGTAACATTTTGTTAGCATTATTTGTTTTTACACAGCATTATACTTTTTTTGTATATTGGTCTTCCTACTGGACTTTGAGCAGCCTAAATTCTTTGATTTTCTCTTAGTTCCTTATACTGAGTACATCGCCTGGCATATAGCAAATAAATAGATGTTGTTTGAATAATTAATATTCTTTGCATTTAATTTATGATTTTTGAGATGAAACCTAGATAGTGGTTCCTCCACTTAGAAGGATACTGACATTGGTTTACATTATTTTCCAAACAACACCATGGAAAGTTGTTATATGGATATAATATAGAAGTTTTAGTTTATTGCTCTTGCCATAAGACCCACTGAATTGTGCCACAGAGGCTTACTTTTTAACATTTATTTTATTTTTCATAGTTTGTGAATTGTCTGTACATAATTACTTTCAATTAACTTCCCTCAGCCAATCAACAGACCATAAACTAAGCCTTAGCAGTTATGAACAGAGGGAGCTTTGTGATGAGAATTTGTCCTTACATTAATTGTTAGTTCATTAAAAGTCTGCACTCAGGGAATTACAGTAGCTATATTTGAGTTCCTTATTTATGGGTGCATTAATATATTTAAAATAAGACTTCTCAATCAGTAAGCTCAGAATATTAAATGTTTTAAATTGTCTTTATCAGAATTCTTAAGACGGCTCTAACAATGCAGTAAACACTTTCAGAAAGATTCTGGAATTTATTTAATGACTCAGAGTAAACCTGGGTTCCCAAAGACAAAAATCATGTTATTTTGTGTCACTTGAGCCCAGTGTGGATAACTGCATTCCCAGTTGTGCATATATCTAGTTCATTCCTCTAGCTAAAACAATTATCTCAAGCAAATATGGTTATTGTGATATAGATCTGTATGTGATAGACATTGACAAGAAGAAAATTACATTACCATAGAATAGAAAACATAGAGTCTTTCAGGGATGAAGCAGAAATATAGCCCAATGTTGGGAACTCTGATAAAATAAGAAAGTAGTGTTAAAAGGAACTGATAATACCATTCTATTGACCAGTTAAAAGCAAGTGCTTACATGACTGCAGTATGTGAGGGCTTAAAGCATACTTAATGCCTTGGAAAGATTTAAGGGCTTTTATATAAAGGGTTAGGGAGATAAGAGGACAAACCTCTGGGGTATCATATGAATGCAGAGGACATAGGATAGATCAGAATTCTAACAAAACCAGCTAGAGAGGACCTTGGTTTCCCTGAGACTAACAATTAACTTGATTAAACTTAGAAGGCTGGAAAATGAGATCAGCTGAAGTTAATGGAAGAAGCCTCTCTATGTGAGGCTAGAAACAATACTGAACCTCAAACTGCAGCAACTTGAATTTTGCCATATATATGTTGGTTGTTATGTTACTAGAAAGAAGAAAAGCAGGAGAAAACAAAGCAACCAAATAAGAGTCTCTCTATATTTCCATATTTGTAGATTATTGAGAAATAACATATGCTTCACATAAAAAGAATGAACAAAGATAGGAATGCCTATTGTTTTCTTGCGAGTTGGTAGAAGTCATGAGAATAAATAACTGGGTATGTCCTCATAGTTCTCAAAGGTCCCAGACCCTTATTAACATGCTTACCGCAGCCTCCACCTCCCAGGCTCAAGCAATTCTCCTACCTCAGCCTCCCGAGTAGCTGGGACCATTGGCGCATGCCACCACACCTAGCTAATTTTTGTATTTTTTATACAGACAGGATTTCACCACATTGCCAAGGCTGATCTTAAATTCCTGTACTCAAGCAGTCTACCAGCTTTAGCCTCCTAAAGTGCTAAGATTACAGGCATGAACCACCACACATGGCCTATAATCCTCAATATCTCTATTTCTTATCTATTCCTCCGTCTCTGACTCATCTTTTTCAAGATAATTGATAAAACTGTAGACCTAAAAATGTTCTCAGAAATTATCTAAGAATTTGTCACAGAGAGGCTAAAGGTTTTTCCCACAATATAAATTTAGTGAGACAAAAAGAATAAAATACCTAGGAATAATGGCTAACCAGGGAGGTGAAAGATCTGTACAATGAGAATTACAAAACACTCCTCAAAGAAATCAGAGAAGACACAAATGGAAAAACATTCTATGCACAAGGATAGGAAGAATCAACATCATAAAAATGGCCATACTGCCCAAAGCAATCTATAGAGTCTATGCTATTCCTATCAAACTACCAAGGACATTCTTCACAGAACTAGGAAATAGTATTCTAAAATTCACACAAAACCAAAAAAAGGGCTCAAATAGCTAAGGCAACCCAAAAAGAACAAAGCTGGAGGCATCACTTTACCCAACTTCAGTAACTAAAACAGCATGGTACTGGTAGAAAAACAGGCACATAGACCAATGGAACAGAATACAGAGCCCAGAAATAAGGCTGCACACCTACAATAATCTGATCTTCGATGAAGCTAACAAAAACAAGCAATAGGGAAGACCCTATGCAATAAATGGTGCTCGGTTAACTGGCTAGCCATATGCAGAAGATCGAAGCTGAACCCTTTCCTTACTCCATATACAAAATCAAAATGGATTAAATACTTAAATGTAAAACCCAAAACTATAAAATCCATAGAAGACAACCTAGGCTATACCATTCTGGACATAGGAGTGGGCAAAAATTTCATGACAAAGATGCCAAAAGCAATTGCAACAAAAGCAAAAATTGACAAATGGGATCTAATTACATTTAAGAGCTTCTGCACAGCAAAAGAAACTATCAACAGAGTAAATAGGCAACCTACAGAATAGGAGAAAATTTTTACAAACTATTCATCTGACAAAGATCTAATATCCAGCATCTATAAGGAATTTAGACAAACGTACAGGAGAAAAACAACCCATTAAAAAGTGGGCAAAGGACAAGAACAGATGCTTTTCAAAAGAAGACACAGATGCATCCAACAAGCATATAATAAAAGCTAATTATCACTGATCATTAGAGAAATGCAAATCAAAACCACAATAAGATACCATCTCACATCAATCAGAATGGCTATTATTAAAAAGTCAAAAAAAATAACAGATGCTGGTGAGGTTACGTAGAGAAGGGAACACTTACACACTGTTGGTGGGAGTCTAAGTTAGTTCAGCCATATTAGTTGTGGGAAGCGGTATGATGATTCCTCAAAGAGCTAAAAGGAGAATCAGCAATGTTGTTAGTGGGTATATGCCCAGAGAAATATAAATCGTTCTACCATGGAGATCCCTGCACACGAATGTTCTTTGCATCACTAGTCACAATAGCAAAGACAGGAAATCAACCTAAATGTCCAACAGATTGTATAAAGGCAATTCCATGTTTCATATATACCATGGAATACTATGCAGCCATAATAAAGAATGAGATCATGTCTTTTGTGGGAACATGGATGGAGCTGGAGGCTATTATCCTTAGCAAATTTACACAGGAACAGAAAGCCAAATAATGCATGTTCTCACGTTAAGTGGGAGCCAAATGATGAGAAGTCATGAACCGCAAAGAAGGGAACAACAAGCACTGGGGCCTACTTGAGATTGGAGAATGGAAGGAGGGAGGGGGCAGAAAAGATAACTATTAGGTACTGGGATTAATACCTGGGTAATGAACTAATCTGTACAACAAACCCCCATAACATGAGTTCACCTATATAACCTTCATGTGTACCCCCAAACCTAAAATGAAAGTTTAAAAACAAATGAATAAATGTAGCGGAAAAGAGAGGCATGATAAAACACAGGATTCGTTGGTAAACAGCCACTGCTCTAAGCACATACTCTTTAATATCTTAGAATAAATTTTGATAATACATAAAGGTAAAAAAATAAAAACAACACAGGCTTTATTTTATCTAATTCCATTTCTTTCTGGTGTAACAGTTTTTTCTACAGGGTCACCCAGTGCTTTCATTCGTAATGAACTTTCCTGTCTTTTCCATGTTGCAACCACCACCACTCTCAAATGCTTTTTCTCCATGGGGCTTATTACACTCAACATGTATTACACATCAAGTTTTGTTGGTTTATTACTTGTGTTGGCCATTGAAATGTAAATTCCATGAGGGCAGGGTTTCTTTTAATCTTTGCAATGTTGCATTCTGAATTTTCAAAAAATTATAGACCATCAATAAATATTGTTGAGTAAATTAATAAATGCATTAAAAAGAGAATATTCAGGCATGAATGATATAAATTCTCAGAAGCATTGAAAGGTGAAAACTGTCTTTTATAATAAAAGTCAGTATGTCTTTATTTTAAGGTTACACTATGGGAGTTGCTAGGCATGCATAGAAATATATGGTTAGAGAGAAGAGACCTTGGAATTTCAATCCTTGAGAAACTTTGTGATTTAAAATTTGGAGTAGACGGCTTCTCCAGCAAAGGAGAGTGGAGAGAAGCAGAGGCCACTAAAATAGGAGAAAAGGCAGGAGAGGATTTCAGTGTGGAGTCACTGGGCAACAGTGTCAGTGCTGCTGGGAGGGCATGTATTATAAAGACATGGAGGTGATCAATGACCTCTGGAAGTGTAGTTTTGCTCTGAAGTGGTAGGAGTGAAAGCCTGATTACAGTGACGTGAAGAGTAAGTGGGAGGTGCATAAATGGAAACACCATTTACCTGTTGGAAACCTTTTCTGCTACACAACTACTATGTGACATTGGACCATATTATCTGTGGCCTCATTTCTTCATATATAAAATGAAGATAATAAAACATGCCTCATCTGTCTCACAGGATAACTAGAAGAATCGAGTGCCAACAGGCAGACCTTCCTATAATGTGAAATACAACTACAGAGAGTATTATTTTTGGCAATAATTTTTCAACTGAGTCTTAAAAGTTAAAAAAGAAAACATTATATGGATGTTAATTTGTGAGTTCTGTTTCCCAGTAATCCAGGCTTACCTGTAATCTAGGCTAAGTCTGTCAAAAGGCTATTATCCATTTTCTCCTTGTCTTATTTTACACTATTAGTCATTGGTAAACTGGGAGATACATGTACTGCATGCGTTGAACAAAGGCTACACAATCCTTGAAACTTAGCCTTTAAAATAATTAATTATCCAGTGAAAGTGTTTGGTTCAGCTTGCTCAGCCCTTTCAGCAACACCAAATCTTCTCATTCTGAAACCTATGGCCAATGCTTATTGCTCTCCAAGCTAGACCTCAGGCCCACAATCTTCAGCACTTTTTATTAAGCATATGAATGTGCATAAAAAGTCCAAGTGTTCCTTAGGACACTTGTAGGATCCACAAAAACACTATCAATAAAGCAAGAGTGACAGTTTCATCACGGTCAGCTTCAGCTCTGAAAGGTCCGTTGCAAAGATGACAGAATAAAACAATAAAAAACGTTGGCTCTGAAAATGGTTTTCTGAAGTGTGCTGTCACCACATCATTTATATAAGTTCAGGGAAGTGACTGTGCTCTGTGAAGGGACTCATTAGTGGTACCTTTCTCCTTCCCTGATTCAGAGTAAGTGTGTGAGTAGGTGACAAAATCTTCACTATTTTTTCTCATCCACAAAATAAAGTCGATTATATCTACTTAGAAATCTGACTGCAGTGATTGAATGATGTGTGTATATTCACCATGTATTTCATACTTTTTTTCATTTTTGTTCACTCTGGCAATCTTAGCCCCTCAGTTGGGTTTCCCATAATTTGAAATGCCTACTAATCTATTGCAATAATTTATGTTCTGTATATAAAAAGCCACTTTGTCTTAATGACAGCTGCACTTCAATGGAAGCCCAGTGTTAGAATATATACTATTCAATTAGCAGGACAAGAGAAGGGGATGTGGTGAATGTGTAATAATTTTAACTTCTTTTGAAATTACCATTTCTGAAAATATATTGTTTATGGATTGTGTGATGAGTTGTAAGAAACAAATTTTGCCTGCCCCAGAAAACTTATCAAAAGAAAGAAGCCAGCAATGTGGAAATATAGACAGTTTTAACTGTGGAAGTACAAACCTAAATGCATGAATACATAAATAAGAAACGACCAGTAGTTCCAGTTCTAAATAAGATGGAATCAGAACACTCTAGCTTGTCTATCTCATGAAATGTGCTTATAAACCTTGGGCAGATGCATGAAGGAACTATTTGAGGACTCAGAAAAGTCAATAGTAGTAGGCATATTAGAGAAGAGTAGAATTTGAAATTCCACTGAGTCAGAGATAATTGTTTTTTCATCCTCTAGTATCCCCTGGCCTTCTCTCAAGGCTGCCAAAAACTGACAAGTGGTCATGGGCATGAACAGAGAGAGCTTCAGAAAGGCATTATAGCTCAGGCTCAGAGAGTGAGACTGGACACTGGGTAATACATAGCTCAGGCTCAAAGACTGAGAAATGGGGGTCCTATAAGCAAAACTGGTAGCATCTGGAATCCACAGTTACCTAAAACTCTGAGGGAGATGAACTTCAATTTCTCATCAGAAGCTATGGTCACAAATAGGTGTGGAAAATATGTCTCTTTGTGTGTGTGTGTGTGTGTGTGTGTGTGTGTGTCTGTCTGTCTCTCTCTCTCTCTCTTTTCTCCTGCTGCTTGACCTCAAGCTAAAACATACTGGTGGGAAGTCATTATAGAGTAAAATAAATAATTCCACAGCTTTGTAATCACAGAACCAAAAGAAAGTCTCAGAAATTAGATAGTGCATAGGAGTTGGTAGAGAAACTTACCATATATACACAGTTGTTTATGAACTCCTAGATTGACCCTCAAATATGCATATAGTGCTCCAACACAACATAACAAAGACTTTGAGGACTGAATCCCATGATAGACCTCCACCTAGGTCCCAGATGGGACATTGGGTGATATATGCCCAGAAAAGATCCAAATAACATTGCGAAGGCTTTGAAAATGAAAAAGGTCATTGAAAACGTATCCCTCAGAAGCAGCTGTTCGAAAGTTGTGATCTGAGCCTAACCATATCTACTGCCTGATAAAAGAAAAACAGAAACATTCTTCACAAAAGTTGAACAAGACCCAAAGTCTCATAACATAATATTCTAATATCAGAAAGTAATACAAAGTTTATTAACATATGAAGAACCAGGAAAGTCTCACTTTGCCTGGGAGAAAAAAAGGACATCCACATAGAGATCAGCCATAATTTAGATTTATCTATTAAATCTTTTTAAAGTAGCTTTCATACAAATACTCTAAGAAATAAGGGCAAATACTCTTAAATAGAGAGAAAATTTAAACAATAAAATGGAAGACATACAAAAGCAAACAAAACATTAAAAAGGCAATTATAAAATAAGTTTAATAGCAGAATGGAAATGACAAAAAAGATAGTTATTGAACTTGAAGATATATAAATTAAAATACCTAATCTAAAAACAGAAAAAATAGACTGAAACAAAAAAGAAAATACAGGAATCTGTGAGACAAAACCAAATATCTAACATTGGTATAATCAGACTACTAAAATAAATATTTTTAAATAATGGCTAAAATTTCCCAAGTTTCACAGAAGAACTTACAGATTTAAGAAGCTCAGTAAAACTTCAAAACTATAAATCCAAATAGACTCATGCCCAGCCACATCATAATCTAACTGTTGAAAATTAAGATTCAGAAAAAAAAAATCTGAAAAATAGCCAGAGGAAAATTGATGTAGCCTGAATATTTGACCCTCTAAATCCCCTGTTGAAATTTTATCCCCAGTGTTAGAGGCGGGGCCTAGTGAGAGGTATTTGGGTCATGGGGGCAGATCCCTCATGAATGGCTTGGTGCTATTTCCCTGGTAATGAGGACTTCCTGCTCTCTTAGTTCCCATGACATCTGATTGTTACAAAGAGCCAAGCACCTCCTTCCCTCTTGTTCTTTCTCTCTCGCCATGTGACATGCCCGTTCTTCCTTCTTCTTCCACCACTAATGAAATCTTCTGAGGTCTTTACCAGAAACAGATGCTGGCGCCATGCTTCCCATAGAGCCTACAGAACCATGAGCCAAATAAACCTTTTCTTTTTAAATTAACCAGCCTCAGGTATTCCTTTATAGCAACACAACATAGACCAAGACAGAAACTGAAACACTACTCCTAAGGCAATAACAATTCAAATCACTATGGATTTTAAATAAAAAGTTATGGTTGAGGGAGTGTTCGAGAGAGCTGACTAGCCACATCCAGGACTCCCCTTCTCCACCCAGAAGGACCAAAACAGCAAGTGGATAATCATAATTTGAATAGAGAATCTAAGAACCCTGGAATTCAGCAGAGATATGACAGGGAACACCTGAGGCATGAAAGAAGAGGCAAGTGAGGCAGCCAGCCTGGCCGGGATTTCCTAGGATCCTGGAGAGAAGAAGTTCACGCGAGGTCCCACACACCCCTCAAGAACTACGCAGGAGCAGCACAGCACCATTTTGAGACCCCAGGCCCCACCAGGCTACATCCTGTCCTGGGGCCCAACTGACATCTCCTCGCATCTACTAAGAGGGTTCCAGTGGTGCAACATTGTTTTTGACCTAGCAATGTGACAGGGTCCCCAGCAGTCTAGCTCCTACAGTGTTCTATATTCTGTGGAATGAGGAGTACAGTGCACTAGGGAAGTTACCCTGGGACAAAGGGAGCTGAAGTTTGTGCCCCAAGAGCCTGAAAGCCACCTGTTTGGTTCCACTGCTATTGATAGCAACAACCCACCTCCAGAGCCACTTGCTTGGGATAACTGAACTGAGAGCAACCCTGCCACCTCCCCCCAGCAGTAGGACCACCACACATTTGCTTGTGCCTGAAGATATCCCCCCCTACTTTACCACCACTGCTGTTGCAACCTAGCACTCTTCCTAGGGACTTGGGGATCACCCCATCCTGCCTACAACTGATAAAAACTGCACACAACCCTTGAGGACCTTAGGATAGGTCTGCCCAGCTCCATACTGATCCCCTTGTCAGTGTCATGTCTGAGCATGACACCTGCAGCCTGAGGACTTCCTTGTCCTGTCCACCACTGTTGGCATCTGTACACTCCTCCTGGGGCCTCAGGATGGATCTACCCAGCCTGGCACAACCACCAGCACCACATGCACCATCTGGGAGCCAGGGGACTGGCCTGCCCAGCCCATCACAGCCACTGCTAACACCAACGTGTGCTACCTGGGAGCTCAAGTGTTGTCTCACCACTGATATTGCCATCACCTGTGTCACACATGCTGCCCAGGGACCCAAGGACCTACCTGCCTTCCCAGCCCACCACTGTCACTGCTGGCACAGCATCAAGCCTCTTGGAAGCCCAAGAATTGGCTCACCTGAATCTGCTAAGACCAACGCCCATGTATGCCGCCTAGGGGAAAAGAACAGGAATGATTGATCCACCACTGCCACCACAAGGGCCTGAGGACTGGTACCCCTGGCATCTCTGTCCTCAGGAAGCCTGACCAAAGCCCCAGATGACAACCATAGTGTAAGCCAATGAAGAAATTTCAGACAACAGTGATGCTCTTTAAAGTTGAATAAATCATACAGAGAATATGCTACTGCACGCATGTAGATTAAAGGTAAAGTGCCCTATCCAATCAACTCCATAGCTATTTTCAAGGATAAGTCTTCCCCTATGAAAGCCAATCCAAAAGTTGGAAGAAGTGACTATTATACCAGATGCACAGATATCAATGTGAGGACATAAGAAACATGGAAAAGTAAGAAAATGTGACACCTCCAATAGAACACAATAATTATCCAACAACAAAAATTGAAAATGAAAAATTTATGAAATGCCTTAAAAAAGAATACAAAATCATGATATTTTAAAAGCTCAAGTGAATATAAGAGAACTCAGATAAGCAATTCAAAGAATTTAGGAAAACAATTCAAGATATAAGTGAGAACTTAAAGAGGTAGATATCATGAAAAGGAATCAAACAGGAATCAAGCAAATGAAACAAATACGCATAAAGAATTGAGAGCTTCGACAATAGACTAGATCAAGCAGAAAAAAGAATTGAAGACAGGTCTTTTGATATTTGAAATAGCCCAGTCAGAAAAAAATTTAAAAAAATAGAAAAAAAAGAATAAAAATGAATGAAGAAAGCCTACATGTCATTTGGGACACCATAAAGTGACCAAATATACAAGTTTTGCATGTTCCAGAAGATGATGAGAAGGCCAAAGGCATAGGAAACCTATTTAACGAAATAATAACTGAAAACTTTCCAGGGGTAGCAAGAGATTTAGACATCCAGGTATAGGAATCTCAGTAGTACCTAACTAGATATATCTCAAAAAGGTCTTCTACAAGACATGATATAGTCAAACATTCAAAAGTCAAAGACCAAGAGATATTTTTAAAAACAGCAGGAAAAGTATCTAGCCACATATGAGGGAACCCACATCAGACTAACAATTTATCTTGTAGCAGAAACCTTATAGGCTAGGAGAGAATGAGATGATATATTTAAAATGCTGAAAGGAATAACAAACAAACAAGTATGAGCAAAGAATACTACACTCAGCAAACTTATCCTTCATAAATGAGGGGGAAAATGTCTTTCCCATATGAGCAAAAACTGAGGGAATTTCATCACAACTAGGCTGGCGCTACAATACAACAATAGATGAGGCTTCAACACCTTAAAATGTGTTTTTAAAAGTTATTTAGTTTAAAAATATTAATTAAATAATTATAGTCATATTTTTAAGAAACAAATATTCTATGACATTTCTAGATAGATATAGATAGATACATAGATTAAAAATATGCATACTGCCTACTCCCAGTTACTATTTCCCCAAAGGTAGACATCTTCAACACTTTTAGCTGATTATTTTGGTACTTTATAATATGATTTTATTGCTACTTAAAAAGTGTTTAGTTGTAAAAGTTATCTTTCGGATTTTCCAACTGAAACATGATTTAGGGTCTTCCTTGTACACACACGCACACACACACACACGTGTGCTAAAAAATTTGTACATTTCTCATATTCTCTCAAAATAGACCCAATTTTCTTTATTATTGTACTTTAAGTTCTGGGGTACATGTGCAGAACGTGCAGGTTTGTTAGGTATACACGTGCCATGGTTGTTACTATTTGTAATAGCCAATATATGGATCAACATGTGTACATGTGTCCAGTAATAGATGTAAGGGTATAGAAAATGTGTGTGTATTCATATTCCATTATATATACATATATATTCCATTTTATACACATATATTACATATGTATAATGGAATAACATTCAGCCATATTAAAGAATGTCATTTGCAGCAATATGGATGGGATTGTAGATTATTATGTTAAGTGAAATGAGTCAGGCACAGAAAGACAAATATCATTATGTTCTCACTCATATGTGACCACTAAAAAGTTAATTTTATGGAGGTAAAGAGTAGAATTGAAATAGACCCATAGATAGTTATTTTTGGATAAACATAGAAATTGGCCCTTCTGCTGTAAAAACCTGAAACTTACATTTGTTTTATCTGAGCTTCTTCCTCAGGAAAGGACCTTCAAGCCTCTCAAAAAAAGTATCAAAGAACTAAAACTCACCAGGTCACTGCTCCAAATGCCTCCTTTCCCCTGCCTAGGTCCTGCTTTCTTACACGCTGTTACAATTCCTCCACGCTATATAAACCTCTAGTTTTAGTCAGTCAGGGAGATGGATTTGAGACTGAGCTCCCATCTCTTGGCTGCAGCACCCAATTAAAGCCTTCTTCCTTCACAATACTTGTCATCTCAATTATTGGCTTTCAGTGTGCCGAGCAGCAGGATCTAGACCAAACTCCTGGTGTTTCGGTAACAGAATGATAATTATCAGAGGCTGGGAAGGGTTATGGGGAGGGATGAAGAAAAGATGGTTAATAGATACAAACATATGGGTAGACAGAGAGAATAAGTTCTAATATTTAATAGCAGGGGAGGGTGACTATAATTAACAATAATGTGTTGTATATTTCAGAACAGCTAGAAGGTAAGACTTGAAATGTTCCCAACATATACAAATGATAAATATTTGGAGGTGATGGATATCCAGTCTATCATTGATGGACATTTGGGTTAGTTCCAAGTCTTTTCTATTGTGAATAATGCTCCAGTAAACATAGGTGTGCATGTGTCTTTATAGTAGAATGATTTATAATACTTTGGGTATATATGCCCAGTAATGGGATTACTGGGTCAAATGGTATTTCTAGTTCTAGATCCTTGAGGAATTGCCACATTGAATAGCCAAATTTTTAAAGATATTCAGTGTTTGCATTATTTTTACATGATAAAAAACTATTATCAAATGAGCCATGTATATTGCTATGGCTATTTTTTCCTTTTTAATATTTTTCTTTTCTGTGTGTTAGCAGTTGTCTCGTGTTAGTTTACTTCTTTTTAAAATGTATTTGTCATAAATCATGCCACAACCTTCTCAGCAGTGCAGATCCTCTCTCTTAAAGCATTTAAATCCATCAGGCATTCTATCGCTTTTCCCCACCCCCCTTTTGAAGAAGGCTCTCCCAGAGTCACCTGACCTGCTTCAGTGTTGCCTGGTACAACTCTAGGCCTGCTGAACATTAGTCTTGAAGAACATCCTTTCATCATCCCCCTGAAGATTCACTTTGCCTTTGTCTTCTGTTTGATACCCCATAAACTTGATCAAATATTTTCAAATGCTCTCATTTTATAATGCCCTTTGAATCAGTTTTTTTTTTCTTTAATGACACTCTATGCCAAAAAGAAATACCTAATAGTTCTGTGTGCTAAGTACTTTGGTCTCAACAAATACTAGTGGTAATTCATGTGATGTCCAACAAATGTCACTGTATATATCCTTTGATGACTGAAACTTTCTGTAGTACCCTTTCTGGCTTTCCAGGGCATGTTGGTGCAATTTAACAAATGTGGTCCTAAATCCTAAGCCTTTCTTTTTCATGTTTACTCCTTTATTTTGGTGGCATATGTCCCCTAGAAGCTTCCTGCTGAAGAGTATATCAGAATTAGTTTTTTGAAATATTGATGTTTAAAAATGTCTTTATATATCCCTGACACTCAGTTGATATTTTTGCTAAATATATATTTGAGCAAATCTGATATTATAGGCACATTTTGGAGTTTTATGTATAATAAACTCAATGAGGACAGTGACTTCTTACTATATTATTTCCAAATACTTGGCAGATGGTAGGTGGTGAGAGAATGAATGAAGTGACTCCTGTATGAACCTAATCCAAGTTCACCAATGACACATCAACATGATTAGGTCTGTCTGTCATTTTCTTAAATGAGTAGAAAATATTATTGATTGTCTGAAAAAGTATAAAATTCAATTATCTTAGTAGTACAAAAATAGATTAAAATGCTTAACTTTACCAAGTAGAAATGGAAATGTAGTTTTGATCTGAATTATGTTATCTAATTATAACATTGTCATCCATCCTTTAAATTAATAAAATATTGCTTCTACTTTTAATGATGTCATTAATAACGCAGTCAGCTTGAGCTCAATAGGTAAGCTAGTTTATCTTAACTTGAAAGTCATCCTGTATTTATAGTATATTAAATGCATGAGCCAATATTTCTGAGCCTGGAATAATGCATCAATTCATAAAGAGAATTGCCTTTAATTTAGCCATTGGTAGGTAAAGGATAACTGAATATTCATCTTCTACGAAGGCTATTTTAATAATGACTTAATTGTTCTTTTTCAATAATAAAATCAACTACTCAAGCAAGTATGCCATGTTCTGATCCCAGTTAAAATGAGTGTGTCTCAGTCTTGTTAGAGCAGTGCTAATGAAGACAGTCTCAGAGCCTTGAGTCCTTCATGAGTTCCATGGCCTCAGACTTTATAATGTTCTAAAGCAAAATCCATGCAATTGCAAATAGGGGAATTAAGTGGGCAGTCTATCAATGCAAACATCATTACCACAATAAAACAATTTAAATCAGCACCATCATCTTGTATACAAGGACAGAGTATAATATGTTCATTTCATTAACTTTGATTCCATGTCATGAATTCATACATTTTCAAATTGAAAGTTCTGCCCACCTACGGGCTGTGTGACCTTTGGCACATCCCCTTTCTTTCTATATATTATTATCATAACCTCCCATCTATTTAGACTGAAGTGGAGTCATAAGGTAACTTCAAAGCAGTTGTCATATTACCATTTAATCTTCAACAGAAAAATTGGAGACTTCAAAACTTTTTAGTTTTGAAGACAACTATTTTAACTTCAGCCCTCATTACACACCCCAGCAATCTCCCCATCTCCAGTTTGAATTTACCCAGTTCTTCATATGCTACTGTTTGTCCAGTCTGTCTTAGAGTATGCTGTATGTTAAGATGAATACAATCCTTCACACGTGGTATGACCAGTGGCACACGTAGGGGTTTTAAAACCCTTCCCCTGAATGCATTTCTCCACCAGCACAGGAGCTTTTGCTACAACAACAGAGTAGCCTGGTTGACACTTAGCTTACTGTTGACTGAAACTCCCAGATGTTTGTTGTGAGTGTTCTTAGTTGTGTCTTTGGCTATCCATTCAGTTCTCCTCCAAATTGTTTTTTTTTTTAATCCAAGTACTGGACCCTGCATTTATTCCTGAATATTTGTACTGACATTAGTGCCACCAAGCAAGTGTCCCTAAAAGACCACTTGGAATCACTTCCTGATGAAATTCCACAATCACTCTCTGTGGTTTCAGGTGCAAGTAGTCATAACCCTATTTGCCTTCATATAGCCAATCTTGCATTGGCTCCTATTATACCATCAAAAAGACCTTTCAATAGAGTTTACCCTCCATATTTGAAGGGTAGGAAGACACAAAGGGGTTTTTCAATGCCTCCTTCATTCACCTTACTTTTGATTTGCTCTGTGCCACAAGAGTTTCCTCTCTATTCAGGAAGCATCAAATACACCCTGACTTTTCTATTCCTAACTGCCACTGAAGCTGTGTGTGTGTTATTTATAATTCTTTTATTATTTCAAAGAAGCTTCAGCAATTTCTTTTTGTAGGCTACTTAGATTTCAGCATAGAAAGCAGGATGCAGTTTTATAGCTATGCTCGAGAGGTTCTATTTGAAACTGTTTTAAGATGGGGAAGTTTTAAGTTACAGAGCTGAAGTGTTACAGTAAAGAGAAAAGATTTTATCACACACATAATGACATAATCAATCTAAATATACATGTACAAAAAAGATGGAACTAGCTGAAATTCCTAGTCTTCCTCAAAATAGAAATAAGACCCTTAGTATTTATATTTTAAAATGCTTTCTATAATCCATAAATAATAATTCAACTATTATGTTCTCTGCACTCAAAATGTTTACAATATATTTGGAGAGACATTTGAACTTTCTAGAAACATCAAATTAAGCAATAATGCCAATCACTTTTAAACATATGATTTTATTTAATGCTCACAACCATGTGATTTAAGCTCATCTAGTATTATAATCTGCATTTTAGAAATGAGAACTCTGTGGCTGAGGGAAGAAAGGAGAAGTATGAAGGTCACAGAGCCTGTTAAGTGGGCAGAATTTAGTTGAGCCTTAAGTCTGCTAACTCCTAACCTGGTGCTCTTTCCACTTCAGTTCTAACATAATTTTTGTCCCATCACTCTTTTTCAAATTTAGAATGAGAATCTAATTAGAAAGTTATTTTTTGTTCATCTTTCAGTTCATGAATTTCCCATTTTATTATAAAATTCTTAAAAGCTGAGGTAAGCACATAACTAACATAAGTATAAACATTGGACATAAAGTATATATGTTATAGATTACACTAGTCAGTAGTTTGCTAGTAAATGTTTAACAACAGGTACTTAGAGGAATAGGGGTAGGTACGAAAAAGTAACATTTGTCTATTTCAATGGTGTATGTACTCCTATCATGGCTAGTTTTAATCTACCAATATGATGTCATTGACTGTCCATTGACTGTGCAGTTAGGAAAAGATGCATACAATCAGCTCTCATGAGCTGGTATGAGATGCCACCAGCTCTCATTGATTATTCGTCCCTCTAAGACATATTGTCTAAATTAGTCACACACTGGACTGTCATCCATTGATTTTATTTTTCCCTCATGAGCTTTATTGAGAGATAATTTACATACAATGAACTGCATTCAGTTAAAGTGTACAATTCAGTGATTTTTAACAATTGTATAAATTAGCAACTACACTAAAGATAGATCACCTCCACTGGGTACCATTTCAAAACACCCTTTCCTCACTCTATCTTCCTCACTCTATCTTCCTCACTCTATCCCTGGCAAACACTGATCTAATCGGATTAGTTCACATTTCATGTAAATGCAATTATACAGGAAGTAGGCTTTTGTATCTAGCTTTTTTCACGCAGAACATAGTGATTTTGTGATTTACTCAAGGTGTAGCTTATGTCAATAATTAATTCACATTTTATTGCTGAACAGTATTCTACTGTATGAATGTAACACCATTTGCCTTTCCATTCATTTGTTGATGTTCAGTGAAATTGTTGCTGGTCTCTAGCTATTAGAAATAAAGCTGTTACAAATATTAACATATAAATCTGTGTGGAGACCTATGTTTTAATTTCTCTTGGGTAAATATATATGAGTATAATGGCTGACAAGGATATACTAAACTTCTTTTACAAAATTGCCAAAAGTTTCCAAAGTGGTCATACCATTAAGATTCCCAACAGTAGTGTCTCTTTTGAATTTTAGCTGCACTAACGCGTTAATAGTAGTATCTCGTTGTGGTTCTAATTTATATTTGTTTGATTCTTAATAATGTTGATCATGTTTTCATGTGTGTATTGGCCATTCATACATATTCTTTTTAAAGTGTCTTTTCAAATTTTTGGCACATTAAAAAGTATCAGGCTGCCTGTCTTATTATTTAGTTGTAAGAATTCTTTATATATTTCGGATACTAGTAAAACATTTAGTTTTCATTTTTCACATGTAGGTGAATATTAGATGGAGTTTAAAATGAATTGTGGAAAAATGACAATCCCATACATCTAACAGTACATTTCAAGCAGGATCATATATCTTTTTTATTTTTATAAGTACAACAGTTCTGTGAGGAAAGAAGGATAGTTATAATTCTCCTCACTTTCAGAATAAAGAGACCAAGTTTTAGATAGGAAATAGAGCACTTCTTAGGCATGTGGGCTTTGGAACTAGATGACCTCTGTTTAAATTGTGACCTATTCACTAGCTGAGGAACCTCTAGCAAGTTGATAGGGAGTCTCTAAAACTCAGTTTTATTACTGCTAAGATGTGAGAAATAATAGTACTTAAATAAAGAGTAAGAATTAAATAAGATGTTGGGAGGCTGAGGTGAGCAGATCACCTGAGTTGAGGAGTTCAAGACCAGCCTGACCAACATAGTGAAACCTTGTCTCTACTAAAAATACAAAATCAGCCGAGTGTGGTGGAACACATCTGTAATCCCAGCTATTTGGGAAGCTGAGGAGGCTTGAATCCCGGAGGCAGAGGTTGCAGTGAGCCGAGATCACACCACTGCACTCCAGCCTGGGCGACAGAGCAAGACTCTGTCTGAAAAATAAATAAATAAATAAGATGAAGGTTGTATAATAACTAGTTTACACAGCTATAATTAAAGAAATAATATAAGTTCCATAAAAGCTGCCCAAACAGACTGGTATGGGGGTTAAGGTCAGAGATGACTATATTTAGTTGATGGAATTGTGAAGATAGAATACAATAGCCTGAAGCTTCTTTTGTTACTGTTTTTTGTTTGTTCATTTTGTTTTATAATCAGAAAGGGAAACCTATCTAAAACAAAGTCAAAACAAAGGGAAGCAGTGTCAAAAAATGGAGAGAGATTCCTACAGATATAGTCTGTAGATCTGGATTTGTCCATCCTTGAATTTTCATCACCCCAGACTGTCAGTAAAAATCCATAGGTACATCATCCTTGATTCAGTATTATTTGGAGAGCAGAAGGGTGGTAACTTGGGTATCCTGTAATGATGTGGTGCAGGAGTGGGACACACCCAAGAGGGATATTGATGTGATCTAAACAAAATTAATCTGAATGGTTTTGGACCATATCTAACTTGTCTCCCCCTTGGGCCTGGGCATTCCATCGCAAACACAAATTAACTTTGTTTAGTTAAACATAATCTGTGTGTTGCACACCAGCATATACAAGCATCTTTTTTGTGAGGTTTGAGTTTGTCAGGGTATTATTGTGTTATAAATCAATATCACTGCCACTACCTCTCAGAAACTAAATCCTTCTAGTGTTCCTGTTGTTTATATCCATGAGGGGCTATTTTGTTGACTGAGAGAATGATATGTTTTTATGACTGTCTCAAAGAATATTGCCAGGGAGATATGGAAACCTAGACATGTAACCAGAAGAAGCAAAGACATCAAGAGACAAACATGCAAGAAGTAGAAAGCCTTCCATTGTGGCTAATTCATAGTGGATGAATAGGCAAGTAGAAGAGTGTAAAGGCTAGTTATGGAAAAGATGTGAAAATGTAGAGAACCCCAGATGGCAGGCTGAGGAGCCAGGATATCCCTTCTTAAATAAGGGAGAGCCAGAGAGTGGGCTTGAGAGAGCAATGCCTTCTTCCCGGGTGTGAGTCAGCATAGGATGGCTTAATGGGGAGAAACAAGCAAGAACGATCCATAGAGAAGATGCTGACGATAGTTTAAACAGTAAATAAGAAAAGTCTGACCCAGAGTCACAGCAGGAGAAGAGGCATTTTGGGGAACAGAACCTACCGATCTTGTCACATGACTGCTACAGAGGGATCAGGAGAAGTCACAGATTTCTGGTTTTGGACAGAATACAGACTCCTGGTTTTGGACCAAGTCTGATTCAGAGATGTCTCTTGCTGCTTTTCCCAGAGCAAGAACCTGGAAAACAGGAAGAAATGGGTAGTTTTTTGAGGGGTAGGATCAGCAATGATGATAACTTAATTGTGAACAGTTTGAGCATATAGGTACAAGAAGGCCATACAAATAGAAGGCAATTGTAAATGAGTATATGAGTCGAGAGAGAGGCAAAGACCAGAAATAGAAAATTGGGAACCACATCTCCAGAGGCTTCACTTAGAAAGGAAACGAGAACACTACTGCTCTGTGGTAGGACTTAGCAAACTCCAGCTCAAAGGTATTATTTGACCTGGCACCAGTTCATTATCCTTTAGTAATCTTTTTATTTTCCAAGAATTGTATATTCACTTTCAGTTATAAAATAAAAGAGGTTTGTGTAAGCTTCACTGAGTTTTCCACAACAGTAACATCTTACAGAAGTCTAGTACAATATCATAACTAGAATGTTGACATGATAGAGTCTCTCAATTTTATTCAAACATCCTCAGTTTTCCTTGTATTCCTTTATGTGTTTCTGTGTGTGTGTGCGTGTGTGAGAGAGATAGAGAGAGAGTTCTGTGCAATTTTGTCACATGTGTAGGTTCATATATTTACTACTATGATCAAGACACAAAACAGTTCCCTCACCATAAGAAACTTTTGTGTTGCTGCTTCATAACCGCACTCACCTCCTTCCCTCCCAGTCCCTACCCCCAGCAACCACTAATCACTTCTCTACATTTATCATTTTGTAACTTCAAGAATGTTTTATAAATGCAGTTATATAGTTTATAACCTTTTAGAACTGCCTTTTTCACTGGGTGCTATTCCCTGGAGATTTATCCTAATTGTTGCCTGTATCTAAAAGTTCATGTCCTTTTTTGCTCAGTAGTATTCCATGGACTAGATCTTATGCAGTTCAACCATTCCTCTGTTGAAGGACATCTGGGTTGTTTCTAGGATTTGGTTGTTGTGATTAAAGTGATAATGAACATTTGTATTTAGGCTTTTGTGTGAATATAAGTTTTATTTTTTCTGGGAAAAATGCCCAAGAGTGCAATTGCTAGGTCATAGGGTAATTGCATGTTTAATTCCATAAGAACTATTAAATTATTTTACAGAGTAACTATATCATTTTATGTTCCTACCAGTAATGTATGAGTGATACCCTGCCACTTGTTTTTGTAAATCAAATTTTATCAAAACACAGCCACACTTATTTGTTAACATATTCTTCATAGCTGCTTTCACATTGCAATGACAGAGTTAAATGGTTGTTAAAGTCACTATATAGACCAGAAAGACTGAAATATTTACTATCTGACCCTTTTTATGTCAGAAATATTTACTTTCTGGCAGAAAAAGATTTCTGACTTCCTCTCTAAGGATTGGTATCTAACTGTAGATGCCTGGGCTGGGTGTGGCAGGCCTAGAGCAGCAGAGTTAAGCATAGAGGAATGAAGCCCTGACAGGGTAGGCCAGGGCTGCTGAAGGCAAAGAAGTCTCTTGCATTTGCACTGAGTTGGATACAGTGGGCCTTGAGAGAAATTCTGAATAGCATGTCTATAGAATTGGGGGAAACCGGGATTGAATGAGAGAAATGCACAGAGGAGATGCCTAGAACCATCTTCTGAGCAGCAGCTGGCAATGAGAGGATGTTATTGATGAGGTGCTGTAAACATGAAGTGAGGAAAAGATGGTAAAAATGTCACCTAAGCCAAAGAGAATTATCACATTTCCTTAGTTCTAAGAGGCCATCAATTATAAGAAGCATAATTGTCTAAATAGCAAGATTTTAAGGTGAATAAGTGATGGAAACTTTCAAAAATCCATTGTAAAATGCACCCACCTGCAATTTACACATTTGAAAGATGTATGTCTGAGAATGAAAGAAATGTGGGCATACAAAGGTTGAGTACAGTATTGTGACTAGGCAGTTATAATGGTTCTCTAGAACCATCACATGATATGGAAGTCCTGGAGGATGATTTAAAAGATAGACTGGGAAAGAAGACTGAAACTGATTCTAAAATCTTGAGAAATTTTATAATTTTGACAATCTTATCAATAGCCACAAAGTATTGTATTGTCCAGGAAGTTACAGTAAAGTTTATTTCATATTAGATTATTGTTTTCAACATTTTCTAAAGATAGGTGTCATTATCTCCATTTTACAGACACATAAACTGGTGAGATATTTCCAGTTATTTCCCTAAGGTCAAAAGACAGAAAAGTAGCAGAGCTGATACATGAATTCAGGTGATCCCAGCTTCCTGCAAGCATGCCTTTGAATTGCAGGTAAAGATGATGAAGAAGAATGTGTCATATGGATGGCACGGGCTTCACCTTACTAACCCTTATGAAATTTCTTCATTTGAATAGCCTGGTAGAGGCAGTGAAGAACAAGAACACTGGTGTCCATTACTCCTTCATCTCCATGCATCAGTGTTACAGGAATAGAGAAGGCACCACCATCAAGGAAAAGCCAGGACTTATAAGTCCAGATAATGTAAGAGTGAAAGACCAAGAGCCCACAAAGGTAGAGGAATCTGTTCCCAGTAGCACAGGGCCTGCTAAGATACAGTGCAAGAGGCCCAGTAGGTGACAGGAAGGAGAGAGGGCCTTGTGGACACTGAGCCTCTCCAGATGGAAACCCCACATCCCTCAGAGTTTTCTCAGCTTTCTTCCTCTTCAGTTCTTACTGATGTTTGTTTGTTTGTTTGTTTGTTTGTTTTGAGACAAAGTCTCGCTCTGTCACCCAGGCTGGAGTGCAGTGGCGTGATGTCAGCTCACTGGGTTTCACCATATTGGCCAGGCTGGTCTTGAACTCCTAGACTCAAGTAATCTGCCTGCCTCAGCCTCCCAAAGTGCTGGGATTACAGTCATGAGCCACCACGACCGGCCTTATTACTGATTCAAGTAATAAATCAGTACTTAGCTGCTCCATTGTCTTTCAACTCCTGGGGCTCCCCTTGGGGTGTTTCTGATGCTACAGGGTCTCTAAAAACTCATATGACTTTATTTTTTCTTAACCGAACCCCATCAGCTTGCTTAAGCAACATGAAGATCAGGTACTCTGGGTACATTCGCTTGCTGATGAGCATCCATTCAATTTCTCTAACCTGCAGCATTAAAATAAAACAATAACACTGTGTTCTTTTCATCTATCACCAATTTCTCTATCACCTTCTTTCAATTCACAGTTACTTTGGGGAAAGGTCTGTCTTGTTTTTTCTCTTTTTTAACCCTTTTGGCACATTCACAACCTGATTTCTTTACAAGCCTCTCACAAATTCTTTCAGGCCCTCAGTCCATGGTTTTTGAACCTGTGTGGTTTCATCACATGGCCCAGGAAACACAAAAGGGCAGAGAACAAAATAGAATATGAACCTACAGACAATTATAGGAGGGTACTTAAGTGCTTACGTAGCAACCAAAAGCTCTCCAAGGGGCTCTGGGTCCACGAAGGATGACCTCAGATAAATAAAGCATGTAGCCAAATACTAAGAACTGAGCAGGCATCTTGGTGTCTTTTTTGTTTTCCTTCTCTTATTTGTTCAATAGATTTCAAATAACGTATGAATGATTGATTCAGCCTCATGAGGCTGGCTGTGATCTAATTCCCTGAGGCTGTCTGCACAGCAAAAGAGAAACAAAATCAGAGGGATCTGGGGATTTTTGCAAGGCTAAAATAAAATGGCATGTTTGATTACTCCCTTTGTTTTCTCAGTTACTAATATCTGAACTATTTAAAGAGATCCCCAAATGCCTTGGAAATAGAAAGTGATGGCAATAGTAAAATGATGGTGACTTTGAGGATATGAAGCTTTTATTCTTACTTTAAAACCTCTGACATCGTTTTTTCAGACATGATTAAGACCACCAAAGCAATTTTACCATCATTCCTTCTGGCCTTTGCTACTTGACTTGCTAGCAATGAGTAATAGGTGCAGTAATCCCAATTCTGTTAGGTAAAGACAAGAAGCGAAAGGGACTAAATGCCCTTTCAGCTAAATCCCCTTTCTTTTGTTTTTTTCTTCTTTCTTTTCCCTTCCTTCCTCCCTTCCTCCTTTCTTCCTTCCCTCCCTTCGTCCCTTTCTCCATTCCTTCCCTTCCTTTCCTTCTTTCCTTTTTTCTTTCTTGTAGTCAGGGAAAAGGTGGGTATTCAAAGAGTTTCCTAAAGTAAATTTGTGCTGTGACTTTACCCATATGAGTATGTCCGCTGTTAGGGACACATGTATCTTGAACCAGGAGAAAACAAACAAAGGACTGAGTGACCCAGTTCTAAGCTTCACCTAACCTACTATAAAAAAAAAGAGGTTGAAATCACAGTTTAAGAACTAATAAGCAAATGACACTAGCAAACAGAGTTATTAAAACTATTTTTAGATGCAAAAATATATATAGTTAGATTACATAACAATTTTACTATTACTCTGTATTTTATGTTTCTCAGAATTTACTGCCCACATTTTCTGGCTTATAAATAGTTTAATTATGAATATTTAACATTTTCTAGGTAAACTAAATCAACTATACAAATTCATTACGCATTTGAAATAAGTTATGGATATTACCTGCTTGATCAGTTTGAGGAATAAAATTTTTTAAAATCCTTTTATATTCAAATTACAAGGACACTGAACCCCTTTCTCCTTCTTCTGGGCTTCTTCCTGGGAGATCCTCAGGATATTTACAGCCCTTCACAAGGCTAGGCTTCAGCAACCTGGCCAGAGAGCAGGAACCCATAGGCCCAGATGAAGCTATTCTCAAGACAAAAGAAAGTGAAAATTCAATGCTTCTCTTGATTTTCCTGTGGCTATTGACATTTTGTGTTTAACAACACCTTCCCATTAGAACTGTAAACATCCCCAGGCATATAAGGGCTTTCAGTATTTGGCCACAATGATATCGGTTAAAACCATCCTTGTTTTCTCCGACAGTCAGCATTTCTATATTAAGACAAATATCAATATTGTTAGTAGCCTATAATGGAGAACTGTACATATAAATAGGAGAAAGTTGAAGAATTCAGCATGATTTATAGATAACAATATAGAGGCTGTTACAGACGTTTTCTGGGGGCGGGGGCTGGAAGGCTCAAATGCAAACTCCTCAGGTGTTGCTCTGCAAAGGAAGATACATACCCAAGCAGCTCTCACAGGAGGCCTGATTCCCCTCAGTAGGGAAAGCTCACAGCAGCAGTGATAGGTGTACAGGTCCTCAGTGACCCACTGCTTTCTACAACAGGCCACAGAAATTTTGCTTGACTGGATATTGGGCTCCAGAAAATGGATCCTTACTCTTGGGTTGTGGGGCTTCCAGGTGGTATGATTAGAAATAAGTAGTCTCTCTTCTGGGGTGATCCAGGGCAGATGCACAAGCCTTGACACTAGCCATATGACTTGGCCAATTACTTTGGCAACTTAGCAGGAAGATGTCACCATGACAGCACTAACCCTGCCTAGACATAATATCAGAGGCAGCTTGGAGGACTGGATTCAAGTACGTTTGTTAATCAGGAAGCTAGGGCTGTATCTAGTTTCCATTGAACTCTGAAGGAATTCAACTCAGTCCAGGAAGAGAGCCTGCAGGCACTCAGTCTTAAATAACTGCCTTCTTAATAACTTGGTTCACCTCACAAAGACGGCCTCTAAACATGTGGCATGCCTCCCTATTTTAGCAACGCGTACCATTTCAACCCAGGAGCAGTGCAACTTATTGTTATTGTTGTGGGAGACTCTAAAAAATGGTGATTATTGGCCAATTCACTAGTCACAGTGTGCAGATTATATTTCCCCAAGGCAAACAGGGCACCGTCATTTGTAAGAATAGCCTAGGAGGGTCACATCTGCAAGTCCAGAAAAAGTAATAAGGTTGTGACTGAAAGATCAAGTAGAGGTTAACCAAAGCTTGCATCATTGCTTCCAGGACTTTTCTACTGGCTGAGGAAATCATATATTCTTGGAGGGAGGAAGAGCTACACTGTATGACTGACTTAGCCTCTTTTTTTTTGAGATGGAGTCTTGCTGTGTTGCCCAGGCTGGAGTGCAGTGGCACAATCTCATCTCACTGCAACCTTCTGCCTCCCAGGTTCAAGAAACTCTCCTGCCTCAGCCTCCTGAGTAGCTGGGATTACAGGCACACGCCACCACACCCAGCTAATTTTTGTATTTTTAGTAGAGACGGGCTTTCACCATGTTGGTCAGGCTGGTCTCGAACTCCTGACCTCGTGATCTGCCCACCTCGGCCTCCCAAAGTACTGGTATTACAGGCATGAGCCACCGTGCCCGGCCAGCTTCTCTTCTTAGGACCTATTGTTGGCAGTCACTTTTATTGGCATGTACTGATGATATGTCTTGATGGAGGTGGGCAAACAAGTGAGAGGAACTGGGAGCACAGTAGTTCCATTAGCAAACACTAAAATGGCTACCAATTCTCCCTTTAACACTTCTGGCACTGGGTGGCAAGTCTGTCATCATGACACATTAGCTGAAGAAGCTCATCACTGTGGGGCATCACCGTGCTGTGTTTGCTGGTGTTTCACCATCTAATTGAGTAAGAAATCGAGTTATCTATCCAACACAGTAATTTGTGGAGACATTTCAAGTTAGACAGTCTTATTTCTGTATCAACATCTGAGTCACTGGATAACCCTGGAATTTCAAAGAAGTGGTCAGCTAGTTCCCCTCTCATGGATTATATTTTGGAGACCTCTTTATTTTTGTGTTACAGGTGTTTTGTGCTGTTCCCTAATATTGTTGCTCCCTTGTACCAACTAGTCAGACTTTCAGCAAATATCCAGTGGGTCCTTATACTCCATTGTTCATGTGCTTGTATGTGGAAGGGTTGGGGAGGGAGAGAGAAAGAGAGTGTTTGTGCATGGTTTATCAGGGAACATAGTTCAATATTCACCTCTATGGAGTGCACTCCTTTCTAAGTGACTCTCTAAGGCCCTTATTAACAACCTAGGAATTCATTCCAGATTTTATCATTTTCTGAAAAGATGCCATTTCTCAGGACCTTGTGGAACTAATTTTTATAAACAGTGACCAGCGATGCCAATAGTCAGTTGTGCAGCCCAAAGTAGACACCCCCAAGACTGATCCCATCCCCAAGGCAGAACGTTGATTTCTAATCCTCTGATTTACACCAAACAGCCCATGGTGGGTTCTTGGTAAGATTCCCAGTACCAGCTGTTATGGAAACAAGAGGAAGTAGCCAAGGGGCACTGTCATAAAGCCTGTTTATGAGAAAAATTAAGGAAAGAAGTAGCAGGTGTGTAAGTTCTTATTGCCTATTATGTGCTAGGTGTGAGCACAGAGATCTAGCAACATGAAACGTCAAACTCTGGGGAGAAGACCCTAACCCTTGAGCTCTTGAGCTTCTCAGTTTCGTGATAAGAAAAATATCAGCCCATGCTGATTTGGTGAAGGACCAGGATGTAATAGTAACATAGCATGATAGAATTATGCCTTTGTCCATATCTCACCGACTGAACTTTCATGGTTAATGTTGAGAACCAACCCCTCTCCTGGAATGACTAAGAAGCTAGTCTCAAGCTTTGCAGTTGCAGTTATGTGACATGGCATGCTAACAGCAAAATTCATCATGTAAGTATCCATGGTTGAGGAAGCATCAGTCTTGTTTTTTAGTATTTTGAGAGATGGACTAGAATTCAGACTAGGATTGCTTGCTATGATCACTGGACTATACTCAGTTTCTATGGAGCTTGGGAAGGCCAGGTTGCCAGGGATAAGTCCTGAACAAGTTACCTTTTACCTCTCAGAAGGTTTAAGGCAGAAGTTGCAAATGTCTTCAGAGTTCAACTATATTACATAAATGAATTATTAAGTGAAATAATTTAAGAGATAGTAGATACTATGGTAAAAATAGACATGAACCCATCCAAATGAGAAAGTCATTGCCCAGCAATAACCGTTGTTGCCCTGTGGAAATGTGGGCCTGATATTGCCAGGTCTTCCTTTTATCAAGAAAATAAGAAAAATGAAAAGTTTGGAGTTTGACATCAAAATTATATATTGTAAAACAAAACCTCTCTTTGGACTGGCTTGAGTTCTTGGATCAAAGACAATATGGCTTGTTATTAAGTTCTAAAGAGCCTAAAAGGGAAATGAGGGGTGGGGGTGGAAATAAGGAGAATGCAGACTAAAGCTTGTTTCAACTCTCCAGACCTCTTTGCTTTAAGGGATTGCTCAGTAAAGCACTCCATGATTCCCTTTGAGTAGTCCCCTTTGTAAGCCTAATCAGCAGCTACTAACTCTGTAATTCTGTCGTTTCTTTGAGGGATGACTTTGCATCTTCTTGGAAGGCTTAGTACATTTTATTGCTGCCAAGATACCCTGTGATATTTCAAAGATATCATTTGCTGCCTTCTTGTTGCTTCTGCAGGTTTTTTATGCTACCATAAACATGAACATGGGACAAAAGAACTTATTTAGATAAAGGTCAGCTCTCTGGAGCTAAATCTAAAATGTTATTGAAAAATACCATAAATAGTGTTATTTCATCCTTGAGATGGAAGACGGGGCATGGCAGTGGGCGTGCTTGAGTGGCAGCTCAATCTTTTCTCATCAGTTTATCAGGTTCCTGTGGGTTATCCGTAGGTAAAGCAGAAGAATGGCTTAGAAGAATAATTAGGTCTCAAAATCTAACAAGGAGTTTTGAAGTGTGTAGTTACTTGACCAGATATCAATAATATTTTTCATTTTGAATTTTAATCAAGCTAAAATAGAAGGAGAATACAAGACAGAAATACAGAAATAGACACAAGAGAACAAAATATGACAGATCCTTTATAAAAAACATGTAGTAGAAAAATGAGTAAAATAAATGGAGATAGGAATTCAGGGATCATTACCCTGAGGCAGGAGATGTTATGACTTCAGGGATCATTATCTTGCAGTGGAGAAATTAAGAGATAGTTAAGAGAAAGAAAACATGTGAGATTGTCTACACTACGATCCTGACAAACTTGTATGAAAAATGTGTCCCACCCATTCATATGGTTGTAATAACCTTCATTTCAGAGATGGGCAAAAGATGAGCTTATAATGGGATTTGTGGTCAAATCTTCCTGGACTCTGAGTGGACCAACATTAGCCAGATAAAGTTGAATTATTTAGTTGTTCAAACTATCAACAAGAATTTATTCAGGACTTCTAGGTTCCCATCACAACGCCTGGCACTCAAAAAACAAAACAACCAAAGAAGAAATTTACATTATCATCTCTGTCTCTAAGAATTTTGCAAGGTACTTATAATGTGATTCTTTATATATCTTTATAGCATATAAGCAAGAAATTTATGTCATCATTTCTGTCTCTAGAAGTTTGCAAGCTACTTATAATGTGATTCTTTATATAGTATATCTTTATAGCATATACAGTGTATAGGATATATACACACATATCTCTATAGTATATAATATTTTCTTTTCCTTTACATTATAATATATATAGACCTTTTTACTTTACTGATTAGATAGAAGGGAATTAGTATAAAGCACATTTGAAGTTGCTGACTTTCACAATACTTGCTCTGGAAGACCTATACAATTTTAGTGTTGCCTTATTTATTTGAATTGGATCATGGGGTGGGGGGGACAAAGTTAACATGTCCCTGGACAATATTCTTTGCCAGAAATACAGCATTCTTTGCCAGAAAAATCCAGAATTTAAAAAAAGCCATACTACAACGTAGAATTGTGAGTGTTAGAGGGTAAGGAAAGGTAGTGGGAAGGGGAGGATGAGGAAAAATTAATTAACAAACATAAAATTACAGCTATGTGGGAGAAATGAGATCTGATGCTCTGCAGCACTGTAGCGTGAATATGATCAACTATAATTGATTGTATGTTTTTGAAAGCTAGATTTTGACTGTTCACAGCACAATAATGTTTGAGGTGATGATACGCTAATTACCCTGATTTAATCATTACACGTTGTATATATGTATTAAAATATCACTCTGTATCCCATAAATATGCACAATTTAATAAAAGGTCTTGAAATTCTGAGCATCTGGAACCACTGGCCTCAGGCTTGTGCAAGATCACTAGATAAGATAACCCCCAGACACAGTGCAGATCTTGTAGACCCCACGTCCTCTGCTGTGGTGTGAGTAGTGTGAATATGTTAGGGCATAACTCATAGAGGACTGAGTGATACTGTAATATGGAAAGTCTGAGCCTGCATACACTTTTGTCAAAGCTTCCTCCTTTGAGCTATATACCATGAGATTATTAAATATTAGTAAAATTTTACAAGCAAATCTGGCTTCAATTTTTCATACATTGCATTCAGTTGGCCCCACCAGAAGCCTCCCAAAGTCTGAAGGTGCAGGGCATTGATCTAATTTTTAGTTAGAGGATCACTAGCAACTCCTCACTAGAAAGGTGCTGGCAGACAAAATTTTAGAGCTGTAGCTATAATTTGAAATGTTAGGGGATTTAGCAAAATTGCATAAACTTTTACCTCATCTTATGCTTTTTTTAAAAAAACAATGCTGTCTTTATTTCTTAACTCCCAAATAAAAAAATACATTTACATGACATTTAGGGTAGAACTACAAGGCCCCATAAGGATTAAGCATACAATCCAGTTATTATAATGCTGTTAACTAAAACTTTCAGAGTCTAATTGAGTTTTGGAGAAGGAGTAGGTTATAAAATTGATGTCTCTATAGATATTATCTTTAATTAAAACTACTTCTGTGTATCATGTAGTTGAAACTAGTAGCTGGTGCAGGGTAGGGAGATTTTTTAAAGTTTGTATATGAATAGGAATTTCTTAACTCCTAACAATGTTAGGCAGTCAATTCTGGGTACTAGCAAATCAAATTCATGAAATCCTTGGCTGTCCCATATTGAGTTCAGGGTAAGATAAAGGCACTAAGAGCAATCAGTGATAAAAACAAAGTAATGTGGTTGAAATTATGTGACCTATTTGGACCAAGGTTGAATGCCTGAGAATTCTAACATCAACAAGATTTAAGATTAGATTTGAGTGAATAGGAAGAAGAAAAATCTGTAACAAGACCGTCTTGAACTAAAATAACTTTCAGGTACATAAACTTATTTTTTCTGAAGCATTGCAGAGTCATCAATTCAGTTTCCTAAAGTCAGCTGCACTTGGACAAGGCTTGAAGGAACATGATTTTGGTAAGGGCTGTGGGACTTCTAAATGTGTCCACCTGGTCCTCACTTCTTTGCAAGTTCTCTCTATCATAAGCAGGCAGTGCATTAACTCACAGCTCTTCTCCTTCAGAGGAGCTTAACTACCCATCTTCTTCAAGAGTTTCTACAACTCATGCATTGGGGTCTCTCCATGACACTGAGCTATGAAATATCACACATTTTAGCAAAATTATAATTTATTATATCAGAATTAAGGGAAATTGGCCTGGTTTGACACCCCTGCCTCCCTCCTCCCGCCCAACCTCAATGTGCCACCTCACACATCTTTTTTTAAAAGTTACACAAGTTATTATAGGGAGGAGGTGGAGCAAGATAGTGAAATAGAAAACTCCATTGATCATCCCCCCTGCAAGGACATCAATTTAACAACTATCTACACGTAAACAAAGCGCCTTCATAGGAACCAAAAATCAGGTGAGCACTCACAGTACCTGGTTTTAACTTCATACCATTGAAGAGGTAGAAAGAACAGTCTTGAATTGCTGATGCCACCCCTCACTCATACCCACCCCTGGCAGTAGCGGCATGGTGCAGAGAGCATTTCTGTGTGTTGGGGAGGGAGAGCACAGCAATTGTGAGGCATTGAACTCAGTGCTGCCCTATTATAGCATAAAGAAAAACTGGACCAAACTCAGCTGATGCCCACCCAAAGAGGGAGCATTTAAACCAGCCCTAGTCAGAGGGAAATCGCTGTTCCCAGTGGTCAGAACTTGAGTTCCCTCAAGCCTCACCACCATGAGCAAAAGTGCTCTGAGGATCTAAATAAATGTGAAAGGCAATCGAGGGCACAAGGACTGCAGCTCCCAGGAAAATGCTAGTGCTGAACTGGGCCAAAAGACAGTGTATAGACAGTGGGCACGTGACATACTTAGACACCAACTGGGACAGCTAAGGGAGTGCTGGCATCACCCTTCCCCTAACCACAGGCTGCACAGACTATGGCTCCAAAAGAGACCCCTTTCTTCACTTGAGAAGGAAGAGTAGGAAGGACTTTGTCTTGCATCTTGGATACCAGCTCAGCCACAACAGGATAGTGTATTAGTCAGAGTCTTGAGGCTCCCTTTCCAGGCCCTAGCTCCTGGACATCATTTCTAGATATACACTGGGCCAGAAGGGAACCTGCTGCCTTGAAGGGAAGGATCCAGTCCTGCCAGAATTCATCACCTGGTAAGTGGATAGCCTTGGGCTCTGAATAACCAGCAGTGATACCCAGGTACTATGTCAAAGGCCTTGGATGAGACTCTGAGACTTCCCAGCTTCCAGTGAGACTCAGCACATTCCCAGCTGTGGTGCCTATGGTGTGGGATACCTTCTGCTTGAGAAAAGCAGAGGGAAAGTAGAGGGGGCTTTTTCTTGCACCTTGGCCACAGGGTAGAGTACCAAGCAGGCTCTTGGGGTCTCCAATTCCAGGACTTGGCTCTTGGATGGCATTTTGCACCTTTCCTAGGCCAGAGGGGACTGCCCTGAAGGATGAGTCCCAGGCCAGGCAGCATTCACTGCAAACTGATTGAAGAGCACTTGGACCTTAAGGAAACATCACTGGTAGTCTGGCAGTACTCCCCATGGGCCTATGGTGGCAGTGGCCATGGATTGAAGCTCCTCTGCCATTGGAAATGGGAGTAAAGAATGAGAATGAGTGTCTCTTGTGGTCTGAGTGCCACCTCAGCTGCAGTACAATAATAGAACTCCAGTTAGACTTCTAAGATTTTTGACTCTAGTCTCTGGCTTTTGGACAGCACCTCTGAACCATACTGGGGCCTGTGAAAACTCACCGCTCCAAAGGGAAAAACATGTTCCTGGCTGGTTTTGACACCACTGATTGTGGAGCCCTGGGACCTTGAGCAAACACAGACAATAACCAAGAAGATGTTACACCAGACTTTGGGTGAGACTCAGTGCTGTGCTGGCTTCAGGTCTGACTCAGTGCAGTTATAATGGTGGGGGCTGCAGGGCTACTTGTGTCACTCTACTGTCAGATTTAAGTGGCTTAGAAAAGAGGGAGAGACTCCATTTGTTTTGGAGAACGTAAGGGAGGAAAGCAAAAGTCTCTGCCTGTTAATCTAGAGAATCCCCCTGTGTCTATCTTGTCCAAGACAATCAAGATGGTACCTCTATGAGTCTGCAAGAACCACAGTGTTACTGGGCTTGGAATGGCCCCTAAAGCAGATACAGGCTGGATCACAAAATTCAAGTCCTTTTGAATATCTGGAAAAACTTCCCAAGAAGAATGCATACAAACGCCCAGACTGTGAAAACAATAATAAAAACCTAACTTCAAGGCCCAGAAACAGACAAACATCTACAAGTATCAATACAATCAAGGAAAACATGACCTCACCAAATGAACTAAATAAATAAGGTACCAGGGACCAGTCCTGGAGAAATAGAGATATCAAACCTTTCAGATAGAGAATTCAAAATAGCTGTTTTGAGGAAACTCAAAGAAATTCAAGATAACACAAAGGAATTCAGAATTTTATCAGATAAATTTAACAAAGAAATTGAAATAATAAAAAAGAAGCAGAAATTCTGCAGCTGAAAAAATGCACTTGCATTACTGAAGAATGCATCAGAGTCTTTTAATAGCAGAAGTGATCAAGCAGAAGAGAATTAGCAAACTTTAAGGCAGGCTATTTGAAAATACATTGCAAGAAGAGACAAAAGAAAAAAATTTAAAAAATGAAGCACACCTACAGGATCTAAAATAAAAAAAAAAAAAAGCCTCAAAAGGGCAAATCTAAGCATTATTGGCCCTAAAGAGGAGGTAGTGAAAGAGATAGGGATAAAAAGGTTATTCAAAGCAATAATAATAGAGAACTTCTCAAACCTACAGAAAGATATCACTATCCAAACACATGAAGGTTATAGAATACCAAGCAGATTTAACCCAAAGAAGACTACCTCCAGGCATTTAATAATCAAATCCCCAAACATCAAGGATCAAGAAAGGATCCTAAAAGCAGCAAAAGAAAAGAAATAAATAACAAACAATGAAACTCCAATACATCTGGCAGCAGACTTTTCAGTGGAAACCTTACAGGCCAGGAGAGAGTGGCATGACATATTAAAAGTGATGAAGGAATAAAGCTTTTATCCTAGAATAGTATATCCAGTGAAAATATCTTTCAAACAAGGAGAAATAAAGACTTTCCTAGACAATCAAAAGCTGAGGGATTTCATCAACACCAGACCTCTCCTGCAAAAAATGCTGAAGGGAGTACTTCAGTCATAAAGAAAGGGATATCAGTGAGCAATAGGTAATCACCTAAAAGTATAAAAGTCATTGGTAATAGTAAGTACACAGAAAAAAACACAGGATATTACAACACTGTGAGTGTAGTATGTATATTACTCTTATCCCTAGCAGAATGACTAAAGGATGAACGAGTAACAACAAAACAACAAAAAGAACTACAACAACTTTTCGAGACATAGACAGTACAATAACGTATAAATAGAAACAAAAAAGTTAAAGAGCAGGGGGACAAAGTTAAGATGTAGAGTATTTGTCAGTTTTCTTTTTGCTTATTTGCTTGTTTATTTGTTTAAGCAAACAGTTTTAAGTTGTTATTAGCTTAAAATAATGGGTTATAAGAGTATTTACAAGCTTCATGTAGCCCCAAACCAAAAAACATATAATGGCTACACAAAAAATAGAATGAAAAAAACTAAATCATATTACCAGAGAAAATCACCTTCACTAAAAGAAAGACAGGGAGGAAAGAAAGAAGGAAAAGAAAGCCATAGGACAACCAGGAAGCAAATTTTAAAATGGCAGAAGCAAGTACTTATTTATCAATAACGCTGAATGTAAATGGGCTAAACTCTCCAATAAAAAGACATAGAGTGGCTGAATGGATGAAAAAACAAGACCCAATCATCTATTGCCTACAAGAAACACACTTCACATATAAAGACACACATAGACTGAAAATAAAGGGATGGAAAAAATATTCCCTGCCAATGGAAACAAAAAAAGAGCAGGAGTAGGTATCCTTACATCAGACAAAATAGATTTCAAGATAAAAAAAAAAGAGAGAAAAATAAGATCACTGTATAATGAGAAAGGGGTCAATTCAACAAGAGTATATAACAATTTTAAATATTTATGCACCCAATAAAGATAGGTGCATATATAAAGATCTATAAAGGAATATAGTATTAGAGCTAAAGAGAGAGAGGTAGGTCCCAATACCATCAATAGCTGGAGCCTTTAACAGCCCATTTTCCACATTGAGTGGCTCTTCCAAACAGAAAATCCACAAAGAAATGTCAGACTTAATCTGCACTATAGACCGAATGTATCTAATAGATGTTTACAGAACACTTCATCCAACTGCAGCATACACATTCTTTTCCTCAGGACATGAATCGTTCTCAAGGATAGTCAATATGTTAGGTCACAAAACAAGTCTTTTCTTTTATTATTATACTTTAAGTTTTAGGGTACATGTGCACAACATGCAGGTTAGTTACATATGTATACATGTGCCATGTTGGTGTGCTGCAGCCAGTAACTCGTCATTTAACATTAGGTATATCTCCAAATGCTATCCCTCCCCCCTCCCCCCACCTCAAAAAACAAGTCTTAAAACATTCAAAACAATTGAAATAATCTCAAGCATCTTCTCTGACCACAATGGAATAAAAGTAGAAATCAGCAACAAGAAGAATTTTGGAAATTATGCAAATACATGAAAATTAAACAATATGCTCCTGAATGACCAGTGGATCAATGAAAAAATTAAGAAAAAAAATAAAAGATTATTGAGACAAATGAGAATAAAAACAACATACCAAAACCTATGGGATACAGCAAAGGCAGTATAAGTGGTTATAATAAAGAAAGAAAAACTTGCAATAAATAGCCTAATGATACATCTTAAAGAACTAGAAAATCTGAGCAATAAATAAAATTGAAATGAAGAACACAATACAAAAGATTGATGAAACAAAAGGTTGGTTTTCTTGAAAAGTTAAAGTTGATAACTAAAAAAAAACCAAAATTAAACAAAATTGACAACTTTAGCCTGAACAAAAAAAAAAAAAAAAAAAAAGGGAAAATCCAAATAAATCAGAAATGAAAAGAAGACATTACAACTGATACTGTAGAAATTCAAAGGATCATTAGTGGCTACTATGACCACTTATTGACCAATAAATTGGAAAATCTAGAAGAAATGGACAAATTCATAGACACATACAACCTGCTAAGATTGAACCAGAAAGAAATCCAAAACCTGAACACACCAATAACAAGAAACGTAATTGGTATAGTTTGGCTCTGAGTCCCCACCCATATCTCATCTCGAACAGTAACCCCCACATGTTGCGGGAGGAACCTGGTAGGAGGTGATTGAATCATGGGGGCAGACTTACCCCTTGCTTTTCTCATAATAGTGAGTGAGTTCTCACACGATCTGGTTGTTTGAAAGTGTGCAGGGCTTCCCCCTTTACTCTCTCTCTTTCTCTCTCCTGCTCTGCCATAGTAAGATGTGCTTGCTTTCCCTTCACCTTCTGCCATGATTGTAAGTTTCCTGAGGCTTCCATGTCGTGCTTTCTGTTAAGCCTGCAGAACTGTGAGACAATTAAACCTCTTGTCTTCATAAATTACCCAGTCTCAGGTAGTTCTTCATAGCAGTGTGAAAATGGACTAATACAGTAATCAAAGCCATGATAAAAAAATCTCCCAGTAAGTAAAATCAGAGATCTAATGGCTTCACTGCTGAATTCTACCAAACATTTAAAAAATTAATACCAATCCTGCTCAGACTATTCCATAGAATAGAGGGGGAGGAAATACTTCCAAACTCATTCTGTGGAGTCAGTACTACCCTGATACCACACCAGACAAAGACATATCAAAAACAGAAAACTACAGGCCAATATCTCTGATGAATATTGATGCAAAAATCTTCAAAAATACTAGCAAACCAAATTCAACAGTACATTAAAAAGATCATTCATCATGAGCCAGTGGGATTTGTCCCAGAGATGCAAGGATGAATCAACATATGCAAATCTATCAATGTGATACATCATATCAACAAAATGAAGTACAAAAACCATGTGATCATTTAAATTGATGCTGGAAAAACATTTAATAAACTTCAACATCACTTCTTGAAAAAAACTCTCAAAAAACTGTGTATAGAAGGAATATAAATCAACAGAATAAAAGCCATTTATCAGACCTGCACTATGGGAAAAACTGAAAGCCTTTCCTCAAAGATTTGGAACACAAGAATGCCCATTGTCACTACTGTTATTCAACATAGTACTGGAAGCCCTACCTAGAGCAATCAGACAAAAGAAAGAAATAAAGGGCATCCAAATTGGAAAGGAAAAATTTAAATTATACTTGTTTGTAGATGACATGATCTTATATTTGGTATAACCTAAAGACTCCACAAAAAAATGATTAGAACTTATAACCAAATTCAGTGAAGTTACAGCATACAAAATCAACGTGCAAAAATTAGTAGCATTTCAATATGCCAAAAGTGAACAATCTAAAAAAAAGAAATAAAAATGTAATCCCATTTACAATAGCCACAAATAAAATAAAATTAAATACCTAGGAATCAACCAAATACCTGAAAGATCTCTATAATGAAAAGTATAAAACAGTGTTGAAACAAATTGAAGAGGACACCAAAACCAGAAAGATATTCCATGTTCATGGATTGGAAGAATAATGTGGTTAAAATGTCCATGCCACCCAAAGCACTGTACAGATTCTATGTAATACCTATCAAACTACCAATAAAATTCTTCACGGAAATAGAAAAAAAATCCTATTATTTACATGGAACCACAAAAGACCCAGAATAGCCAAAGCTGTCCCAAACAAAAAGAACAAAACTATAGGAATAATATTAGTTGACTTCAAATTATACTACAGAAATACAATAACCAAGACAGTATGATACTGGCATAAAAACAGACACATTGACCAATGGAACAGAATAGAGAACTCAAAAACAAATTCACACACCTACAGTAAACTCATTTTCAACAAAGGTGCCAAGAACATACAGTGGACAAAAGACAGTCTGGTCAATAAATGGTGCTGGGAAAAGTGAATATCCATATGCAGAAGAATGAAATTAAACCCCTGTCTCTCATCATATACAAAGCTCAAATCAAAATGGATTACAGACTTAAATCTAAGAGCCCAAACTATGAACCTACTACAAGAAAACATTGGGGAAAGTCTCCAGGACATTGGTCTGGGCAAACATTTTTTGAACAATACCTCAGAAGTACAGGCAACCAAAGCAAAAGTGGACAAGAGGGATCACATCAAGTTAAAAAGCTTCTGCACAGCAAAGGATACAGTCAATAAAGTGAAGAGACAACCCATAGAATGGGATAAAATATTTGCAAATTAACCCTCTGACAAGGGGTTAATAACCGGAATACATAAGAAACTCCAATAATTCTATAGGAAAAAAATGGGCAAAAGATTTGAATTGATACTTCTCAAAAGAAGACATGCAAATAGAAAACAGGCATATGAAAAGGTGCTCAACAGCATTAATCATCAGAGAAATGCAAACCAAAACTACTATGAATTATCTCACCCCAGTTAAAGTGGCTTTTTCTTTTCCCAAAAGACAGGTAATAACAAATGCTGGTGAGGATGAAAAGATCATACACTGTTGGTGGGAATGTAAATTTGTACATCTACTATAGAGAACAGTTTGGAGTGTCCTCAAAAATCTAAAAATAGAGCTACCATGTGATCTGGCAGTCCCACTGCTGGGAAATATCCAAAGGAAAGGAAATTAGTATATCAAAGAGATATCTGCACACTCACATTTGTTGCAGCACTGTTCACAATAGCCAAGACTTGGAAGCAATCTTAGTGTCCATCAACAGATTAATGGATTTTAAAAAGTGATACATGTACACAATGAAGTACTATTCAGCCATAAAAAGGAATGAGATCCAGTCATTTGCAACAACATGGGTGGTACTGGAGATCATTATGTTAAGTGAAACAAAACAGGCACAGAAAAACCAACATCACGTGTTCTCACTTATTTATGAGATTTAAAAATTAAAACAATTGAATTCATGGAGATAGAGAGTGGAAGGATGGATACCAGAGACTGGAAAGGGTAGAGCGGGGATGGTGGTAGGGAGTTGAGGGATGATTAATGGGTACAAAAGGATATAGAAAGAATGAATAAGACCTGCTATTTGTTAGCACAACAGGGTTACTATAGTCAATAATAATTTAATTGCATATTTAAAAATAACTAAAAGAGTATAATTGGATTGTTTGTAACACAAAGGATAAATGCTTGAGGGGATAAATACCCCATTCTCCATGATATGATTATTACATGTTGCACACCTGTATCAAAACATCTCATGTACCCAATAAATATATATGCCTGCTATGTACCCACAAAAATTTAAAAAATAAAAAAGTTACACAAAGTTTGCAACTCACACTACAGTGCAAAAATATGAGAAGAATGTTTTTCCTAGTTAAGAGGAGAAAATTGTTTTAAAACAATTAAGAAGAAATATTAATATGCTTCCTACCACTGCATATTAGCTTATGTTGACAAAATAAGTAAGGCATTTTTGAATTGGAAATTTGCAAACTCCCAAAACAGTTTGATCAGAGACTTACGATGTGTCCAGGCCTTGGACTGCACATTTGCCTTAACCCCTTTCCTGCTTTGGTCCAGAATTTTGTGTTTCATAGCAAGTGGCTAGCGCTGACTTGCAGATTTGGCAGTGCAGTGCTTTGTAGAAGTCCTAAATAAAACAATTGGGGTTTCATTTTTTCACCTTCAATTTCACAGTAGCACACATTGGCTCACCCACACATTCTTAATTATTGCCTGGTATATAATTGTTTCAAGTACGTGTATGTGAGTGTGTATGTGTATGTGTGTTCGCATGTTAGTATATGTGTGTCTAAAATTCCCATGACGCCACTTGGTGGCATGGTCCACTTCTTAATCCACTCTGATTTGCTCGCAGTAGCTAAGAGGAATAGCAGTATTAGGAGCATGGATGCTGAAACAAGGCATTGATGCTCTCCATTTGGGTCCTGATTCTACTGTTTGCCAGGTTTGGAAGGTTATTCATCTTCAGTTTTCCCATTAGGTGTTGTGATGAGTAAATCATTTAATCTTCAACATTGCCTGTCACAACTAGGGTAAGGTGAATGAGATACTTTCCTCAGAAGCAAAATTTAAGGGGGCATCAAATAACTCAACGATCAAGATAAATAAAATTTGTATGCAGTGTTTTACAAAATGTAAATATCAGTGGTGTTTAATGTGTTGATTTGAATCCACAGTTGACATCTCAGGATCCACAGTTTCCTTAGAGTCTAAAGACAAGAATCCTGACTCCAGCATTTACAGCCATTTAGCATAGCACACATATTCATCTGCCCTAAAAAAAAAAATTGATACCTACTAGAGTAAAAGTTAATACCCAAAATAATTGAGTCAATGGTTCCATGTAGACCCCAGGCAGATGTAGAATCACTGGGGATGCTCAGACTTATGTGTTATTTCTTTTGAATCACCTTTAATGTTAGTGCAGAAAGATAAATCCTAGAGTTGCAATGGGCTTGCCTTTTCCTATTTATAAACGAAACCAGGTATAATTTTACCCTGGCAATTATTTTAATTATTATTTCCCAAGACAGTGTTAAATCACAGACAATGACAACCAGAGGCATTGTTATCACAAATAGAAAACCCTGGATTATGGATTGGCAACAGCATAGGAGCAGGTTCTCTCATCAAGTTGTGACTTTAAAATGTGTAGTGTTAGGAAGATAAGAACACTCCACCCTACCTTTCCTCCCTCCTCCCTAAGCCAGAATGCCTTTTCCCCTCTCCCTACTTCAAGGAAAATTAAATGAAGACAGCTAACGAGCAGTTTTATTTTCTTTCAGCAAAGGTCAGCAATCCCACAGCAGCAAATTAATCCCAATTAGTAATGATATTTTGTCTTGATAAATGATGACACATTTGATTTACTGTGTTTCCAGGATGCAGGCAGCAAATGTTAATGATTTGGTTTGCTGGGAATTTATACTCTTGCTCATTTCCCATTTGCTGATCAGTTGCGGCTCGTGAAGACTTGGCTGCTTCAACTAATGAACTGAGGGCCTCGCAGGAATAATGGTGTGTTCTGCAGGCCTCATTTTTTTATGCCATCTGTAGAAATGCAGGCTCCTCTCAGAAAATATCTCTGGAAGCCAGGAAGGAGTGATTATGATCATATCAATGTCACTTGTAATTTGTATTTCACTTGTTTAATGGCATCCCCAATAAATGAAGTTTTCTGTAGAGAACAAAACTAATTATAGCAAATTCAGCATTGGTGTGTGTGTGATGAAGAGAATTCATGAATATAAACATACGTAGCCTTTCCTCATTTCATTAAAATATTCTGATAGCAGTGATGCAGTTTATGTAATGATTTATCTGCCCAGCTGGTATGGTTTCAAATTAGACCAATGAGGATGTTTTCTTGAGATCTTTATAACTGAACACAGCATCCTATTTTTTTTTTCAATAAATGTAGACATAAGTCAAATGTTTTTTTTCCTTTTCACTCCCAGGTTTCCACCTGGATCATTCAGTACTTTGAGGAGTGCCAGAGGCACTTTAGACTCCTCACAAAGGCTGCCGGAGCAGTCCCCTGAGGCTGTGCAAGTCAGACTGTGGGTGATTCTGGGACTAGCATACTTGCCTTCCAAGCATCACCAAAGATGCAAACCAACAGGAAGCCCTGGGGAACATTGACTCTTCCACCTCTGAAAGGCTGATGTGCCTTTCACACATCAGATATAGTCTTAGCTAGAGAAAACTGGTATGTTGGCTGCAACTCCAGGCAGGCTTGTCTCCTAGTTGTTTACATGACACATTAAGAATGAAATATGAGGGATCATTACCCATCCTCATTTGAGAGCTGGAAATGTTAGAAACCCCATTTAGAATCTCCTTCAGGGAGGTGGATGTTTTCCTCTCATTCTTAATCATTGTTCTTACTATCAACTAATATAAAACCAATAAACTTTACTCTTCTTGCTTAAGGGGACACTTGTTATTATGGCAAATTACTGGATCCATATTATGTATCTTCCCTTCTCCTTTCCCTTCCTGGGGCCTCTGTTCTGCCTTTCTATCCCTGACCAAACTGGGTGTTCACTCTGGGATAAAGTTGGCATTCTCTGCTCTCTCTGAAATGTAAATGGTTGGGGTATTTCAGTGTTTACTTTATCAAATGCTGTAGTTTGGACTTTGGCAGGGAGAGGTATTCATGAGATGTCCTCTGCCAGACAACTTGTCTATTTCAGTAGCGTGCTCCACTCTTCAGTCAGAGATAATTTTTTTCTCTCATATTTTTCCCACAGTGTTCAGCAGAACAGTAGTTCCGTGTATTAGTTCAGGTCCTCAAATACCAAGAAGGAATTAAATGTGTAAGGATTTTACAAGGAGAAATCCCTGTGTAAGGAAAAAACATAGAGGTCCAGAGGAGGCTAGGGATCCTCTAGGTTATTCTAATGCCAGTATTTTAAAGTTTCTGTCACGGCGAACATGATGCAGAACTGACTTATATCCTCCAGTTTCATTACTGTACCTAAATGAAACATTTGTCTCCCCAGGGTACTTTTCATGCATTCTAGGAGATAAGAACAGAGAGAAGATAGAGAATTCGGTCCTCAACCCTAGGTTTGTAATAGAACTTTACATTTAACCAAAGCACATTCGTATACATTATTGCATTTGATTCTGATGACAAATATGAAGTCAACATTATTCCTGTCAAAAATTCATACTGCTATGGTCTGGCTCTGTGTCCCCACCCAAATCTCATCTTGAATTGTAATCTGAATTGTAATCCCCACGTGTTGGAAGATGGACCTTGTGGAAGGTGATTAGATCATGGAAGTGGTCCCCCATGCTCTTCTTGTGATAGTGAGTGAGTTCTCACGAGATCTGATGGTTTTATAAGGGGCTTTTCCCTGCTTCACTCTGCACTTCTCTCTCCTGCCATCATGTGAAGAAAGACGTGTTTGCTTCCCCTTCTATCATGGTTGTAAGTTTCCTGAGGCCTCCCCAGCCATGTAGAACTGTGAGTCAGTTAAACTTCTTTCCTTTATAAATTACCCAGTTTCAGGTATGTTCTTATAGCAGCATGAGGATGGACTAATACATATACCCTGAATTAACCCATGAGGAAATATCAAAAACACTATTGAGGGACGTTTTACCAAAAAAATATGGCTAACACTCTTCAAAATGTTAAGAAGATGAAATACAAAGACAGAAACTATTCTAGATTAAAAGAAATTTAAGACATATGACAGCTAAATACAACATGCAATCCTGGATTAGGCCTACACCAGACCTTGCTACCTCCCAAAAAGCAGATTTCCCTAAAGGGGATTTTGGAATAACTGACAAAATCTGAATAATTCCTTTTAGGATGAATAATATAGTTTAACAGTAAATTTCCTGATTTTTATAATTATTTGGGCATATGTAAGAGAATGTTCTTACTTTTAGGAATTACAAACTGAAGTATGTAGGGGTAGCAGGATGTCATGTCTATAACCTACTCTCAAATGATTTGGAAAAAAAGTGACACTCACACACAGTATGTTAAAGCAAACATGATTTTTTAAAAAGTTAATGCTTGGGGAATGTGGTTGAAAGGTATACAGTGTATGTAGTTACTGACTATTTTTGTAACTTTTTATAAATCTGAAGTTATTTTGAAATAAAAAAATATTAAAACAATACCCTAAAAGGTTTGGCATGATCAAGTCAGCCTCCCTATTCAATTTTATGGATTAACAAATTTGGCTTGGGGCAGTAAAAAAAAAAGTGCTTTGATTTAGATCACACAATAGATCAGTGTCAGACTCCAAACTTTAACCCAGACTTACCTCCGATCTCTGAGATCTGCTCACAGGCCAAGCACATCATCCCTAGGTACATGGAAGCAGCAAAATGACATAATGACTTGGCTTCAGAGTCCAAGCTCTAGCTACCTAGTTTTAGTGTTGTGATGTCTTTGTCTTTACAGCACACTCTTGCACATTAACGTAGCCGATGACCTTCATAGTCATGGAGAGAAGCTTGTCCCTGTTTATGGTGAAATGCTTCAATCCTAGATTTCATTGCCATAACCATCCAAATTGTAGCCAGTTAACTCATCCATCTCTACCTGTAGATAATCTTGTCCTTGTCCTCAAATCCTTAGGCTGGCCGGCAAGTGCCATGTTAGCCATGTCCTGGGCCCTGCTCTGACCATGTGTCTGAATGCCAACACCCCTGATATTATTTTATTTCTGGAAATTAATTAACCTCTTAATATCCTGGTTCCAGCCTATCTTACATCCTTATGCCTAAACCTGCCTTTGTTTTCCTTCCAGTATCCTTTGTTTTCCAGGATCTATTTACTCAAAACATCCTCCTGGGGATTAAGCTCTTGTTACTTAAATCCCAGTCACCAGGAATAGAGTCATCTCCAGGATCTGCCTGGACCTTCTGCTCCTGCATCTGAGAGGTGTTCATCAATATCTCAAGTTTTTAGAACCCAGACATACCTTGTTTGGTGGTCTCTCCAAAGACTAAGTCTTCTTTATCACAGCCATCCCCTTGGTTCCATGAATAGAAACATACCTAGCCTTTCCTCATTTCCTTAAAATATTCTGATAGCAGTGATGCAGTTTACATGATTTACCTGCCCAGCTGGCATGGTTTCGAATTATACCAATGAAGATGCTTTCTTGAGATCTTCATAGATTTCATTATAACCATCCAGGTTCCAGGATGAGCATCAAGCATAGCCTTTTTTAATGTGATTCTCTCACTGGAGGACTGAATTTGGATCTGGTTCTTTCTTCTTTTAAAGTCCAACTTCATTCCCATATATCCTTTAAGACTTTCCTTGGCCATCTCTGTCCTTATAGAATTTCCCATTCAAATGCCTCAGTAAACGCACCACTGTTCTGCATGTTACAAGTTACCATGGGTGGTTAGCATTCTTTTCCTATGTAAAGCTTACCCTCCATCCTCTCAGCAATAACATTGTTTAGAGGAGAGATGGGCTGAGGAGAAAATTGTGTTCCTAACTTGCTGTGTTATCTTGCACAAGTCAGTTAATACCTCCAGACTTCACATGTAGTATCTGTGAGTAGAGAAAGTTGGATTAAAGGGTCTCTAATGTTTCTATTAGTGCCACTATTTGTGAAACTGTGGCCTATCCAGTGCCAAATAGCAAACATCCTGTAAGTGTTGGATAATGAGATTCTGACCTCACAAGGGGTTTATAATTATCAGAGGGTCAGGTAATGGAGTGTTTTCCATGGAGGCATTAGAGACCCTTCCCTGAGCCGCATTATGTCCCCAGAGGGTATGACTTGGAAGCAGGAAAGCTTATGTATTTTTAATCAAAGGCAACAGGATCAGTACCCAAACAGCCAAATGACAATCTGATTGCATTTCCACTCTTCAGCTATGCTGAGTATGTTCTGACAGCACAGTATATCACCCAGGGAAAGTGCAGGCTCATTAATAGCACTGGTTATTAAGGGATTTGGATCAGGGTAGCTGTGCTGGCAGTATTGATGGGACACAGCAGAGAATGAGTAGGTAGAGTCTTGTGCTCAACTTTTATCTCTACTCAAAATGCTCTCGGTCCTTGTTACCCATAATATTCTCCCAGAGAGACCATCAGCATTGTTATCAGCCCATTAGAATCTTGGGCCTCACTCCAGACCTATATAATAAAAATCCGTCTTATAAAAAAATCCCCAAGTGGTTCATAGGTACATTAAATTTGGAGTCAAACTGCTCAGCTTGACAGGAGAGGATCCTTGTCTTGGGCCTGAAATACAATTTTGGAAACCATCTTTAAGAATGACAAATATGCGGTGGCTCATGCCTGTAATCCCAGCACTTTGGGAGGCCGAGGTGGGCGGATCACAAGGTCAGGAGATCGAGACCATCCTGGCTAATACGGTGAAACCCCATCTCTACTAAAAATACAAAAAATTAGCCGGGCATGGTGGCGGGCACCTGTAGTCCCAGCTACTTGGGAGGCTGAGGCAGGACAATGGCGTGAACCCAGGAGGTGGAGCTTGCAGTGAGCCCAGATCGTGCCACTGCACTCCAGCCTGGGCAACAGAGCAAGACTCCGTCTCAAAAAAAAAAAAAAAAAAAGAATGACAAATATTATGTGTATATATAAGTATAGCTATTGTTTTGTGTGTACACATAACACATATATATATAATTTGTCATTGTTCTTCAATATTCTTAAATATCATTCATAAAATATGTGTATGTATAGTTAGATATAATAGACAAAACCAAGTTTTCGTTTTCTTATCAGCTTTTAGTGCTTAAGACAGATTCTGACCTTCTCTGTTTCATCCCTGCAGAATCCTGCTATAATGAGAAGTACTTTCTGTCAAAGGACTTAAGTGTTTCACAATGAATGTCTTTCTCCTCTTAGATAATAACACTAATTGCTAATATTTAAGGAGTGTTTTACTAAGTGTCAGGGGCTATTTTAAGAATGGGTTATGGATATTTTATTTACTCATAGCAATCTTAAGAGGTCTCTTGACCTCCTGTCTTAGGAATAAGATTAAATAATTTTCCCATAGTATCAGAAAAAAAGATTATAGCACAAAGGATCTTGTTCTATGGCCCATGTTCTTAAAGATTTGGGCCATAGTCCCTCTTAATGATAAAATAAAGATTTTGAAGGAGTCTCCAGTGGCCCAATCAAAAAGCAGAATTGAGATACTGTGATGCTGTAATAAAATTAGCATTTGGGGAGTGGACAAGAGAAATGCCTGTTTTTTGGCCTCTCCTATCTAATCTTGTTTAGCAGCCCTATATTCCACCAGCCCATAGCAGGTTCTGAGAGTGGGTCTTTCATTAAGCAATTTTACTCATAACTTGGTGCTTGAGGTAGCACTAATTACAAAGCTCAAAGAGGGATGGGGGAAGCTTTCCAAGAGCCAATGCCAAAATGGAAGTTTCTCCATCTACATCACTATTTGGAAAGAGTTCAGTAGATTTTTATAAACTTTTCAAAAGTACTCTCAACCACCACCAACAAAAAATAGGTTGGGTGCAGTGGCTCACGCCTGTAATCTCAGCATTTGGGGAGGCCGAGGTGGGAGGATCACTTGAGGTCGGGAGTTGGAGACCAAGCTGACCAACATGGAGAAACCCCGTCTCTACTAAAAATACAAAAATTAGCTGGGCGTGGTGGCGGGCGCCTGTAATCTCACTACTCAGGAGGCTGAGGCAGGAGAATTGCTTTCCGGGAGGTGGAGGTTGCAGTGAGCCGAGATTGCGCCATTGCACCCCAGCCTGGCAACATGAGTGAAACTCCGTCTCAAATAAATAAATAAATAAATAAATATATTAAATGCATGCATAAAGAGCTAAAATATACTTTTAAAATTTGTGGTTAAAAAGGAAATACTATTTAGTATGTTCACCACTTCCTATTGTCATTCTCCTTTCTTATGGCCACATTTTTAGGACTACAGCCTAGCCAACAGGATGTACAATTTTATATAGATATGAGTCTTCTGTATCATTAAGTCAATGTAATGAATATATACATGTCAAAACCAATATTGCTGTGCTGCACTGGTTGAGAGATTCACCCCAGCACAATAGCTTCTCTGTATGGGTCCATTAGCACTGGCTTTTGGGGACCTCAGTGGGAGGCTGTCTACTTCCCTGATCACTTGGATTGAGAATATGTGTGCTATTCTTCAAGTTAGCAATGTAAAAAGAAACACAAAATCTTACTTAAACAGTATTTTGAGATCATTTGTATAATTTGTATACAAGTTTATGAAGAGTAGGAAAGCAAATATCAGTGAGAAATAAAAGTGTTCCACCATTTTGACTTAAAAGCACTAAAGTATTAAATCTATCTAGATTTTGTGTGTAGGTAGCTAGTGGAAACAAGGAAGGTAAGTTGCCAAGAGAAAGAATATATCTGCATGGAAATTAAAGCCCAAAAACATGTGCATAAGAAGTGCAGCCAGATAAGCAAAGGTTGTCTGAAAATGCAATTTCTAAATATAGCCATAATCATATTGACATGAAAAAGAAATGACATAAAAACTGATGAAATCAAAATAAGGCAATTTATGCCATGAAGAAACTTGAGCTATAATGATTTCTGAAACAGATGTTATAAGGAAAAAAAAATCTCTAACTTTGTGAACTGCACCGTTATATTTAAGAAAAATGAAAATTCTCAAAGAGGCCTATGCCAATTTGCAAAATATCAAGAACAAAGAGGTTAGCAAAGTAATTCTATTATATCTTAGTGCTAGACGTTTTGGGAGGCAAGTGTAGTTGAATGATAATGGGGGTGGTTCCCAAGGCTACCATATCCCATTGGTAGAAGAATATTACGGGCTTTTGGAGGAAGGATTCAAGAACTCATTCAACAGATTGTTTTTATTATCTTAGCTGCTTGGACATGAAGTAAATCTACTAGAAAAACTCAAGCAGTGATTTGGGACATTAGTCAAAAAGTAGAATTGGGTTACTCTTAGAGTTAGGAGCAAGAAGCAAATTAATACATCCTATCTGATAAACTAATTACAGTGTTAAATGCCCAGAATTTATGTTGACCTACAAAAACTAAAGCAACTAATATGGACTTAAAGTGAAAAAGCAGTCAGTACAAAACATTCCTGAGAGTTTGTGAACCTGCCCAAGGGCAGGATTTGTCTTCTGTATTTTTGATTGTTTTCATTTCTGGTAGAATAAGGAATAGGTGTTTTTTGCAATATAAGCATATAAAAGGAAATTAGCTAAAAGGTTTGAAGAAACACAAAATGGCAAATGTGGGCTAGGGAGAAAGCAAGGATGGAGAAAGACTCCATCCTTGTTGTAGGTCTGAGTGAAGTATGTGACTGCCACTGTTAGAAAGCGCAAAGCTCACACCTAGTACCTTTTCTCCACAGAACAAAGCCTTAAGTGGCTGAGAGAGCAGCAGTAAACCCTGTAGTTCCTGGGGTGCAGGAAAAGATCTCTTGTGTCTAGGGGAAGGTTAAAAGAAAAGAAAATCTAGCCCTTGGCATGGAGAACAGGAAACAGAGATATCTTACTGCTAGATGAGGGGCAGGAATGTTGAGAAATTCCACCTCCAAGAAAATGTTCACAATGACCAGCACCAAGCTAACAAGCAATGAGGAAGAAGCAATGGCATTTTACTATTGTTGGAAGGGTGGGGGCAAGGACAAGGGTAAAAAGAGAGATTCTATTTGAAAAGCATGAGTGCAGGGGTAAACTGAAGTTCATAGTTGAGCATAAACATTGAGAAAAACTCTCTGACAAACCAAATCCCACGCCACATAAAAAGTATAAAGAAGGTAAAATACCAACAACAAAATCCAGATGTCAAAGAAATCCTAAGTAGATTCACTCAACCCATAATATTAATGGCCTAGCAGAAGAAAAGGTGTTCCCAATGCCAGACATAAATATGATTTATCTTAGTCTCAATACTTCTATGTGCTACATAGTATAATCAAACATAACTATGAGAAACACCAAAAAAATTAAGGAAATAAAAAAGAAAATCCCAAGAGATCAAGCAATCAATAGAACAAGACTCAGATTAACTAGATATTAAAATGAACAGGAAAATAATATAGTTATGATAATTATGTTAAAGGCTTTAGTGAAAAAGATACACTGCATGAATGAACAGATGAAGAATTTCAACAGAGAATGAAAACTACAAAAAAGTTGAATGGAAATAGTAGAATAAAACCAAAATCGTGGACATAAAGAATGCCTTCAATGGGCTAATGAGTAAACTGACACAGCTGAGTAAAATATCAGTGAGTTTGCAGATGAGTCAATAAAAATTTTCCAAAGTAAAATATAAAAAGAAAAGAAAAACAGGAGAAAAACAGAAAAGAGAGCTTCCAAAGCTGTGGAATGTCATCAGACAATGTAACATACATGCAATCAGACTACTGAAAGAGCAACAGAATGGGAGACAAAAATATCTGAAGATATAATTGGTAATAATTTTCACAAAAATAAAGGATATCAAACCTCAGATTTAACAAGGTAAGAGATTCCTGAGCTAAATAAATGCATACACACAGAGATACATACACTCACACATGCATACACAACTTCCATATCATATTTCAACTGCTTTAAACCAGAAATACAGAAAAATCTAGGAGGTAGACAGAAAGAAAAAGGCACAGATACACAGTGCATATAGTTGCAAAGATAGAAGAAAGACATCATACTTTTCATTAGAAACTATAGATGATCAAGTAACATTAGCAATATGCTGAAAAAAAATCCTGCCAAATCAAGAAAGTAATAACCAGAAAAAGTTATTTTTAAAAAATAAGATATAAATATTAATTGAGACAAACCAAAGCTGAAATAATTTATTCCAAGAACACCTGTACTTTGAAAAATAAGGAAGTTATTCAGGCAGAAGGAATGTGATAATACTTAGAAACTTGAATCTACATGAAGAAATGAAGATCAACAGAAATGGTTAAAATAAAAGTAAATGTAAAATACATCTGTTTCTTATTTGTAATTACTCTAAAACATAAATGACTGTCTAATACAAAAATAGTAGTAATGTATTGTGGGTTATAGTGCATAAAAGTTAAAATGTATGACAAAAATAGCATAAAAGATAGACTAACAATTGGAGATATATTGATGGAAGGTTCTTATGCTACATGTAAAGTAGTATATTACACGAAGATAGATTACTATTAAAAAATATAAATATTGTAAACCATGGAAACAATTAAACAACTTAAAGTATTTAGTAATAAACAAATGGTGATGTTAAAATTGAATAAAATACTCAATTGATCAAAAGTAGGCAAAAAGGAAGAATAAAAGAAAAAATAACATATTAAATGAAAACGACTAAGCGTAAAATTTAATTCTACATTATTAATAATTATCTTAAACATTTAAACACAAATTAAAAGACAGGTATCTTAAAACTGGATAAAAAAGTAAACCAAACTATCTCAAACTATATCTACATATCTAAAAAGAATCTAAGTTAAACATAAGAATATAGATAGGTGAAAAGTGAACTCATTAACTGAAAGAAAGCTAGAATGACCATATTAATATCAGACCGAGTGGACTTTAGTATAAGGAATTTACTAGGAATAAAGAATCACATATAATAAAAGGAGTCAATTCAAAAGAAGAAATGACAATTTTTAATGTTTATGTACCTATCAACTTAGTTTCAAATACATGAGGCAAAAACTGATAGAAACAAAAAAAGAAATAAACAAATCTACAATTTTTCTTGATAACATTAACACTCCTTACTCAGCTATCTAAAAAGAGCAGAATACACATTCCTTTAAAGTTTACATGGAACATTCATCAAGAGGCCATATTTTGGGTAATAAAACTTCAATATATTTTAAATAATATGATGCAGAGTATGTTCTCTGACCATGGTGAAATTAAACTAGAAATCAGTAACAGAGAGTTATATGGGAAATCCCATATATTTGAAAATTTAAAAACAAAACTTCTAAATAACTGATGAGTCAATGAGAAAACTAGAAAATATTCTCAGTTTAATGAAAATAAAAATACAACATGTTTTATTGAGGAGATGCATTTCAAAGAGTTTTTAGAGGGGACATGATAGCATTAAACATTTATATTAGAAAAATAAGAGGGACTTTTTAGCTCTTACTCCTGCAAATAAGAAGCTTGGAAGTCCTCACTTCATCTAACAAGTGACAACAACAAGAAAAATGAACAAATTAAAAAATCAACAACTTTTCTAAAATCTGCAAGAAAAATGAGGTCACAGAGTGAATACTGCCCCTAACATTTGAGGCAGACAGGCAAATACAGAGAATCACAGCTTACCAAAATAGAAGCCCTACAGTAACTGTGGAAAGCAGGAAAATCCGAACTATAATTGATGAATTGCTGGAGGCTCATCAGGGATATGAATGAGAATTAAAACCTTCAGGGGGAGCTAGTCAAAGGGGGAGCCCATGTTTTTATGAGTTTTATCTCCAGGAGCTCTATCAAATCCTCACAGTGATAATCAGAAAAAAAAAAAATCCCTTCATGGTTCTGGCAGGAGAAAGAAAGAAACCATTTTGAAATACACCAGAGCACTCTATTCTTCTTATCAAGGTCTGCCCTCCACAGAAACTAGTTAAGCATAGGCCAACTTGCTAGGGTTTTATCGGAGACTAACTGACCCAAGGGAAGGGAAATACCCAACTCTAGCTTCCTTTAGCCTTCCTCATGGGAGAAGGGAAGTACACAAATTGAGCCCACTTGGACCATCCAATTCCACTTAAAGAAGGGTGAATGGCAGAGAAGCACTTGCAAAGTTCACAATCCAGGGGCATAGGCTCACTAAAAGTCTGAGACCTAATCAGAGGATGATAGAACATTTCTCCCACCACACCTTACCAACACATTGCTAAAGGCCTACTTACAGCAGTTGATTTTATCCAATGCATCATGTCCAAATATCAAGAAAAAATTACAAGGCATACTGAAAGGCAAAAAAAAAAAAAAAGGAAAAGAAAACACACACACACACACACACACACACACACACACACACACACACAGAATCAGACTCAGATATGGTAGGTATATGAAAAATTCAAAATAGAAATTAAAAACAACTATGATTAATATGGTAATGGCTATCTATAATGGATAAAGAAGACAGCTTGCAAGAACCATTGTAAGCTGCAAGTTGCAGAAAGATGGAAATTCTAAGAAAAAAGAAATATGATATATCAAAAACACTATAACAAAAACAAAGAATACCTTCAATGGACTTATTAGTAGAGTGGACATAACTAAGGAAAGAATCTCTGAGCTTAAAGATATCTCAATAGAAATTTTCAAACCTGAAAATCAATCAGAAAAAGACAAAAAAAAAAAAGGAATCCCAAATTATGGGACAACTACAAAAGGTATAGCATATACATAATGGGTATATCAGAGGAGAAGAAAGAAAAGAAGAGAAAAAACAATTGAAACAAGGACTGAGAATGTTCCCCAAATTAGTGTCAGATAACAAACCAGAGATCCAGAGCACTCAGAAAACCCCAAGCAATTTAAATGCCACAAAAACACCTGGGCATATTATTTTCATGCTACAGAAAATCTAAGGTAAAGAGAAATCCTGAGAAGAGTGATGTCAAAAACCATGGTGGAATAGGAGGCTCCTGACCTTTCTCCTACAGATTCACCAGATAAACATCTATACATGTGTAAGTTCCTCCAGAAGAAAGTCAGAAATGAGTTGAGAGACTCCTACACCTGGCCAAATGAAAAAAAAAATCCACATCAAAATGGATAGAAAAAGTGGAGGCACACTTGAGCACAAACCCTATCCCAGCATCGTGCCATACAATCAGGAAGGAATCCTCAACACTCAGTGTCTTACTGAGAAGGGAGAATTTAGGCTATATATATAGTGCTCTAACTCTAATGTTCTTTATGGTTTGCTAGTTTTTGACCTAACTGGGAGAAGAAGGGGCCAGGCATATAGAAATCTCTCTAGATCACAGAAAAAGCACTGGTTTTATATGAGTGTGCAAGCACTTTTAGGGGCTTCGATCTGTGGGATCAGGGCAGAAAAGGGGCTAAAAGGCACAGCTCGCAGTCTCTCCCCAGAAGGAATTTGTCAGCACACTCTACCAGCTGCTGCTGACAGTTGGACTTCTAACTAACCTGTATTAGAGAGTTAATAAGGCAGACAAAAAGTCCTGAACAGGAGCTCACGCACTTCCCAAGGTTTTTCCCCAGCCCACTCCAGTGATAAATCCAATTCTTGCTGGGAAGAGTGTCCATGCACTGAATGTCCCAAATTCCACAGCTCCCACATTAGAGACTGCATCCTAAGCCACCTACTTCTGGGAGTAGAAAGGACTAAACGTGTAATTTTTCTCAGATCACAGTACAAAGAGGTGGTTTTAAATGGGGACACAAACACTTCCAGGGGCTACATCTCCAGAGATCAGTGAAGAGAGGAGCTAAAATGCATAGCTCCCATTTCCTGAAAGAGGTTTCCCTGCATACTCTTGTAGTTGTTACTTGATGATAAATCTTCTAACTAGCCTGAATCCCAGAGTTAATGAGGCAGCAAAAAATAGGCCCCTGGGAACCAAAGTGGGGCTTGGGCACTTCCCAAGTCTTTTCATTGGCTTGATCTAGTGATAAATCCAGCTGTATAGATTTTCCCTGGAAAAAGTTTTGTCCATGCACTGAAGCTACTTGTATAGCTCCCACCTGAAGGACTGCATTCTAACGCACTTAGATCTGACAAATGAAGAGGCTTGGCATTCACTACTTTCCCTAGATCAAAGTTTTGCATAGCTTCAAATTTCTCAACAAAATATTAGCAAATTGAATGCAACACTGTATAAAAAAGAATTATATACCATGACAAAGTGAGATTCATTCTACATATCCAAGTTTGGTTTAATTTGAAAATCAATTAATGTAATCTATCATTAACTTAAGGAGCAGGCTATAGAAAAAAACTTCTAATCATATTAATAGATGCAGAAAATGCATTTGACAAAATCTGACATCCCTTCATGATAAAAACTCTTAGTAAACTAGGGATACAGAGGAACTTATTCAATTTGGTAAAGAACATCTACAAAAAATTCTAAAGCTAACACCACAGTTAGTGGTGTTAAAAAAAAATGGTTACAATGGTGTTAAAAAAATCCTGTAAGATAAAATATGAGGCAAGGATGCCCCTCTCATAACTGATTTTAACATTGTAATGGAAGTCCTAGATAATACAATAAAACAAGAAAAGGAAACAAAAGTAATACAGATTGGGAAAGAAAAAATTAAATGGTCTTTTTTTAAACAAATGACATGGCTGTCTATTTAGAAAATTTGAAAGAGTAGACAAAAAATATTCTCCTGGAACTAGCGCAATGTCGCAGGATACAAGGTTAATACACAAACGTTAATTCCTTTTCAATATACCAGAAATAAACAACTGAAATTTTAAATTAAAAAAATAGCATTTGCATTAGCATCTCCAAAATAAAATACTTAGATATGAATATAACAAAATATGTACAATACCTATATAAGAAAAACTGCAAAATTCTGATAGAATAAATAAAAGAATAAATATCATGTTCATTTATAGAAGACTTAATGTTTTCAAGATAACAAGTTCTTGCTAACTTTACAGATTCAATGCAATCCCAATGAAAATCCCAGCAGGTTTCTTTTTACATCAAGAAGCCTATTCTAAAGTTTATATGTAGAAGGCAAAGACTCAGAGTAGCCAACACAGTATTGAAGGAGAAAAACAAAAATGAAGAATTAACACTATCCAATTTCAAGACTTACTATAATAACACAGTAATCAAGACTGTGTGATATTGGTGAAGGAATAGACAAGCAGTCAGTGGTACAGAATAGAGAGCCCAGAAATAGACTGACATAGTCGACTGATCTTTGATGAAAGATTAAAGGCAACGGAGAAAAGATAGTTCTTTTAACAAATGGCGCTGAAGAAATGGAAATTCCACATTTAAGAAATAGTGACTCAGAGGTGGAGCCAAGATGGCCGAATAGGAACAGCTCCGGTCTACAGCTCCCAGCGTGAGTGAAGCAGAAGACGGGTGATTTCTGCATTTCCATCTGAGGTACTGGGTTCATCTCACTAGGGAGTGTCAGACAGTGGGTGCAGGACGGTGGGTGCAGCACACCGTGCGTGAGCCGAAGGGGGCAAGGCATTGCCTCACTCGGGAAGCGCAAGGGGTCAGGGAGTTCCCTTTCCTAGTCAAAGAGAGGGGTGACAGACGGCATCTGGAAAATCGGGTCACTCCCAGCCTAATATTGCACTTTTCAAATGGGCTTAAAAAACGGCACACCAGGAGACTGTATCCCGCACCTGGCTCAGAGGGTCCTACACCCACGGAGTCTCGCAGATTGCTAGCACAGCAGTCTGAGATCAAACTGCAAGGGGGCATCGAGGCTGGGGGAGGGGCGCCTGCCACTGCCTAGGCTTGATTAGGTAAACAAAGCAGCCCACCTGACCACAGCTCAAGGAGGCCTGCCTGTCTCTGTAGGCTCCATCTCTGGGGGCAGGGTACAGACAAACAAAAAGACAGCAGTAACCTTTGCAGACTTAAATGTCCCTGTCTGACAGCTTTGAAGAGAGTAGTGGTTCTCCCAGCATGCAGCTGGAGATCTGAGAATGGACAGAGTGCCTTCTCAAGTGGGTTCCTGACCCCCGAGCAGCCTAACTGGGAGGCACCCCCCAGGAGGGGCAGACTGACACCTCACACAGTCGGGTACTCCTCTGAGACAAAACTTCCAGAGGAACCATCAGGCAGCAGCATTTGCGGTTCACCAAGATCCACTGTCCTACAGCCACCGCTGTTCTGAAGCCACCGCTGCTGATACCCAGGCAAACAGGGTCTGGAGTGGATCTCTAGCAAACTCCAACAGACCTGCAGCTGAGGGTCCTGTCTGTTAGAAGAAAAACTAACAAACAGAAAGGACATCCACACCAAAAACCCTTCTATACGTCACCATCATCAAAGACCAAAAGTAGATAAAACCACAAAGATGGGGAAAAAACAGAGCAGAAAAACTGGAAACTCTAAAAAGCGAGCACCTCTCCTCCTCCAAAGGAACGCAGCTCCTCACCAGCAACGGAACAAAGCTGGACGGAGAATGACTTTGACAAGTTGAGAGAAGAAGGCTTCAGACGATCAAACTACTCCAAGCTACAGGAGGAAATTCAAACCAATGGCAAAGAAGTTAAAAGCTGTGAAAAAAAATACACGAATGGATAACTAGAATAACCAATACAGAGAAGTCTTTAAAGGAGCCGATGGAGCTGAAAGCCCAGGCTCGAGAACTACGTGAAGAATGCAAAATCCTCAGGAGCTGATGCGATCAACTGGAAGAAAGGGTATCAGTGATGGAAGATGAAATGAATGAAATGAAGTGAGAAGGGAAGTTTAGAGAAAAAAGAATAAAAAGAAATGAACAAAGCCTCCAAGAAATATGGGACTATGTGAAAAGACCAAATCTATGTCTGATTGGTGTACCTGAAAGTGACAGGGAGAATGGAACCAAGTTGGAAAACACTCTGCAGGATATTGTCCAGGAGAACTTCCCCAATCTAGCAAGGCAGGCCAACATTCAGATTCAGGGAATACAGAGAACGCCACAAAGATACTCCTCGAGAAGAGCAACTCCAAGACACATAATTGTCAGATTCACCAAAGTTGAAATGAAGGAAAAAATGTTAAGGGCAGCCAGAGAGAAAGCTCGGGTTACCCACAAAGGGAAGCCCATCAGACTAACAGCGGATCTCTCGGCAGAAACTCTACAAGCCAGAAGAGAGTGGGGACCAATATTCAACATTCTTAAAGAAAAGAATTTTCAACCCAGAATTTCATATCCAGCCAAACTAAGCTTCATAAGTGAAGGAGAAATAAAATACTTTACAGACAAGCAAATGCTGAGAGATTTTGTCACCACCAGGCCTGCCCTAAAAGAGCTCCTGAAGGAAGCACTAAACATGGAAAGGAACAACCAGTACCAGCCACTGCAAAAACATGCCAAAATGTAAAGACCATCAAGGCTAGGAAGAAACTGCATCAACTAACGAGCAAAATAATCAGCTAACATCATAATGACAGGACCAAATTCACACATAACAATATTAACTTTAAATGTAAATGGGCTAAATTCTCCAATTAAAAAACACAGACTGGCAAATTGGATAAAGAGTCAAGGCCCATCAGTGGGCTGTATTCAGGAAACCCATCTCACGTGCAGAGACACATGAGGCTCAAAATAAAGGGATGGAGGAAGATCTACCAAGCAAATGGAAAACCAAAAAAGGCAGGGGTTGCAATCCTAGTCTCTGATAAAACAGACTTTAAACCAACAAAGATCAAAAGAGACAAAGAAGGCCATTACATAATGGTAAAGGGATCAATTAAACAAGAAGAGCTAACTGTCCTAAATATATATGTACCCAATACAGGAGCACCCAGATTCATAAAGCAAGTCCTTAGAGACCTACAAAGAGACTTAGACTCCCAACAATAAAAATGGGAGACTGTAACACCCCACTGTCAATATTAGATCAATGAGACAGAAGGTTAACAAGGATATCCAGGACTTCAACTCAGCTCTGCACCAAGCAGACCTAATAGATATCTATAGAACTCTCCACCCCAAATCAACAAAATATACATTCTTCTCAGCACCACACTGCACTTATTCCAACATTGACGACATAGTTGGAAATAAAGCACTCCTCAGCAAATGTGAAAGAACAGAAATCACAACAAACCATCTCTCAGACCACAGTGCAATCAAATTAGAACTCAGGATTAAGAAACTCACTCAAAACCACTCAAATACATGGAAACTGAACAACCTGCCCCTGAATGACTACTGGGTACATAACGAAATGAAGGCAGAAATAAAGATGTTCTTAGAAACCAACTAGAACAAAGACACAACATACCAGGATCTCTGGGACACATTCAAAGCAGTGTGTAGAGAGAAATTTATAGCACAAATGCCCACAAGAGAAAGCAGGAAAGATCCAAAATTGACACCCTAACATCACAATTAAAAGAACTAGAAAAGCAAGAGCAAACACATTCAAAAGCTAGCAGAAGGCAAGAAATAACTAAAATCAGAGCAGAACTGAAGGAAATAGAGACACAAAAAACCCTTCAAAAAATTAATGAATCCAGGAGCTGGTTTTTTGAAAAGATCAACAAAATTGATAGACCGCTACCAAGATTGATAAAGAAGAAAACAGAGAAGAATCAAATAGATGCAATAAAAAATGATAAAGGGGATATCACCACCGATCCCACAGAAATACAAACTACCATCAGAGAATAATACAAACACCTCTACACAAATAAACTAGAAAATCTAGAAGAAATGGATAAATTCCTCGACACGTATACCCTCCCAAGACTAAACCAGGAAGAAGTTGAATCTCTGAATAGACCAATAACAGGCTCTGAAATTGTGGCAATAATCAATAGCTTACCAACCAAAAAAAGTCCAGGACCAGATGGATTCACAGCCGAATTCTACCAGAGGTACAAGGAGGAACTGGTACCATTCCTTCTGAAACTATTCCAATCAACAGAAAAAGAGGGAATCCTCCCTAACTCATTTTATGAGGCCAGCATCATCCTGATACCAAAGCCTGGAAGAGACACAACCAAAAAAGAGAATTTTAGACCAATATCCTTGATGAACATTGATGCAAAAATCCTCAATAAAATACTGGCAAACTGAATCCAGCAGCACATCAAAAAGCTTATCCACCATGATCAAGTGGGCTTCATCCCTGGGATGCAAGCCTGGTTCAGTATATGCAAATCAATAAATGTAATCCAGCATATAAACAGAACCAAAGACAAAAACCACATGAATATCTCAATAGATGCAGAAAAGGCCTATGACAAAATTCAACAACCCTTCATGCTAAAAACTCTCAATAAATTAGGTACCGATGGGACATATCTCAAAATAATAAGAGCTATCTATGACAAACCCACAGCCAATATCATACTGAATGGGCAAAAACTGGAAGTATTCCCTTTGAAAACTGACACAAGACAGGGATGCCCTCTCTCACCACTCCTATTCAACATAGTGTTGGAAGTTCTGGCCAGGGCAATCAGGCAGGAGAAGGAAATAAAGGGTATTCAATTAGGAAAAGAGGAAGTCAAATTGTCCCTGTTTGCAGATGACATGATTCTATATCTAGAAAACCCCATTGTCTCAGTCCAAAATCTCCTTAAGCTGATAAGCAACTTCAGCAAAGTCTCAGGATACAAAATCAATGTACAAAAGTCACAAGCATTCTTATACACCAATAACAGGCAAACAGAGAGCCAAATCATGAGTGAACTCCCATTCACAATTGCTTCAAAGAGAATAAAATACCTAGGAATCCAACTTACAAGGGATGTGAAGGACCTCTTCAAGGAGAACTACAAACTACTGCTCAATGAAATAAAAGAGGATACAAAGAAATGGAAGAACATTCCATGCTCATGGGTAGGAAGAATCAATATCATGAAAATGGCCATACTGCCCAAGGTAATTTATAGATTCAATGCCATCCCCATCAAGCTACCAATGACTTTCTTCACAGAATTGGAAAAAACTACTTTAAAGTTCATGTGGAACCAAAAAAGAGCCTGCATCACCAAGTCAATCCTAAGCCAAAAGAACAAAGCTGGAGGCATCACGGTACCTGACTTCAAACTATACTACAAGGCTACAGTAACCAAAGCAGCATGGTACTGGTACCAAAACAGAGATATAGACCAATGGAACAGAACAGAGCCCTCAGAAATAAAGCCGCATATCTACGACCATCTGATCTTTGACAAACCTGAGAAAAACAAGCAATCGGGAAAGGATTCCCTATTTAATAAATGGTGCTGGGAAAACTGGCTAGCCATATGTAGAAAGCTGAAACTGGATACCTGCCTTACACCTTATACAAAAATTAATTCAAGATGGATTAAAGACTTACGTGTTAGACCTAAAACCATAAAAACCCTAGAAGAAAACCTAGGCAATACCATTCAGGACATAGGCATAGGCAAGGACTTCATGTCTAAAACACCAAAAGCAATGGCAACAAAGGCCAAAATTGACAAATGGGATCTAATTAAACTCAAGAGCTTCTGCACGGCAAAAGAAACTACCATCAGAGTGAACAGGCAACCTACAAAATGGGAGAAAATTTTTGCAACCTACTCATCTGACCAAGGGGTAATATCCAGAATCTACAATGAACTCAAACAAATTTACAAGAAAAAGACAAACAACCCCATCAAAAAGTGGGCAAAGGATATGAACAGACACTTCTCAAAAGAAGACATTTATGCAGCCAAAAAACACATGAGAAAATGCTCATCATCACTGGCCATCAGAGAAACACAAATCAAAACCACAATGAGATACCATCTCACACCAGTTAGAATGGCAATCATTAAAAAGTCAGGAAACAACAGGTGCTGGAGAGGATGTGGAGATATAGGAACACTTTTACACTGTTGGTGGGACTGTAAACTAGTTCAACCATTGAGGAAGTCAGTGTGGCGATTCCTCAGGGATCTAGAACTAGAAATACCATTTGACCCAGCCATCCCATTACTGGGTATATACCCAGAGGATTATAAATCATGCTGCTATAAAGACACATGCACACGTATGTTTATTGCGGCACTATTCACAATAGCAAAGACTTGGAACCAACCCAAATGTCCAACAACGATAGACTGGATTAAGAAAATGTGGCACATATACACCATGGAATACTATGCAGCCATAAAAAATGATGAGTTCATGTCCTTTGAAGGGATGTGGATGAAACTGGAAACCATCATTCTCAGCAAACTATCGCAAGGACAAAAAACCAAATACCGCATGTTCTCACTCATAGGTGGGAATTGAACAATGAGAACACATGGACACAGGAAGGGGAACATCACACTCCGGGGACTGTTGTGGGGTGGGGGGCGGGGGGAGGGATAGCATTAGAAGATATACCTAATGCTAAATGATGAGTTAATGGGTGCAGCACACCAACATGGCACATGTATACATATGTAACAAACCTGCACATTGTGCACATGTACCCTAAAACTTAAAGTATAATAATAATTAAAAAACAAAACAAAACAAAAAGAAATAGTGACTCACAGATCTTACACACTTCACAATAATTAACCCAAAATAGATCATAGACCTAAATGTTAAATGCAAAATTATAAAACTCATAGAAGGTAAAATAGGAAAAAATGTAGATAATCTTGGGTTTAACAGTGGCTTTTTAGATCCAATATCAAAGACATGATTCATGTAAGAAAGAATTGGTAAGCTAGACTTCATTAAAATTTTAAAATTTCTGCTCTGTAAAAGATACTTTGAGAATAATAAAAAGACAAGATATAGCCTGGGAAGAAATATTTGCAAAACACATATCTGATCAAGTACTGTTATCCAAAATATACCAATAACTTTCTTAAATCAACAATAAGAAAATAACTCACTTAAAAGATAGGCCAAAGACCTTAACAGACACCTCACCAAAGATGATATACAGATGGCAGATAAGCATGTGAAAAGATGCTTTATATCATATGTTATTGGAAAAATGAAAATTAAAAAAACAATGAGATACTATTACACCCCTAATAGAATAAACCAAATCCAGAACACTGATGACAACAAATGCTGGAGAGGTTGTGGAGCAACAGGAACTTTTTTTCATTGCTAATACAAATATAAAATGTTACATGTGGAAGACAGTCTGGCAGTATCTTACAAAACTCAATATACACTCACCATATTTTCCAATGATTGCATTCCTTGGTATATACATAAAGGAGCAGAAAACTTAGGCTCACACCAAAACCTGCACACAGATGTTTACAGCAACATTATTCACAATTGCCAAAACTTGGAATACACAAAAATATTCTTCAGTAAGTAAATAAATAAACTGTGATACATTCAGACAATTGGTACGTTCAGGCAGTTGTGGTACATTCAATTCAGCTCAGACAATTGAGCTATTTATAATTAGCTCAGATGTGAGCTATTGAGCTATGAAAAGGCATGGAGGGTTCTTGAGTAATTTACTCAATACTAAGAGGAAGAAACTAATCTGAAAAAGTCTACGTATTGTGTGATTTCAACTACATGACATTCTGGAAAATGCAAAACTATTAAGACAATAAAAAGATCAGTGTTTTCCAGGGATGTAGGAAGAGAAGCATGCATAGGCATAGCACAGAGGATTTTTAGGGCAGTGAAACTACTTACTATGATATGATAATGGTGGTTACATTTAATTACAAATTTGTCCAAATCTTTGGAATGTACAACACAAAACTAATGTGAGCTATGGACTTTTGGGTGATAATTTGTGTCATTGTAGGTTCATTAATTATAACAAATGAACCACTTGGGTGGGAATGTTGATAATGAGGCTATGCATGTAGGGGGCAGGGAGTACATGCACATTCTGTTCAAATTTACTGTGATTTTCAAACTGTTCTACAAAATAAAGTCTTATTTTTTAAAAAAGAAAAACCCAATCTAATCTTTCATGTTAAGGAACTCAAATTTGAAGAATAAGTGAAAAAACAAAGTATGCAGAAGCAAAATATGAATATAAGCAAAAACTAAAAGAAATGGGAGGCTTTAAAAAATAGAAAAAAATTATACAAAGCAAAAAGCTACTTATTTGAATAGATCAGTGGAATAAACATTTAACTATATTTCCACAAACATTAAGAGGGTAATTAGGAGATATTAAGGACAACTTTATGACCATACATTTGGCAACTAGAATATGCAAGATTATTTTCTTCAAAGACATAAAGAACTGATCGTTACTAAAGAATAAAGAGATAGCTAAATAGTCCATTATCTATTAAAATAATTTAGTTTGTATTTTAATACATGCTAAGTAAGAAAACTCCTGATCCAGATAGTTTCACTGACAAAATAATATGAGTTATTAAGCTTTTTAAGTAACACGAACTCCTCCAGAAAATAAGGAGTATGATACACTTTACAATCTTTTAATAAAGCCGGAATTACCCTATACCAAAACTAGGCAAAGATATTTCAAGAAAAGATATCAGTAATTATCATGAATACAAACACAAAAAATACTCCATAAAATATTATACAAATCCATAAAATATTTCATATTACCAAATCAAATTCAGTAATACGTAAAATTTATAATATATTTTGAACAAGTGAGATTTATTTTGGAAATAAAAGGCTGCTTCCACATTCAAAAAATGTAATTTACCACTTCAATAGACTAAAGAAAACAATGATAATATTAGTAGATATAGAAAATAAGAAATAGAAGTTTTCCTTAACTTGAAAAAGAGTATCTACCAAAACAAACAAAATTCAGCTCAGTCTCTAGCTAATATCTTATTAGTAAAAAACCAAATGCTTTCTCCCTTCAAGAAATAAGGCAAGCATGCCCATTTTCATCACTTCTATTTAACACTATACTGTATTCTAAACAATGTAATCATGCATGGAAAATAAATACAAAGCATAGATTTCAGTAAGGATAAAATAATACTGTCTCTATTTGCACACAACATAATTCTCTGCATAAAAAACACAAATAATCTACAAAACAGTATTAAAACGAATATGAGCTTAGTAAAGTTGTAGCATGCAAAGTCAATGTTCAAATGAGTCAATAAAATTTGATAGTATCAATAGCAACAAAATTCCATAGCATCTCTATATACTGGCAGGGGACAATTGATACTCAACATTTTTAAAAAATGCAATCCACAACTGTACCAAAAATATAAAGTATTTATGTATACATCTAACAAAATAATAAACAATTTGTATGCTGACACTACAAAACAGTGATGAAAGGAAACAAGATATACAAAATGGAGAGCTATATCATGTTTATAGATTAGAAGATTCAATAGTTTAAGAGAGAAACTATTTCCAAACTGATCTTTAATTCAGTAAAATTTCTATATAAATCCTAGTCGTCTTTTGAATAGAAATTGGCAAGCTAGTTCTGAAGTTTATGTGAAAAGATGAGGAGCTGGAATAGAAAAAATAATTTTGATAAAGATCAAAGTAGAAGTTTGCTTATTTCAAGATTAACTATAAAGCTACTCTAATCAAGAATGTGTGGGGTTTTGTTGAAAAGATAGATAGATAGATCGATGGAACAAAATAGACAATTCAGAGATAGACCCACACTTTTTCAGTTGATTGATTTTTAACAATGGTGCAAAGGCAAATCAATGGATAAAGTACACTCTCTTCAACAAATGGCATTAGAATAATTATATTTTTATTAAATTAAAACAAACTTCACTCTATACCTTAAATTATATACAAATATTAACTAAACATAGGTAATAGGTATAAATATTAAACCTAAAAATAAAGTCTAAAATATTATATTGAAGAAACTATCTGAAATTTTGGAAAAGGGAAAGATTTATGAGAAACAATACCAAGAGCATGTTCCATAAAAGAAAACTGGCTGTGTTGAATTCCATCAAAATGGAGAACTGCTCTTGTAAGACAATGTGAAGAGAATAAAGAGACAAACCACAAACTGGTAGAAAATATTTGCAAATCATATATTTCTTTTTTTTTTTTTTAATTTCCATAGGTTTTTGGGGAACAGGTAGTATTTGGTTACACGAGTAAGTTCATTAGTGGTGATTTGTGAAACTTTGGTGCACCTATCACCCGAGCAGTATACACTGAACCTGATTTGTAGTCTTTCATGCCTCAACCCCTTCCCACCCTTTCCCACTGAGTTCCCAAAGTCTATTGTGTCATTCTTATGCCTTTGCATCCTCATAGCTTAGCTCCCACTTATGATTGAGAACATACAATGTTTGGTTTTCCATTCCTGAGTTACTTCACTTAGATTAATAGTCTCTAATACCATCCAGGTTGCTGCAAATGCCATTAATTAAGTTGTTTTCATAGCTGAGTAGTATTCTATATGCGTATGTACCACAGTTTCTTTATCCACTCCTTGATTGATGGTCATTTGGGTGGGTTCCACATTTTTGCAATTGCAAATTGTGCTGCTGTAAACATGCATGTGCAAGTATCTTTTTCGTATAATGACTTATTTTCCTCTTGGTAGACACCCAGTAGTGGGATTGCTGGATCAAATGGTAGTTCTACTTTTAGTTCTTTAAGGAATCTCCACACCGTTCTCCATAGTGGTTGTACTAGTTTACATTCCCACCATCAGTGTAGTAGAGTGTTCCCTGTTCACCCCACTCACACCAACATCTATTATTTTTTGATTTTTTGATTATGGCTATTCTTGCAGGAATAAGGTGGTATTGCACTGTGGTTTTGATTTGCATTTCCCTGATCATTAGTGATGTTGAGCATGTTTTCATATACTCAACATATATATGTAGATTCATGTGCTCAACATATATATATATACATCTACATATATAGATGTATAGATTATGAAGATTTTCTTCCACTCTGTGGGTTGTCTCTTTACTCTGCTGACTGTTCCTTTTGCCCTGCAAAATCTCTTTAGTTTAATTAAGTCCCAGCTATTTATCTTTGTTTTTATTGCATTTGCTTTTGGGTTCTTGGTCATGAAATCCTTGCCTAAGCCAATGTCTAGAAGGGTTTTTTGATGTTATCTTCTAGAATTTTTATAGTTTCAGGGCATAGATTTAAATTCTTGATCCATCTTGAGTTGATTTTTTATAAGCTGAGAGATGAGCATCCAGTTTCATTCTCCTACATGTGGCTTGCCGATTATCCCAGCACCATTTGTTGAATAGCGTGTTCTTTCTTCACTTTATGTTTCTGTTTGCTTTGTCAAAGATCAGTTGGCTGCAAGTATTTGGGTTTATTTCTGGGTTCTCTATTCTGTTCCATTGGTCTATGTGCCTATTTTTATACCAGGACCATGCTGTTTTGGTGACTACGGCCTTATAATGTAGTTTGAAATCAGGTAATGTGATGCTTTTAGATTTGTTCTTTTTGCTTAGTCTCGCTTTGGCTATGCGGGCTCTTCTTTGGTTCCTTATGAATTTTAGGCTTGTTTTTTCTAGTACTGTGAAGAAAGATGGTGGTATTTTGATAGGAATTGCATTGAATTTGTAGATTGCTTTTGGCAGTATTGTCATTTTCACAATATTGATTCTACCCATCCATGAGCATGGGATGTGTTTCCATTTGTTTGTATCAGCTATGATTTCTTTCAACAGTGTTTTGTAGTTTTCCTTGTAGAGATCTTTTACCTCCTTCATTAGATATATTCCTAAGTATTTTTTTCAGCTATTGTAAAAGGGGTTGAATTCTTGATTTGATTCTCAGCTTCAGCAAATTATATATCTCATAATGAATGAATTTGTATCCAGAATATATAAAGACCTCCAAATCTTAATAGTAATAAAAGAACAGAATTTAAAATAGTGAAGAAATTTTTGAAAAGACATCATGAGGGAAGATATACAAATGTCCAAATAAGGGCAAGAAATTATTCTCAACATTCTTAACAAACCACTCATTAACTTTTCCAATAGCTAAAGAAAAAAAGGAAAGAAAACTGACCAGACTAAATGCTGGTGAAGATGAGGAGCAACTGGAATTTATGCATTGTTGGTGGGATTGAAAAAATGGTAAAATAACTTTGGGAACAGAGTTTAGAAATTTAATAAGTTAAATATACATTTGCCATACTTTCCAGTAATTTCACTCCTAGGTATTTATCCAAGTGAAATGAAAACTTATGTTCACAGAGACATCTGCACTTAAATATATATGACAATTTTATTTATATTCACTCCAAACTGGAAACAACTCAAACGTCTTTCAACTGGTGAATGAATGAGCAAATGATGGTACATTTGTACAGTGGAATACTTACCAGCAATAAAATAAATGAATGTCTAAAATAAGAACATGAATAAAACCATTTATGATTCCATTTATGTAACATTCTAGAAAAGGCAAACATATAGGTACCAAAAGAGATTAGTGAATGCCATGGGCTACTGGTCGAGGCAAGGGTTAACTGTTAATGGGCATGAAGAAAATTTGGGGAGTGATGGAAATGGTCTATATCTTGATTTTAATGCTAGTTACCCGACTGTATACACTTGTCAAAACTTATAGAACCATATACTAAAGGGTAAATTTTATTGCAACTAACTTTTATCTCAATTTTAAAATGTCATTAGCAAATAGTCTTACTTTCAGAGTTAAGTAACAGGACAATAATAAATTATAGATAATTATGACTGATTTATCCTTGCCCAACATGATGAAAGTCTTTTCTTTCCTGAATCAGGCCTTGTTTGCCACTTTCTTTTGTACTTCACCTGTATCAATGTTCATTTCCCCAGACACACTTGGCTCTCATAGTTTCTTGACCTGGAAGAATTTACGATTCTCAATCATACTATTTGCCTCTAAGCATTTGAACATACTTGGTTGTTGTTGTGATTTCTTTGTTGTTTTTATTTTTCTGACCTTTTAAATTTTTTCCCAGAGTATGAATAAATATAATATAGCACAGTATTAATCGTAGTCCAATTAGGCAGTTTTCTTTCTGGTAAATTTTAATAGATGCCTAGAAAAATGCCCTCTGTTATCAGCCAAAATAGCTCCCCTGGCAGTGCAAGAGTGCTCAGCTTTTTAATTTGTCAAAGAAATTAAAACAAAGTAAGACATGGCAGTTGACTGAATGGAAACTAGATATTCACTCAAGAAATATACATACTCTACCAGCACTTCAGCTGTAAGCTCTTGACTTTGCTTATTTAATGTTCACAGTTTTAATGATTCAAGGGTATCTCTCTGACACTGTCACCACACTTGATAAGTTTATGTTGTTGAGTGGACCATCCCATGAGTTTGTTACTGTTGGTGAGTTATTTACCAAAACAAGTAATTTATCTGGCCATTCCACATCTGCATTTAAATATTTTTTCCTATTCTTATTCACAGATGTTTTAATTTTAAAAAGATTTTATAATGTAGCATTAAAAACATAGGGCATTTTAAAAAGTCTTGGGCAATATTGATACAAGTGCTGCCAAGGCACCATTGTGTCAGGGAAGCTAGTTGAAATAAATCCTGTGGAGATCTGCCCAGCTTCCCACTTCTGCACGAGAGAATCTTGCTCTGACTCGTTTGCTAGATGGCACAGAAGTGGCTAACTTTGTAAAATTCAGGCTGCAGTATATGTATTTCTGAAAACTGGGCCATACAATTTGACACACCTTATGATACAAAATGTGTCTGTGATGGAAAAAGATGCCATATGGAGTTTATGGCAAGCTTCAACAGGAGAACGACAATATAAATCCTTGATGTTCTGTAGCAAGGGTGTACCATCTGCAGAGAAAATATAATTGTTCTAATATGCTACTAAATGCCTCTCAAGATGGAGCATCTGACCAGAAAATATCAACTGCTCAACTTTAGTCAGTTATGTGAGACCCTGTGAGTCATAGGTTAGGGGAAAACAGCAGCAATCTATCTTCAGTTGGAGGTGGTATGTTTGTGAGTGGGTATGAGCAAAGCTGGAAGACACAAGTAAACTGCATAAGCAGATGATCTGATCCCATGTGTCCTTACACTACTGTTTCATGGGTGCTTCTCCCTCAGCTCATGTCTACGTGATCTTATATAGGGGCTTAGGCATCAGCTAACAGAGAAGAAAGAAGTACAGACTTAGTTTCCAGACAGATTGGCTTGGTTTGTTAGTGTGAATCAAAGATTGAAGGCAGGTGTGCTAAACCTTACTCAGGTGTTTCTGAAAGAGAGCAATGAGGATAAAATCCTCCCAATGGGCAGTTCTCTTTGCAGTGTACCTGGTCAGCCATTTTGTCTGGATAAAGAAATGGCACAAAATAAGAATGTGCACAGTCTCATGGTCAATGGCAAATGACCTGGCTGGTTCGTTAGAGGCCTTAAAAGAGAAATGTTAAAAGATTGAAGTCAGGGAAGTGTGGGGAAGAGTGAAAGTGGGTACAACATGTGAGGATCTTTGTATCAGATGTTAATTCCCATCAGACAGCATCCACCACAAGAGTCATAAAACTACTGAATAGACAGAATGACTTGATTAGTTGACATCAGCTAGCCTTTATCAATGCTCACCCCATTCCTGGCATGATGGGCTCATGCACAGTGGCAGGATGACGCCTATGCATGGGCCTAATAGCATAGGCTTTCACACATCAAAACTAATCTGGCTACTGCCACTGCTGAATGCTTCAAACTGCCCATAAAAGAACAACCCACATCACCAGTATGGCACAATTTCTTCAGGAGATCAACCAGCAATTTGATGACAAGTTGACTAGATTAGGAACCTTCTACCCCTAAGGGAGAGAGTTTCATTCCTCTTCACTGGGATTGGCTGGATTTGAGATAGAGGTTTGCCTTTTCATCCCTCAGGACCTTGCCCAGCACAACTTCTGAGGGCTTACAGAGTATCTGATACACATACACAAGATCCCTCACAGTGTCATCTCAGATCAAGGGGCCTAATTAATAGCAAAGAAAGTCTGGAATTGACTAAAGGATCATGGGATCTATAGTGAAGCTCCTGCACACTGCAAACACTCAGAAACTCCAGCCTGAGAGGTCACTGAAATAACATCTAAAAAATACTGCTCAGGCATCAGTTCAGAGATGGCACTCTGAATGCATAAAATCCACCAGAATGTGTGGGGTTTTTTTTTTTCTTTTGAGACAGAGTCTCGCTCTGTTGCCCAGGCTGGAGTGCAGTGGCACAATCTCGGTTCGCTGCAAGCTCCCCCTCCCGGGTTCATGCCATTCTCCTGCCTTGGCTTCCCAAGTAGCTGGGACTACAGGCACCTGCCACCATGCCTGGCTAATTTTTTTATATTTTCAGTAGAGGCAGGGTTTCACTGTGTTAGCCAGCATGGTTTCAATCTCCTGACCTCGTGATCCGCCCGCCTAGGCCCCCCAAAGTGCTGGGATTACAGGCGTGAGCCACCACACCCAGCCCAGAATGTGTTAATCTTCATAAATTAAGTGTTGTTTCCTTAATAGGCAGAAGACATGGGTCTGGGAATCAACAAGTAAAAGTAGAAATAACCCTGCTTAATGTCACCCTCTTGATCTGCTTGGAGAAATGTGTGCTTTTTAGCCATGTAACATTTTAGACTTTGTACATCTATAGAGAGAACCTGGCTTCAGATGGTGATCACTGCCACTAGAGAATTTAGTAGGAGTCCCATTGAAATTTAAGCTGTGACTACCACTCAGTCATTTGTACCAACGACTATAAGGGAAGGCAAGGAATCATCATGTTTGCAGAGGTAATTGCCCCTGATCCTCAGAAGTTTGGTAAGAATATGTTTGACACACAGGTGATACAGTAGGGTACCTTTTGGTGCTTTCATGCTTGGATTTAATGGTAGATGAGAAGTGCAGCAGCCATAGCCTGATAAGGGCATTGTAACCTATGGCCCATATCCCTCAAGGATGAGAATCTGTGTGCACACACAAGCAAGCCATTTACACCAGGAGAGGTGGGAGCTGAGTGTGAGAAGAATCTAAAAAGAATTGTAGAGTACATAAATTATATCATAAGTTGTCACCCCAAGACCACTATTAGTGGTAGAGCTTACAGTATTTCCCATTAACCCAAGGAATAAGAATAAGACAAATCCTGGAGTAGCTGTTCCCAGATAGAATTACCTTAACAAGCTGTCAATAAGAGCTGTATTCTGTCCATATTTTCTTTCTGGAGTGAAGCACTCATCTGCTAGCTACTGTGAATGGTTGCTGCTTCACTCACTGGGAATTGCCCTCAGCAACAAGGAAGTAGTTGTCCTGAGATTATACTCTTTCCCTCCTGGGAGTGTCTGGCAGCCAATAATTGGTTTGTGAATGGATATAGAAGCGTGAGTCCCCAACCCCTCTATTTAAGACAACTCCATAATGCTATTGCAGTTCTAGAGTGACATTTCCCTCAATCTGTAGGCTCTATTGAGGTCTTTGGTGCAACCTCATTGCAGGTCGGATTCTCTCCATTCTAGCTTTCATATAGGTATATGATAATTCCCCCAAACTCTTTAACAGATTCTCAGTCTCAACGTTTGTTCCAGAAACACATGTTACATGGTTAATCATTAATCTCAGTAAAAACTTGGCTTGGATGTGCCACCTAATCAAATGAATATGTCAGTGCCAAAGTTCATAAGAAGCAAAATAGATGCAGAAGATAACTGAGAGATTGTTGAAATGGGCATTGGCAATTCTGATTTTAACTAGCAGTCTCACCTGACACCAATAATCTTAAATCTGTTGAAGATCAATGACTGAGCATAAACAACCTGATGACTTTCACATGGATTTATTTAGATGCCATTTTTTCTTCACATTTTTAGAAACAATTTTGAAAGTAGAAGTATAATATATAGTGCCAGCTACCTTATTTGAAGTTTGATGACAGAGTAGCCTCCTTTCGCTGAAATCTATCTACGTTTATTCTAAAAAACCAATCCAGTAATTGTTAGATTGAGTGACTAGAAGAACACTCATAGCCCTCAGGAAACATAAAATGTCATCTCATCAATCTATATCAGATGAATATAAGTTGAAGCCAAATAAGTTTTCAAATACTTGCCTTGATGTTAATCTTCAGTATGAAATTGAATATGAGCAAAGCACTGGAAAGAAATTGGAAGCAACGAAGAAGTAGAACCCTCTACCTAGCGAGAGAGAATCCAGATTTGCATGGCATTTATGACAGATCTTCTGCGGATCTTAAAGTTGTTAGGGACACTTCTTGAAGTATAAAGTGACTTTTATTTAGCACTTAATGTGGGAGGTGATTTCACATAAATTATATGCATGAGTGATCTGACAGAGAAACCTGGAAGTTCGCCTCTTGTAAGAGATGTCTGTTGGAATGAAATTTGTTGGCATTAGTGTAAAGAATGAAAACCTAGGAGATTTTTATTGGTTTCACAACATTGGACAAGGCCAGGCATTAGGAACTTCCCTAAGTCATCTCGTCAATGCCGACAAGTCTAAAATTAATAACCAAAGCTTTCAGGAGGTAGGCTGGGACAAAGATAAGAACATAACAGAACAACTGTAAGCACTTTTTAGACAAATTCCTTTCCCTAAGCATGAACTTTTTATTCCATGTAAAATTATACTGCTGGAAAACAATGTAGGTGTGATGTCTTATTTCCAACTGTAGTGAAGTGTCTAGGCTTTTTCAGCAGCTGTGTGAAAAGAAAAGAAACAATTCCCTTCTTCCATTTCCCACAGAATAATTGTGAAATGAGCAATAGAAATACTCTCAAAGTACAGATTATATTATCCTTTTATCAATTAAGATGTCTTTGACTGCAAGAAATAGATTATCCAACTAAGATTAGTTTGACAGAGAAGACTATATTCATTTTTTTTTCAACAAGAAGTCAGGGCAAGACAATTACGAGGTTACTTCAACAACTCCCTATTGTCACAGTTACACATCAGCTTTTTCACTGAGATTTCCTTGGCTTTTCCCCATTCTTCCCTAAGCTTTATTAGAGTGTATGAAACGTTACCTTCAAAGTGGCAAGATATCTCCTTAACTCCCAGCTTCGAATCCTCATGCAACAGAATCTGCAGTCATATATTAGACTAGTTCCTGCATTCTCTCTGTATTTAAAATGCAGATGCTCCCTATATGCAGTTCTATATGCTCCCTATATGCTTTCTAAGGTGCTCCCTATATGCAGTTCCTGTATATCTCATAGGCCAGGGCTATATCACTTGTCCATGACTAGAGTGGAAAGGGAAGTGATATGATAATAGTTGGCCTAGATTATTCATATCCTAGGTCTTGGAAGGAACCAGAAAGCCCAGGAATAATTGGTACATAGAAGAATTGGGTGCTGTTAGCATGAAAGTGGGAGGTGCTTTTTTTAATAGTTCTTGGGTATGAAATGAAGAGTACTGCAACAGTCTTCAAATTAGTTGGTGTTATGGGTGGAACTATGTCCCCACAAAATTCATATGTTGAAGTTAGACCCTAGTACCTAACAATGTGAGTGTATGTGGAGATTCTGACTTTAAGAAAGTAATCAAAGTCAAAGGAAGTTCTTAGTGTAAGCCCTAGTCCAATATGACTGCTCTCCTAGTAAGAAGAAGAAGTTAGTACTAGGACACAGACATATACAGAGGGAAGACCATGTGAAGACACAGGGAAAAGACAGTCATCTACAAGCCAAGGAGAGAAGCCTCAAAAGAAATAAACTCTTCCAACATGGTTAGTATCTTGCTCAAAGTCCTAGTATCCTTTTTCTTGCCCAGACCCTATGAAATCTTAATGGAACTGAAGTATTGGTTACAGAACACTTCATTTTACTTAGCTTCCTCATTTCCTCACATGAGTTGGTAAATAACATGCTTTTCCAATTATTCTCAGAGCCAGAACATTCAAAGTAGTTTTATGGAAAATATTGCAATGATTTGTTCTAACTTTAAATAGCATAAATTCTAACATGGTGCTATGCCAGAATCTGTTGCCTTTATGCATACAAGAATACAGGATTAGGAATTCTAAGTGTATTTATAGCTTGTATAGCAAGAACATTTTCTATTATTTCAGAATTTGAGCTGCGTTGCCAAAGCTGAGAACAATGAATTTTGATTTTGTTAGAAATGCAGTTTTCCCTAAATTTTTATTTTTATAAACTTGTAATCAAAGTACCTCATATATAAAGGAAAGTATACAAATCATACTTTTACATATTGATGAATTTTTCCAACTGAACATACCTGAATAGGCATGCCCATATACACCATCCAGTTTAAGAAGATTATTGCTAGCTCGTTTAAGAAGATTATTGTGACAGTATGACAATTTTGATACAAATATATTGGTGAAATATGAAGACATTTTTGTTGGATATATATGCCTAAAAGTAAAATGCTGGGCCACGTGATTTATTCTTTCAGCTTTAGTAGACACTGCCGAGCAGTTTCCAAATAAGTTGTTTGTACCCACTTACACTCCCACCATCAGTGTTATAGGAGTTCTAGTTAACTCCACCTCTGTACCAAGTTTTGATATTTCTGACTTTTTATCCTTAGGCATTCTGGTGGCACATAATGGTAAGCATTAACATTGTTTCATATGTTCATTGTCAGTTGGAATATACTTTTATAACAAGTACATCTTAAAATTTCTTAACAATTTTTAAATGAATTGTTCATATTGCCCTTATTTTTAAAGGATTTTTTTTGCACATTCTAGGTATGAATTTTTCATTGGGTGTATTATAAATATCCTCTAACATTCTGTATTTTATATTTTTACTCTTTTAGGGTTGTGTTTTGAAGAAGAAAAGTTCTTAATTTTAATATGGTCCAATTTGTCCTTTTTTTTCTTTTAGATTAGACTAGATTTTATTTTTACCTACTTAAAGATCATAAAGATGTTCTAATTTTTCCTTTAGTTGTTTTATCTTTTATGTTTACATCTGCGATCCCTCTGCAACTAAATTTGTGTTTACAGTGAAAAGAGATCAAGATTTACTTTGTTTATATATGAGTATACAATAATCCCAAAGCCATTTATTAATCAAAAAATTCTGTACTCAGTAATGTTAGTCTTGACATGAATCAGACTACAGTACTTGTGGATCAGGACTCTTTGTTCTGTTACATTGGCCTATCAGTCTGCTTTTAAGTTAGAATACACTGTTTTAATTGGAATAGCTGCATAATAAGCCTGAATTGCTGGTATTCTAGCTTTTTTCTTTCTTTAAGATTTGCCTTATTCTTGGTTGTTTAAATTTCTACGTAAATTTTAGGATGAATCTGTAAACATAATAAACAAATCTCTCTTAGGATTTTCATTGTGAATGAATTAAATCTATTCTTTAGTTTGTAGAGAATTGTTTGTTTTTGTGTCACAGATTTACACAATATGAGTTTGCTATATTTATTTATTTTTCTTAATTCGCTGCAATGAATGCACAGCTTTTTTGTATGGTTTTGTGAATGTTTTAAATTTAATTCTAGCTATTTAGTTTTCTTTTATAATTAAAAAATCCATAATGCAATTGAACTATGATTTGCATAGAAAAAAATGCACCAATTCTAAGGACGTAGTTTGATGTGTTTTGACAAAAATATACACTCATATAACCACTAAGGCAGCAGTTATCTTGTTCCCTTTCCCAGTCAATCCTCAACCCTAATCCTACATTCAGGGTAAGGACCGATTTGCTTTTTGTCACCATTGGTTAGATTTGCCTTCTTAAGAGTTTTATGTAAATGTAATTAGTAATCATTTAGTTGTGTCTGGCTTCTTTTGTTTAGCAAAAGACAAAGTCAGTCAACAGGTGAATGGATAAACACATTGTGATGAGGACATTTAGTGAGATACTATATATATATGTATATATATGTATAGTATATATATATATATATATATATATAAAACCTATTCTAATTGTTAGCTATAGCTCATTGTGCTTGTGATTTACATTTTTCTGATAACTAATGAGGTTGAGCACCTACTAATGTGATTATTAGACATTTGTGTAACTGTGATATTTCTGTTCCAAAGTTTTCCCAATTTTGAGGGGCCAAAATTTTTGAGATATGGAAGCTTATTAGACATGTGTTTTGAAAATATATCTGCCAAGGCTGTATATTATTATTTTATTTTCCAAATGATGTTTTTTGAAGATCACTTTTTTTTTAGTTTTGAAGTCTAATTCTTTAATTTTATGCTTTAAGCTTTTGCTGTCTTATCTAACAAATGTTATTCTTTCTCCAACATTTTCTTCTAAATGTTTTATTTCATAGTTTCTAGACGTGTGTTTATAATACATTTCAACTCAACTTCAGTACATGTAAAGGGTAGAAGGATAAAGGTTCATTTATTTCTGTGGTATCAGCTGTATACCATTTTTTTTTCTCTGATTTTATCTGGTTTTCTCTCGTTTTCTTAGTCTGGCTAAAGGTTTGTCTATTTTGTTACTCTTTTCAAAAAAATCAAATTTTCTTTTTCATTACCCTTTTATATTTAGTTTTTACTCTCAATGTCATTTATTTCTGCTCTGATCTTTACTTTTTCTATTAATTTTGAGTTTGGTTTGCTCTTGTTTTGCTGGCTCTTTAAGATTCATCATTAGGTTTATTTGAAGTTTTTCTACTTTTTGATGTAAGTGTTTATTGTTATAAACTACTTTCTCAGTACTGCTTTTGCTGCATTGCATAGATTTTTGGTATGTTGTATTTCCATTTTCATTTGTTTCAAGAAAATTTTAAATTTCATTATTTCTTTAACCCAATGGTTATTCAGGAGCATATTGCTTAATTTCTATGTGTGTGAACAGTTTCCAAGGTTCCTCTTGTTAGTGATTCATAGCTTTATTTGTTTGTGGTCAGAACAGGTACTTGATATTTTTTCTTTTTTTTTTTTTAATTTTTTGAGATGTATTTTCTGGTCTAACTTCCAGTCTATCCTTGAGGACGTCCCATGTGCTGAGAAGAATAATAGGTATTCTGTAGTCACTGGATGTAATGTTCTATAAATGTCTATTAGGTATGTTTGGCTTATAGTGCAGGTTCAGTTAGGAGTTTGCTGATTTTGTGTCTAGATGATCTGTGCATTGCTGAAAGTTGGATGGTGAGATACTCAATTATTATAGTAGTGGGGTCTATCTCTCTCTTTAGCTCTAATAATAGTTACTCAGTATTCTAAATGCTCCAGCATTGGGTCCATATATACTTAGAATTGTAATATCCTCTTGCTGAATTGATCCCTTCATTTTTATATAATGATATACTTTGTCTCTTTTTACCATATTTGTCTTGAAAAGTGTTTTATCTGATGTAAATATAGCTAGTCCTCCTCTTTTTTGGTTTCCATTTGTGTGTAATACATTTTTACATCCCTTCAGTTTTAGTCTGTTTGTCTTTATAGATGGAAGTTTCTTGCAGGCTACCTGTAGTTGGGTCTTTTTAATGTTATTATTGAGATATAAGGGCCTACTATTGCCATTTTGTTATTTGTTTTCTGGTTGGTTTTTGGTCCTCTATTTCCTTCTTCCTTTCTATGTGTAAAGTTGGTTTTCTCTGGTAGTATGTTTTCATTCGTTGCTTTGTAATTTTTGTGTAACTGTTAATAGGTTTTTTTTGTGGTTACCATATGGCTTTACAAATGACATCTTATTATAATCAGTTATTTTAAGCTAGTGACAACTTGATTCTTATTACAAAGAAAAAAAACAAGCAAAGAGAAAAATAAAAAACTACACTTTCATTCTAATCCACTCCATATTTTGACTTCTTGTTGCCCCTATTTATCTTTTTATATTGTCTATCACTTTAAATTTTTTTGAGTTATTATTTTTTATATGTTTGTCTTTTAGTCTTCCTACTCAAGATATGAGTGGTTTACACACCACAATTACAGTGGTAGAGTATTCTATATTTATCTGTGTACTTACTGCTATCAGTGAGTTTTATATCTTCAGATGATTTCTTATTGCTCATTAACATCCTTTTCTTTCAGATTGACAAATTCTCTCAAATATATTGCGAGACAGATCTGGTGTTAACAAAATCCCTCAGCTTTTGTTTGTCTGGGAGAGTCTTTATTTAGCCTCCATATTTGAAAGATAATTTTGCTGAATGTAATATTCTAAGTTGAAAATTGTTTTACTTCAGCACTTTGAATATGTCATCCCACCCCCTTCTGGCCCATAAGGTTCTTGTTGAGAAGTCTGCTGTCAGAAATATTGGAGCTCCTTTATATGCTATTTTCCCTTTTTCTCTTGTTTCTTTTCAGATCATTCTTTAAAAACATATTCGACCTTTGAGAGTTTTATTATTATATACTTTGAGGTAATTATTTGGGTTGAATCTTCTTACTGCTCTTTGACTTTCTTGTACCTGGATATTCATATCTTTCTTTAGGTTTGGAAAGTTTCTGTTATTTTCTTTGAGTAAACTTTCTACCCCCATCTCTGTCTACATCCTCTTTAAGGCCAATAACTGTTAGATTTGTCCTTTTGAGGTTAGTTTCTGGATTTTCTAGGCATGCTTCTTTTTTATTGGCTTTTCTTTTTTCTCCTATAACTATATATTTTCTTAAATCCTATCTTCGAGCTGACTAATTCTTCTGCTTAATCAAGTCCACTGGTAAGAGGCTCTGATGCATTTTTTATTTGTCAACTGAATTTTTTCAGGGGCAGATTTTCTGCTTGCTTTCTTTTTATTATTTCAATCTCTGTTAAATTTCTCTGATATATTCTGACTTTCTTCTTTGTGTTATTTTGAAGTTTGATGAGCTGCCTCCAGACAGCTCTTTTGAATTCCCTGTCAGAGAGTTCACATATATCCATTACTCTAGGACTGGTCACTGATGTCCATTTGGTAAGGTCACGTTTCTCTAGATTTTCTTGATGTTTTTGGACATTTGTCAATGTCTGGGCATTAGAGACTTGTGTATTTATTCCAATTTGTGCTGTCTGGGTTTGTTTGTGCGCATCATTTTTGAGAGGCCTTTCCAAGAACTCAAAGAGGTTTGAGTGTTGCGACCTAAGGCTGTGGTTACTGCAGCTGTTTTAGCACTAGGGGCACCTAAACCCAGGAACACTACAACTGTTGATATATGGAGTCCTACATACACAGCCTTGGTGGATTTGGAGCAGATAACAAGAGGATTCCTTGGGTTACCTCCTCTCTTCCCTCTCTTTTCTGCAATCAGGAGTCTCTGCCTCCATTGGGCTGCCTGGAGTTGGGGGAGGGATGATGTCAGCATTCCTGTGGTCACCACAGCTGGCACTGCACTGGGTCATAACTGAGGCAAATGACTTTTCAGACCACCACAGTACTGGGGCTTAACCAAGTCCTTGGACCACTACTGCCTGGCTGCCAATGCTGTTTATTTAAGGCCCAAGGCCACTTTAGGTAGTGGGTGGCAAATCTTGCCAGGATTGGCCTCATGCCACTAGAGCAGTGGATTTCCTTCATGCCCAAGATGGGTCTAGAAAGGCCATCCAGGAGCAAAGACCTAGCATCAGGGGATTAAGGAATCTGTCCGGTGCTTTATTTTACTGTGGCTGAGCTGATACCCAAGTTGCAAGACAAAGTTCTCTATACTCTTCCTTCTTCTTCCCCCAAGCAGAGGGAGTCTATCCCAGAGCTGCAGTTCCTGGAGTTGGGGAGGGGTGATACAGGCAATCCCATGGCAACCACAGATTGTGTCACACTGGGTGGTGCCCCAAGTTGATTGCCTTTAAGACCAGTGCAGCACCAGGGCTTCCTCAAAGACTGCAGTACTTGTGGCCCTGACTGGCACACAAATTTACTCAGGATCCTTGGCCAATTTAGTCAACTGGTCATGATGCTGGCTAGGACCCAGTTTCCTCCTGCTGAGGTAGAGGATTCCTCTCTGGTCCAGGGTTGATTTAAATGCTCCTTCTGTGGGCATCAGCAGAATTCTGCCCTCTGTTGTGTTCCACTGTAACAGGGAACCAATGAAGTACAACGCAAAGTCCCACGTTTGCATTTCACTCTCCCTCTCCAAATCACACAGATTCTCTCTAGATGCTTCACTGCCTAGGGTTGGAGGAAGGTTGGTGTAGGCAATGCAAGGCTCTTCTTTCTACCTTTTCCAATGCCTCTTTTGTTGTTGTTTTATTAAAATCAGGTGCTGTGATTGCTCACCTAATTTTTTGGTTCATAGGAATGAGCTTTCCTCTGTGGATAGTTGTTCAGTTGTTCGCGTGGGAGGGACAATCACTGGAAGGTTAAATTTGGCCATCTTGCTCCTCTTCTTTGTCTAATCAAGTTTTTATGTGTATTAATTTTATATCCTTAAATCCTACTAATGTCACTTATTAATTTTAGTATCTTCTTTGTGGATTCCTTGGGATTTTCTAAATAAACAGTAATGCTATTGGCAAATAAAAAGTTTTACTTCTTCCATTGCAATCTTAAATAATTTTACCTCTTTTTCTCACTGTATTACACTGATTAGGATCACTAATATATTGTGTAGCTTTCCATTTAAAGTTCAAATTTCTGGACACAGTCCTGCTCTGCCTGTTGTCTGGTGTCTAAAAACTATTGTATTATAGATTTTTCTTAATTATCTAGTTATTTTAAGGTCATAGGGTATATCCAACCCCTGTTACTCTAAATGGCCTGAAGCAAAATGCATTTTGTGTGTCTTTGCAATTAATGTATGTTGTAAACAGCATATACTTGTCTTTTTCTATTTTATTCCTTATGGCAATCTCTGCCTTTTAATTACAATTTTTGGTATACTTACATTTAATGTAATGATTTATGTGGTTGAGTTTAAGTCTGTCCCTGGCTATTTATTTTTATTTGTTTTCAGTGTTTCTCTCTTCTTTTATGTCTAATTTCCTATCTTTTTTGAAGAATTTTTGATATTCTGTTTCCTTCCCACTATTAGCTTTCTTTAGATAATCTTTGGTATTTAATGTTTTGTTTTTAATATATGGTAACTATAATGGTTAAAATGCTTTATTCTTTAATTTACCATCTCTATTTTAAATTATTATAGAATATTTATACTTAATGTAAGAACCTTGTAATATTATAATTCAGTTTCTCTCCCATCCCTTGTGATATTCTTGTTTATGTCATAATTCTACATGTTTTGAATTCTACAATATATAGAACGTGTAGTCTATATATCTATATCTAAAATATAGACATATATAAATTTATATATCTATATTATATATCTAGATACCTAGATATAGAGATATAAATAAATATATTTTACAAATAAATAATATTTGACTATATAGTTAAACATATATATAGCTATAGTCAATAGATTTAAAAATATTTAAAAACAAAAAATTATGTCTTATCTTCAACCATTACCAATTACCATTTCCAGTAATCTACATTTCTACCCATAGACCCTTAATTTCATTAATTTTTAATTTCTTTTGCCAAAAATGCTTTTAACATTCTTGTTGTATCGATCTAATAACAAATTCTCTGGGCTTTTTTTATCTAAAAATATCCTTATTTCACCTTAGCTTTTGAAATATATTTCTAGATATAAAATTCTAAGTTGATAGATATTTTTTCTAAATTATGTATTTTAAATATATAACTCTTTCGCTTTCTGTTTCTCATTATTTCTGAGGATAAGGCGATTGCTATTTTGATCACTGACCTCTTATTATAATGTACATATTTTTGTATTTTCCCCTGGTTATGTTTAAAATTTTCTCTTTAGGACATAATAATTGTACACACATATGTGCATCCAAAATGTGAGAACCTAAATATATTTTAAAAATTAAGAGATCTGAAGGGAGGCACAGACTGCAATACAATAATAGTAGGAGATTTCAATGCCCACTTTCAACACTAGGCATATTATCCAGATAGAAAATCACTAAGAAAACATTGGGCTTAGGCCAGGGGTGTGGCTCATGCCTGTAGTTCCAGCACTTTGGGAAGCCAAGGTGGGCAGATCACTTGAGACCAGGAGTTTGAGACCAGCCTGGCCAACATGGTAAAATGCCATCTCTACTACAAATACAAAAATAAGCTGGCTCTGGTGGCTCCCATCTGTAATCCCAGCTAATTGGGAGGCTGAGGCAAGGGAATTGTTTGAACCTGGGTGGCAGAGTATGCAGTGAGCTGAGATTGCACCACTGCACTCCAGCCTGGGTGACAGCCCATCTCAAACAAACAAACAAAAAAACAAAGAAAACATTGGGCTTGAACTGCATTTTAGAACAAACAGATCTAACAGATATATAAGGATCCATTATACTCAACAGCAACAGAATGCACATTCTTCTCAACTGCACACAAAACTTCTCCAGGATAAATCATTTGTTAGGCCGCAAAACAAGTCCAACTATAAGAAGATTGAAATCATATCACATATCTTTTCCAAAAACAATGTTATTGGTTTCTCTTAGTTATCTAGTTATTTCGCTTAATACAAGCTAGAAACCAATAACAGAAGGAATCATGGGGAAAAAAAACAAATATGTGAAATTAAACAGCATGCTCCTGAACAACGATTAGGTCAAAGAAGAAATTAGGGAAACTTAAAAAATAACTTGAGGCAAATGAAAATGACACACAACATACCAAAACTTATGGGATGTAACAAAAGCAGTTCTAGAGTGAAGGTTATAGCAATAAACACTTACATAAAAAATAGGATCTCTAATAACCTCATATTATACCTCAAGGAACTAGAAGAAGAAGAACAAACTGAGCCAAATGCTAACATAAGGAAGGAAAAAGCAAGGATTTGAGCAGAAAAAAAAAATAGACCCCTAAAACAAAATAGAAAAGATCAAGTGTTTTTTGTAAAGCTAAAAAAAAAAAATGACAAACCTTTAGTTAGAGTAAGAAAAAAAAGAGAGCAGGCTCAAATAAATAAAATAAAAAAGGAAACAGAAGACATTACAAATGATAACACAGAAATGCAAAGGATCATAAGAGACAACTATGTACCATTATACACCAACATATTGGACAGCCTAGAAAAAATAAATTCATAGAAACATGTAAGCTACCAGCCTGCACCAAGAAGAAATTGGAAATCTAAGCAGATCAATAACACATAAGGAAATTGAATCAGTAATTAAAAGTCTCCTGTCAAAGAAAAGCCCAGGACTAGGTGGCTTCATGACTGAATTCTATCAAACTTTTAAAGAAAAACTAGTACCAATTCTTATCAAACTCTTCAGAAAAATTAAAGAGGAGGGAATACTTTCAAACTCATTTTACAAGGCCAGTATCACTCTGCTACCAAAGCTATACAAAGACGTTACAAGAAAAGAAAACTATAGGCCAATATCTCTCATGAAAATAGATGCAAAAATTCTAAACAAAATACTAGCAAACCTGTTCAAAAGTACATTAAAATGACCCCATAAATACACAAAATTATTATGTGTCATAATTTTTTTAAAAGGCAAGAAATTTTAAAAAGAATCATTCATGACGATCATGTGAAATTTACCCTGGGAAGCAAGTTTGGTTCGACATATACAAATCATATGTGATTCACCATATTAACAGAATGAAGGTCAAAAACCATATGATAATCTCAATAAATGCAGAACTATTTGATAAAATTAATATCCTTTCATGAAAAAATTCAACAAATTCAGTATAGAAATAATGTTTCACAATGGAATAAAAGCCATATATGACAAGCCTATAGCTAACATCATACTCAACAGTGAAGAGTTGAAGGCTTTTTCCTGTAAGATCAGGAAGAAGACAGGGATGCTCACTTACACTACTTCTGTTCAACATAGTACTGGAAGTCCTAGTCAGAACAATTAGAGAAGAGAAATATATACCATCAAAGCTGACAAACAATTTTAAAGTTGCAAGATACAAAATCAACTACAAAAAATCAATAAAATTTCTACACATTAACAACAGCTTATCTGAAAAACAAATTAAGAAAATAATCCCATTTACAATAGCATCAATAATAAAATACATAGAAATAAATTTAACCAAGGAAATGAAATATCTGTATGCTGAAAACTATAAGACACTTAAGAAAGAAATTGAATAATACACAAGTAAATGGAAAGATATCTCACATTCATGAATTAGAATAATTAATATTGTTTAAATGCCCATAATACCTGAAGGGCTCTACAATGCAATCCTTATCAAAATTCCAATGTTGTTCTTAGCAGAATAGAAAAAAAAAAGTAATTATAAAATTCCTATGGAACTACAAAACACTTCTAACAGCCAAAACAATCTTGGCCAAAAAGAACAAAGGTAGAGGCACCACACAACTGGATTTCAACGTACATTACAAAGCTATAGTAATCAAATAGCGTGGTATTGGAATAAAAACAGACACATTGCCCTATGGAATGGGACAAAGAGCCGAGAAATAAGTCCACATATATATGATCAGTTGGTTTTTGACAAAAGAGCCAAGAACACACAGTTGGAAAAGGACATTACTTTTAATAAATGATGTTGGGAAAACTAAATATTCACATAGAGAAGAATGAAAATCTCCCCTTTTATGTAAGAATCAACCCACAATGTATTAAAGACCTAAATTTAAGACTTGAAACTATAAAACTACTAGAAGAAAAATCTAGGGGAAAAACACCATGACACTGGTCTGGTCAGGGATTTTGTGAATATGTTTTCAAAAGCATTGGCAAAGAAAGAAAAAACAGACAAATAGGGTTGCATCAAACTAAAAAAAGCTTCTATACAGCAAAGAGAACAATTAGTAGAATGAAGAGACAATCCAAGAATGAAGAGAAAAATATTTGGAAATGTTATATTAGATAAAGGGTGAATATCCAAAATATTCAAGGGACTCTAACTTCTCAATAACAAGAAAACAAATAACCCTATTAAATAATGGGCAAAAGACTTGAATAGAGATTTCTTAAAAGAAGACACACAAATGACCAACAGATATATGAAAAAAACCTTATTATTTCAAATCATCAAATAAATGCAAATTAAAACAACAATGAGATATATCACCTCATATCTGTTATATTGGCTATTATCAAAAAATGAAAAATAAGTGTTGGCAAGGATGTGAAAAAAAAGAAACCCTCATAGGCTTTTGTTGGTATTGTGAATTATTACAGTCATTTTGCAAAGCAGTATGAAGATTCCACAAAAAACTAAAAATAGAATTGCCATTTGATCTAGCAATCCCAGTACTGGGTATATGCCCAGAGAAATTGAAATCAATATGCTGAAGACATATCTATACTCCCATGTGTATTGTAGCATTATTCACCACAGCTAAGATATGGAAACAACCTAAGTGTTTGTCAATGGATAAATAGATTTTTTAAATGTGGTATATATACACAATGGAATACTATTCAGCCTTAATAAAAAAAGGAAATTCTGTCATTTGCAATAACATGGATAAATCCAGAGGTCATTACATTAAGTGAGAGAGGCCAGGCACAGAGAGATAAATACCATATGTATTAGTCCATTCTCACACTATTATAAGAATTGCCCAAGCCTGGGTAATTTATAAAGAAAAGAGGTTTCATTGACTCACAGTTCCACATGGCTGGGGAGGCCTCAGGAAACTTACAATAATGGCAGAAGGGGAAGCAGGGGCATCTACATGGTGGCAACTAAGAGAGTATGTGAAGGAGGAACTGTCAAACACTTATAAAACCACCGGATCTCCTGAGAACTCACGCACTCTCACAAGAACAGCATGGGGGAAACCGTCCCCATGATCCAATTACCTCCCACCAGGTCTCTCCCTTGATGTGGGGATTATGGGAATTGCAATTTGAGATGAGATTTGAGTGGGGACACAGAGCCAAACCATATCACCATATAATCTCACTTATAGGTAGAATCATAAAAAGTCAAACTGACAGACAAAGTAGAGAGTACATATATGGTTACTAGAAGCTAGAGGAAGCAGGGAGGTGGAGGTGAAAGGGAAAACGTTGCTCAATGGGTGCAAAGTTACAGTTAGAAGTAGGTTCAAGTATTCTTTTGAGCAGTAAGGCAACAATAGCTAATAATAATGTATATTTCCAAAAAGCTAAAGAAAGGATTTTTGATCATTCCAAAATACATACACATATTGAAATATTACATTATATCCTATAGACACAATTGTCCTTCTTTAATTAAAACTCTAAAAAATTTAAAACATGAAACAGAATTTCTTCTTTATCTTCAATTGTCAGCATTTTTATTTGATATACATACATGTGTTTTCCTTTGAATTTATACTGCTCAAGTTTTGATGAATTTTCTGGATGTCTGAACTGATGACTTTTCTTCATTTAGGAATATTTTGTGCAATTTTTTTCAAATTATCTTTTACACCTCTTTTTGTCTTTTTTTGTTTGTTTGTTTTTGGGAAGGAGTCTCACTCTATCACCCAGGCTGGAGTGCATTAGTGCGGCCTCGGCTAACTGCAACCTCTGCTGCCTGGGTTCAAGTGATTCTCCTGCCTCAGCCTCCCGAGTAGCTGGGATTACAGGCGCCCACTACCACAGCCGGCTAATTTTTGTATTTGTAGTAGAGACGGGGTTTCACCATGTTGGCCAGACTGGCCTCAAACTCCTGACCTCAAGTGATCCACCCACCTTGGCCTCCTAAAGTTTTGGGAGTACAGGCATAAGCCAACTGACTGGCCTAAACATATTTAGCTGTTTTTATACTACATAAAAATAGAATTACATGTAGAAAATACTTGAAAGTGGATTATTTAAATGTCCAAATGTCCAAAGTGGATTATTTACATGTTTAAGAGAAATATAGGAACCACTGTTTTTCAAATATATCATCCCAGGGATAGGGGAAGGATTTCTGAATGAAGGTAGTGTTTGCAAAAATTAATAGCTATTTCCTGTCTAGATGTTGTGTCCAGTCAATTCAAGAAAGTAATTGCAGATGGATAGCATACGTTCTTTGTTGAGCTAGGCACTTTGGGAAATGAGAAGCACAGAACATGGCTCCTTCTTGAGAAAAATTACAGATGAGTTTTGGAAATAAAGTATTCACAAAAGTTACATATTAATATGAATTAATAACACAAAAGTGTAAGAGGCAATATGACAAATAATCAAATAAGTAGAACTAACAGAAAAGTTGTATACTTGGAAAAGAAACTGAAATGACCCAAGTGGGAAAATGGGGAAACGAGTGAAGATTTTCTATCATGGAAATGATAGAAAATCATTTTCTGTTCACTAGTTCTGGTGCTATTTAAAAATATATATCCAATAATTTATTAATCGTCTGCCCAATTATTTCAGTCCAAGAGACCTCATAATCCATTAGCCATGGCCAAAGAGCCTTATGGCAATATCATTCTTGTAATCATAGAATCCAAAGAATCTATCCAATTTCATTGTCTCTCACTAGCATCTTAGCACAGATAATAACCATTACATTTCTTCCCAAAGATGTTCTTGCTCCTTTAATGAAACATTTTTCAATAAATCGGTTCAGAGAATATAATTCGTGTCTTCCTCAAAGACAAAATGAGGGAGTAGGGATTAGGTCATTATCACAATCATGTCATTCTTAGCATTCTTGTTCTTAGACAGTACTTATCTTTTTTTGACAAATAATTCTAGTTAGCAACCTGATTTTAGTATTCCATTCCCCTTTACAGAGAGAAATCCTATTTTATTTTTTGCTGACAATAAACCACAAGGTAAAAAAAAAAAAAAAAAGAATACTACATATTAGCAGCTTTATTCTTGTTCAGGGTGGTCCGTAAAATATAAGCAGTAGTCATTGAGAACATTTATTAAGAAAGCTCTTTAAAGATTATTTATATGCAAGTTTTTGTTAATACAGAGCTAAAAGGCTAGTCAAAAATTTCAGGAGCATTGGCCGGGCGCGGTGGCTCAAGCCTGTAATCCCAGCACTTTGGGAGGCCTAGGTGGGTGGATCATGAGATCGGGAGATTGAGACCATCCTGGCTAACACAGTGAAACCCCGTCTCTACTAAAAATACAAAAAATTAGCCGGGCATGGTGGCAGGTGCCTGTAATCCCACCTACTCTGGAGGCTGAGGCAGGAGAATGGTGTGAACCCTGGAGGTGGAGCTTGCATTGAGCCGAGATCGCACCACTGCACTTCAGCCTGGGCGACAGAGCGAGACTCCATCTCAAAAAAAAAAAAAAAAAAAAATTGAGGCGCATTTATATGCTGATTTTAGAATTCCCTCCTATTTGTGGCTACCTTTAGTTATCTTCCTTGTGATTATTGAGTAACTAGCACTTTTATTTATCAGTTTTCAGATCTGCTCCCCCTATTGCAGTTTTCCTACTCGAGGTGTAATTCTCTCTGTTGTTGAATTATCTTGTTTTGCTATGGTTACATTGTTTCCTGAACTCCTATTTTCTTCGTAGTCCTCAGCTGCAACTGCATTTTCAGTCTTTTGATAGAAGGAGGTCCCATATTGCTTTTCTTCCCTTCTTTCAGTCTGAGAGATCCAGCATCCCTCTTAGACCAAAGGTCCAATATAGCTACTCACATGGTTGGTCCCTTGTTTGGGAAGGCTGAAAACGTAAACTCCTGTGTGACCCGTCCCTCTTCATTTGGTTTCAGGCCCTCTCCACAAGTTCCCTCCAGGTGAGTAGTCAGATTTCTTATATGGAGACTAAAGGGTCCAAGAAGGAATGTTTTAAGAGGTCCAGGCAGAAGTTGCAAGACTTAGTATGATCTACCCTCAGGACTTCGTAAAATTACTTCTGCAGTATCCACTGGTTAATAAGTCCATAAGCTAGGCCAGATTCAAGGGGAGCATGATTAGATTCCACACCTAAATTGGAGGAATAGCAAAGTATTTGCAACCAACCATCTTTAATCGACCACAGATGTTTTGTTTTAGTTTCACAAATCCTGAAAAGGGTAAACATGTATATACGATAGATGGATTTGAAAATGAACTACAGAAGAGCTCTAACTAAAGGTGAAAGAGGTCCAGCTGTAAAAAGGGGAACAAAGCAATCATTTAAACTCTCCAAAGGCACTATTGTTGAGGTAGGATGGACCTGGGAGGAGAGACAGGCTTTTATATCCTTAATAGAGACCTCAGAGCTCATGTTCTTCAGGAATCATAAAAATAAGCAAGTCATGCAGTGACTTATGCCTGTAATCCCAGCACATTGGGAGGCTGAGGCAGGTGGATCACCTGAGATCAGGAGTTCGAGACCAGCTTGGCCAACATGGAGAAATCCTGTCTCTATTAAAAGTAGAAAAAATTAGCTGAGTGTGGTGGTGGGCACCTGTAATCCCAGCTACTTGGGAGGCTGAGGCACGAGAATCACTTGAACCCAGGAGGTGGAGGTTGCAGTGAGCTGAGATCGTGTCATTGCACTCCAGCCTGGGCAACAAAGCGAGACTCTGTCTCAATAAATAAATAAAAAAGCAAACAAGCAAGTCAGTCATATCCAAACCAAGAATAATGAGATCCATTAAAGGTTCCCCACATCTCTGAGGAATATCTCTTTTGTTTATCACATTATGGCCAACAGAAACCCAGGGACTCCACACAGCATGGACCCTACTAGTACTGAGACACCCAAACCCTATTGACTAAACACAGGTGCTGGCTGTTTTCCTACCAAATTTCATATTCTAGCACAGAACTTACTTTCAAATTTTTGAAATTTTGAAGTTTCCCTGCTCAGGGAACTCTGATTAAGTAGATATCTCATGTTATGTTACTTATACCTTGGAAGAATTATAGTTTTCTCTTTAGAGAGGAGGAGTAGAATAAAAATTTTAAGAAAGTAAAATAGAATAGATTAAGTCCCTTTTATCTGTAAGTTCTTCACGGCCTTTCCTCATTTCTGCTAAATGTGCTGTCCATACAAGAAAAATAAAACATTGGCCCACCTTCCAAGGAACTTTTCTTCCTATGTGGTTCTGACAATGACCCACATGCCCTCTCTTGAGCCCCACAGGGCAGGGCTGCAAATCTTTGTGAGACTGTAATTGATAGGAGAATATGAAGCTATACAGTATTAGCCCTTGTGATTCAAAATAATGCCCTTTACTTCACTGACATGATTTTGCTTGATTAAATACGTGAAACATGATTCATTTAATCATCTTAATATAAGGGACTCCAGCTTACATTCCTTCATTAGATTCTTAAAATATTCTCTGTAACAATAGATTTTACTCTGCCTGAAGAATCAATCACTAATTACTCTTTTTTTTCCTCATGGTAAATAAATATCCTAAATTTTTTTAAAAATCAATGCTCAAAATATTTTTAAAAACTAATTATATTGATCTTCTCCTATATGTTTTCATTAAAAATATTTTCATTTGAATTCCATTATTCCTTCAAGGCATTTTTTAATCTACTTTTAATGGTTTCTCACATGATGCATGTCACTGGTTTATACTAACATTCTGTCATTAGCTAAATAAATAGCTTCTCTTTGGTATAATTTGTTTTTCTGTAGTTAAAATCACATCCATAAATGCACCCTTTTCGGAGTTCAGAATTAGGTATTTTTAAAATAGTCAATATAAGAAAAGCAAATGGAAATTTATAGAACATTATCAATAGTCTATAACTTTACCCCCAAAAAATTCACTGTCAGAGAATATATTGGGTCCTAGATTTGGTTATGAGTCCTTCAAGTGATCTAGATGAAAATTCTGGAAGCTGTCTATTCAGTACTGAGACAAATGTTTCTAGGTTGTCATTAAGAAGTCCTTGACCTGCTAGAACCCCTTACACTCTGCCAATGGAGAGGTTAGTATATTAAAATCACACACAGAAGAAAGAGTTAAAAATTATGTTTTAGACTTTGAAATAGCTCTTAAAACTTATTTTTAATGGTAAAGTAAGAGGTTCAATCATTCTTGGACATTTTTACTCCATTCATAATCCATGATGTGATTTTCCTTTTCTGTCTGTTCATCTAAAATAAGCATAGCCCTTAGTTATGTGCACAAAGTGTTTTACTGAAGTGTAAGGAAGCTATCCAGGGAGACAATTTACAGGCATGCAACTTAGTTACAGATTTTAGCATGATATGGATCAGACAAATATGTCTTCTCAGTTTCAACTTACTTACTTAAATACTGGCTGGACAATTCATTCAAATATCCAACACATGATATTGGGGGCTTATTCTTGAGAACACTGTCTATATGCCTTGTGACATGGCAGAGAATAAGAGGGACCCTACATCCTCATGGAGCTTTCACATAGCACCTTTTAAAAGAAAGAAAACATTCCCCAGAAGCACTGCATACTCTAAATTTGACTTATCCTCAGATTCTGCAACCATAAACTGCTGGCCTTTAATACAGATAATCTCCCACTAACTACTGTTTCTTACCTTTTTTAAAAAAATTAAGTCTCTCCTTAACTTCAATTTATTTCCTCATATTTGACCAGACTGTAGTTTTCATCATATACCTTCTACTTATCCATTCTCTTTGGTTCATACCTTCTGCTTACAAGCTGTCTTTAAAGTCAAGCAGGGGAGTTCAAACAGCTACTAGTGTCATCCAGGTATAAGCTGAAATGTAGTTTCCTTTCTTACTCTTCCAGTTCAAACTAGGTGGTCCTTCTATACTTTACTGTAGTAACACAGAAAGGTATGGTGTGTCTAAAGCTTCTCAATAAATCATTTGGGGTACACAGGCAATAACCTAGGTCTCCTAATTCTAGCCTAACTCTTTATCAGATTTCATCTTCAAATTGGACATAATTTTTAAATCAACAGTTACATGTTTACATTTCAAACAAAACTATAAGCTCCCTCAAGCAAAAATGTTTTCATATATGACAAAAGGAACATAATGACAGCACACATATGATATGAGAGGGGAGTTTCTTCCAAACACCATTTTAACATCATGAGTTTTGTGATTGGCAAACTGATTAAGTGAAAGCTGATAAGCCCCAAACTGGAAATGCAACAAGGATACCCATTTGTGATTGGTTCATGTGTCAATTATATGTGTATGAACAGAAGCAAATAGCAACTCTATGACCTTCCTTCCCTTCCCCTCCTCCAAAAGAAAGAAAAGGTAAGGAAAAAGTTCCAATTCCAGAGAAATAGGAACTTCTAACTTATTAGTTCTATATGACAGGGGAAAGTAAGTCACAAGGAAAAACCTAATGTGGATGGCTCTACTGAAAATGTGTCTTATTAACTAAACTGGTTAATCATACTCCTCACCCCCATAAATATTGTAAATATCACTTACTCATCATATTCAGTAATATATTTTCAAGAAAAAATTGATTAATTATAGCTTATAATGACAGACACAGCAGTGGCCACCACTCTACTAGGTATTGCTGAGTTGACTTGTGTCTAGGATTCTACTTGACAGCTGTCAGGTACTCAGGGACTTTGGGTGACAGAAGACAGTTTTTACCTAAAACTTTCAGTATTTTCAAAAGTAATGAAGTTGTATAGAATATGTGACCTTGGCCCAAGGTATATTTTTCAAAAGTTCATCAATTCATTTGTCCCCAAGGATTTAATTTGTTTTCCCATAAGACAATGATGGCTGTATCTTATAAAAAAATCAAGTAGAAATTACTCATAGTAGTAGTATATTAAACTTGTTAATATTGAGTGCTATTATGGGATAGGAACAATTAGAGTTGGTGCAGAAGTATTTGCGGTTTTTACCATTACTTTCAATGGAAAAAACCGCAATGCAATTACTTTTGCACCGACCTAATAAAAAACTTCTCTTTTAAAACATTGGATAAATTGTTAACTTATATCACTGAAAAAAAATTTAGTGTGGAGATCTATATATGTAAAGTTTTCTTAGTTACAAATGAATGTAATCACAATAATGGAATCAGTACCAGCTACATAATTTCTGGGGTATGGCAAAATAAAAATTTTGGGTGCCTTATTCAAAAATTATTAATTTTCAATGCAGTGGCAGCTGACTCTTAAACCAAGCACAGGACACTGTGTGACTCTACAGTTTGCATGCCATGACTGTAATTTAGAGTTAAGTACCTTGCTATATACATGCAATTACAAGTAAAAATCTTTCATCTAATAGAAAAGTAGACACAGCTACTGACATTTGCACATGAAGAAATTATAGCACAGAAGAGCATAATATGTTTAGCTAAAGCTTCCCAGAAAGTCAGCACAAGTACTCAGACAATAACCTAGGTCTCCAAACACCAGTGCAACTTTCCGTTTACTTTATCAGATTTCATCTCCAAATCGAACTCCAATTTCAACAAATGGCAAAGACATTGTATGACCAATATACTCTGTTTCCCCTCAAAACATCACCTCTGGAGTCAATTCCAAGAATTTAATTGTATGAGACAAACAACAACTGTTGCTTTTGTGAATTACTTTTTGCCCCATTCAGAGTCCAAAACATTGCAGGATTGGGGAAATGAGAAAACTCATAAAGCACCAGCTCCTTTCTATCCAGTGCAGCTGAGAGTTGTAATTAATAACTATAGAGAGACTCACAGTCCAGCAGCACCTAAAGTAATAACTACTTTTATGAATATGAGACACAGGTCTCAGGGGATCTTGAGGAAAGTTTCTGCTCTATTGATAACATTGTCAGACAACAAATTTCATATTACTGAACATGTCCTATTTCAGGATATGCTGGAAAGGGACACTGTAGGAAACATAAATGTCAGAGGAAATAGGAATGCCTGTGATGCTCCATACACATTTCTTTGAGCAATAAAGGTGATCTGGCTTGGGATGTCATTCTTGGAGTGACAAGAAATTAGAAAAGCACCCATACCTGGGGAAGAACTTGAACATGTGCTAAGTACAGACAACATTACAAGAAAGCCCAAGCTATTGAAAGTATCGATTTCCTGGTAACTACCCAGTATGCTATCCATTCCTCATTCTTTCTTTCATATATCAGCAAATATTTGTGTGTCAGATCAGCTACTTAGCCACACAGACCTTTATAATAAAAGTCATGTGATTCATTGTACACAGGTATAGACTGAATGCAATTGTCATGTTATTTCATGCACTATCTCCGCAAATTCTGTCTTTCATTAATCTTACCAGCAAGTTAAAACTGCTAGTCAAGAGTTTTTTTAATAGATACTCATTAGAAAGGGAAGATTTCTTGACACGTAATCACATTCTTTTCAATACTCAATAAGCATTCTTTTCATCCTTTTCCCGTTTGCCCCAAGAATACTAGCTGGTGGTGCTTGTGGCTGTGGTGTTTATGCTGAGATAATTTTGCCACGAATAATCTTGCTTTCATTATTATTTTCACATCACTCTGGTATATCGACTTTGGAAACAAGACATCAGTCTATTTAAGCCATTCTGGTTTTAGTAGTGGTCTTTCCATGTATAAAATATAGTAATTCTCGATAGCTGAAAACGTCAAATCCTAGAAAACGTAGCATTTTCTACACATGATGTTAACATCATTCTCGAACAGTTGTTGGCCAAAGATTCATCCTAAATAGGTGATTCTGATGATTCAGACGATTTTATGCTCTCTGTTAAGAAGTAAAGAAAGAACTTCAGGAACAGTTTTTATATTTTATTTTCACATTGAAAATCAGATTTGCTTCAGCCTCAATGAGCGTGTTTATCTAAAATTAAATGAGCTCTGGTAGCGAGCTGCACTTTTTTTTCCGAATAGGAAAGGGGTTAAACTAGCCAACAGAAAGCTCCCACATTCTCCACCCCTTGTGTCTACTGCCCCTAACCAAGTTGTTTGCCCAACCCCCAGCTACACCCTCTATTTTCTTGACTGAAAGGCAAGAAGGGCATTTGCAGAAGCACAAGCATCTCTAACCAAGCCTTTCCAGCTGGAAATATCTCTTTGTCATTCAGAGAACCTATTAGTTTGATGATGTTCCTTCAGTGCTCAGTGTATGGAACACCAGCTAGGTGCTTTATGTACATTATTTCTGGATGTTTATAAACACCACACAAGGAAATGTCATTCATTCTTTAAAAGCTAGGTGGGGATAGAGATAGGCTTTGAACATAAAGATGTGAAACAACAGATATGTTTCGCAGCTTGGGGGAAAAACCTGAATTGTCAGTGTCGTTTCCTGGATGGGTGAAATTACAGGTAAGACTCTTTTTATGTATACGGATTTAGAGATTAAAATAGAATTTCAAAATTGTTAATTTTTTCTTATTGAGTTAAATTAGGTAAAATTTGTGACTTCCTCTATAAAACATCTCCTGACAGGTAACATATTCAGTAAAGATGTCAATTACTGAACAAGTGTTATTCTGTTGTTCTAATTTCATTTTATGTCTGTCTTCTACTAGGTTGTATATCTTTTGCTGTAAAAGCATATGCTAATTCTTGTTTTGTGCCTGAATCTGACCATATTGTATGGCTAATCAAATCCATAACAATAGCAATTTTAATAATGTGCTGACTCCTTTATTTAAAAACTTTTATTTTAGGTTCAGGAGTACATGTGCAGGTTTTTCAACTCGTGTCATGGGGATTTGTTATACAGATTATTTTGTCACCCAGGTATTAAGCCTAGCACCCAATAGTTACTTTCCCTGATCCTCTCCCTCCTCCCACCCTCAAACCTCTGGTAGGCCCCAGTGTCTCTTGTTTCCACCTTTCTGTCCATGTGTTTTCATGATTTAGCTCCCACTTATAAATGAGAACATGTAGTATTTGGTTTTCTGTTCCTGCCTTAGTTTGCTAAGGATAATGACCTCAAGCTCCATCCATGTTCCTGCAAAGGATCTTGTAATTTTTTATGGCTGTGTAGTATTCCATAATGTATATGTACCACATTTTTTTATCCAATCTACTATTTATGGGCATTTAGGTTGCTTCTATGTCATTGCTATCGTGGATAGTGCTGCAAAGAACTTACCCATGCATATGTCTTTATGACAGAACAATTTTTATTCTTTGAGGTATATTCCCAGTAATGGGATTGTCAGATTGAATGGTAGTTCTGTTTTTAGGTCTTTGAGAAATTTCCATACTGCATTCCACAATGGTTGAACTAGTTTACACTCTCACCAACCGTGTATATATATGCATTCCCTTTTCTCCACAATTCTGCCAGCATCTGTTATTTTTGACTTGTTAATAGTAGCCATTCTTACCAATGTCAGATGGTATCTCATTGTGGTTTTGATTTGCATTTCTCTAATGATCAGTGATACTGAATTTTTTTCATGTGCTTGTTGGCTGTATGTATATCTTCTTTTGAAAAGTGTTTGTTCATGTCCTTTGCCCACTTTTTAATAGATTTTTTCTTGTAAAATTGTTTAAGTTCCTTATGGATGCTGGATATTAGACCTTCGTCAGATACATAGCTTGCAAATATTTTCTCCCATTCTTTAGTTTTCTATTTACTCTGCTGATAGTTTCTTTTGCTGCTCAAAAGCTTTTAACTAGATCCCATTTGTCCATTTTTGCTTTTGTTATGATTGCTTTCGATGTCTTCACCATAAAATCTTTGCTAGTTCTTATGTCAAGGATGGTATTACCTAGGGTTTTTATAATTTTGGGTCTAACATTTAAGTCTTTAGTCCATCTTGAGTTGATTTTTGTATATGGTGTAATAAAGGGGTCCAGCTTCAATCCTCTGCATATGGCTAGCCAGCTATCCCAGCATCATTTATTGAATAGGGATTCCTTTGTCTATTGCTTGTTTTTGTCAGCCTTGTTGAAGATCAGATAATTATAGGTGTATGGCCTTATTCTGGGCTCTCTATTCTGTTCCACTGGTCTATGTGTCTGTTATTGTACCAGTACCATGCTGCTTTGGCTGCTTTAGCCCTGTAGTATAGTTTGAAGTTGGTTAATGTGATTCCTCCAGCTTTGCTCTTTTTGCTTAGGATTGCTTTGGCTGTTTGGGCTCTTTTTTGGTTCCATGTGGTTTTAAAATAGTTTTCTCTAGTTCTGTGAAGAATGTCATTGGTAGTTTGATAGAAATAGTATTGAATCTGTAAATTGCTTTAGGCAGTATGGCCATATTAACGATACTGACTCTTCCTATCCATGAGTATGGGATCTTTTTTCATTTTTTTGTGTCATCTCTGATTCCTTTCAGTAGTGTTTTGTAATTCTTGTTGTGGAGATATTTCACTTCCCTGATTAGCTGTATACCTAGGTATTTTATTCTTTTTGTGACAATTGTGAATGAGATTGTGTTTCTGATTTGACTCTCAGCTTGGCTGTTGTTGGTGTATAGGAATACCAGTGAGTTTTGTACATTGATTTTATGTCCTGAAACTTTGCTGATATTGTTTATCAACTGAAGTATTTTTGGGACTGAGACTATGGGGTTTTCTAGATATAGAATCAAGTCATCTTCAGAAAGGGATAGTTTGATTTCCTCTTCTCCTACTTGGATGCCCTTTATTTCTCTCTCTTCCCTGATTGCTCTGGCTGGGACTTCCAATACTATGTTGAACAGGAGTGATGTGAGAAGGCATTCTTTTCCAGGGCTGGTTTTCAAGCAGAATGCTTCCAGCTTTTGCCCATTCGGTATGGTGTTGACTGTGGGTTTGTCAGAGATGGGTCTTATTATTTAGAATATGTTCCTTCAATACCCAGTTTACTGAGAGTTTTTAACATAAAGGAATGGTAAATTTTATCAAAAAAAAGTGTTGAATTCTCACATCATATAAGACATTGTGTTCCCTCTTGGCATTTATGATGCTAATTCATCTTCATAATAACCCAATGGTTTGAATACTTATTATTTTCATTTTACTAATGGGAAAACTGAGACTTACAATTACATGCACACTAAATTTAGACTCTGCTTTCTGAGTTGATAAACCTTCAGAAGCGCCTTCCCTTTAAAAGCCTATGTTAGCTTCCCTCCGATTCCAGCAGCAGCAGAACTGAGACATAAATAGAAGGAAAGACTCAGGGACTTGTGAGGGTTCCCAGATACAATCCTTAGGGCTAAGTATACATCAGCAGGTCAAGTAATGTATTTGTGACTTGAGCACCAGCCTCTCTTGAGCTGTAGGATATCAAAAAAGCCCTGACCACGATGGTGGCTTGCAGCAGGGAGCTCTTCATCCCGCTTAAAAAGCAATATACTTGGACCATAAATTCTTAACATCCAGATTTTGTTTGCTACTTTTTTTTTTTTTTTTTTTTTTGAGACGGAGTTTCGCTCTGTCGCCCAGGCTAGAGTGCAGTGGCGCGATCTCGACTCACTGCAAGCTCCGCCTCCCGGGTTCACGCCATTCTCCTGCCTCATCCTCCCGTGTAGCTGGGACTACAGGCGTGCGCCACCATGCCCGGCTAATTTTTGTATTTTTTTTTTTTAGTAGAGACGGGGTTTCACCGTGTTGCCAGGATGGTCTCGATCTCCTGACCTCGTGATCCGCCCGTCTCGGCCTCCCAAAGTGCTGGGATTACAGGCGTGAGCCACCGCGCCCGGCCTTGTTTGCTACTTTAAAATGTCTCTTCTTCTTGCTATGTGGCAGAACAGTATGAAAGATGTGTTTCCATCTTTGTGTCTTGTTGTCTTTAGATTGCTACCACGTGTAGAATCATATCTGGGCCTGTCTATTTTATGTTATCCTAAGGTCTTTTGGTTTTAAACATTTCTCTTTGAATTACCACTTTAGCAGAGAAGGGCCAATCACCCAGTGGATGGATGGCTCAGTTTTGTTGTACTCTTTTCTATACAGTATTATGTTCTAGTCTTATTTTAACACTTCAACCTGAAAAGAAGGAAAAAATATGCCTTTACTACTTCTTTCTTTCTTTATCCTTTACTACTTCCCCAAAGGAAGGAGAGGCTGAAGTGACTGGTCAGAACTCAGTATTGAATGTCATTTAAAAGGCATCCAATCATCAGTGGGATTTTGCTTCCAGCTTTTGCCCCCGGGTGCAGCATTCACTCTTCTGTGTCGGTGATGCAGGTGCAGGCATACCCTGAGCAGAGCCACCAGCCTCCTCACACTTGCAGTTCCATCTCAGATTGGGGGATGGTGTGTGATGCATACTTCCCAATCTTGTCCATGTGACCTGTAGGGGAAGTAGATTCAGAGTCGTCTCCACAAACTGCACAAATGGAAAGGAGTAGGGCCATCTACTTTGGCTTACAGGCTCATTGTCTCTGAAGGAAAAAAAAACATGTATATATACATATATCTCTCTAGAAAAGTCCTACACCTACACCTGTTTGTATAAAAGATGTTAGGGCCAGGCACAGTGGCTTACGCCTGTAATGCCAGCACTTTGGGAAGCCAAGGCAGGGGGATCATTTGAGTCTCTACAAAAAAAATTAAAATAGAAGGTGTGGCTGGTAAAAAATAAGGTTGGTCCTTTATTTCCCACTTGCTTATTTTTCATTTTCTTTTGTTGTTGTTGTTGTTGGTGGTGTGTGTGTGACTATCAACCCCAGAAAGCTGTAATGATATATAATAGGATTTCAGTGTCAAAACTCCACCTTTGCATGCATAACAACTCATATTTCTTTTCTCTATCTTGTAACACTCCAGAGATAGAGGGAAGAGGAGAGGTATTCAGAAAAAGGGCAGGGATTTGAAGAGACAGAGGGTAATTCTCAACTCAGCCTTTAAACCAAGATGTTTCCTTCAGCTCAGCCACCCAGGTTCCTTCCTTCCCTTGGCAGATGTGGCAGATATTGCTAGTTGCCCACCAAAGTCTTTGCTCTCCAAAGTCTTAGCTGACCCCTGTGCAGTTAACTAGAGACTCCACCTCTTCCAGCCCCGCTGTGGCCAGGTGATGGAGCCCTATGGCATATGGGCCACTTCTGGATCTTGCTCTTATGTGGAGCAAGTCTGCTTTCTCCTTGTCACTCTCCTCTGCCACTGGCTGGCATGCAGGTATGATGGCAGAGGGAGGTGCCTGGGATCCAGAGATCAAGCGTATTTTGAGAAGAATAGAGCTTCCCTGGCAGCCTTGAACTTCTTATGTTTAAATATTATGTGAAAAAAGTAAGTTTTTATAATCTTTAAGCCATTGTGTCTTGTATTTTTTTTTGTTGCATTAGTTTGGAGTCTACCCCAACTAGTACAAGTAAAGGGGTTCTTCAGTAACCTGGCCTACTCTTTTTCCTTGCATTTCCTTTACCCCAGTCCCACATTACACAGATTCTAGTTCACAACATAGTTTTCAAGATGCTTTTGACCATGATACAATTTGAGGGCTAAATCCCGTTTTATATCTAGTCATAAAGAGATATGTATCCCTTCCTCTTTACTGATGTTCTTCTAAGCTGATGATGCCTTCCCATCATTATAAAAACAGAGCTACTCATTCAATTTTAGCCACTTTATTTTTAATCCTTACCAAAAGTAAATAAAATCTTCTGGATGTTTATGAGTTCACCTTTGCAAATAAAAGTACAGAGTGATGGATGGTACTTAACTCTCATCCGTTAATAATTTGAACATTTTCTTTTTGTCTGTCGTGGCTGCCTTCATCAGTTTCTCTGTGGTAAATACATGTGCTCTTCTGGAAGATTTTTCACTACAGTGCATAGCAAACACTTTTCCAAAGAGAATGCCAAAGGAAAAAAATCCACAATATAAATTTCCAGACATTGCAGAAACTGTGGAAGGTAGGGTTTGGAATTCAGAGACTCGAGTATTTTAAATTTGGCAGATCTGTGTTTAAATATCACTTATTATCTATGAATATGGATCACGTTTACCTCTCCAGACCTCAGCTTCTTATCTGTGAAAGAGAAAAGCAATAGCGCCTTATGCAGATCAAACGACCTAATACAGGTAATGTGTGCTTTGTAGAGCAGATGGCCCCTGGCTGATACATGATAGCCACCTTCTTACTGTTAGTTCCTCTCTCTGTAGTTAATGTCTTGATTATTTTTTAAATTTGTCTTCACAGATAATTGACAGTCCATGTATTTGGAATCAGTGTCTGAAGCCAAAATGTTTGCCTGATTTAGGGAGAGTGAATGTTTTGTCAAGTCATTGGGGCCAACTCCAAATTCACAAAAACAACACAAAATGCTTTCTGAATTGTAAAGTGCTAATTATGCACCCTATTTATGATAATCTTACAAAGTCTCATTACCTACAGCAGTCACAAAGCATTCATCTCATTTCCGTTTAGGCTGGGAGAATTACAGGAAGGCCTTTTCACTCTTTCTGGAGTTTTCTGTATTTGATGACATTTCCCTATCTTGCTGCAAAACAGCAGCTGCAATTAATTACTTTTTGAATCAACTAGAGGAAAGTTTGTAAGTTTTCTGCTGCCCTCTGTCAATTCTGGCACAATGAATTCTTTTTTAGAGTTTCCATACAACTTGCATTTTAAGCATGTCAAAGAGAACAGGGCCTGAACATAAAATGGTAGGATGGGTGACCATTTTCTATTTAATATTTTTCCCAGAAAATGCAGCACTATAATAATCAACTTGGGATCCTAATGTTTGCAATTAACAGATTTTTTTCACTTTTAAGAGAAGTCTGAAACTTTGTAGAATTTGTTAAGATGACATCGTTTTATGCATCTAAGAGGATAATAAAAATCTCAACCACTTTGGGCTTGCCTATACTGACCTCATCATTTTCCAAAGTTTCAATCATCTGAAAGTGAAATACAATTAGCAAGGAAAATCCCAACCTGAAAGTTCTTGTCAGTTCCATTTAGTCAATAGTTGCAAACAAATACTGCTTCCCTGTTTGGAGGCTGTGTTAAGTGAAATGTCTTGCATTTATTATCTTTTCAAGTATTCAAGTGATAGAGAATGTGTCTGTCTGTGAATGAACACTTGAAAAGAAAACTTAACAGATGTTGCTTGAGCCTATTGTCATAATAGACACTGGAGCAAGGTGGAGGTAATTCTGCCAAAATTTATATAACCCTAATCAGGCAATCATTCCCTAGTTGATAATTTATAAACTTTTTCAGTTGATATTTTTGAATATAGGCTTTATGTAGGAAATCTAGTATTCTACAAATTCACTTTCAACAAAGTGATGTTATATATATTTTATTGAGTATATATATGTATTTCAATAGTTTGGGGGAAGAGGTGATTTTTGGTTACATGAATAAGTTCTTTAGTGGTGATTTCTGATATTTTGATGTACCCATCACCCGAGCAGTGTTAACTGTACCCAATATGTAGTTTTTTATTTCTCACCCCACTCCCACTCTTCCCCCCAAGTCCCCAAAGTCCATTATGTCATTCTTATGCCTTTGCATCTTCATAGCTTAACTCCCACTTATAAGTGAGAGAAAACATACAATATTTGGTTTTCCATTCTTGAGTTACTTCACTTAGAATAATGGCCTCCAGCTCCAGCCAAGTTGCTGCAAAGGCCATTATTTTGTTCTGTTTTTTTGACTGAGTAGTATTCCATGGTGTATATATATACCACATTTTCTTTATCCACTGGTTGGTTGATGGGCATTTAGGTTGATTCTATATTTTGGCAAGTGGGAATTGTGCTGCTGTAAACATGTGTGTGCATGTGTCTTTTCCATATAACTTCTTTTTCTTTTGGTAGATACGCTGTAGTGGGATTGCTGGATCGAACGGTAGTTCTCCTTTTAGTTCTTTAAGGAATCACCATACATTCCCACCAGCAGTGTAAAAGAGTTCCCTTTTTACCACATCCATGTCAACATCTATTATTTTTTTATTTTTAAGTTACGGTCATCCTTGCAAGAGCAAGGTGGTATCTCATTGCGGTTTTAATTTGCATTTATCTGATAATTAGTGATGTTGAGCATTTTTTCATGTTTGTTGACCATTTGTATATCTTCTCTTGATAATTGTCTATTCATGTTCTTTGCCCACTTCTTGATGGGATTATATGTTTTTTTTCATGCTAATTTGTTTGAGTTCCTTGTAGATTCTGGATATTAGTCCTTTGTCAGATACATAGTTTGTGAATATTTTCTCCTACTTCCTGGGTTGTCTGTTTACTCTGCTGATTATTATTATTATTATTATTATTATTATTATTATTATTATTATTTTTGGCTGTGAAAAAGTTTTTTAGTTTAGTTATGTCCCATCTATTTATTTTTGTTTTTATTGCTTTTGCTTTTGGGTTTTGTCATGAATTCTTTGCCTAAGTCAATATCTGTAAGAGTTTTTCTGATGTTATCTTCTAGAATATTTATGGCTTCAGGTCTTTGACCCATCTTGATTTGATTTGTCTATAAGGTGAGAGATGAGCATCCAGTTTCGTTCTTCTACATGTGGCTTACTGTTATCCCAGCACCATTTATTGAATGGTGTGTCCTTTCCTCCCTTTATATTTTTGTATGCTTTATCGAAGATCAGTTAGCTGTATTTGGCTTTATTTTTGGGGTCTCTGTTCTATTCCATTGGTGTATATTCCTATTTTTCTGCCAGTACCATATTGTTTTGGTAACTATAGTCTTGTAGAATAATTAGAAGTCGGGTAATGTGATGCCTCCAGATGTTTGTTTGTTTGTTTGTTTGAGATGGAGTCTCCCTCTGTCGCCCAGGCTGGAGTGCAGTGGCGCCATCTTGGCTCACTGAAACCTCTGCCTCCTGGGTTCACGCCATTCTCCTGCCTCAGCCTCTCGAGTAGCTGGAACTGCAGGTACATGCCACCACACCCGGCTAATTTTTTGTATTTTTAGTAGAGACGGGGTTTTACCGTGTGAGCCAGGATGGTCTCGATCTCCAGACCTCTTGATCTGCCTGCCTTGGCATCCTAAAGTGTTGGGATTACAGACGTGTGCCACTGTGCCTGGCCCAGATTTGTTATTTTTGCTTGGTATTGCTTTGTCTCTGTGGGCCCTTTGTTGGTTCCAAATGGATTTTAGGATTGTTTTAACTAGTTCTGTGAAGAATGATGATGGCATTTTGAATTGCAATGAATCTATAGCTTGCTTTTGGCAGTATGGTCATTTTCACAATATTTATTCTACCCATCCATGAGCATGGGATATGTTTTTGTTTGTTTGTGTCATCTAAAATTTCTTTCAGCAGTCTTTTGTAGTTGTCCTTGTAGAGATCTTTGACCTCTTTGACTAAATGTGTTTCTAAGTATTTCTTTTTATTTTTTCACAGCTGTTGTGAAAGAGACTGAGTTATTGATTGATGTCAGTTTGGTCATTGTTGGTGTATAGCAGTGCTACTCATTTTATACATTGATTTGGTATCCTGAAATTTAACTGAATTCATTGATCAGGTCTAGAAGCTTTTTGGACGAGTCTTTAGGATTTTCTAGGTATACAGTTATATGATTGTCAAATAGAAACACTTTGACTTTTCCAGTTTGGATGCCCTTTATTTCTTTCTCTTGTCTGATTGCTCTGGCTAGGACTTCCAGTAATATGTTTAATAGAAGTGGTGAAAGTGGGTATCCTTGTCTTGTTCCAGTTCTTGGGGGGAATGCTTTCAAATTTTCCCCATTCAGTATGATGTTCATTGTGGGTTTGTCATACATGGCTTTTATTAATTTAAAGTATGTCCTTTCTATGACAATTTTGTTGAGGGTTTTTATTTTTAAGATGCTGGATTTTGTCAAATGCTTTTTCTGTGTCAATTAAGATGATCATATGATTCTTGTTTTTAATTCTGTTTATGGGATAGATCACATTTATTGACTTGTATGTGTTAAACCATCCTTGCATCCCTGATATTAAACCCACTGGATCATGATGTATTTTATTGTCTTTTTGATATGCTGCTGGATTCAGTTAGCTAATATTTTGTTGAGGATTTTTGCATCTATGTTCATCAGGGATATTGATCTGTAGTTTCCTTTTTTTTTGTTTGTTTTATTATGACCTTTCCTCATTTTGGTATTAGGGTGATACTGGCTTCATAGAATGATTTAAGAAGAATTCCCTCTTTATCTGTCTTTTGAAGTAGTTTCAGTAGGATTGGTACCAATTTTTTTTTTTAATGTTTGATGTAATTCAGCTGTGAATCTGTCTGGTCCAGGAACTTTTTTGTTGGCTTTTTTTTTAATTACTGATTCAGTCTTGCTGCTTGTTATTGGTCTGTTCAGAGTTTGTATCTTCCTAATTTAATCTAGAAGGGCTGTATATTTCCAGGAATTTATTCATCTCCTGTAGATTTTCTATTTTATGCATATAAAGGTGTTCATAGTATCCTTGAATGATCTTTTGTATTTCTGTGGTATTGGTTATAAGATCTCCCATTTCATTTCTAATTGAGCTTATTTGAAACATCTCTCCTCTTGTCTTGGTTAATCTCACTGGTGATTTACCAGTATTGTTTATCTTCTTTTTTCATTTTTTTCATTTTTTTTTATTTTTTGAGACAGAGTCTCACTCTGTCACTCAGGCTGGAGTGCAGGAGTGCAGTGGCGCAATCTCTGCTCACTGCAACCTCCACCTCCTGGGTTCAAGCGATTCTTCTGCCTCAGCCTCCCAAGTAGCTGGAACTACAGGCACACACCACCATGCCTGGCTAATTTTTGTATTTTTAGTAGAATCGGAGTTTCACCATATTGGCCAGGCTGATCTCAAACTCCGGACCTCGTGATCCGCCCACCTTGGCCTCCCAAAGTGCTAGGATTACAGGCATGAGCCACCATGCCCAGTCTTGTTTATCTTTTCAAAGAACCAGATTTTTGTTTCATTTATCTTTTGTATTTTTCTGTTTCGATTTCATTAAGTTCTGCTCTGATCTTTGTTATTACTTTTCTTCTGCTGGTTTGGTTAAGTTTATTATTGCTTCTCTAGTCCTTTGAGGTGTTACATGCAATTGTTTATTTGTGCTCTTTCAGACCTTTTGATGTAGGCATTTAATGCTATGAACTTTCCTCTTAGCACCACTTTTGCTGTGTCCGAGAGGTTTTGATAAGATGTGTCACTATTATCATTGAATTCAAATAATTTTTAAAATTTCCATCTTGGCTTCATTGTTAACGCAAAGATTACTCAAGAGCAGATTATTTAATTTCCTTGTATTTGCATAGTTTTGAGGGTTACTTTTGGAGTTTATTTCCAGTTTTATTCCACTGTGGTCTGAAAAGATACTTAATTTAAATCTCTTAAATTTATTGAGATTTGTTTTGTGGCCCATCAAATGGTTTCTCCTGGAGAATGTTCCATATGCTGATGAGAAGAATGTATATTCTGCAGTTGTTAGACAGAATGTTCTGTAAATATCTGTGAAGTCCATTTGTTCTAGGGTGTAGTTAAGTCCATTATTTCTTTGTTGATTTTTTGTCTTGATGATCTGTCTAGTGCTGTGAGTGGAATATTGAAATCCCCTGCTATTATTGTGTTGCTATATCATTTTTTATATCTAGTAATAATTGTTTTATAAATTTGGGAGCTCCAATGTTAGGTGTATATATATTTAGGATTATAATATCTTCCTGTTGGACTAATCCTTTTGTGATTATATAATGTCCTTCTTTTTTTGTCATTACTGTTTTTGCTTTAAAGCCTGTTTTGTCTGATACTGTTGTTTTTTGTCATTACTGTTTTTGCTTTAAAGCCTGTTTTGGTTTCCATTTGTGTGGAATATCTTTTTCCACCCCCTTTACTTTAAGTTTATCTGACTTCTTATGTGTTAGGTGAGTCTCTTGAAGATAGCACATACTTGGTTGGTGGATTTTTATCCATTCTGCTCTTCTGTATCTTTTAAATGGAGCATTTAGGCCATTTATATTCAATGTAATTATTGAGATGTGAGCTTTGAGCTTCTTGTATTTGGATATCTAGATCTCTAGCAAGGCTAGGAAAGTTTTCCTCAATTATTCCCTCAAATAGGTTTTCCAAACTTCTAGATTTCTCTTATTCCTCAAGAACACCAATTATTCTTAGGTTTTTAACATAATTCCATATTTCTTGAAGACTTTGTTCATTTTTAGAATTTTTTTCTTGTCTTTGCCTGACTGGGTTACTTTGAAAGCCTTGTCTTCTAGTTCTGAAGTTCTTTCTTCTACTTTTTCTAGCCTATTGTTGAAACTTTTCACTGCATTTTGCATTTCCCTAAGTGTGTCTTTCATTTTCAAAAGTTGTGATTGTTTTTTCTTTATGATATCTATTTCTCTGAAAAGTGTTTTTTGTATTTTTTTTAATTTTCTACATCTTGTGTTGGTTTTATGAATTTCTTTAAGTTGGTTTTCACCTTTACCTGATTTCTCCTCAAGTGGCTTAATAATCAACCTTCCGAGAATTATTTTTCTCGCAATTCAGAGATTTCTCCTTCCTGCTTTCCTGGCAGGGGAGCTGAGGTAACTCCCACTCTTAAACTTGACAAAACTTTAGCACATCTAATTGAGAGCTCCCCCAGACACCCTCATTAAGGCTGGGACCTTGGCCCATCACTGAGTATCACTATACCCAACTGCCTTAGCTACAACCAGTGCCTACCCAGGGATACCTCCCCTATTGGCCTGAAGTCTGAATTGTCAACTCAGTAAATAAAACACTGGGAAAAAAATAAGTAAATAGACAAAGCATACACCATGAGAGAATGAGATAAGCTTCAAGAGACTCCTGCCATTCCAACTTCATAGGAGACAGTGAATTCACCCACATACCAAGAACATAACTACTGCAACCATTATTGGGGGATACCAGTGCACAGAGACTCTCTATAACTAAGGAACTCATATACAGACTTCAACCCTATAAGCACCAAGAATAAAGTTAGGCTAAAATAAACGTTAAATATCCTTAATAGGGGCCGGACTTGGTGGCTCACACCTGGAATCCCAGCACATTGGGAGGCCAAGGCAGGCCGATCATGAGGTCAGGAGTTCAAGACCAGCCTGGCCAATATGGTGAAACCCCATCTCTACTAAAAATATAAAAATTAGCCGGGCATGGTGGCACACACCTGTAGTCCCAGCTACTCTGGAGGCTGAGGCAGAAGAATGAGGCGGAGGTTGCAGTGAGCAGAGATCACACCACTGCACTCCAGCCTGGGCGATAGAGCGATACTCCATCTAAAAAAAAACAAAACAAACAAGCAAACAAAAAAACCCACACAGTCCATTCAAGAACAATTTGAAGAAATACACTATTCAGATGAGAAGGAACTAGAAAAGTAATTCTGGTAATATTACAAAATGGGGTTCTATAACATCTTCAAAAGATCATACTAGCTTCCCAGTGATTATGTTATATATTTAAGAAGGCAACAGTTGAGGTGAAGTCACTTTCTCTAATATAGTCCCTTCCTTAGCATGCATCTTGTACCAGCTCCACATTAACAGAGAACATTTTTTAGCTTCCTAGGTAATAGAGGCTGGGCCAATCCAAATTTCTAGACAATAATATTGTGAAAATGTGAAGTCCTAAGAATAGTATGGCTGAGTCCACATAGAAAAAGGAAGTATTATATAAAAAGGGGTTGCAAGTATAAAACCTTAGTTTCCTACAAGTGAGTCAGAACTTAAAAATAGTCATGTTTACCTTTGTTCTTTCAATTTGTTCTTTCACTTTAATAGTAGTAAAACAAGATGCCAGAAGATGACTTAATGAGTCTCAGATTGACTGAGGTGTAAATACTATGGTTTATCAGGGAGCCAAACTTGAATGAGACAAAACCCGTCTAAATGCTGATTTTCAATGAAAGTGATTCAAAATCTGTTCCAGAAATCCTGGAACACTTCATGAATATAATAAGAGATCAGAGTGTTAGGAAAGGACTTTGTGAAAGAGATTTGTGAATACAGTCCTTTAAAGGACCTGTTGCCTTGGTGAACTCTCAAATGGCCACCTTCAGTGTAGGAGAAGCAAGGTGTCACTTTCTAACTTCAAGCTTAGAAAGGGAGCCTCGAAGGCATCAAAAGATAATTTGCAGAAAATTAACTCTCACTCAAATGTATAGTGTGTCAATAATTTATTTAACTCACTAATGAGTAAACCCACCTAATGACAAACCTGGTTCAAAGAAAAATACGTATATATCTACATACATATAAAACACACACACATATATTTTTTCAGTAGAGAAGCAAATGCCAGAATAATATTTTAAAGTTAGACGGAATATTATATAGTGTCCTATAGGGCAAAAGTGTCATAATCATAAATCATCTTCTCTACGAAAAAATCTCATTTGCATTCCTACTGATTAAAAATAATTTGCAACTGATCAATATTCTATAAGTTAATATCTGACTTTTTAGAGCCTGAGTCCTACTTATCAGCAAATGGTAAGTCAAAAATATTATCTTTATCTAGAGTGACAGATGACCTTTGGACAGGTTGGTCAGACATTCCTCTGATATAAATTTGAAAGGGCACATGGTAATCTTTTTGCCTTATTTATAAGTTTTAGATAACGTTCCTTGATAAGATGATCACTCAGAGTGCTTTGTAATATATTCCCTACAGTTAAAAGATAGAGTTATATCTCTACAGTTAAAAGATAGTGTCTGATTCCTGCCTGAAGAAGCTAAAGTGAATTAGGGATGGGGTTTGATCTCATCTCTGAAAATCCAGAAGGCAATCATCAGGTAGACTAATATTGGTGGCAGAACCAGTTTAGTGCTACTGCACTAAGAGGGTCCTGAACCCCCAAGTGCTGCAGATGTGTTTTCCACCATCTAGAGTAGGTCTTGTGGTGGAAGGAGTAAGTGCAGCATCCTCTTGGTTCTGATCATATAATCTTCTGGATGGGCTAAGGGGCATTAGGAGAAAGGCTGAGGTTGTGCTGCTGAATGCTCAGGGACTCAATTAGAGGTTACAAGAGGCCATCTGAGAGACAGATACATCTGGCTGATCATGGCAACTACAGCAAGGGGGACCAAGCAGGCTACCATGGCAGTGCCACAAGAGCACCCACAAGATAAAGATCATCATTGGCTGGGCATACCCAGGGTCACTAACTTTAGGCATTTGCCAGGCTAAATATTATATAAATAGTTAATGAATATTCTTGACAAGACAAGTAAGAACCGGCCTACTGACTCACCAGCATCAACCACCTCCCTGGAAGGAAAATAGAGAATGTGAATATGAAGAAATTAGAGAACAGAAGTACCTTACACTCCTGCTCTTGGAGACTTTCAGCCTGAAGTGGGTTCAATCAAATCTTTAACACTAAGTCAAGTTTCAAATTTTAACTTTTATGTGAGACTGGACATTAATTTTATTTAACTTCTGCATTTTGACTTTTGTGATTAAAAATGGCTAGATTTTTTGTTTGTTCATCCTTAATATAAATGGGAAGAGTAAAGTCATAGGTATGCCCAAATTTTCATCTAGAGGAAGGGCTAGATTATATACCTCTAAATAAAATTTAAAAGAGATAATGGGAAGTAGAAATAAAAGTGCATTGTGGTTACCATCTACATGTTACACATTTTAATGTAAATGTTATACTTAAGAACTGGTGAACAGTTTTTCCTTCTAAGCTTATATGGAGGCTTTAGACTTGAACCTCAAACTCATATGCCTTCCCATTTCCCATATGGCTCTGCACCTGGGACCACCAGTGAGTCATTTGTCTTCCTCAGAGCTCTGTCTGGCTCCAGCAAGTAACCCTTAGACTCTAAAGCCAAGCTTTACTCCCGATCCTCAAATAATAATTAAGAGTAGAGTTGGTTTTGAAAATCTATAAATAATTTAAGCCCTGGGAATGCTAATTTCAAAAGTCAACTGGTTTGAATGTCCAATCTCTGAAGGCACAACAATTACTATAGAGCTATGTATAAACTTAAATGCCAGATTGCTGTGAAATTTTGAGATACAACAAAGATCATTTGGAAAGAGGATTATAAAAAAGATGACTGTAGATTACTCTGATGTCCTTGTCAGAACTCATTGAGAAGAGGTGGTGGATGCCACCAAGGTCCAGAACAACACTGACATTCCTGGGTCTCCATAGACACTACCTGGGAGTGAGGAGTAAGAACTAGCCCTGTCATTGTTTGAAAAACAATTCTGAGAATGAATCTGGAGACAGTCCAATAAAAGGTGAGAATGAAGTGTGGAGGTCAGCTGATTAGTTGACAAAGGGCAAAAGGATCCTCAGTACAGTGCAGGATAAACCATTCTGACACATTCTATATCTGAGGATGCAGCATTCACTACTACAGTTAATTTTCTACAGACCAGACCCAGTTAATTGATTTAAGAAGTACTGGGCCTTTTCAATGTGAATGTGAACACCTTGGTCAAGACAGCTGGGAAAATGGGCTACATTCACTATTGTATAGTGCTTAGTGGAGCCAATGGTGCACTCTATATATGAGTGAGTTCAATAGTTCAGCCATCAAGGATAGACCAAAGGATTTATTCATTAGTTCTGGACCCCAGTGGATGAAAGTTATCCCCAGAGACATTAACTCCCTGTATTCCAGGTTGTAAATGCCTGTTTGATGGATGGGTACCACAAAGACTGCAGCATGAGAGAAGATCAGGGATAAAATAAACTACTCCTAGAGGGAAGACACTGTCATCATGAAGTGAATGGCTGAAATCAGAGGGGAGCTGTCAGGATATCTGTCTGGACATGGGAGGTATACAATGAAGCCACAGCTAACAGTTTAATGGGAGAGTAGATATTAGACAAACTTAAAAAAATTTGAAGTCACCAATTATAATAAAGGTTAGAAAGGAAAATAAATAGGGTCTATGATAAAGAAACTAGAAGAGAGGGAGACCTAATTTTGATGGAAAAAGTCAGAAAAAGACCTTGCTGAGAAACCAGCCTATACCCTGAGTTCAAATTACAATAGTGACAGAGGTCATCTAAAGGCTCTTCCAGTTTACAGTCTATAAGCTATGAGAGGAAGCAGGATGTGCAAGGTTAAAACCTTTTTCCAGCTGCAGGGACAAATATAGGATGCCATTAAATAGTGTCTAGGAGTGCCAAATGGGCCCCCTGATACAGATCAGACCCCTCAGTGCCTGTCATAGTATCTAGAATTTTAGCATTATTTCATTCTCCCTAGTTCTGTGTGACACAGTAGAAAACTTATTTTAAAAAACCAATTTCAGTGCAGTTTATTAGTATAATTCCATATGTAGGGTGGGAGGTTCCTATAACTTTCTCTGTTACTATTCCTGGAGATAAGAAATATATTAACAGATTATTCTGGTTCAAGACAAGACAGAACTCCACATCTCAAACCACTCAATTCCTTACAGTTCTTCCCAAGAAACTCAGAAAAAGGAATACTTTTCCTCAATTTTGCCAAGCATCATAACAGATTTTCAATTATTTTGCTTTTGGAAAGATCTAACATAAAGTTTTCCAAATGCATTTCCTCTATTACTTAAAATATGTTTTTAATTTATTTATATTCAACTCAACATGTTGCTTAATAAAAGCCATTTGATGTCCAAGCCAAATTTTGAAGATTATTGTATTTTTCCTCAAAAAGCTTTGAAGAGGAAATTTTGTTCTGCCAGAACAAAATAGAACTGGACTATTGAATAAAGGTAAATTTGGTTCTATTATCTCTCAAGAACAAGAGAATTGAGGGGTTAAAGATAATTAAAAAATAACTGCCCTTGATTACTGGCTATAGGAACTTGCAGGGTCTTTTAAACTCAAAGGAAAAAACATTTAAAAAAAAAAAACTAGTGAAAAACTATGCTAATTTTAGGGAAGTCAAAAGCTTAGCTTTAGAAAAACGTATTAGTGACTGAATTCAGTTTACACATTTAGATTTTTGAAAAACAGGTGAAAGACTTTAGTTCCAGCCAACTGGCTTACTTCTTATGCCCTGAGGAAGAACAGATAGATGGAAGAGTCTAAAGGTGTTCACTGGCCAAGGAGAAAATAGACCTTGAAATAGATCACTTAGTCAGACCTCTCATTATTTTAACTACTACTCAGCATAGAATGGCACAACACAGATAATAAAGTATTATGTTCCCAAAGGCAACTTCTTGAAAGGCTAGCTTGGCAGTTGTTCATTTCACCTGGAGACTTCAATTCAACATTACAACAAATGGAGTCTGGCATGGAGCTGTGAGAGGTCGCTAATTTATTAACATCAAGAGGCAAGTTTTAAAGGGACAGTTGTCCTTTCTGCTCATAATACTTCCGGAAAGGTCAGAATCATTTACAGTCCCAAAAATGTGCAAGCAAATAACTTGGATTACACAGTAATGTAATTCCTCACATTGATTTGGTGAGCCCAAGAAAATCCAAATAACAGAGCAGTCACAAAATTGTGAGATATTTTTTCATTCAGTATCATTCTGCCTGAAGGTTCCAATGTATCTCATTATCCCTTCATCCCCAAACATTTTTCTAGATGTCTCAATAGTGAAGGACCACTGATGCTTAAAATATATGCCCCAAGATTGTGTTGTCCAAAATTATTTGTTAATAGTAAATATTTATTATTTAAGCTACCCCCAAGCTACCTCAGCAATAATTTTTCCAACATATGAGCCTACAGAAAAAGTTTGTTCTCTAAGGTTTAGATCTGTAGTTTCAACTTCAACTTAAAAAAAATCAGAAATAAACCTCTAAAGTGAAAGTCTAATAAATGTGAAAAATTATCTTACTGTGGATAGATTTATTGTGTTCAGATTTATTGAATTTTAAAGGCACAGAACTCTACAGATTAGATGCCATTGGGATTATTCTTGGCGCTTTAAGAAAAACGCTGGGTCGGGATTAACTCAGGGAAAATAAGCACAATGTTCTAGATTTTGAGAACACTGACAGTATTCTTATGAGGGTTAAGCCAAGGTAATTCATAGGCTAGCATCACATAAAAAGATCATATTTCTGGATTTTCAAGGATGCTGTGGGGGCTGAAAATTGGCTAAAAGGAAATTCACTGATTCCTCAATTTTCTGCCAATTTCTAGCTCCACTCTTTCCCAAGTTTCCTCTTTTGCATTATTTCAATAATATTCTTAGCCACACCATAAACACTGTTGTTTGTCTTTTCATCATACTTCATCACACTTTGTAAGGCAAAACTGCATCCCTCATGCAGCCCACTCTTTGCTTTCTCTCTCTTTCTACTCAAGTGATCAAGTGCCCCACAATGCAGCCTATTGATATTATTAGAAATTTTAGTTCAGTGGCCTCAAAGGAGCCATCAAAGCTGTTTGGCAATCCTACCCAGTTCTCTGATCTCTTGCTGTCTCAATTCTCTACCATCTTCCCTCTGCACACCATATAAACGCATGCATGCACACACACACCCACATGCACAAACACACCTTTTTCTGTCTTATTGGTACAATGGAAATAATAATAGTTCTTCCTAGCTTTCTTGGAAGAATTAAATGAATTGTTACATGAAGCTTTCAGAACATTACCCAGAAAAAATAAGTGCTACATTGTGTTACTTGTTGTTAAGACTACTATTATGATTATATACAGTTGCTTACTCTACATTTCTATTGTCAGGTGGATTAAACTCGAGGCAACATATACTGGCTGAATTTATGAAATTTCCCAATAAACATTCCACATGCTCCTAGTTCAATGAATTGCACCAGATATTTTTGATCCTCTCTTCTCTCTCATAAATCCTCACCCTGATAGACATTCCATTATGATAGCAGTAGTGTGGTATCTTAGATATTAGACTACCTCTCAAAGACTCCTTACCTTCTCCATATTCCAGCCTCATTTTTCTCCTTCCAGATCCTTGCACAATCAAAGCTTTTGCAAATACTGCATCTTCTGTTTATGATGTTATTTCTCTACCTGCTCAGATCTGATCTTAACTTCTTCTTCTCTTTTCTTCCACTAGAGCATAATCTTTGTCCTTTCTCTAAGTCCAGTATCTTTTTTATATCTTCTCTTAAAAGCATGCTGTTTTTCTTAAGAATATTGTTGGTCTTAAGTTAAGCATTTGTTGGTCTCATAATGTGATTATCTTTTATCTAGACTATAATATCTGTAGATTGGACACCATATCTGTTTTTGCTCACCATAATATATGCAGAGCCTAGTACAGCTCCTAGTGCTCAGTTGAAGATTAAAATATATATTTTTAATAAATGAAATAAGGACTGTTTGGAATAAGAAAATGGAAAGCCTTTTAGGCATCATAAAAACCAGAAAATATATGCAATAGAGAATAGAAACAAAAATAAAATCAATGAAGCCAAAAGTTGGTTCTTTGAAAAGAATAACAAAATGGTAGCATCTTTAGCTAAAATAAGCATGAAAAAAGGGAAGAGACCCAAATACTAACCTGAGGAATGAAAGAGGGAATATCACTACCAACTTTATAAAGTAAAAAAGAATTCTAAGAAATTACTTGCGTTGTATGGCAACATATCAATTTATGTAGATGAAACTTTACAATTTCTAGAAAGACACAAACTCCAAAATTGGCTTAAATAAAAATAGAAAATCAGAATGCATATAACAAAAGAATGAATTAGTAATTTAGAAACCTTTCTCCAAAAAGCCCAGGCCCAGATGGGCTTCAATGATAAATTCTAGCAAATATTTAAGAATTAAACAAATATGTAAACAACTCCTGCAAAATATAAAAGAGAAAAGAGTACTTCCCAACTCTTATTGTTATTATTGCCATAGTACTTACTAGACAAAGACATTTAAAAAAGAAAACCGTAGAGCACTATATACCTTATGAACACAGCTGCAACAATCCTCAACAAATACTAGCAAATTGATTCCAGAAGCATATAAAAAAGATTACTCAGGGACAAATGTATACCCAGATGTGAAAGAATAAATTTGGGCCCTCTACCTCATGTCATATAAAAATTAAATGGATCAAAGACCTAAATGTAAAAGGCAAAATGTTATAATTATTTGAAGAAAACATAGGTGTAAATCTTTGACCTTGATTAAGCAATGATTTCTTAGTTATGATACCCGTTTTAGTCCATTTGTGCTGCTAGAACAGAATGCCTAGGATAGGGTAATTTATAATGAACAGAAGTTTGTTGGCTTATGGTTCTGGAGGCTGGGAAGTCAAAGATCAAGGCTGTGGTATCTGACAAGGGCCTTCTTGCTGTATCATCACATGGTGGAAGGTGGAAGGGGATGCAGGGACAATCTTTGTGTCCTCACATGGCAGAAGAACAAAAATCAAAAAGGTAAAAGAGGGCCATTTTTATAATGACATTAGTCTCGCCCATGAGTGAGAACCCCTCATGGCCAATCACCTTCCAAGGCCCCCACCTTCTAACACTGCCACAGTGGCAACCAAATTTTGATGTGAGTGTTGGAGGGGACAAACATTCAACGCATAGGAATACCCAAAACACAAGCAAACGAGAAAAAAAAAGTAGATAAATAACACATAAAAATGGAAAACTTTGGTGCTTCAATTAACACCATCAAGAAAATGAAGACAATCTACAAAAGTGAAGAAAATATCTGTAAATAATATATCTGACAAGAGACATACACAGCATATAGAAAGAATTCTTACAAATTAACCATAAAAAGACAATTGCAATTTCAAAATGAGCAAAAGACCTGAATACACAGTTCTCCAAAACTATATACAAATATCCAGTAAACACATGAAAAGATGTTCAACATCATCAGTTGTTAGCAAAATGTAAATCAAAACTATAATGAGATGCCACTTTATAACCATTAGCATGCTTAAAATAAAAAAAAATACATGCAATAAGAAGTGTTAGAAAAAAGAGGGAAAAATTGGAACCCTCATGGGTTGTTGATGGGAATTTCAAGTGGCACAGGCACCGTGAAAAACAGGCAGTTCCTCAAAACTTTAAACATAGAATTTTCTTATGACCCAGCAGTTTCACTCCTAAATATATGATCAAGAGAATTGTAAGCATATGTTTACATAAAGAGTTGTACACAAAATTTTGTAGCACCATTATTCATAATAGCCAAAAAGTAGAAACAGTTCAAATCTCCATCTCCTGGTAAATAGATGAGCAAACTGTTGCATATACACACAATGTATATTTAAATTTTAAAGATATCAATTGAACAAAGTGTAAAAGGGAACATAATAATGATTCCCCCACAAAACTGCATAGTTGTTTTTTAAGTACTCGGTAATGCTTGGATGTCTGGATGTCAAGGATGTCTGCTATTACTACTTCTATTTAAGATAGTAGTGAAGGTTCTAGCCAGCAAAACAAGGCAAAAAATAAAAAATAAAATCATCCATATTGGAAAAAAATAACTAAAACTTTCTTTACATATGACATAATTATCTATGAAAAGAAACTCACAGAATCTACAAAAATGTTACTAGAACCAATAAGTAAATTAGAAAATTTATATTGATACAATGTCAATATAAATCAGTATAATCCTGTGCTTTCAACAAAACTGAAGAAATGCTTAATTGAGTTAATAGCTGATAGATCATCAGAAAACAGACTGGTGAAGTTAACAGTAATGGACCAGTGTTGATTTCTTCATTGTGACCATGTGTACCACAGTTATGTGAGATGTTAACAATGGGGAAACTGGGTAAGGGATATTCAAGATCTCTCTGTACTATCTTTGTAACCCTATGTAAATCTAACACTATTCTAAAATAAAACGTTTATTAAAACAAAAAAATCAATATAAATCAAGTAGAGAATAGAACAATAGAAAACATAAAAATAAAACTGAGTATGTTTAATGACAAAATTGGCAAACTTTTAGCTAGACAAACTAAGGAATAAAGAGAGAGAACTCAAATACCTAAAATCCAAAGCAAAAGAGGCGATATTACAACAGATGCCTCAGGATCATAAGGGACTGTTATGAAAAATTAAATGACAACAAATTAAATACTCTCAAAGAAATGAAAACATTTCTAGAAACATGCAAGCTACCAAGACAATCAAAAAGAAAGTTTGAACAGACCAGTAACAAACAAGATTGTAGTAGTAGTCAAAAACAACCCAACAGAGAAAAGCCCAAGACCAGATGGCTTCATAGCTGAATTCTACCGAACATTTAATTCCAAACTCATTTTATGAAGCCAGCATCACCCTACTACCAAAACCAGACAAATACACTACAAGAAAAGAAAACTACAGGCCAATTTCTGTGATAAATATAGATGCAAAAATTCTCAATAAAATACAAGGAAATGTAATTCAACAACACATCAAAAGATTATACATTACAACCAAGTGAGATTTATCTCTGTGATGCAAGGTTGGTTTAACATATGCCAATAAATAAATATAATACACCATATTAACAGAATGAAAGATGAAAACCACATAATCATTTTAATACATACATAAAAAGCATTTGAGAAAGTTCAACAGTTATTATAAAAATTCAACAAAATACGTATAGAAAGAAATTTCCTCAACACAATAAAGGCCATTTATGAAAATCCCACAGCTAACACTATAGTCAATGGAAAAAAACTAAAAACTTTTCTTCTAGATTCGGAATGCGGCAAAGATGACCTCTGTCACCATTTCTACCCAACTTAATACTGGAAGTACTAGCAAAAACAATCAGAAAAGAGAAAGAAAGTAAAGGCATTCAACTCAAAAAGGAAGAAAATAAAGTAATATTTTCATTTGTAAATGATATAATCCCGTATATAGAAGACTTTAAAGAATCCACATATACACACACAGAGACACAAGTACACAAACTGTTAGAACTCATAAACAAGCTCAATAAAGTTGCAAAATACAAAGTCAACAAACAAAAATAAGTTGCATTTCTTTACATCAACAGTGTTCTACATGAAAGGAAATTGTAAAAATTGTACAATAGCATCAAAAAATTGTAAAAATTTAAAGAGCTGAACCTGCAATATCTTCAAGGTATGCCTGTATGTATGTGTGTGTGTGTGTGTGTGTGTGTGTGCCTGCGCGTGTGTATATATACACAACATATATATATAATATATATAGTATATGTATATATGTTATTCAGCCTTAAAACAGGATATTCTGCCATTTGTGACAATATAGATGAACTTAAAGGACATTATGCTAAGTGAAATAAGCAAGACACAGAAAAAAAGCACTGAATAATCTCACTTATATATGGAACCTATAAAAGTGAAATGCATAGAAATAGAGAATAGAACAATGGTTACCAAGGGTGGGAAGGTGGGGTAAATAGGATGATATGAGTCAAAGGGTACAGAGTTGCAGTTATATAGAATAAATAAGACTGCTGGGAGTTAATAATGTACAGCATGATGACTATAGTTAATAATATTGTGTTGTATACCAGAAATTTACTAAGAGATTTCACGTGTTCTCACCCTACATGCATGCATGCACACACACACACATGCAAACACACACAAAGGTAACTGTGAGGAGATGAGTATGTTAATTTATTTGGCTGTTGTAATCATTTCAGTGAGTATATATATATTAAAATATGTTATACAATTTAAAATACAATTTTTATTTAAAAAACAATGCATGCTTGAAATTTGGTAACCAAGTAGACCTTAAGCATTCTCGTCACACACAAAAAAGGTAACTATATGAAGTGATGTGTTAATTAGCTTATTGTGATAATCATTTCACAATGTTTATGTACATCAAAACATCACATTGTAAACCTAAATGAATGCATCCTAATCAAATATATAATTTTTATTTTCAATTATACTCAATATAACTGGGAAAAATTAAATCCCATTTTTTATCAGTGACCAAAAATTTGATATTGAAGTGAAAAAAATGCCACTTAAAAAATATCAAAAATGTAAAATATCTAGGAAGAAATTTGATAGATGATGTGAAAGAACTGACTGATATAAGCTAAAAAACATTTATGAAAGCAACTGAAAATCTAAACAAATTAAGAGACGTGTTCATGGGTTGGAAAACTTAATATTATTAATACATCACTTCTACCATATTGATATATAGAGTCAAAGCAATGAAAATTAAAATTCCAGCAGGTATTTTTTTAAAGTTGACAAGCTAATTCTAAAATGCAAAAGAAATGCAAAGAATTTAGAATTACCAAAACTTTAAAAATAAGAAATTTGTGACACTTTTATTATTTATGATATAGTTAGAGTATCAAGGCAGTTTGATCCTGATATAAAGACAAATAGACCAATATAATAGAATAATAATCCAGGAATAAACCTATGAATATATTATCAAGTAATTTTCCACAAAGACTCACAGGTAATTTAGTAGAGAAAGGATACTTGTTCCAATAAATGATAATGGAAAAATTAGATATCAATATGCACAAAAATTAACTTGGATCCACACCTCACACCATTGTCAAAGAAAACCAAAGCTGGAAACTAAAGGGATAAACAGCTTTTATTCAAGAACTATAGTAGGTCCTCACTTAACTTTATTGATAGGTTCTTGGAAACTGTGATTTTAAATGAAACAACATAGAGCAGCTCCTCAAATGTCATTTTTTTCAAGTTGATGAGAGAAAAATCTGGTTTCATAATATGTCCATAGGTCCTTTTGCTTAAAGGTGCAGTTTCCAAGAACCTATTAACAATGTAAGTGAGGATTTACTATATTGCCATAGAGAAAAAGAGACCTCGATGTAGAACTGAGTTCAATTCTGAATACAACATTGACAAATGGAGCCAAGGAGTCAGGGTGTGGCTCAGTGGATGGAAAATTACTAAGGGAAAATTACTAGGGGATGGTTGGGGATGAGGAATTTAGTCACTTATCAAGGGTGATCAGAAATTGAGAGTGGGGGATTTTCACTAACCTGACTTGGCAGGATTCTTACTAAAACTGGGTGATTTGGATTTCGGCCCAATAGATGTACACCAAGGTCAAGGCCTAGAGATCCTGAATAAAGTTTGGTCAAGAGAGCATCTTTGTTGCCATATAGAAAAATTAACTAAAAATGGATTATATTTCTAAATGTAAAAACTAAAGTTATAAAATGTGCAGTAGTAACACATAAGAAAAAATATTTTTGACCTTGTGATAAACAGTGATTTCTTACATACACCAACAAAAGCACTCTGTAAAAAGTAAAAAAAGATAATAAATTGAACTTCATCAAAATTGTGAACTTCTGCTCTTTGAAAAAAAAATGAAAAGGCTATTCACAGACTTGGAGAAAATATTTGCTGATCACTTATCTGATGGAGGATATATATATATATATATATATATATATAAAACCTTTTTTATATACATATCCTATACATAGTGTATAATACACTACATAATACACTATATAACTTACAGTATATTATACACTATGTAACTTATAGTATATTACATAAATTATATATTTAAAAACTCTTAAAACTCAATAGACTGTACAAATTATAATACAATAAATTGGAAAAAAATATTGTATGTCAGAAAAGAAATATACCCAGCTTCAGATAAGCATATGACAAGATGCTCAGCATAATTTAGCATTTGGGAAATGCTAATTGAGACCATAATATAATACCAGTGCATATTATTAGAATGTCTAAAATTTAAAAGACAAATCATATTAAGTATTGGAGAGAATATGAAGAAACTAGAACTCATAGACACTGTTGGTGGAAATACAAAATGGTATGACTACTTTGGAAGACAATTTGGCAGCTTCTTAAAAAGCTAAACATACATCTACTATATGACCTGATCATTTCACTCCTAGGTGTTTATCCAAGAGAAATAAAAGGATATGACCGCAAATGACCAGTACCCAAATTTCCATAGCAGCTTTATTTGCAATATCCACACACTTAAAACAACTCAAATGTCCATCAGCATGTGAATGGATAAGGAATGTAAGTGGATATCCATAATATAAAATAATATCCTGCAACTAAAAGGCATAAGCTATTGCTGTATGTAATAACTTGGATGTATTTCAGAATAATTATTCTTAGTGAAAGAAGCCAGAGAAAAAATACCTGCTGTATGATTCCACTAATACAAATTCTAGAAATTCAAACTGCCTATAGTGACAGAAAGCAACACAGTGTTTGTCTTAGGATGAATGTGGATATGAAGTGGTGAAAGGGAGGCACCGTAGGGTCACAAGGAAATGATTGGAATGTGTTCATGATCTTGATTTTGGTGATGGTTTCACAGTTGTATGTGTGTGTCAGAACTTATCAGACTGTATACTCTAAACATGTTCAGTTTATTGCACATTAATTATACATCAATAAAATGGCTTAAAAACTATTATGAAGGATTTGCTAGAAGGTTATACTGAGGATGATTGTATCAGACAGAGGCGTCATTTCTAGTTATGTAGCTGTACATTTCAAAAAGGTCCAATAAACTCTTGCTTTGGTGAAGATCTTTTTTTTTTGGCCTGAATTCTGGGGTTTATTTGTGTTAATGGCTGCTGTTTTTGATAATATGTTATCATTTTGTGCTTATTTTATTTGTATATTGTTGACATTATTTTAATTATACTTACATAGTTGTATACTTAAAATATAATTGTACAACTGTGTTATTTCTCCAACTTGTAACATGGTAGATAGAAGTATACTAAATGTCAACATGGCAGTGGGAGAGGCAGGAGATGTGGTGATGATCAGATCTCTTTGTTTGTAATCTCAAAGCCAGAACTTTAACACTATTGAGTGGGCAAGAAAATCCTGTAGGAGGATTACAACTTCATGTTATTGGGGGCTGAAAGTTTCTGTCATACTTCTGTTTTTTTTTTTTTTTAATTATACTTTAAGTCCTGGAGTACATGTTCAGAACGTGCAGGTTTGTTACATAGGTATACACGTGCCATGGTGGTTTGCTGCACCCAACAACCCGTCACCTACATTAGGTATTTCTCCTAATGCTATCCCTCCCCTAGCCCCCCAACCCCAACAAGCCTGGTGTGTGATGCTCCCCTCCCTGTGTCCATGTGTTCTCCTTGTTGAACACCCACTTTTGAGTGAGAACATGCGGTGTTTGGTTTTCTGTTCCTGTGGTAGTTTGCTGAGGATGATTTCTAGTTTCATCCATGTCCCTGCAAAGGACATGAACCCATCCTTTATTATGACTGCATAGTATTTCATGGTGTATATGTGCCACATTTTCTTTATCTAGTCTATCATAGATGGACATTTAGGTTGGTTCCAAGTCTTTGCAATTATGAATAGTGCCACAATAAACATACGTGTGCATGTGTTTTTATAGTAGAATGATTTATAATCCTTTGGGCATATACCCAGTAATGAGATTGCTGGGTCAAATGGTATTTCTAGTTCTAGATCCTTGAGGAATCTCCACACTATCTTCCATAATGGTTGAACTAATTTACACTCCCACCAACAGTGTAAAAGTGTTCCGATTTCTCCACATCCTCTCCAGCATCTGTTGTTTCCTGACTTTTTAATGATCGCCATTCTAACTAGCATGAGATGGTATCTCATTGTGGTTTTGATTTGCATTTCTCTAATTACCAGTGATGATGAGCTTTTTACCACATGTTTGTTGGCTGCATAAATGTCTTCTTTTGAGAAGTGTCTGTTCATATCCTTTGCCCACTTTTCTATGGGGTTGTTTCTTTTTTTCTTGTAAATTTGTTTAAGTTCTTTGTAGATTCTGGATATTAGCCCTTTGTCAGATGGATAGATTGCGAACATTTTCTCCCATTCTGTAGGTTGCCTGTTCACTCTGATGGTAGTTTCTTTTGCTGTGCAGAAGCTCTTTAGTTTAATTAGATCCCATTTGTCAATTTTGGCTTTTGTTGCCATTGCTTTTGGTGTTTTGGACATGAAGTCTTTGCCCATGCCTATGTCTTGAATTATATTCCCCAGGTTTTCTTCTAGGATTTTTATGGTCCTGGGTTTTACGTTTAAGTCTCTGAACCATCTTGAGTTGATTTTTGTATCAAGTATAAGAAAGGGGTCCAGTTTCAGTTTTCTGAATATGGCTAGCCAGTTTTCCCAACACCATTTATTAAATAGGAAATCTTTTCCCCATTGCTTGTTTTTGTCAGGTTTGTCAAAGATCAGATGGTTGTAGATGTGTGGTGGTATTTCTGAGGCCTCTGTTCTGTTCCATTGGTCTATATATCTGTTTTGGTACCAGTACCATGCTGTTTTGGTTACTGTAGCCTTGTAGTATAGTTTGAAGTAAGGTAGCATAATGCCTCCAGCTTTGTTCTTTCTGCTTAGGATTGACTTGGCTATGCGGGCTCTTTTTGGTTCCATATGAAGTTTAAATTAGTTTTTTCCAATTCTGTGAAGAAAGTCCATGGTAGCTTGATGGGGATAGCATTGAATCTCTAAATTACTTTCGGCAATGTGGCCATTTTCACTATTGATTCTTCCTATCCATGGGCATGGAATGTTTTTTGATTTGTTTGTGTCCTCTCTTATTTCCTTGAGCAGTGGTTTCAAGAGGCTTATAGGAACCTAACCCTGTATTTCCTCTAGGAGCAGTGATTCAATGTTTGCTAATTCAGTGTTTGTGACAATTTTATAGAACCAAAGTAATATGAATAATGAGAATCAACTGTATGCATATATACAAAGATTTATAATTGACTTTACATACACACACGTATGACACATATTCATATACATGTATAAATGTACATATATTGTGTGTGTGTGTGTGTCCAACCACACACACATGTATATATAATAACTGACACCACAAAAAGTGACTTTGTTTTTTTTAATCCCTGAATCAGTTTACATGCTGTAAATTGCATGGATAAGTTTATGAGAGACAAAGAAACACTCTTTGACATTGGTATTTTCCCAGGAAATCTAGCCCTCACGAACACTGCTTAATGATACCAATTCCAACTGAAGGAGCAGTGAGGTGTTATTAAAACAAAGAATTGAGGATGGAGAATTCTGCCTGCTTGGCTCAGCATCAGCATTCTGGCCAAAGAATGTTTATCAGTGCCTGAGTGAAGGGGTTAGAAAAATAAAAGGAATGACTGCCAAGGAAAAAAATAATAATTAAAACCTCTTAGTACAATTATACCCCCCATTCCCCAAATCAGAATATTTTTACATCTTTCTCATTATTTTTGGTATGTATTGGTGCCCTTCCTTATGGCCCTCAGCTTTTCATATTTCAGATTAATTTAACTGAATTCCCTGAGGTAAAAAGCAAAATTCTAAGAAGATTTCACAAATAAAGTTGTTTTCCTGAGTCAAATGAAAACAGGACATAGAAAGAACTAAAGATGAGATACAGTAAGAAGTATATAGCTTAGACTTTGGGCAAATAAACTAGAAAATAAAAGAGATATTGCAAGCCGAAGTTACATGGTTTTCCTTCCATTCAGAGGAGGATCCTGGCCAAATTTGGATTTTTATTGAAATTGTCTTTTAGATTTTCTATGCTATCTTCCCTAGATAACTACTGCTTTGTGAAGTGATGTGTGAGTGAGGACTCAAAATGTTTAGCCTTAGAATTATGCAGTTCAGTGTGGAAGTCACATGTATATTCTTCAGGCTGATCGCTAATCTTTGTCCAATTCCCATGTAAAAATGTAGTCCCACACCAAGGCCATACTCTGGACTTTAGGAGAGTTGTTAAATGTAAACAATAACTGCCAAAAGAGTGCTGTAAATCTATTCCTTACCTCTTTAGAGAATGAGGACAGCCATCTATCTTTTTTAAATTATATATTCAGGAATTTGATTTTAATTTCAACTACCAAGAGCACTTGCAAAATTGCAGTCCTGCAGTACAACCATTCTCAGCTACATTAAGTGGCAAGAACAAAAGTGCACTCAGTGTGCATAGATACTCCTAGTCCCATGACAAGCTCTGCATACTAACAGGGTTGTCCCTGCCTCTGCAGACATAAGAGGACTCATGACAAATGATGTGCACCAAGAGACTGACAGCTCATCTTCTCCCATGCTTGCCGGCTGCACTACACTGAAGAGCTGGCTAGCAAGCTGGTAACACACACGATGCCTCCTCTCCCCATAACATGTTCCCCATCATTCCTCTGATTCCTTCTTTTGTAGCAATTGACCTTGTCCAATATTCAAAGCTCTTTTAAAGTTAATGATGTTGGACTCTGGAAATAGTCTTCAAACATATGAAAGATTATTACAAAGAGAATGATGGCCAGTTGCTTCCCATCTCACTGGAGGATAGAGCTTGGGCTGCTGCCATTCACTGCAGAAGGACTGAATAAATGTTTCTTTATCATGAAGATGATGATGGTTATGATGATAAAACCACAAAAGGCATAAAGAAAACCTGGACTGCAATTGGAGGAACCTCATTTTGATGAAATAAATGTCCTGACATCGAAAATTCTGAATCTAGTTGCTGATTCAAATTTACTCTGAATTCATTCAACAAGACTTTGCAAGGCATCAACTGGTGAGACCCAAGGAGCACTGTGATAGAATGCAAGGAGTACCTAAAATTATGTATCAAAAATCTGTCTTTGCCAAATTGATTTACAACTTATTTTAAGAAACGGACTTTTACACGTGAAATCGTTAAGCCATGTTTAAAAATAACGTGTAATTACTGCACAAACTATATATGAGTTGAGGCAGTTTGAACAATTAACAGAGACTTCATTAATGAGGTGAAGCTTTAACTAGGCCTTGTACATAGAATTAGGTAGTAACTTAAAAATATGTATTCATTTGATAAATATTTATTGTATATCTATGATGTTCTGACACTACAAGAAACAGAATGAATAATATAGTCAAAAGGTGTGTTTGAGATAATAAAATACTCTTTCATTACACAATTAAGGAAATGCTGTCTGACCCTTATCCTCTCTGGGTAGGCACTTGTAGCAAATTGTGATAGAACCGGAAACAGTATCAGTTTCTACATCAGCTCAGTACTTCTCTATGAAAACCATATCATTTGCCTTGCCTTTGTTTTTCATCCACCATAACTATCAACCTGAAGACAAAACAAAACAGGAAATATTTTCATTCTTAAGAGATTAATTCCTATTCAGCAGACTTTTAAAAACTTGTTTTCTTGAAAAAAGAATACTATGTTGTGCATTTCCTATGTATGGTTAAGAACTTTTTATGTTTTTTAAGTGTATTATCTTGGCAAAATGTGTACAACGAATCTTTAGTGTGCTTGCCTGGTTTGTTTATTAGTTACAATTGTTAAATTCCAAGTTATTTTATACTAACTTTACTGACCTCAGGAACTCTTAGGTTATACTTTGTAATAAGTTGTATTTTTTTCTTTCTGCTCAATAGTGAAAGCAAAGAAAAGAAGCTAAGTATGAGGTATTTTATTGAGAGCTAGCATACATAGGGGTTAAGAGCTTAATCTCTTGAAGTCAGACTGATTTGTCGTCAAATTCCAGTCATAGGACTTTCACAACTGTGGGCAAGTTAATCTAGGTGGGCCTCAAATCTCTGTTCTGTTAAATAGAAAAAGAGTGTACCTAATTCATGGGATAGTTACAAAGATTAAAGTAGCTAATGCATGCAAAATAATTAACAATGTCTAGCCTAAAGTATATTCTCAGTAAATGCTAGTTATTAAGAGCCTTGAAAATGGAGATAACTTATGTCCATGTTTGGCTGCTAAATTGGTGTTGGGATTATCGGCCAGGTAATTACAGTCAGGCTTATGACAAAGGCCATCAGTTGTGCATGAAGTTATATATGCATCTAATTGAGCACGCATCTGTCAGGAAAGAAAGATGAGTAGGAGACTATCAAGAACTGCTCTAACTTGAACATCTGTTAATTACATATAAAGCAATTGAGACTTTCGCTAGATTTTTTTCTCTAATCCTGAAACTAATTAATGCTCATAATAAAAATCTTAGAAAACACAAAAATATAAAGAAGTCAACAAAAATCAACCATAATAACAGTATTCAAAATCAACAAGTGTGATGAATTAACATTGATATTTTCCTGTGCATACATATATAATTTTTGTGCATATAATTTATAAAATTTATATTTTAAACAAACATTAAGGAATTCAGCTGCAGAAACACATTTTATATTCTGCTTTTTTATATATTATATACTTAGATATTAAATAGTACTCAAAAGTACAATTGATTACATAATACCCCATTGAATGATTTTGATATTAACATTTTTATACATCATTTCTCATGATTTTCTATAAAGAATGCTAAAATAAATATTCTTGAAAATAAATTATATGCATACAGGTAAACCTCTCTCCAGAAAATGTATGCCAATTCTCTCATTACTGAATAAGCAAGTGTTTTTTCCCTAACTCACTGTCCTCCACACCACAGCTCATCTTCATTCATCATAGCTGTAATAATAATTATTGACAACCACTAGGGACTTACCCTGTGGCAGGCCCTATTCTAACTGCTCTATAGGCATTATATTTTTAAATCTTCTCAACAACACTGTAAGGCATATTCTAATCATTCCTGTTTTACAGGTTAAGAAGCTATGGCTTAACCAGATTAAGTCCAAGATTCCACAATTAGAAATAAAGTTGGGATGTAAGTCCCCAGGCAGTGTGACTTCCATAGACTGTGATTTTCACCAAAACACAGTATTATTTTTCCATAGCATTCATCAATATTATCCACTAAAATGTTTCTATTAATGTGAAAGACAAAAAAAATATTGTTTTTACTTTACGTAATTTTATTAATAAGGCCAATATTTTTTCATAATTTTATTTTTTAATTTGTTTATATTTTGGATATTTCATGTGAATTTTTTATTTATGTTCCTTGGTGTCTTCATCATTTAATTATGAGGAGTACTTTCCTCTGAAGGCTAGATTCTAAAATTACATATTGAATGACTCTCTTTGAGGTAATAATAAATATGGATTTTCAAGATGGTGACACATTCAGTTGCATTAATTAGGAAAAAATTTTGCTAATTGCATTCTCTGGTGAGCATTGGACTTCCTGTCTGCCAATGTGTATTCCATTTTATAGGTCTTTTTAGATGTTCTCTTTGGTTTGTAATTGATGGATTTCTTGGAAGCAAAAAGCCACTGGAGATTTAGTGAGTGTGAAGTGGTGAATATTGAAAGCATTTTAAATATTGATATGAAAATAAATCTCCTAGCAGGATATCTTTTTGTTCTGCTGTTTCTGGAATGAATATATTAGTTTAAAAATTGTGAGCATTTAACAGATGTGAAAGTGCTAGTCTTTGGGCTGTTAACAGACTGTACTCTGCCAGATTTGTTGGTAGCCTTTCCATATTCTGAAAATATTAGAGATATTTATAACCATAGTGATATTTCCAAATGCTTTAAATAATTATGTGAGTATACTCACATAATTATTTTCAACTGCAGCAATACTCCCAAAATAGAAGAAATTACTACTCTTAACGGGGTATGTGGAATAACAGTTTTATTTGAGAGCAACAATGAAGAGCATGGCCATGAAATTTGGATGCAATAAACAAAAGAAAAGAAGTCATGCCCTAAGTATCTTGGGGCAGCAACTTGTGAGAAGGCAAATCAATGGCAGGTAGAGGCTATTTAGCAAAGCTTGCTAATATAGATTCCTCTGGTACCATCACTAGGATGATAAGGGCCTAAAGTTGTCTTCAGTGGTTAACCTTTATTCTTCTTGGTAGGGATTGAGGTGAAGGGACAGGATACCTTTTTTATTTTTAAATCTATGTCCTGCTTTCAGAAAAATAGAAGGAGAATGGGGACCTTTTTTGTACTTGCTTCTTAATTGCCTTTGCCTCAACAATCCTTCATATTTTAGAGTAAATATTTAAAAAGGAACAATTATTCATATGTTACGGTTTTTCACTCCATAAATTTCCTGATACTCTAGTGGGCTGGTACTTCTGCATGGGGAAAAAATTCAAATTTTGGGGGGAACTAAAAATCAAATTTTGAGAGAAGAATAATAAAACAAGAATGGCAGAAACTCAGATCTGAGACCTAAGCAAAAAATTATTTCATAGAACTCTACTCAGTAACTTATTATACAGAATTTCCATATACACAGGCAGCGGTATGCTGCTCAATTTTTAAAAAGAAACTTTGTGGAGAAGAAAATAAAATTACTTATACTGTTTGCTGATTTCCATGGTATAAACTGTCACATCATGGCAGATCTCAAGCTATCATCGTGATGTCACTGAACTGAAGTTAGGAAGACATATAAGCATTTGTCTCTCACAAAGTTGGTAGAAACTTGCTTTAGCACACCACTGAGCAGAGACCACCATGAAATAGAGACTGAGCACAGAGAAGCCCCAGTTAGAAAAGTGCACCAGTTCTTCCCATCAACCATTTACTGTGGATAGTTCCTTCAGGAGGAAAACATCTATATCTAGTATTCACTTTATCCCGTTGTAGCCACTTATCCTGCAAATTAGAGAAAACAGCAACACAAGTGACATGAGTTCTTGGACCCAGAGCAGCTGTACAACCAAAGTCTGGTTCAATCCTTGACAGGGCAACGTACAGTTTACTGCTAGCTGCCTCTTTGTAATGAATCAGCAAAAGCAGTTCTCGAAAACCTAGCATCTTTCATGTTGCAAACCCACACACCAGAAAGAGATGTAAAACCAACATCCATGGGTATTATACCGGATATCTTCCATGTATATCTCCAGAGTCACTCTACCTCTCTTCTTTCCCTATGATTCAGACCTGTGTGAACTCCACCAACAGGCTCCGTTGCTCTCTGGCTTACCATTGGGTTGGGCCAATGGTGAAGGTGACAAGATTTCTTAGGGAGAAGAGTGACATCGTAATATTCCCCTGACTCCCTCCCAGGGGTTCCCTTAGGCTAATTACATCTTTCTTCCAAAGGTCACAAGTCCTATCAAGTACACTTCTGTACATAGCTGCTGTGTCCCCAGATTCTGATAATGGCTCCTTGTTCTCCCTTCTTCAGGCTAAAAACTAGTAAGAGATCCTCATTGTTATTTGTACTAATCCTTTTGGTTTTTATTCAGCATGCCCTAAACCTTGATCAGAATACCCATAGTTCACTCAATAGTTTTTGAATACACTATTTTTTTGTTTTGGCCAGGACTCTAGCTGATGCTGATAGGAAGTGTGGAATTATGATGCAAGTAGTAAGCAATTGTATGTATACTAGGCACAGCAACCTAAAAGAGAAAGTCCTTCTTATAGACCTGTTGATCCCATATATATCTTTATAGTTATCTGAATTTAATCTACTCCCAGGGGTGACCTGGCAAATGGTCCACAATCAGCTCTTAAGGAGAAAAAAAAAAAAAAAAAAAAAAAAAAGCCCTGATTTGTAACAGTTCCCACATGCAGCGGTGTAATATTCCTACTATGGTGAGTTTCAATTTACCAAAATAACTTTCTGAAGGAGAGATGGGAACAGATATGTAATGCTGTTTCTCACAACCTGACAAGAGCAAACTGCCAACTCCAGCTCTTTGGGGCCTATTCCCATCTGTGGTCTTATCTTTTTTGGTTCTGCAATACAATACCATATAGTACAATACAATACAATACAATTCTGGTTTGGGCTTTCCTGTTTTATCTTACTTCCTGTTTTTTTTTTTTTTTCTCCAAGTATGGACCAGGTTATATGAGGAAAAACAAATCAAGGCTTCATCTACCATAACTCCTCATGTATCTGATATGCTAACTCCTGCCTTCCTGTCTTCTAACTCCTCATGTATCTGATATGCTAAGTCCTGCCTTCGTTTCTTCTTCTAACTCCCCATTGCCTCTGACTATACTCTTTTGATCACTGGGATATCTGAGATATTGTCTCCCCCATGAGCACCAGAGACAAACACTTTATAAATCCCAACCAATGAAAAGATAACAACCATAAAACTTGGCATCTGATTTTGCACTTGATAGAGGGTACAATGGGTGGCTATTATATACTCAGGCTAATGCAATAGAGAAATTTTAGCTTCAGCCCGTTAATAGTTCCTTTATGAAGCAAGTCTCAGAGAAGAAAAGCAGAGCCCAAAGCATCTTCTCTCCCCTTTGCCTGAACAAGAGCTTGGCACCCTCCTGAAGGGACAGAAATAGAAATGTATAAGCTGTGGTTCATTTCCCAAAGGTCATGGGACCGTAGAGACTGGCTTTTAAAGTCTAGTTTGAGACACCTCCCTCCCCTTACCCCACACAATATAATTTACAGACCTGCAGGCTGCAATAAAGGTTAGAATCTCTGAGGGATTGTGGAGGCAGGGTCACAAAGTACCCAGGGAATATTCACTGTACCTTTATGAATAAGAAAATAATAGGTTGTTAATTCACAATGGAAATAATAATCCTGAATATTACAGGGAAATAATGTGTATTGTCCTCCAAATTCTTTCACAATAGTCAGAAAACTGAACCCATCCTAGAAAAATTTGTTATTTATTTTATAGGTAATTCTTTTCTCCAGTTGCATCAGTTCTGAAAATCATAGTTAAAAATTGTATTGGCAAATACGCCGACCCTCATCATCATTGTGATTCTTCTAGTGGTTCCCTGTGATCCAAATGATCAAGACATGATAAAGACAAGCCATTGTTTTTGGGGGGTGGGGTGGGGGAAAGACCCAGTCTAAAATAAATGTAGTCCAAAATACTAAACACTGAGAAGAAGAATACACCTTGACTCTTAGTCTTCAAAAAGTAGAGATATAATGAAATAGATTGTAGCCTAATGAGATATTAGGACACAGTTTGATTCACATGGAAATGGAACAGGCATGAAATACAGAGAAGGAAAGAGGAAAATCTTTTTTTTTTTTTTTGAGATGGAGACTTGCCCTGTCGCCAAGGTGGAGTGCAGTGGAGCCATCTCAGCTCACGGCAACCTCCACCTCCTGGGTTCAAGCGATTCTCCTGCCTCAGCTTCCCGAGTAGCTGGGACTACAGGTGTGTGCCACCACACCCAGCTAATTTTTGTATTTTTAGTAGAGATGGGATTTCATCATGTTGGCCAGGATGGTTTCAATCTCTTGACCTCAAGTGATCCACCCACCTCAGCTTCCCAAAGTGTAGAAAATCTTAATGGAAGAAAGGACACCTGAACTGGGCTTTCAAGGAAGAGAAGACCTCTCAATCAGTAAAAGAAGAAAGAAAACTCCAGATGGATGGAAAAGCATTTATACAGGAGAGGATCTGTGAAATATCAAGATGTATGTGGTGAGTTATCAGTAGTTTGGTATTGTGAACATGTAAACTCAAAGCTGAGTCTAGAAAGGAAGGAACCAGAAGGATTTATATCCTGTAGGTCAGTTTATTTTAAATGGAGTTTATAATCTCTAATAGGGGATACAAGGATCAGTTGAGTGTTTAAACTTCAAGTCATGTTTTCTAAATATCTATTCACAAGGAAGTCATAGGTCAGCTGTCACTTGAAGTATTTAACCCTGAATGAAGAGACAATGCTCCTGAACATAAAGAGAGGGCAAGAGGAATTGAAGCCTCAGTCATTCTTTTATCTTAAGTGATTATGTAACTTACATGTACCTAGTTACGTAGATTTACTACATAAATATCTGATAGTAGTGAAATACTTAAAAAATGAAGTGATTAGAAAGAAGATTCCTGCAGAGAAACTAGGTTGAAGATAATACTAATCATGCATGTACTTGTATGAAACAGTAAAAGGAGAGAACTGACACATTTTCTATTTCTAAAAAAACTGTCAGCCATATATCAAATTGAAAAAGCATATTCTAATCAGCTTGCACAAAATAGGGCCTAGAAACAAAAATTATCAATAAAAGTGTCACTGGTAGAGGTTCATGACTGCAAGCTGTCCAGGTTCTTGGCATTTGGAACAAAGAATTGGACAAAACGCCCAGCAAAGCAAAGAAAGAATGAAGCAACACAGGAACGAAAGCAGGGATTTATTGAAAATGAAAGTACACTCCACAGTGTGGAGTGGACCCCAGCAGCAGCTCAAGAGCCCAGATACAGAATCTTCTTGGGTCCAAATATCCCCAAGAAGTTTTCCATTGGCCACTTCATGCTCACCTCATGTAAATGAAGTGGTAGCCGGCAATCAGTCTGATTGGTTGCAGAAAGCAGCCAACCAGAGGCTGAAGTGAAGTTACAAATTTATACTTATATGCAAATGAAGACTCTGTGGTCAATCAGTCTGATTGGTTGTGGACAACAACCATTCAGAGGCTGGAGTAAAGTTACAAAGTTGCAAACGAAGACTCCACCCGCACTCAGTATGATTTTTTGCGGACAGCCAATTTCCCATCTGCAACGCAGAAAAGGTCAAATGGACTTGAAAGCCCCTGATCTTTTTGTTACTTAGGAATGCAGAGTTAGGTTTTTCCTTTCAATTTAGTTCTAGGAAGTCAGCATGAAACAGCCTTAGGTTCCCTGCCTCCGGACCCTATTCTCCTCCCTCAAAAGGATTTGAAACATGGATTTACATTATTATACGTGAAGAGCCTCGTCCCAACTGCCTGTTTTCCCTCACTGGATTAGCTCATGGATACTATGAAAACATCCTGATAGGCACCAAAACATTTACTAACTACGCACCTGGATCATGGGACACATTATACTTGTTTTCTTGGTAACAGAAGTCATTTATACTCAAGCCAGTATTTACAAAGTTTTACTAACATTTCATAAGGAATAAGGCCTGTAGGTTGTACTGATGCCAATTTCCCAGTTTTGATATTTTACGTTATACTAGAGTTATGTTAGATGTTACCTCTGAGGGAAGCTGGGTGAAAGGTACCTGGAACGTCTTTAGACTATTTTTGTAAATGCCTGTGAGTCTATAATTATTTCAATACTAATTTTCTAATGGTTGATATATATGTGTATATATATAAAAATATGAATATATAGGTGTGTATATATAATATGTATGATTTATATATGTGTATGTATAATGTGATTTATATATGTGTATATATGTAATATTTGTGATTTATGTATATATGAAAGCTGACTTTAAGTTTTCTTACTTAATGGCAAAAAAAAACAAAAAACAAAACAAGAAGCCATATACCATTGGAGTAAATAGCTGTTTTTCTCTTTATAGTAAAAATGACTGAAATAAAACATGAAAAGCAATATGGAAATAAACTCAAATGTGTTGCTCTATCAGCAAAGATGTTGAGAAGACACAGACAAAATACTGCTGAAGGTTTGAAGGAAAAAAATGCAATAAATTATGCAGTGAGTAAGGTTTCCTATAGAGTTGCAAAAAAATGCAGATGTTTCTAACAAGTCTCCGATTTGGCATTTGTTGCATTCTATTTCGATAATTAAATACATGAAAAAATTTAGATACAAAAGAAACTCAAACTAGGGCATATAAATTCTCAACAAGAGATTTTTTATTTAATAGTAATAATAATAGTACACAATAGGAAAATCTGTTATAAGTAACCACCAATATAGTCATTGTTTTGAATGGAATTCTTAAAAATTCCAAGATTATTTATAAAATTAAAGAAGACATTTAAATATAGTAGAATCTTGTAATTCTTCTAATGTATGGGAATGTCCTTATACTGGCCTGTCCTGATGTCAAAATGACAATTGTCCTGCACAGCTATATAGTCACCACAGGACATATAATACTTATATGTAGGTCAAACTCAAGAACCTGAGCTATAGCACAGAGTATTCATAACATGACAGTCGATTGGATTTTAGCAAAACAGATTTTTCCATCACATTAAATTAATGTTGTTAATTTGACTTTTATTGATTTTATAGCTTTTCTTTGTATTTAATATATAAATTTTTTTGGTCGTATTTTTGTATAACAGTTATAAACAGATGAAGATTATACCTAGCTTTATGCTCATACATACTTAAGTAGCAAAAATCATTACAGTTAATTTTCAAGATCTGGAAGTATTTTGTTTTACTCTTTAAAAGGAAACACATATTACTCAAGTTTGAGAAACACAACTCAAGTCCTTATGAATGCTCCTAAGCCCCAGGTTAGGTTTTGTTGGAATCAAGCAACAGGTAGCAACTTGAGTGGAAGGCAAGAGACAGGTAGGGGTTAGGGAGGGAAGGAAACACAGAGCCCCTTCAAAAGCAGAAGCAGCACTAAAAAGGTAGAATGATACCAATGGGAAATTTTACCAACTACACTCCTTTGTCGTGATCCAGTGCTAAAGACAGGGTAAGTATAGCTGAGACCCACAACGGCACCAGTCACACAGATACTTGAGCAGTATACAAAGACAGACAAAACAATGACCTCTTCTATGACATTGGGTGCAGTTCCATTATAGGCCCACCTTGTGTGAAAACTCAGTGGCCTGTATTAAGCCTTCCAAACTGAGAAGTAAGACAGTCTCATCTTGAGGCAAGTAAAATGGATGCCTCTTAGAACCCAAGACTCCAGTGCTTAAAACACCAACTGTGCAAGAGTTGCAGTACAATGGCACCTCCCTGTATCTGTGGTTTCAGTTACACATGGGCAACCCTGATCTGAAAATATCAAATGGAAAATTCTAGAAATAAACAATTCATAAGCTTCACATTTCACACTGTACTGAGTAGTGTGATGAAATCTCCCGCTGCCCCACTCTGTCCCTCCAGGGATGTGAATCCTCCCATTGTCTAGTGGATCCACACGGCATTTGCTTCCTTCCTGCCTGTTAGTCATTTAGTAACCATCTTGGCTATCAGATTTTTTTTTAAAAAGCCATGGTATCTCTAGAGTTTGATACTATGTGTGGCTTTAGGCCTCTATTGGGGGTATGGAAACATATCCCTCATGGATAAGGGAGGACTACTGTTGTGACTTTAATACATTTCTAAGTGAAAATCATAATTATTTCAGGATGGTAAATACAGTGAAGCTTTTTTATTACAGGCTGAGATGAGGTCAGGATTAGGATGTCTCAAACAGAAATTTCTTCCCTCGTGTTCTCTCCAAAAAAGAAGGGTGTGCAAATATTATTACAAGGGAGATACTTATACACATAAAGAGTGTAATAACCACTACAAAATGCCTGAGAAATATTGAAGTTTTTATGATTTCTAAAGCAAGACTCTTATCCAATTGGCCGAGAGACAGTAGAATTTCCTCTCATTTGTCAGAGCTTCAACATAAGTCTTTGTCTCCTTTGTGCTCTTCTGATGTGGTCCTTTTCATTATCATGCTTGATGTGCTCCCAGTCTCTTTCCCAGTGCAGCATTCAGCAATCTTCCAAATGCCATTCCCGGGTTCTGTTCTGCCTTTCAATGACTGACACCTGGGTGGCAGATGGCACAAATAGCCCACTATATATTTCCTGGATTGATGAAGAAATCTGTCAGGAACCTGACTGCATTGGCCTGGTGCCTCGTGACAAAAATGTCTGCTCGGGGGAGTGACAGTGACTGGAAATAAGTTTGATGAAAATGATCTGGAGCTCGTTGAGTTTCAAATGTTGCTTTTATTCCTTCCCTTCCTTACATTTACACATCCTTGGATTTTTGCCTTGAAAACACATTATAAATAAATTGGACACCACAGTGTCTTAAAGCTCGGACATAATCCACTTTTTCCGGGCACGCATTTTGCCTGGGACAGATGCACTTCTTAATTCGCCATGTCCTTCTGCGTACCAGGCTTGTCTGACCATATGTGGACATGGATTTTCACATCTCTATCATGAGCTCGATTGCTCTAGAGTGGCGAGGAAAACTGATCTGGCAGGCTGGATACCGAGAATGATCACAAAGTCAAAGTCCTAGCCTCATATTTAAAATAAATACAGAGTTTTAAAAAATAGTTTAATTTAAAATATCCAAATGTTACTAAAGAAGAACCAATTCATTGGCTCATTAGATCAGAAAAATCTACCTGTGAGACCTGTCAAGGAAATCCTCTGTGCTCGTTTTCTTAGTCAATAAACACATAACATTTGCTGCCAGATGCCAGGTATATGATAGAGCCTGAGTATTGCCTTCTCCTGGAGATTCGTATGCCCTTCCCTTTACCCACCTCCCTCCCAGCACTCTGAGGATGTCTCAAGTTCTCTCTGGTTCTGAAACAGATATTAGTATACCTGTGTCATGATGCCTTTCTTCTATGAAGGACTAGCATTACCCCACGGAGGCTGAGATTATCTGCATCATGAAGCTATTGGAGTTTAAGTTTCCCAGGGGTGCCTGCATGGGCCTCTTCCTAAGATCTGGAAGGGGCCTTAGCAATGTGTACCTGTTTTAAAAATGGAAGGTATTTCTGTATTACATTTCTTAAAAAGGGATTGCCAAGTTGTATGAGTTTTTAGCCCCACAAAAGCTGGATATAGCCTCATGTAGCAGAGAATGGTCATGAAAGAGTAAAACACCCACACTTTCCCCCAAGCTGCTTGTAACTAGAATATTGGAAATAACAGGAAGAAGAGCCCACTTTAGTGTACGGGAGAATGTCTTCCTTTCAGACGAGTTAATGCCTATAGTGCCTTACTAGGAAGATGGTAAATCCCACAAAGCTGAAAAAATAAGCATTTCTAGGTAGACAGTATTTACTGGGGGCATTCCAGATTGAAGGAAACATGAAATGGTTCATATTTCCTAAAATCCCTGTCAGCTGTTGTTACACGCAATAGCATTTGGGAACAGAATAAAAAATGCAGGTGAGTTCTGAATAGCTGGGGAAGAAGGGGCTGAAATTAAAGTCTGACTTTTGAACAATAACAATTGTCAAAAGAGAGCTTGAGAACTTCTATGATTAGTCTGACGGTATCAGCACCTAGATGTTCCCTGATCAGCAAGATCCTGTGTGGGCCTTAGAGAGATCATTTGTCCCTCCAGAATAAGGTTTTCCACAATGTCCTATGAGGACACATTATGTAGCACTTAAAAGCACTGGTTTAGTATTCGACTGAAGTTCAGATCTTGGATCTTCCACTTAGCTTTGTGATACAGCACAACTTAATTTCTTAAAGCCTCAATTTTCTCATCTGAAAAGTTACAGTTATAACAAAAAGTCATAACACCTACCCCAGTGAAAGGTTAAGAAGACTAAATGAGATAATGTATGACACATGGAATATCCCTAAGGAATGTTTATGATGGCATGTTTAAGGCTTTCTAACAATAGAGCTGTTTCTGTGTGGCCTCTGTCACTCACTGAAAATATTTATGCTTATATTGGCTTTATGTAATCTGTACTTAGTACACACCACAATGTAAAGAATTAATTTGTATTAACAATTTTTTTAATGTTTTGTAAAACCCAAAGATAGAAGCAAACTTCCAGGTATTTAGAATAAGAGAAAACTGTACAGTGTGGAGAAAATTACTTGTAGTGACCATTCTGGTTCATGACTGAGTACACTAGGTAGCATGCCACACACAGCAGTGCTCCAGAAATCTACCCTCTTGGATTCTGAAAGTCCCTCACTGTTGAAGATGATACTAACGATGCACGCACTCAAGTAAAACACTAAAAGGAGAGCACTGAGATGACTTATAATTCTTTTTTTTTTTTATTATTATACTTTAAGTTTTGAGGAACATGTTCAGAACGTGCAGTTTCGTTACATAGGTATACATATGCCATGGTGGTTTGCTGCACCCAGTAACCCGTCATTTACATTATGTATTTCTCCTAATGCTGTCCCTCCCCTAGGCCCCCACCCCACAAAAAGCCCCAGTGTATGATATTCCCCTCCCTGTGTCCATGTGTTCTCCTTGTTCAGCTTCCACTTATGAGTGAGAACATGCGGTGTTTGGTTTTCTGTTCCTGTGTTAGTTTGCTGAGAATAATGGTTTCCAGCTTCATCCATGTCCCTGCAAAGAACATGAATTCATCCTTTTTTTATGGACACATAGTATTCCATAGTGTATATGTGCCACATTTTCTTTATCCAGTCTATCATTGATGGGCATTTGGGTTGGCTCCAAGTCTTTGCTATGGTGAATAGTGCCACAATAAACATACGTGTGCATATGTCTTTAAGGTAGAATGATTTATAATCCTTTGGGTATATATGCAGTAATGGGATTGCTGGGTCAAATGGTATTTCTAGTTCTGGATCCTTGAGGAATCTCCACACTGTCTTCCACAATGGTTGAACTAATTACACTCCCACCAACAGTGTAAAAGCGTTCCTATTTTTCCACATGCTCTCCAGCACCTGTTGTTTCCTGACTTTTTAATGATCGACATTCTAACTAGCATGAGATAGTATCTCATTGTGGTTTTGATTTGCATTTCTCTAATGACTAGTGATGATGAGCTTGTTTTCATACATTTGTTGGCCACATAAATGTCTTCTTTTGAGAAGTATCTCTTCATATCCTTTGCCCACTTTTTGATGGGGTTGTTTTTTTCTTGTAAATTTGTTTGGGTTCCTTGTAGATTCTGCATATTAGCCCTTTGTCAGATGGATAGATAGCAAAAATTTATTCTAAGAAAGCTGTTAGATCTCATTTTTTAAAAAAAATTGTTATCAGATTGCATAAGATGGCAGCCTAAAAACACAAAATTATCAGTGAGATCCTTTAAAAGATAGATTTATAATTATTATTATAAATGAAGAACCTTGTTTAAGAGCATATTTTCTATTGGCTGATTAACTAAGGGGTAGTATCCAGGCATTAGGAATCAAAACATTTAAAAGCCAAGCAGCCAGAATGTAATACATGCAATTATGTTTTGAGATTTTTTTTTCTTTACTCAAGCTAGTATTTACAAAGTCTCATGACAATGTAATAATGGAGAAGGTCTGTTTTGATATTTGATGTCATACTAGAGGTTTATGTTAGATAGTAGCTTTGAGGGAAGCTAAGTGCAGGATATATGAGACCTATCTGTACTATTTTTACAAATTTCTATGAGTCTATAATGATTTTAAAATAGTAAGTTTTAAAAACTCAGCTTTTTTATGTATTATATATTTGGGTTTCTAATAACATTTCAGTTGAGAAAAGAATTTTAATCTAGCCAGAAATCCACTCTGTACAGAACAGTGCTAGTCTTCTATGTAGCAGCGGCACTGCCCCATGGTATTTACATGTAATTGGAACTCGATTTGACTATAGCCAGGCAGAGCAGAGTCATTCAAACCAAGGCCTAGAGTGATTTGTAAATCGCTAATTGTATTTAGGGCTGTTTGTTCTCAGATATCATTTCTTTAGGAAAAAGCACAGTTAGTCAGTAGTCCAATGTCTAGAGTCTTTGTTTTGTTCTTGACACCAAAATAAAATATTTAGCCAAATAACCTATTCTGCTCTTCTCCATGACTATAACATTGGCCACAGGCAAACGTATGGAGTAATTAAAGGCTTTCCTTAGTGCTCCTCTCCCAGATGCTCTATGCTTGCTTGTGCTTAAGCATATGCTATTGCAAAAGAGAGAAGAGCAAAGGAAATCTTGTAAGTCACCATGTTGAACAGCAAAGCCTCAGACCCTCAGTGGCTGGGAGCAGTGCCTTCTCCCAGTTCAGTGGACTTAGGTTATGGCAGCTATTGCTATAGTTACTGTCAGTGAAGTTACTAGGAAATCTGTATTGAAGTGTGGGGGTGGGGATGAACTCTAGCAACTCATGTTTTTGACAATCACTGCAAATCAAGGCATTGTAACCTGACAGCAAGAATTAGCCTGTGGGATGTTAGTTCCGCACCATGCTCTCTGCTCTGTGTTTCCTTAAGAAGCTCACAGAACATTTTCCACATGGCATCCTTCTGTGTGGCTTCTTTTTCTGCTGTATCTATAACTGGTTGATATAGCTCATGCCTTTCAATTTGCGGCTGCTACTTGCTTTATAATAAAAATTGTAGCTTTTTGCTTGGTTAGGTTCCTGATCTTGTGTTATTCCCACAGGTTTTTGGCATCTCATGGTTAAAGCCCACATTTCTTGGATTCTTCCAAGTTATTTCTGCTCCAAATTCACAGCTAAGTGGGTGCGAAGTCACTCATATAGAGACAGGCTGCTCCTTTATTATCAGGAGGAAACAACACTGGAAGAACGGGGTGGCTTTGCTGGGATTCAATAACCATTCTCTCCATATATCACCCACCTACACTGCAACCTTCGAATTCAGAAATTACTTCTCTGCATAGGCCTGCCTTTGGGGGTTCAGGAGTATACCTCTGCAGACATGTACTTGGTGTAATGTTTCCCAGATTTCTCCCAGTGCTTCAATAAGGTGAGCAGACTACCAATTCTTATTAGGATTTTGGTAATTGATAGGAATAAATGTGCTATCAGTGCCTTGTCAGGTGCCTCCTAAATTTTTTCAGTTTTCTTTTTCCTTGGAACTCATTTAACACACTAGCTGAGGCTGGTGTAACAGGTAATTTTAGTCAACAAGATTCTCTCTGATATATTTCCAATAATAGCAACCTGTTCCACATTAGTGCAGTCTTTCCCCAGACAGCCCTGTTGTAGTGTGGCAGGAAAACCCAGCACTGGGAAGAGCAACCAGGACCACAGTCTTCCATGTCTTCAGTCTTACTTGTGAAACCTGCATTCCTGGAGGCTAGCAAGAGGGAAAGAACCACATGCATAGATCTACCATAAGGTGAGATTTACTTTGTCATTTAAGTCCTCACAGTAAAATATTTTAATGGATGTGAGACGGCACATAGGGCTGGAACTGAAAAACATATTTCAGCAAAGTGTTCTTCAACCTCAGAGTCCTAAGGGATTTCAAATTCAGGGGCCACAAGGCTGCAGTGGCATTGCACACACAAAGTAGTATCTTACCAGACCTGAAATGCTCTGCTCTTGATTCCCCAGTCTTTTATACTTGAGGTTTGCATCTCCATCCAGAAGAAATTATGAAATACATTTATTCACTACATCTAAAGAAATGTTTTTAAACATTGGATTCTTACATTTCTTTGAACACATCCAAAGGCAGCAAGGCTTTATCTAGAGCTGAGGTGTGAACACAGATTCAGTGTGCAAGTATTTCTGAATATACCTATGCCTCCAGTTCTTCAGCACTGGGGAAACTCTATTTCCCCAAGAGAGGAAAAACTCTCCCACGTGCACATGTTGACTGTGTGATTTCTGCAATACCACTGTGCTTGCCAAGTTCTCAGGGAGTTATACATTCGGCTTTTCATTTATCGTTACAAAACTAAAGGAAGGGGATACACCCATAGTCTCTTGGTGCCACTCTCAGTCATGCTAGTGCTGAGGAACTCAGATTAAAGTAGAATATCTAGAAGCACCAAGGTGGGGTGGAGGAATAATTTCATATAAGCAAAATACAAGGTAGAATGGATGATGAATTCTACAGAGAACTATAAATTTACACCCTAGGTTCACCAGGAAAAATGCCTCAGTTCCATGACTTTCCCCATGGATATTCTTGCTTTCTTTTCCCTTTCCTCTTTCTCTTTCCTGCTTCCATATATTGAAGAATATTTTGTCAATATGTACTAGAAAACTTCTGCAAAAGCTTACTACTCTTTTTTTAAGGTAAAGTTATCTAAAAGATGATGCTCTACTTCTTTTAGAGGTATACTGGAACAAGTCTCCATATATTGAAGATTATTTCATCAACACTTACTAGTAAACTTCTACAAAAACTTACTAGCTCTTTTCTTTTAAAGAAGGTCTCTAAAAGATGATGTTCACTTATTTGAGAGGTATCTTGGAACAAGTGAGGACTGGCTCTGTCAGAGCCCTTGCCCCATTTTCCTTGAGAGAAGCACCCCAATTACTTCAGAGCCACGGTATTCATGGCCCTGGGCAGTGGCTCATGCATCAGTCTCCTTCTCTTCTTTTCTAGCCTCCATTACAGTAAGGAATGGCCACAAGATCTAGTTCTATCAAATGACATGTCTGCTGGGATGACAGTGGGTAGGGGTGGGGTAGGGTTGTTTGGGGAAAGTGCTTGCTTATAGTTTCCTAATTAAAGGGGGGAAAAGTTCCAGGTATAATTTTTTCTCTCTTCCCCTTCTTTCTGCTTGAGTGCAGACATAAAGCTAAGTCTACAGAAGTCATCTTGTGGTCATGATGTGGAAAGATAAAATGATGGCCAGATTAATCACAGAGATGCCAGCTCTGATGTCATAGGTCACCAATATAGTGCAATCAGCTGCATCCCTTGAGACATTTTGTATATAGAAACACCCTTTATTATTTAATGTTAGCAGTCAATGGTTTCTAAATCATATAAGATACCTTCTCTTAAAGGGTCAACAGTTGGGAGGCCAGTCCAGATATTCAATAATTTACACCCATTTGTGGACATTTAGATTAGATAAGAGTAAACTTCATCAGAAACTGACCAACTCAAAATCATCTCAAGAAAGTCTGAATTTTAAAAAATTAAAAGTGAATTACCTGTCTACTTTTCTATCCCATAATTCACTTGTCTTAGAATGGGCTTTTGGAGGTAATTATTGCCCGAAGTGGGCACTTGAATATTATATAATTTTGGAACTAGCCCACAAAGATCCCACAGTTTCCTAGTATTGGGGAGGAAAGGTAATATTAGGCAGTGTGCCCAGCTTAATATTTCAAGGACTCATGACCCCCTGCATTTTAATAAACTCAATGGAAGAGAAGAAAAGAGAAGGGATTATCACTGGGAATTTTATTCTTTTTTTTCTTCATGTCTCTCCTACACCACAGGTAAGGAGCTGAAATACACCCTTCTCATGTTTCTCATCATGATTTCCTTGAATTATCATTCCTGCCCTTTCATAACCATTTGCAAAAAAAATCATCACTTAGAGATGAATATGGCAAAAAGGAGAACATTCATTGTCTGCTTCCCTGCCTTTTATCCTTTGCCCAAGAAGTGGATGGAGACAGATGATGAAGAGAAGGGTAAGAATAGACTGAGGACAGAAGATAAACTATAATTCCCTGAGGACTAAGAAAGGCAGCACATGAATCTCTGTAGGAAATGAAATAATTAAGAGAAATTGATAGGAGGAAGAGAGGAAGTGAGGGATTAAAAGGTTCTTCTGCACTTGGAGGAGGGAGAGTCTGCAGAGTTTATGAAGATAGAGAGGTGTAGAAAGAACAAGGGATGTTAAAAAAATATTTCTGTGCACTATTTGGAGAAATTTTTTAGTCTTAAGGATTTCAAGAAAACATTTGAGTTACTTGTAATCTCTGTTTTCCTCAGTGCAACACCATCTGAAATTGCTCTCACAGCAATGCATCCATATTTAATATTTAATACATAGATTCACAAAATGCAATTAATAGCCTAGACCAATAATTAAGTGTACATGTAAGAAAATGTTTTAAACAATTCACTAAGAAATGCAGAAACTAACCATTAATAAAAAACATCAACAAGAGCTAGAATCCCAAGATGTCATAGTGGAAAGGATGATACAGATTAACATGTGCACTCTACCGATAAAGAAGCTGAGGCCAAAACAGGTTAACGGACTTGTCCACAGTTATTCCCAAGGTTTGCCCTCAGTTCCATGGCATGATCTTACTGATCTGGTTTTTGTAACATCCACACATCAGCTATCAGTTCAGGACTGAGGGTTGCATTTTATACACATTAGGCCAATGGCAGCTACAAGAAACTATGAGTGACATTTACTTCAAGAAGAATGGAAGAAGTAAATTACAGGGAAAATGCAGTTGAATTTGGGTATGACACCTGTCAACAGCAAAGGAAACATGCACCCATCTTCCATGACACCAGGAAATGAAACTAAAATGAAAGACAAAGCTGTTCTCTAGGTGCTGTCATCCAGCCTGGTTTTCCAAGGCACGTAAATGCTGACTGCACAATCTGTGAATGCAAACAGTTGTGCAGAGTTGCAGAGTAGGCCTCTATTGCCTTTCTCTTACAGATCCTCAACCTTGAACCCTTTATAAATCTCTAGATGCAGTAAAATGCAGGCTAAGGTGAAAATATGGCATTTACTTGCTGAAAAAGATAATGGTAGATGATGAGGGAACTCCTAGGTCTTTACATCCAGACATAGAGCACCACGCTGTATGTGCTTTAACCCTCAAATAAAAAACAAGGAGAATGGAAAACCCACAAGCACTAAAACCACTTTAGTTACATGGTGCTAGGCAAGATGAATAAGGCAAAACTCCCTCACTCAAAATTATGTTAGGAAGCTATGAGCATTAAAGAAAGTTAAGATCTGTCTAGCACTGATGGCATTATGAGAGCAGAGGCCTAATTTTCATAGAATGAGAAAGAGGGTATCTCCATTTGCCATACATGCAAGCAATTCCAATGACAGCTCAGGAGCACTCCCTTGTTGGATTTTGCAACTCATGGATTCTTGATATTTTGCACAGAGACTTCTGTAGAGTGCTACATTTTATAATTTTACAATTTAACCAACATTTACTAATCACCTCCTATGTGTCAGGCACTGTGTTAGATTCTGGAAAATTTCAATTATTGTTCAGACAATATCTTGTCTGAATAGCATATTTAGGACAGCTGCATTTAGACTGGCGAATTTGAACTTCTGTTCTCTGCAATATGGAGAACCAGACAACCTCAAAGCTTTCCGAGAACAAAATACCTAGAAGTACAGGCTAACACCCATTAAATACTTAGCTGAGCTCACAAGGACAAAAAAGAGGGAATGGAAAACCAGAGCATTGAGCTTATGTGTAATACAAGAATTATACTGTGGTTTTTCTGTCAAAATATGGCAGAAACTATTAGTGTTTATCCATAGTCACGTGTTTTTGTATATTTCTCAGCCTCCCTTGCAGTTAGGTTGACCATGCGAGTGAGTTCTGGCCAATGGATGGTGGGTAGGAGGGATTATCCCTAAATATAGCCTATTCACACTTCTACACGCTCTCTCCTTCATCCATGTTTCTGGAAACAAATGAAAATAGGGAAGCTATGTCTTGGAAGGCATCTAAACCCCCAATTGCTACTTAGAGAAAAGTATCCAAAAGAGATGCTCAATCTTTATTGAATGATATGTGAACAATCAACTTATGTTGTGTTAAGCCTGTAAGATATTGGGGTAATTTGTTACATCAGCTGGCATTAATTACTAAAAGATAAGGTTACCTAAATTTGCAATTTAATTATCCCACAAAAATAGGAATTGAGACTCTGAGCCTTTGTGAGAAAGTGATGCCAAGCTATAACCCCTGAATAATGTTCATATAATCTAGAAAAGGTAGAGATTCACAAAAATTCATCACAAGGCGACAATAATGAAGCTTTTTGTTCTCCACCTGAGCTGTGGCTGGAGGAATAATGACAAAAACATCAAAGGCTTTCTCTAAACTTTGATATCCTGGGCCTGAATCTCACATGGGTTTGGAGTTAAAATGTAACCATGTGGTACAGGAATATCCCAGTTAAAATTTAACATGAAAGAAAAACCTATGAAAACCTAGAGCAGAGAAAATGATAAACACTCTAGAAAGTGTTTATAATTTTCTAGAAAGTAATTTTCTAGAAAGTAAATATAAGCTACAGAGAACTTCCACAGTTAAATTCCCACAGGAAAGAATTACTCATGCACACTTACAAAATACACCAGGAAAAGCAGTTCTTGTGTCATTCACATCAGCCGAAGTCAGTAGACACAATAAACCACACAATCAGACATTCAAAAAATTAGGTAGCTAAGCTATAAGATAAAGCTTATTAACCATTTATGATCAAAATAAATAAAGGCATGCAAGAAAGAGAAGAAAAAATAACGTGTGGTGGTTGCTGCGAGGGACTACTCAGATTCTCCTTTGGAAGTAACATACTTATATTTCCCCAGCTGCTATGAGGGCTTCCAGAGTAGGACTTTGAGCTATGAGTCCTCTTTGTAGGTTGCCTCAAATAAATAAAACTGCGTCACTCAAGGTCACACCACCTTCTAGGGGTGCCCTACTTCCAGTGATTTATCAGACAGATGATAACCTAACCCCCTGGTCCAATTCAGTATAAATCTGAAAAGCCATTCCATCTCCAGAGCTCCCCGTGGCATCAGCTAAGCTTTCGTTGGGACTGTCATGTAGTTCATCTTCTCACTCTTTTCAAACTCTGTTTTGTATCTCTCCCTTTTGCAGATGTTGGTCCCAACCACTACTTAGCAAATGTCCTGCTTGCTCATCTAATTCCGAGAGTCTGCTTCTTGGAGAACCCAATCTGAGATACCATGGAACCATTAAAAAAAAAAAAGAATAAACAAACATACATTAGCCAATTTGAAAAATCATGAAACAGAAATCGTATAAAAGAAAAATAGGGCACAAAAAAAATCAAAGGAAAGGTTAAATGACATGCCATACACAACTAAAGGGAGAAGTAAAATTTTAAAATTTTACTAATTAGAGAATTAGTGATATTTTTAAAAATTAAGAATTAGGAAAATGGATATGAAAACATTGTCAAGACCATGTGTGTTAAATACCTTCTATCTGTCCCTCTCAATCCACTTTACACCCTTCTTCACCCTGTTTTTTACCCTGAGATGCTGACCTATACTGTAGGATGACCAACTATCCTGGACACAGGACTTTCATTGCAAAGACTAGAGCAGTCTCAGGCAAACTTGGATGCTTTCTTTTCCTACCTGTATGAACTATATGAATGAGCTCCCTTGCCCTCTTGCTTTGGGTTGGAAAAAAAGAGAGAGGCATATTACCTATGAATAAATGACAAATGCACTGACAGTAAATTTCACAATGGCAGTAAGTTCATAAAATAATACATGCAAAAATTATTAAAGAAAACAATCAATCACTCAAGACTAAAGACAGAGTTGTAGATGTTTGCTCCCAGCCATGATGATGTAACGAGGAATGCCTTAACCTTCCTGACTTAAACAACAACAGAGCTAGAAAAAAATACATAAAATAATGGTCTCCAGACATTTCACAAGAAGCAGCACATGACTAGGATCCTTAGTACTAAAGAAGGAAAGCAAATGAGAGGAGCCTGACAACTGCCCCACTTTCTGCTTGGAGGCAGTTTCTAGGCTACAGCGCGGGGAGAAGTGGCCCCAAGAAGAGCTTGGTAGTATTTGTGATTTGAAAAGATACAGATTAGAGTTTGTGGAGGCCAAGGAGGCTCAAATTGAGGGGCAATGGAGAGGAGGTTGCTTCATAGAAAGCGGCAAGCTACAGAGAATCTGTAGAAATGGCCCTTCAGTCCTCTTTGAGTACTGATACGCACATACATTAGGTCTTGGAAAGAAACAGCAAAAAGCAGCAGACTAAACAATTCTTGAAATTCTCAGGAGGCTGGAAATAAATCATGTTCTGACCAGTCAACAGAAAAAGATCCCATAATATAAGCGGCTTCAGGTAGAGTCTCCACAGAGGTATCACCCTACTAGTGAGACTAAATTAACCTGAAAAGAAAGATGGCATTGCAACTTCGCTAATATAACTTAAAAGCAAATGTATGAATGACCCAAGTGATTTCAAGTAGTTGTGTGCCAGAATACAGACAAATACTACTTAAAGGAATACATCAAAATCTATCACCCAACAATGCAAAATTCAAAATATATGCTATTCAATAAAAAATTACAAGGCAGACCAAAAAAGCAGAATAAAAGAACCAAAAGCAGGAAAAAATATCAATCAATAGAAAAATGTCTCCAAACGGTAGAAGTGATGGAGTTAGTAGAAAAGAATATTGAAATGGAGACTCTAAATATGACTCACAAGTTTAATAATATAGAAGACAACATTAAATTAAAAAAGAAAGAAATTGAAGATATAAAAATAATTTCTGGAGGTAAAAATTAATATTTTTATTTCTTGAAAAAATAATTGATTCCTTAAAGCAAAAATAGTAACTATCTATTAGGGAGTATATCCAAAAATGCTCTGGTAGAAATAAAAATTATGTATAAAATTATTTGCAACTGGACTCTGGACTACACAGTGTATGAACCTCTAAGAGTCTAAGCTTTTTTAGCTTAAGACCTAGAAAAGAGACTGACTGTATTTATTTAGGCTAGGCTTCCTTTTTCATTGGGCCTAACCAAGTCCTGTTTAGTATCTTCATATTTTATTTATTTTACAGTTAAAAAATGGAGAGTCCATTTCTCTAAAGCTTAGCAGTTATTAACAGCTGTCATTATTGAATGCTTAGAGTGTGCCAATCAAGAGATTTTCATGATTTTCTAATTTAATACTCACTCATCTAGTGAGATGTACACGTAAACTTATCTTCACTTAGGAAGCCAACGCTAAGAGCTGTTAAGGCATTTATTCAAGATTTCACATATAGGCAGTAAAACATAGGCCTCTCTGGTTGTACAGCTGTGCTTTTGCAACCACTCTGCTGTGCTAACCCCTAAGAGGAGAACTGACCTAAGCCATTCACTGTGTGTGACCGAATTTCCTCTTTGCCTCAACTGATGACGGGTTTCCAGAAGGTGGGCAATCCTTAAGAAGAAAGTTTTCAGGTGTCTGGGCCTACTCTATTGTCCACAGAGAATGAGAAAAAAGAATGAGTATCTATTAGAAAAGAGTGAGTATATTTTAGAAACCTAAGTTGTATATAATTTAGAGTTTCATATGTTCTTCAACCCAACAGAGCTATTTTTCTTGGTGTGAAATGAGGATGAAGACCATAAATTCAAAATGTGGGACTAACCTTTATTCTGTTTCTGTTTATTTTTATTTTCCCATCTATGTTTTAAATCTGTATCCTGTATTATTTTGAATCATCCACTCTGTATAATACAGAACTAGACATTAAAGAGAAGCCACAGAAACTTAAAAAATATATATGTGCCCATCAAAAAGTGGGCAAAGGACATGAACAGACACTTCTCAAAAGAAGACATTTATGCAGCCAAAAAACACATGAAAAAATGCTCACCATCACTGGCCATCAGAGAAATGCAAATCAAAACCACAATGAGACACCATCTCACACCAGTTAGAATGGCAATCATTAAAAAGTCAGGAAACAACAGGTGCTGGAGAGGATGTGGAGAAACAGGAACACTGTTACACTGTTGGTGGGACTGTAAACTAGTTCAACCCTTGTGGAAGTCAGTGTGGCGATTCCTCAGGGATCTAGAACTAGAAATACCATTTGACCCAGCCATCCCATTACTGGGTATATACCCAAAGGACTATAAATCATGCTGCTATAAAGACACATGCACACGTATGTTTATTGCGGCACTATTCACAATAGCAAAGACTTGGAACCAACCCAAATGTCCAACAATGATAGACTGGATTAAGAAAATGTGGCACATATACACCATGGAATACTATGCAGCCGTAAAAAATGATGAGTTCATGTCCTTTTTAGTGACATGGATGAAATTGGAAATCATCATTCTCAGTAAACTATAGCAAGAACAAAAAACCAAACACTGCATATTCTCACTCATAGGTGGGAATTGAACAATGAGAACACATGGACACAGGAAGGGGAACATCACACTCTGGGGACTGTTGTGGGGTGGGGGGAGTGGGGAGGGATAGCATTGGGAGATATACCTAATGCTAGATGACGAGTTAGTGGGTGCAGCGCACCAGCATGGCACATGTATTCATATGTAACTAACCTGCACATTGTGCCCATGTACCCTAAAACTTAAAGTATAATAATAATAAATGAAATAAAAGCCAGCTTGAAAAAGAAAGAAAAAAAAGGAAAAAGGTTTGAAAACTTTAAAAAAAAAAAAAAAAAAAAAAATATATATATATATATATGTGTGTGTGTGTGTGAATTATTTTTGTAAGTTATTCAGAGTGTTGTAAAAGTAGGGCAATATTTACTCTTAAGACTAAATATTCAGAAAATATACTGATACTTGTCAACTAAGGTAGAATGTAATTGTGGTAATAATGGCTTCCGCATTTTCAGAGCACCTTTTAGTTTCTGAAACCTATGACTTATTTCATCTGATTTCTCCCTTACAATAGGCTAGTGAAGCCTAGATAAAAAATATTAATATCTTAATATCTCTACTTGGTAAATGAGAAAACTAAGTCACAAAAGATCAAGAGACTTGTTCCAAGTGACACAATTAGTAAAGTGTTGTCTGGCTGGAATTCAAATCCATGTCTCTTAGTCCACATCTGAGTTTCTCTCAAAGCACTGTACTGCTTTCTTGGTGGCTGAGGTAACTTTGGATTCTGAGCTTGTTTAGATTTTCTGATGGGTTGATTACATTCACATTGGTTAACCTACTCATTTTCAACTCGGTATTAATGGATTATCCATAATTAGTAGCATGTTCATTTTCATAAACTTCCTTATGACCTGAAAAATATTTTAAATTCATGTCTTTTGCCCACTTTTTAATGGGGTTATTTTCTCTTTGCTTGCCGATTTAAGTTTCTAATAGACTCTGGATATTAGACGTTTGTCAGATGCATAGTTTGTGAATATTTTCTCCCATTCTGTAAGTTGTCTGTTTACTCTCTTGATAGTTTCTGTTGCTTTGCAGAACATCTTTAGTTTAATTAGGTCCCCCTTGTCAAGTTTGGTTTTTGTTGCAGTTGCTTTTGAGAACCTAGCTATAAATTATTTGCCAAGGCCAATATTCAGAAGAATATTTCTTAGGTTTACTTCTAGGATTTTTATAGTTTGAGGTATTACATTTAAGTCTTTAACCCATCTTGAGTTTATTTTATGTGGTGATAGGTAGTTCATTCTTTCTGCATATGAATAGCCAGTTATCCCAGCACCGTTTATTGAATAGACAGTCTTCTCTCCACTGCTTATTTTTGTTGAATTTGTCAAAGATCAGGTGGTTGTAGATGTGTGGCTTTATTTCTGGATTCTCTATTTTGTCCTATTTGTCTATGTGTCTGTTTTTGTACCAGTATCATGCTGTTTTGGTTACCACAGCTTTGTAACATAGTTTGAAGTTGGCTAATGTGATGCCTCTGGCTTTGTTCTTTTGCTTAGGATTGCATTGGCTATTGCGCACTTCTTTGGTTCCATATGAATTTTAGAACAGACACTTCTCAAAAGAAGACATACAAGTATCCCATAAACATATGAAAAAAATGCTCATTATCTCTAGTCATCAGTGAAATGCAAATCAAAACCACAATGAGACACCATCTCACACTAGTCAGAATGGCTTCTTTTAAAGTAAAAAAATAACAGATGTTGGTAAGGCTACAGAAAAAAAAGAGACAATTATACACAGTTGGTAGGAATGTAAATTAGTCTAGCCACTGTAAAGAGAAGTTTGGAAATTTCTCAAAGAACTAAGAGTTGAACTACAGTTTGACTCAGCAATCCCATTACTGGGTATATACCCAAAGGAAAATAAATTGTTGTACCTAAAGGACACATGCACCCATATGTTCATCATAGTACTATTCACAATAGCAAAAACATGGAATCAACCCAAGTGCCCATCAACAGTGGATTGGATAAAGAAAATGTGGTACATATACACCATGAAATATTATGCAGCCATAAAAAAGAATGAAATCTTGCCCTGTGCAGCAACATAGATGTAGCTGGAGGCTATTGTCCTAAGGGAAATAATACAGAAAGATAAGGCAAAATACTACATGTTCTCCCAAGTAGGAGCTAAGCATTGAGTAAACATGGACATAAAGATGGAAATAATAGACACTGGGTACTACTAGAGGGATGAGAAAGGGAGGTGGGGGAAGGGCTAAAAAACTACCTATGGGTATTATGCTCACTATCTGGGTGACGGATTCAGTCATACCCCAAATCTCAGCATCATGCAATATCCCTTTTTAACAAACCTGCACATGCATCCCCTGATTTGCAAATAAAAGTTGATACAGAAAAAAAACATTAAATTGCTTTCTGCAAGCAATTTCAAGGTAATCAAAATGTCTTTGATGAATAATAAGTGACAATGAGAAGAAACTACTATATTTTTGATAAATTGTATGTGTTAATAAGTGAGGTAATTCACCCACCACCTGGGAGGTGGTGCTGTCATCCCCACCCCATGGGCAAGGCTGGGAATCCAGAGTCCTTCAGTAGTTGCCTAGGATAAATCCCCTTTGCAAACATATATCTGGATTCAACATATTCTTGCTGGATTCCTGAGCCCATGTTCTTCTCATTCTACCACAAGGGGGTTAGAATTGAATTTTAGACATGGTATTTTGTGACTATGATGCTTATTTTTCAATAAATGTTGTACACATTCTTTGACTCTATTTTTAGAATTGGTTCTAACTTCTGCTATTTTAAATGAAACAATAAAGCTTGTCAGGAGGTATTAGTCTTCTTAAATGTGGGAGTGTTATAATATTTTAATACAAGAATCTACTCACTTGACAACTTCATTTATCTGAAATATTTTTAGTACAAATTAGCAGAAATGGTACTAAATGTACAATACAAAAGCATGCTATTCATAACACACTAAGTCATTTCATTATCTAGAACTCATTGACAGTTTGTGCGCATTTATAGCAAGTACAGTGATTTTTACTTTCCAACACGTAGAAGGTTAGAAACCTTAAACTGGCAAACAGAAAAAAGCTATAAAAAGTGAGCTGAGAGTCATATAAAGATGTAAATAATTGCTGAATAAGAAGGTTAAAAAATTGCCAAGATTGATACAAGTATTTTACATACGGTAGCATATTGGTTTCATTTATGGAGGGTCATGTATCTATTTATTTCTTTATTGAAAAGTTTTATTTCATAAACCCTAGGCCTGAATGTATCACTATAATAATAACTGATGTTCATAATAACCATGAACAATTTAAACAGAAAAGTTAAAATTGAATCACAGACTAGCAAGGCTGGAAGAGATCTTAGAAATGCATCATGGAGCTAAAGCTCTCATTTTTCACATGAAGCTACTTAGTCTCAGAGAAGTGAAGTAACTTCCCAAACCTTCCTAGCTTGTCCCTGGAGAGTTTGGCAGAGCTAAACTCAGATAAATTCAGATAGCCAGAATGCTCACCACACTGCCTCCCTTTTCCAGTGGCATTATGTATTGAGGTTGCTGTTTAGAAAGTGCATTCCACAGTGATCAGTCTTCACAAAGACTTCCATTTAAGAAAAAGTTATTTCTTTTGAATATTGGAGCCTGATATTCAAAAGAAATATCTACTGAGTTCCTGTTATTTCTAAAAATCACTTCCATGGAACACCCCATACCCTCAGGAAATGAGGTAAATGTGCTGTTGCTGTATGTTAAATTTTTAACTACCAGGGACAAATAGGTCACCCATTTCTTGCTCCTTTTGACTAATCTCTATGGGCCTCTGTTACAGGAGAAAATGAGATGGAGAATTTGTGACTGAGCAATACACACTTTGGTCCTCTGAAATGGATGGACGTGACTTAATTTTCTCACAGCAGTCTGAGGGCATCAACTAGAAATGAAGGAAAGGTCAAGATGAGAAAGCAGAAATAATTAAAATAAAGGGAAAATTAACCTGAGTGCCAGGGACTCATCACTGAAGTTGAAAAAGAAAGCAGGCAGAGTAGAGGAGAAGCAGGATTGGAATCACATTAATATTAAATAGGAAGGAGATACAGGAGGGGAGCATGAGGGAGGAAATGAATTCCAAGAAGTATAAAACACATTTAAAAAGCTTAGATTATTTTCTGACTATGGTTAGTTATTATAAAGGCTTTGGTAATTTAAAAAGAGAGAGAAAGAGAAGAATGAGAGAAAAGGAAAAGATGAACTAGTTGCTGCTCTGCCTTTGAAGGCTAAATTTTCTAGATCTTCATCTGAACACATATTCCCTGTTCCAATCTGTCTGTCTCCAAGCTCCAAACCTCCTGACCTGAGGCAAGACCTAGATTTCAGGAGTTAGAGAAATGGCTCCCAGCCAAAAATGCCATCAGAGGTAGGCACATCCTGCTCAAGTGCTCTGGCTCAGATCAGCACTCCTAAGTTTTCCGCAGCACTTATTTCAGTAAAGTGTCACGTACCAACAACTCAAGCGGTGGCCAGAGCCACAGGCATTTCTGATGGAGATCAGGCTGAGTCAGAGCACATAAATCCTAAAGGAAAGTGACACGCTCTCGGCACTCAGAGGTTGCAGTGCTAGTATTAATACTACACAGAGAGACAGACAGTATTAATACTACACAGGAGAGAAAGAAGAGAGCATAGGTAGGAACCCAGATTCTACACCACTTCAGTTTATAGGGATGGTCTGAATGTTCAAATATGTGAGGTAAATTCAATTAAAATTACCCGGCTGTTTAAAATGGCCTAGCTGTTCAAGTTGGTTACAGTTCTATAATCTCTCTTCTTTCGTGACTTCATCACTTCTACCCATAGGTTTTTCTCACCCTGAATTATTCCCTATACAAAAAACAAAGAAAAGGAATAACAACTTTACTTAGCTACTTTTCTTCCTCTGCTCCACTGGAAAACTCTCTGAAAATGTACTTAGCTTCTCCTACGGTCTCCTTACACAGTCTAATGCCTCTCCTATCTCTCAAGCCTTAGCTCTCGGGTTTCAGCACCATTATTCCACTGCAACTGCTTTTGCTTCAGACTGTCTAGTCTCTGCTCAGACCTTACCTAACAAGCCCCTTCAACAGCAGAATGATATTGGCCATGACATTTTTCTTGAAGTTCTTTCTTTTTTAATTTCTCTATTATTCTGGTTCATCTTCTGTCTCTTTGATTGATATTTCTCTTTTCTGAAATTCCTCTTTTCACGCCACCTACCAGGTGTTGAAGTTCTCTAGAGTCCAGCCCTTTGCCTTCTTCCTCTCCACCCATTCACTTCCATCTGTCAATGCTGAAGGAACACTTTGGAATGACTTCATCCACAAGCTGATAGGAAGATGATTCAGAAATTCCAGGTTCCACATTCAGACAGGACAATGTCCAGAGGAGAAAAGAAACTGTTTTTTTCTTGTAATTTTTTTATGAGTCAATACACATTTCTTCAGAAGCTAGTCAACAGAATTCTAACCTCATTTAATGGCCAGAATGGAATCACATGACAACAAATATTTATTGAACCAATGACAGACAAGAAGAATGGAGCTTCTACGGTGGCTAATACTGCCCATCTTGAGAAGGAATTATATTTGTCACCGTCCTAGTCGGAGAGTTTAATAAATGATGTTTTACATAAGTACAGTTTAAGTATAGGAAAACCACAAGAGATAGTAGAGTTTTCTGGTTGTAAGGGCACCCTTGAAGTGGGCAGGGAGGTTTGCCACCCTTAGATGTGAAGGAGAAAAAGGGAGACAGTTGTGTGAGGACATTCCCTGAGTGGAAATTTGGTCTTTGGCACAATTTCTTTTTGGTTCAATTTGTGGATCTTTTGTGTGTTGATTTGTAATATAATCTTGTATCCAGCATATTGATAGATTTGGTTTGAATTTTAATAGTTTGTCTATAGATTTTTACGTGTGTGTGTGTTTGCGTGTGTGTTCCTGTATCTCATCATATCTGCAAACAATCACATATTTATTATTGCTTCCAATCTGTATACACCTTATTTATTCTTCAAAATTTTCTGAATTGGACAGAATTCCTGTGCTATATCGAAAAGTATACCTCATAGCAGGCACCCATGCCTTGTTCCAACTTTAAACAGAATGCATCTAATCTTTCCCCATTATGTTTGTTACTTTCTGTGGGTTTTTATTAGATAACCTCATCATCTCCTTGCTATTCCCAATGGCTCTTCTTAGTTTAATCCCTCGTTATCTCTCCCTGGGAATATTGCAATAGTCTCCTAACTAATTTGTCTGCCTCCAGCCTCATACCCCACACATTCGTCTCCTGCATTGTGATCAAGGTAATATTTATGAAATGCAAATCTGATCATGACTCTACATGCTTACAATTTCTTATTAGCCTTGCAAGATGTATATAACACACAAGTCCAGGTTCCTGAGGAAAAAAAAGCCAACCCTCCCATATCAGTTAGAACTTCATCTCACGTAACTTCCTGCTAGAGAGAAGAATATAAGGTCTCTACAAAATAAGAACACCTTAATGTTTACCAGAAAAAGCTTCTGCCTCTTTCAAGCCTAAGTTGTCACTACTCTTCACAAACAGCCTTCTGAAAATGGTGTTTTGTAAGATATCTCTCCTCTATTTTTACCCCGAGTTCTCCTCCCTTAGTTTTCACAAGGTATACCCTCATCACCTGTGATCATAAAATCTCCACTCCATTACCAACAAAATTTGATTCTCAAATGGGTTTTAAGTTGTACCCTTATATGTCAGGAAGCCTAAGATTTTGATATGCAAAGGAATTGAAATGTGACAGCAACACAGACACAACTAACTAGTGAGAATTCTACCTTTCCTTTCTTGGTAAGCAGTATGGTTTTAGATTAAATGTTAAGGTTTTGGTTTTGGTCTTTTTTCCACAACACTCTCCTTCTAACTTAAGCTGTTTTCACAACCCCCTTTGGCATGTTAAGCTTCTATAATATCAACATATGGACATTTCCATAATAAGCTATACTAGGTCAAGCCTCCTCTGTTTTCACATGTGTGTTCCTATGCCTGCCTGAATTATCCTTTCTCTGAAAGCCTATTCTCTTACAAACCTCACTTTATGTCATTTCTTCCTGGAAACTTTCTCTTCCACCCCAAGGAGTAGGGGATCCTTTTCTCTGTATCATTTCTATACATTTTACATATTTTACTGTACTTTTTATACTATATTATAACTTCTTTACTGGGATTGTTACACACAATTTGACCCAAAGGGAACTTTCAACCCTTTTGATGAATGAATTAATGAGTGCATAAATGAATGCATGAATATCTTAATGAGTTTTTTTGAGGCACAGATCTGGCAGAGTTCTTGGCACTAATTCAATATTCTATATATGTTTCTTCTTCATTGGTTCACTGGGCAACAGCAGCAGGTCTCTCCCATGCAAAGCCATACCAATACCACCAAGAAGACCTTCAGAAGCATAGCAGCCTCAGTCACTCAGGGACATACCAAACTGAGTCCTGGAAACATTCAACTTCTCTTCAGTCTTTGCATTGCCAGCAGCTTTATTATTCTGGGAAATTAGAAAACTGATGCCTTAACCACTGCTGAGGAGCTCCCATTTTAGAATAATCTAACTGGAGAAGATGAAAGCCCAGAGCAGAAAATGCCACCTGTCCTGACTGTGGGGTGGGGGACTGTCCTAAACAACAATACTGTTTAGATGATTGGGAGCAGGTGTGCTAGGGAAGCTACCAATAACTAAGAGCTGAAGTTTCTAACTCTACACTAGCTTTGGAAGAGGAGAAGCCAGACACTGTACTAGAAGAAGTGTGCCAGTCTCATTTAATTATCACAACAGGCCTGCAAAGTCAATATTATTCCCATTTTATAGATGAGGACCCTACAGCTGAGTGAAATGAGCTCATTTAATGAAGGTTATGTAGATAGTAACTTTCTAAGCCAAGTTACAAAATTAGGTCTGGTCTTATTCCAAAGAATTCTTTGTTTTATTGATGTTATTTTCTTAACCCTTTACTACGAAACACTTTTATCTGAAAGCAGAAGTGGCTTCAGCCCTCACCGTCCTCACAACCACCCCACTCCCCAGCATACCTAAGCTGGCAGCCTGCTTCAATACATCAAATTATTTCTATAAAAGAGAGAACTCAGCAAGCATTAAATGCCAGATGTCATCAAACTGACCACCCACCTCTATGTATCAAGAAGCAAGAACCAGAACAATTAGATTATGGTGATTGATGTCAGACTGAAAAAAGAGGCAAGAAGATGATACTTTTAAAAGAGGGAAGCTCTAGTTTAAAAACAACATGAATCAGAATTTAAGCTAAACTATAATTTCTGTAATTTAGTGAATAAAAAAGAAATTAAACTTCTATTCATGTCTAGCTCCAAAAGGTTTTGATTGTCATATTACATTTTCTGTTGCATAGAAATACAAAATGAGGGATTCATTCTAGATTTGTAATAGTAATTCAAGGCTATCATGTGAAAGAAGTATTTGAAAAAAAAAAGAGTATTTGTATTTTTGCTGGATCGCAGTGGCAGAACTAAAAACAATAAATGGAAGCTTCAGGGATCATAATAAAAGAAAACACTCTACTACGAACAGAGCTGTCCAAAGGTGAAATGAGTTACTTCAATGAGACTGCCTCTGCAGAGATTTTCAAGGGTAACTGGGACAGCACTTAACTGGGGCATTTCAAAAAGGTAAAAGTCTCCAGTTGGGTAGGATTACATGATGTCTAAGGACTTTTCCCAATTTGTTATTCTTTTGTTTTAGAACAGGTGAAAAGATTTCCACTTTCTCTGCTATTGTTTACACATCTTATATTTATTTGGAAATGATGTACTACCATATTAGCCATTTATTTTTGCATGTACTTGATTTGTGCCTATAGCCTCTATGTTGCCTCTCATTAATGTTGAATGTTAGGAGAAGGTGTTTATCAGTGTTAACTAGCTGCACTTGACTTATTCTGTATTATAGTGGGCATCACACATCTTGAGTAAGTCTATTGCTAGGCTTAATTAAATATTTATAATATATAAAATAAAACTTGTATCATTCTGAGCAAACTATCACAAGGACAGAAAACCAAACACCACATGTTCTCACTCATAGGTGGGAATCGAACAATGAGAACACTTGGACACAGGGCGGGGAACATCACACACCGGGGCCTGTCGTGGGGTGAGGGAAGAGGGGAGGGATAGCATTAGGAGATATACCTAATGTAAATGACAAGTTAATCGGTGCAGCACACCAACATGGCACATGTATACACATGTAACAAACCTGCACGTTGTGCACATGTACCATAGAACTTAAAGTATAATAAAAATAAATAATAATAAAAATAAAACCTGAAGAATCCAGGAATAAAATTGTTCTTTAAAAAAAAAAACTCATGCCATAATATTTATTTTTGAAAAAAATATAAAATCCATTTCTACTGACATATCATTGGACATTACCCTAGTTCTTACCTTGCTTTTGAAAAATCTCTGTTTACACTTGGCAATTAATAAGCCTCTTGGTTGCTTATTTTCATAGATTCACATAAATACTAAGGAGCATAAAACTTTCTTCATCTTATATCTTCTTCATAAAAATGATAAAATTTAAATCAAGTATTTAAGTGCTACATATAAAGCCACATTCTGCTTTTTAAGGACAGAATTTTATTTAAAACTCTGTTTCCTGGTTCTTAACTATCCCCCTTTCCCATTTCTCTGTCTCTTACTTTTTTCTCTCTCATGCAGGCATACCTATGAGATATTGTGAGTTCAGCTCCAGACCACTACAATGAAGTGAGAGTATCTCAATAGAGCAAGTCACACAAACTTCTTTAGCTTCCCAATGCATATAAAAGTTTGTGCTATCCTGTAGTCTACTAAGTGTGCAATAGCATGTGTCTAAAAATAATGTACATACCTTAATTTTAAAATAGTTTATGGCTAAAATAAGCTAAGGATTATCTGAGCCTTCAGAACGTGATAATCTTTCTGCTGGTAAAGAGTCTTGCTTCATTGTTGATGGCAGCTGACGATCACAGTGGAGACTGCTGAAGTTTGGGATGGCTGTGGCAATTTCTTAAAATAGGACAACAATAAAGTATGCTGCAGCAATTGACTCTTCCTTTCACACACATAAAAAATTTCTCTGTAGCATGTGATGCTGTTTGGTAGCATTTTACCCACAGTAGAACTTCTTTGAAATTGGGGTCAACCTTCTCAAACCCCGTTGCTGCTTTATCAGCTACGTTTATGCACAATTTAAAATCCTTTGTTGTCATTTCAACAATGTTCACAGCATCTGCACCAGGAGTAGACTTCATCTTAAGAAATCACATTCTTTGCTCATCCATAAGAAGCAACTCCTCATCTTTTCAAGGTTTATCATGAGATTGCAGCAATTCAGTCACATCTTCAGGCTCCATTTCTAATTCTAGTTTGCTTTCTATTAATATTTCTACCACATCTGTAGTTACTTCCTCTAGTGACAACATCTTGAACCCCTCAAAGTTATCAATGAGAGTTGGAACTCCTTCCAAACTCCTGTTTATATAGATCTTCTGACCTTCTGCCATGAATCACAAATGTTCTTAATGGCATCTAGAATGCTGAATCCTTCCCAAAAGGTTTTTAGTTTACTTTGCCCAGATCCATTGGATAAATCACTACCATGGCACATATACGATGAAATGTATTTCTTAAATAGTCAAAGTTGAAAGTCAAATTACTCCTTGATCCATGGGCTGCAGAAGGGATGCTGTGGAAGCAGGCATGAAAACAGCATTCATCTCCTCGTACATCTCCATCAGAACTCTTGGGTGACTAGGTGCATTGTCACCAAGCAGCAATATTTTGAAAGGAATCCTTTGGTCTGAGAACTAGGGCTCAACAGTGGGCTTAAATTATTCAGTAAACTACTCAGTAAACAGATTTGCTGTCATCCACACTTTGTGATTCCATTGATATAGCACAGGCAGAGTACATTTAGCATAATTCTTAAGGACCCTGGGATTTTCAAAATGGTAAATAAGCATTGGCTTAACTCAAAGTCACCAGTTGAATTAGTCCTTAATGAGAGAGTCAGTCTGTCCTTTGAAGCTTTGAAGAAAGGCATTGAGTTGTCCTCTCTAGCTACAAAAGTCTTAGATATCATCTTCTTCCAATAGAAGGCTGTTTCATCTACATTGAAAATCTATTGTTTCACTGTAGCCACCTTTATCAGTTATTTTAACTAGATTTTCTGAATAACGCTATAGCTTCTACATCAGCACTTGGCTGCTTTACCTTGCCCTTTTATGTTATGGAGATTACTTATTTCCTTAAACCTTATAAACCAACCTCTGCTAGCTTCAAACTTTTCTTCTGAAGCTTCCTCACCTCTCTCAGCCTACACTGAATTGAGGAGAATTATGGCTTGCTCTGGATTAGGCTTTGACTTTAGGAAGATAATGTTGTAGCTGATTTGATTTTCTTTCCAGACCAATAAAACTTTTTCCCTATCAGTAATAAGACTGTTCATTTTCTTATTAGTTGTGTGTTCACTGGAGTAGCACTTTCAATTTTCTTCAAGAATTTTACCTTTACATTCACAACGTGACTAAATGTTTGACACAAGAGGCCTAGTTTTGGCCTATCTCAGCTTTTGACATGCCTTCTTCACTAAGCTTCATCGTTTCTAGCTTTTTACTTCAAATCAGAAATGAGCAACTCTACCTTTCACTTGAACACTTACAGGTCATTGTAGGTTTATTAGTTGGCCTAATTTCAATAATGCTGTTCTCAGGAAATAGGCAGTCTGAAGTAGAGAGAGAGAGAGAGAGAGAAGGAAAGTGGAGCAGTCAGACACACATGACATTTATCAAGTAAGTTCATTGTTACAGCACCCCAAAACAATTGCAATGGTAACATCAGAAATCACTGATCACAGATCACCATAGCAGATATAATAATAATAAAAATGTTAGCAATATTGTGAGAATTACCAAACTGTGACAGAGACACAAAGTGAGCACATGCTGTTGGGAAAATGGTACCAACAGACTTGCTTGATGCAGGGTTGCCACAAACTTTCAATTTATATTAAAAAAAAACACACAATATCTTCAAGGTGCTATAAAGCAAAAGGCAATACATTGAATTAATTATTGTATGTGTGTTTATGTGTTTGTATATATATGTGTACATGATATAGTTTGGATGTTTGTCCCTTCCAAATCTCATGTTAAAATCTCCCATCCCAGTGTTGGAGGTGGGACCCTGTGGAAGTGTTTGGGTCTGTGGGTGGACCCCTCATGAATAGCTTGGTTCCTTCCCCACAGTAATGAGTGAGTTTTGCTCTATTAGTTCACAAGATAGCTGATTGAAGAGCCTGGCATTTCTTCACTTCTTTCTCTTATTCTCTCTCTTATGTGGCACACCTGCGGAACATGAGGAAAAGCTTCCTGAGGTCCCAACCTGAAGCAGATGCTGGCACCATGCTTCTTGTACAGTTAGCAGAAGTGTGAGCCAAATAAACCTCTTTTCTTATAAATTACCCAGTTTTAGGTATTCCTTTATAGGAATGCAGAATGGACTAATACAGTACATGAGTACATATACATACATGTGCATACATATATGGCTATATAATATGTAATTATATTCCTATGAATATATGCATTTCATATATCACTTATGAATTATAATTTATGTAAATTAAGACATACATTATAATGAATACAAAGAGTCAGAATTGGGATATCTTTGTATGTTTTAATTTTTTTTAAGTTTAATATATAATTTTTAAAATATTCACTTCCATTAACACGTATTTAACTTTTATTGTGATCTTTGGGCTTAATTATTGACAAGGCAAATTTTTTTGTCTTATTAGAGCTTACGATATTGAGATGAAGAGAGACAATTAAAAGTCCAGTATTCGTATTGGTGATAATTCCTCCAATAAGGGAAGTCAAAGTATATTAGAGAATTACCTAACTTGGGCCCTGAGAGGTTGGAAATGGTGCCAGTAAGGTTTCTAGGGGAAGGGAGGCTCAATGGAAACCTGAAGGGTGAATGGCAATGAGTGAAGGCAAGAGGCCTAGAAACTCACATGCGGAAGTCACAAAAGAAAGATAAAGCAAAGAGTATTCAAGGAACTGAAAGAAACTAAGTATAAATGTGCTAGAAGATTGAGAGAGCAAAGTAAGTGGGCATGAAAGAGTATAGACAGTTATATCAAATATTAAACAAGCAAACAATAAAGCCACAAGATTCACTCCACAGTTTAAGATTCTTGGTGAATTTTCACATGTATCCTTTACATGCCTATGCTCTCCAATTTCCCCAAATTCAGCTAGCAACATTTTCTGTTTCATTAGCTCCGAGAATGGTGTTGCCCTCCACCCAGTTGCCCCTGCTTAATTTCTACACCTCATCAGGTCTGCAAGACCTTCCAATTTTTCCTCCTAAATGTCTCCTGTATCTTCAACTTTCTCACACGTTCATAATTACTGCTTACTTTGTTTATCCTTGTTTATTGCAACAGCCAAGAAGCCTTCTTGCTTTTGGTTTATCCTTTCCCTTGCCAATTCATGCCTATGGTAACATCTACTCAACTGGAGGCAGAATGGTGCATTGTGGAGAGCACTGGGATTGAAGAGGAGAAAATGAGAGGTCTCCCACCAAAATTCTGATGTGTGACTAAGAGTCAGACTTCCTAAATGTGGTTGACATACCCAGCCGAATATGGTATGGAAAACATGAAGACAACATCTCTCCAATGTCTCTTTTCCTACATTCAACACCACTACCACCACTCCCCCCACCCCACCCCCACCCCCACCCCCACCACACACACATACATATTTTGGTTTCTAGGAATAGCTGTTCCTGGGACACAGCCCTGATAAGAAGTCCAAGAATGGTGAGTTTTGGCATTGAGTTTAGCAGCAGGCACACTCTAGATCTTCTCTGTCAGCTTTTTCCTGTGATGTTGACAAACCTTTCTAATGGGTGTAAACACAGTTAGGAAACTGTTGGCAGCCTCGGAATTGGCAGCTTTCTATAAGTGAGACTTTATAAAAATCATTACTTGGTTTACTAAAACCAAGTGATGCCCATTGTCCCTTCTGCATTTCTGCATTCTATGACTTATGGTACCAAAAAAGGCAACTAGAAACTTAAACAAGGGAATTGTCGGCCAAAGGATATAAAATTCTGGCTGGACGGGAGGAATAAGTTCAACAGATGGAGCGTACATCATTGTAATTATTATCACAATATACTTATGCTTGAAAATTGCTGAAAGTAGGTTTTAAGTGTTCTCACTACAAAAAGAAAAGCATGCAAGGTAATGCATATGCTAAATAGATTGATTTAGCCATTCCACAATGTATGCATATATCGAAACATCACATTTTACACCATAAATATATATGATTTTCATCTGACAAATAAAAACGATACAAAAATGCAAAAGACGGTATCAGGAAGGTTATTCACATTCTGAGTTACTAGGAATGTTACTTAGATACATTGTGAATTTTTCATCCTTAAGACAATCGCAAACCACCACAACAAAAATCTTTGTGGATGGGCTGATACCACCACTAGTCTCAAATGATTGCCTTTTTAGCTCCATTTGTCTCCCAATATAGACAAAGTTATTTTCTGTGTTTCATTTTTCCCCCTTTAATTCTCAACTGAGCTCTCCTTCTCTGGCTCAGAAGAAGGACAGAAGACTGTGAAATAACACTACGCAACAACTTCTCAGAGAAGCACTTGGTGACCATAAGGCATAGCCAGCAAGTAGGATAGCACATAAAAAGTTGGCCTTTACTTAGAACTGATTTGAAGACGATGTATTTAAAATCACACAGTTCGTTAGCATTTCAGAGGGATAGCTTTTTACTATGACTGAGTCATAAGACTGAGTCTAAGTAGAGCATAGTGTTTCCTGAGCCTTTTAGTGCCTGTGCTAAAGTGTAAGCCTGGTTTCCATTCTGCATCTTCATGTTTCATGTGATTTTCTGCGATCATACTGGCTGTTCTTTCAGAAACAGTACCAGGAAAAAAAATTAAACTTCTCATGGAAGATAGATTCTGTGTATGTAGAAGCATGTTCCAATCCACTTTTTAAATGGCAAAATCTGCCCTTTTAACTTGTTCAATTCCATGGGTTTTGTCAAATGTACACAGTGATGTTACTTCTGCTACAATCATGATAGGAAATATTTCCATCATCCCAGAAAGTTCTCACATGCCGCTTTGCAGTCAGTTGCCTCCTTCCACCCATGGAACCCTGGCAACCACTGATTTCTTTTCCCCTTTGCTAGCATTTCATATAAGCAAAATTATAGAATATGTAACATTTTGTTACTGGCTTATTTTATGCTTTATACGATGCTTTTGAGTTTCAATCATGATGTGAATATAAAGAGTTTGTTCCTTTTTATTGCTGAATTGAATTCTGTAGTATATGTAATCCAAAATTTGTCTCTTCTGAAGTTGGTCAACACGTGGATTGTTTCCAGTTTTTTATTATTATGACTAAAACTGCTATCTGTGAACGTTCCTTCACAAATCTTTGTGTGAAATTTCTAGGTAATTTGGTAAGTGTGTTGAATTTTGTATTCACACTAGTTGTTCTGCATCGTTGCCAACACTTAGAATTGTCAATCTCTTTTATTTTAGCTATTGTAGTGAATATATAGTGACATTTTATTGTGGTTTGAATTTTTATTTTTCTAGTGACAAATGATGCTAAGCAGCTTTTCATATGCTTATTTTCCATCTGTATCTTTTAGTAAAATGTCTATTTCTTTTTTTCTTTTTTTATACTTTAAGTTCTAGGGTACATGTGTACAACAAGCAGGTTTGTTACATATGTATACATGTGCCATGTTGGTGTGCTGCACACATGAACTCGTCATTTATGTTAGGTATATCTCCTAATGCTATCCCTCCCGCTTACCCCCACCTGGCAACAGACCCTGGTGTGTGATGTTCCCCATCCTGCGTCCAAGTGTTCTCATTGTTCAATTCGACCTGAGTGAGAACATGTGGTGTTTGGTTTTCTGTCCTTGTGACAGTTTGCTCAGAATGATGGCTTCCAGCTTCATCCATGTCCCTACAAAGGACATGAAGTCACCCTGTTTTATGGCTGCATAGTATTCCATGGTGTATATGTGCCACATTTTCTTAATCCAGTCTATCACTGATGGACATTTGGGTTGGTTCCATGTCTTTGCTATTGTGAATAGTGCCGCAGTAAACATACGTGTGCATGTGCCTTTATAGCAGCATGATTTATAACCCTTTGAGTATATACCTAGTAATGGGATGGCTGGGTCAAATGGTACTTCTAGTTCTAGATCCTTGAAGAATCTCCAGACTATCTTCCACAATGGTTGAACTAGTTTACAGTCCCACCAACAGTGTAAAAGTGTTCCTATTTCTCCACATCCTCTCCAGCACAGGTTGTTTCCTGACTTTTTAATGATCGCCATTCTAACTGGTGTGAGATGGTATCTCATTGTGGTTTTGATTTGTATTTCTCTGATGGCCAGTGATGATGAGCATTTTTTCATGTGTCTGTTGGCTGCATCAATGTCTTCTTTTGAGAAGTGGCTGCTCATATCCTTCACCCACTTTTTGATGGGGTTGTTTGATTTTTTCTTGTAAATTTGTTTAAGCTCTTTGTAGATTCTGGATATTAGCCCTTTGTCAGATGGGTAGATTGCAAAAATTTTTTCCCATTCTATAGGTTGCCTGTTCACTCCAATGGTAGTTTCTTTTGCTGTGCAGAGGCTCTTTAGTTTAATTAGATCCCATTTGTCAATTTTGGATTTTGTTGCCATTGCTTTTGGTGTTTTAGACATGAAGTCCTTGCCCATGCCTATGTCCTGAATGGTATTGCCTAGGTTTTCTACTAGGATTTTTATGGTTTTAGGTCCAACATTTAAGTCTTTAATCCATCTTGAATTAATTTTTGTATAAGGTGTAAGGAAGGGATCCAGTTTCAGCTTTCTACATATGGCTAGCCAGTTTTCCCAGCACTATTTATTAAATAGTGAATCCTTACCCCATTTCTTGTGTTTGTCAGGTTTGTCAAAGATCAGATGGTTGTAGATGTGTGGTATTATTTCTGAGGGCTCTGTTCTGTTCCATTGGTCTATATCTCTGTTTTGGTACCAGTACCCTGCTGTTTTGGTTACTGTAGCCTTGTAGTATAGTTTGAAGTCAGGTAGCGTGATGCCTCCAGCTTTGTTCTTTTGGCTTAGGTTTGACTTGGCGATGCGGGCTCTTTTTTGGTTCCATATGAACTTTAAAGTAGTTTTTTCCAATTCTGTGAAGAAAGTCATTGGTATCTTGATGGGGATAGCATTGAGTCTATAAATTACCTTGGGCAGTATGGCCATTTTCACAATATTGATTCTTCCTATCCATGAGCACGGAATGTTCTTCCATTTGTTTGTGTCCTCTTTTATTTTGTTGAGCAGTGGTTTGTAGTTCTTCTTGAAGGAGTCCTTCACATCCCTTGTAATTTGGATTCCTAGGTATTTTATTCTCTTTGAAGCAATTGGGAATGGGAGTTCACTCATGGTTTGGCTCTCTGTTTCTGTTTTTGGTGTATAGGAATGCTTGTGATTTTTGTACATTCATTTTGTATCCTGAGACTTTGCTGAATTGCTTATCAGCTTAAGGAGATTTTGGGCTGAGATGATGGGTTTTCTAAATATACAATCATGTCATCTGCAAAAAGGGACAATTTGACTTCCTCTTTTCCTAATTGAATACCCTTTATGTCTTTCTCCTGCCTGATTGCCCTGGCCAGAACTTCCAACACTATGTTGAATAGGAGTGGTGAGAGAGGGCATCACTGTCTTGTGCCAGTTTTCAAAGGGAATGCTTCCAGTTTTTGCCCATTCAGTATGATATTGGCTGTGGGTTGGTCATAAATAGCTCTTATTATTTTGAGATATGTCCTATCAATACCTAATTTATTGAGAGTTTTTAGCATGAAGGACTGTTGAATTTTGTCAAAGGCCTTTTCTAAATCTATTGAGATAATCATGTGGTGTTTGATTTGGTTCTTTTATATGCTGGATTACGTTTATTGATTAGCGTATGTTGAACCAGTCTTGCATCCCAGGGATGAAGCCCACTTGATCGTGGTGGATAAACTTTTTGATGTGCTGCTGGATTCGGTTTGCCAGCATTTTATTGAAGATTTTTGCATTGATGTTCATCAGGGATATTGGTCTAAAATTCTCCTTTTTTGTCATGTCTCTGCCAGGCTTTGGTATCAGGATGATGCTGGCCTCATAAAATGAGTTAGGGAGGATTCTCTCTTTTTCTGTTGATTGGAATAGTTTCAGAAAGAATGGTACCAGCTCCTCTGTGTACCTCTGGTAGAATTTGGCTGTGAGTCTGTCTGGTCCTGGACTTTTTTTTGTTGGTAGGCTATTAATTATTGTCTCAATTTCAGAGCCTGTTATTGGTCTAGTCAGGGATTCAGCTTCTTCGTGGTTTAGTCTTGGGAGGATGTATGTGTCAAGGAATTTATCCATTTCTTCTAGATTTTCTAGTTTATTTGATTAGAGGTGTGTATAGTATTCTCTGAAGGTAGTTTGTATTTCTGGGGGATCGATGGGGATATCCCCTTTATCATTTTGTATTGCGTCTATTTGATTTTTCTCTCTTTTCTTATTAGTCTTGCTAGCGGTCTATCAATTTTGTTGATCTTTTCAAAAACCAGCTCCTGGATTCGTTGATTTTTTTAAGGGATTTTGAGTCTCTATCTCCTTCAGTTCTGCTCTGATCTTAGTTATTTCTTGCCTTCTGCTAGCTTTGGAATGTGTTCGCTCTTGCTTCTCTAGTTCTTTTAATTGTGATGTTAGAGTGTCAGTTTTAGATCTTTCCTGCTTTCTCTTGTGGGCATTTAGTGCTATATATTTCCCTCTACAAACTGCTTTAAATGTGTCCCAGAGATTCTGTATGTCATGTCTTTGTTCTCATTGGTTTCAAAGAACATCTTTATGTCTGCCTTCATTTCATTATGTACCCAGTAGTCATTCAGGAGCAGGTTGTTCAGTTTCCATGTAGTTGAGTGGTTTTGAGTGAGTTTCTTAATCCTGAGTTCTAGTTTGATTGCATTGTGGTCTGAGAGACAGTTTATTATAATCTCTGTTCTTTTACATTTGCTGAGGAGTGCTTTACTTCCAACTATATGGTCAATTTTGGAAAAAGTGTGATGTGGTGCTGAGAAGAATGTATAATCTGTTGATTTGGGGTGGAGAGTTCTGTAGATATCTATTAGGTCCGCTTGGTGCAGAGCTGAGTTAAATTCCATGGATATCCTTGTTAACTTCCTGTCTCATTGATCTAATGTTGACAGTGGGATGTTAAAGTCTCCCATTATTATTGTGTGGGAGTCTAACCCTCTTTGTAGGTCTCTAAGGACTTGCTTTATGAATCTGGGTGCTCCTGTATTGGGTGCATATATATTTGGAATAGTTAGCTCTTCTTCTTGAATTGATCCCTTTACCATTATGTAATGGCCTTCTTTGTCTCTTCTGATCTTTGTTGGTTTAAAGTCTGCTTTATCAGAGACTAGGATTGAGACCCCTGCATTTTTTTGTTTTCATTTGCTTGGTAGATCTTCCTCCATCTCTTTATTTTGAGCTTATGTGTGTCTCTGCACGTGAGATGGGTCTCCTGAATACAGCACACTAATGGGTCTTGACTCATTATCCAATTTGCCAGTCTGTGTCTTTTAATTGGAGCACTTAGCCCATTTACATTTAAGGTTAATATTGTTATGTATGAATTTGATCCTGTCATTATGATGTTAGCTGGTTATTTTGCTCGTTAGTTGATGCAGTTTCTTCCTAGCCTCAATGGTCTTTACAAGTCGGCATGTTTTTGCAGTGGCTGGTACCAGTTGTTCCTTTCCATGTTTAGTGCTTGCTTCAGGAGCTCTTGTAAGGCAGGCCTGGTGGTGACAAAATCTCTCAGCATTTGCTTGTCTGTAAAGGATTTTATTTCTCCTTCACTTATGAAGCTTAGTTTGGCTGGATATGAAATTCTGGGTTGAAAATTCTTTTCTTTAAGAATGTTGCTTATCGGCCCCCACTCTCTTCTGGCTTGTAGCGTTTCTGCCGTGAGATCTGCTATTACTCTGATGGGCTTCCCTTTGTGGGTAAGCTGACCTTTCTCTGTGGCTGCCCTTAACATTTTTTCCTTTATTTCAACTTTGGTGAATCTGACAATTATGTGTCTTGGAGTTGCTCTTCTTGAGGTGTATCTTTGTGGTGTTCTCTGTATTTCCTGAATTAATTTCAGTGTTGGCCTGCCTTGCTAGGTTGGGGAAGTTCTCCTGGATAATATCCTGCAGAGTGTTTTCCAACTTGGTTCCATTCTCCCCATCACTTTCAGGTACACCAATCAGACGTAGATTTGGTCGTTTCACATAGTCCCATATTTCTTGGAGGCTTTATTCATTTCTCTTTACTCTTTTTTCTCTAAACTTTCCTTCTCACTTCATTTCATTCATTTGATCTTCAGTCACTGATACCCTTTCTTCCAGTTGATTGAATCGGCTACTGAAGCTTGTGCATGTGTCACATAGTTCTCTTGCCATGGTTTTCAGCTCCATCAGGTCATTTAAGGTCTTCTCTATACTGTTTATTCTAGTTAGCCATTCGTCTTAATCTTTTTTCAAGGCTTTTAGCTTCTTTGTGATGGGTTCGAACTTCCTCTTTTAGCTCAGAGAAATTTGTTATTATTGATTGTCTGAAGACTTCTTCTCTCAATTCGTCAAAGTCATTCTCTGTCCAGCTTTGTTCCATTGCTGGCGAGGAGCTGCATTCCTCTGGAGGAGAAGAGGCACTCTGATTTTTAGAATTTTCAGCTTTTCTGCTCTGTTTTCTCCCCATCTTTGTGGTTTTATCTACTTTTGATCATTGATGATGGTGACGTACAGATGGGGTTTTGGTGTGGATGTCCTTTCTGTTTGTTAGTTTTCCTTCTAACAGTCAGGACCCTCAGCTGCAGGTCTGTTGGAGTTTGCTGGAGGTCCACCCTGTTTGCCTGGGTATCACCAGCGGAGGCTGCAGAACAGCAAATATTGCAGAATGGCAAATGTTGCTGTCTAATCGTTCCTCTGGAAGCTTTGTCTCAGCGGGGCACCTGGCTGTAGGAGGTGTCAGTTGGCCCCTACTGGGAGGTGCCTCCCAGCTAGGCTACTCGGGGGTCAGGGACCCACTTGAGGAGTCAGTCTGTCTGTTCTCAGATATCAAACTCCATGCTGGGAGACCCACTACTTTCTTCAAATCTGTCAGTCAGGGACGTTTAAGTCTGCAGAAGTTTCTGCTGCCTTTTGTTCAGCTATACCCTGCCCCTAGAGGTGGCGTCTACAGAGGCAGGCAGGCCTCCTTGAGCTGCAATGGGCTCCACCCAGTTCGAGCTTCCTGGCTGCTTTATTTACCTACTCAAGCCTCAGCAATGGCAGGCGCCCCTCCCCTAGCCTCGCTGCCGCCTTGCAGGTCTATCTCAGACTGCTGTGCCAGCAGTGAGCAAGCTCAGTGGGCATGGGACTCTCTCAGCCAGGCACAGGATATAATCTCCTGGTGTGCCATTTGCTAAGACCATTGGAAAAGTACAGTATTAGGGTGGGAGTGACCCGATTTTCCAGGTGCCATCTGTCATGGCTTCCCTTGGCTAGGAAAGGGAATTCCCTGACCCCTTGTGCTCCCCAGGTGAGGTGATGCCTTGCCCTGCTTCGGTTCATGCTCCGTGGGCTGCACCCACTGTCCTGCACCTATTCTCCGACAGGCCCCAGTGAGATGAACTCAGTACCTCAGTTGGAAATGCAGAAATCACCTGTCTTCTCCATCGCTCACACTGGGAGCTATAGACTGGAGCTATTTCTATTCGGCCGTCTTGGAACCTCCTCTTAAATTTCTCATAAATATTTAATTGGGTTGTTTGTTCCATTTGATTTTTAAGTTACAAAAGTTATTTATGTGTGTGAGCAATTAGATTTAATTGTTTTAGATAAAATCTAATACAAATTTGAGTTTTAAATAACTACTGAATAATGCCATTTTCCAATAATTGTCATGTTACTATTTGTATTGCAAATCAAATTATTATTATTTTGTTTTATTTTGTTTTTTGAGATGAAGTTTTGCTCTTGTTGCCCAGGCTGGGGTGCAGTGGCATGATCTTGGCTCACTGCAACCTCCGCCTTCCAATTTCAAGCGATTCTCCTGCCTCAGCCTCCTGAGTAGCTGGGATTACAGGCACCCGCCACCACGCCTGGCTAATTTTTGTATTTTTAGCAGAGATGGGTTTCATCATGTTGGCCAGGCTGGTCTCAAACTGGATCCGCCTGCCTCAGCCTCCCAAAGTGCTGGGATTACAGGTGTGAGCCACCGCGCCCAGCTGACACACCAAATTATTTTTAACTTTTTGTTATAAATTTTCTAAAATAAAGGCATAAAAAGTAAGTAAAATAGTACACGGAAACCCCACGGACCTATCATTCAGATTTTACAAATATCAACATTCTGCCATTTGTGTTTTTCCTATGCTTTCCACTATTTTGTATCTACAGTTTGAATATCATTAGTAGTATTAGTGACTTTAATTTTTTTATTAAGGTAAAATTCACCTATAATAAAATATGCAAACATGAAATGTACACTTCAAAAAACTGAATAGAACTGAGTAACCCACAATCCACACCTCATCATAACCTAGGGCCTTCTTGCCTCTCCTGAAAGCTTTGTTGTATTCCATTCCACTCGTACCCCCTTATCCCAAACCAGATAACCAGTATTCTGATTTTCTTTTTGCCTTGGATAAGGTTTTCTTGTTGTAAAACTTTACAAAAATGAAATCATTCAGCATGTACTCTTCTTGTCTTTCTTTCCCCCTACACATTATTTGTGAGAATAATCCAGGTTGTGGAGTGATTCAACAGGTCAGTCATTGTTGGGTAGTATTCTGTTTTATGACTATACAATAGCTTGTTTATCCATTTTTCTGTAGATGTGCATTTGAATTGTTTCCAGTTTGGGGCTGTAATTGTTAAAGCTGCTGTGAATATTCTGCTCTAAGTATTTGTGTAGACATATCTTTTCATTTTTCTTATATATATATACCTAGGAAAATAAAACTGGGTCAAAGGATAGGCAATTTAAGAGAAATTGTCAAACTCTTTTGTGAATATGGTTACATGCAATCCTACATTCTTACAGTGTGACCGTTCCAGTTGTTCACATCTTTGCAATATCACTGTTGTTAGTCCTTGGCATTCTAGCCATTTTATAGGAATTCAGTGATATATCATTTTAATTTGCTGAGTAATTTTTCATGTGTTTATTGGCCATGTATATAACTTAATTTGTGACTTGTCTGTTCATGTCTTCTGCCCATATTTTGAACTGTGGGAATTATGAATCTATTCTGGAAACAAGTCCTTTGTCAAATATATGTTTTATAAATACATATTTTTGAATATTTCTTACACTCTGGCTTGCCTATTTATTTGTTTAATGTTTGTAATATTAATAAAAATATTCTTATATGCTATTGTCTAAGGGCATTATAGATTTGGACTTTCTGTTTAGGCTTCTGAGCTATCACAAATTAATTTTTGTGCATGATGTGACTAGGAGCTGAACATTTTTGTTTTTATATGGATATTCCTTTGATCCAGCACCATTTATTGACAAGACTGTCATTTTCTTATTGAACTAAATTGACATCTTTATTGAGACTGAATTTGCCATTAAACATGGGTTCATTTGGACACTCCATTCTGTTTTGTTGATTTATTTGTTTATCTTTGTGATGGTGCTATGTTGTCTTGATTAAATTAACCTAGAGTAATTCTTAGAGTCAAATAGTGCAAGCCTTGCAGGTTTTTTCCTTTTTGTTTTCTCTAAGATTGTTTTGCAAATACTAGGTTCTTTGCATATTCATGTACATTTTAATACAAGCTTATCGGTTTCTATAAAAATGGCTGTTGGAATATGATTGAGATTAAAATTTAATGTTAATTTGGTGAAAATGAATATTTTTAAAAATTATATCTTCCAAAGTATAATTGATGTTTTTCAGCACCTTTGAGAAGTTTCCAGCCATCATTTCCTCAAGTTGTTGTTGTTCTGCTCCATTCTCTCTTGTCTTGACTTCTGGAACTCAAATTACATGTACATTAAACTTCTTGTTATTGTCCCACAGATCTCTGAAGCTCTGTTCAAGTTTCTTCCATTTTTCATTTCTTTGTTCTTTTGATTAGATAATTTCTACTGATATATCTTCAAGTTTACCAATTCCTTCTTCTGCTATCTGAAATTTGTTTTAAGCCCCTCCAGTGAATTTTTCATTTCAATTACTGTATTTTGGGGGTCTATAATTCCCACTTTGCTCTTTTTTTATAGTTTTTATTTCTGTGCTGAGATTCCCCATCTGTTCATCTATTACACACATATTTCCCTTTAAGAACTTAAACATATTTGTAAGAGCTGTTTGAAGTATTTGTCTGCTCACTGCAACACCTGGTTTACCTGGAGGTTTGTTTCTATTAATTGTTTCATGAGTGAGGGTCACATTTTCCTTTATTTTTACATAGCTAATGATTTTTATTTGGATCTAGGACATTACGAATGATGCATTTTAAAGATTCTGGATTTTGCTGTGTTTATCTGGGGGGGAATGATTTTAAAAAAATATTCTAGTAGGCAGTTAATTTGATAGTCAAACTCTGTCTCTTACACTGGTATTAGCTGACTCTCTACGCAGTAATTTTAGCCTCCACCTGCTGCTTTTATTCTGGCCCCCAAGGATCTTCCCTGTAAATATATAGTTTACTGGTTAGCCAAGAGTCTGGGTAAATTTTGGACGCTTGTTTTAGGGATCATCTCCTTAGTCCCTTCACTTTCCAGATTTCCTTCCCAAGCATTCTGACCCCTCTGACAACCCAGAACTATATTCTGTGAGACCTCAAGCATATAGAGTTTTGTGTCTTTCTACTGTATTTTTTTTTTTTAGGCAAATAGCCACAAAATGGTATGTTTCACCTATTGCAGCTTATCTTTCAAAAGCAGTCTTCTCTAGTTTCTGCTTGTTTTTGGTCACTGCAATACCTTCAAATAGTTGTTTGTTTGCTACTGTTTTTGTTTAGGTTTAATTATTGTTACTTATGGGAGGGTTGACATGATCAAGCTAATCCATAGAGGCCAAAACCCTAAAACCTTTATTTTTGAACCTAAAGGCTAGCAATTCAGGATCGTAAGGGTCACAGGGTTTAACAAAATGTGTTTAACAAGCATTTAACACATTTTACAAAACACGAATAACACAGGAAGAGTCAGAGGGACTTGTTTGCCTTTTTTTGTGTGTGAATTTTCTTCAACCATGCACAGAAGAAATTTTCTTGGTTATCCTGTGTACTTTTCCTGAGGCATTTTGCTAAAGAATTAGGACAAATCTGATGAGGACACACTTTGTTTGGAAATAAGATTATGGCAACGTATTAAACCCTGCCAAACACCAGTTATTCCCCACCCTCTGTTTCTCAGGCATAGAGAACTAAAAGAAACAAGGTTATATGAATTCAAGTCTGCTATTGTAATTGACAGGCATGACCTAGCTCACCATTTTAAGTCCCCAAGCATGTGAAAAACTGACATAGAAAAGATTGAGACCAGCTGTTCTTTTTGCTGAAGACCTAAAAAGAAGAAATAGACAAACTGCTACATTAGAGATTAACATCATCTATGTAAGAAAATACTTCTCAGTGTTGGAAATGATTACATTCCTCAGTGTATAACCAAAGGCACTGTCTGAAAGAGAGAGGAGAGAGAGAGAGAGAATGTTATTTCTCTGAAGGGAGACATCTGTGCTTTAAAATGACAGCATATGCTTTTATCTTTTTTGAGTTTTTAATCAACACTGTCATAAAAACTTGTGCCAAAATTTTTAAAGATATTATTTTCAAATGGGCCTTATTTTCCAAGATGCATAAGGAGCACTCAGCATAATAACGTGACTAGATGACACATCTCAGTTATTTAGAATTTTGGACCCCCAGATTTCCTCAAGAAAAAGGGTATCAATAATCTCTCAGATCTACTTCCACTCCCCAAAGCACAGTATAAATATATAACATATAATTAGAATTTAATAAATACTTGAATGCCAGTATGTTCTAAACATTTTTAAGCCTATATGCTGGAAAAGTAAAGACTTGGCATCAAGATAACTAATTTCAAGACCCAACTATGCCATGGAAAGGCAGGGCAATTAAAAGATATTTCTCTGTGCTGTTACTGCTCTGTGCTGTTACTGCTCTGTGCTGCACTGTGGATGGAACTACAGATGCCCATGGTCATGGGATGCTACAATTTCCAGTAGTTCCTAGGATTGAGGAACACAAAATGCTGCTTAGTCAGATCTGTAAATATCACCATTCCTCTGCTAGACACTTCCCATAGGCTCTCAGTAGTATATACTAAATCACCAGGGTTAAATTACTTATGTACATGTGGTCTAAGTCTGACTGGCCATTTTTGACATGTGTTCTAAAGGCTTATCAAGACTTGCTTTTTCCTTAATACAAGTTTATTTTAGCGAATTAAAGGGGAAATGGTTAAATGAAAAACAGCTAAAGCCTGCATTTTGCTCTATACTGTGTTAGTTTGCTAGGGCTGCCATAACAAAATACCACAGATTGGATGGCTTTCACAACAGAAATTTACTTCCTCGTAAGTCTGGAGGCTGGAAGTCCAAGGTGAAGATGCTGGCAGGGTATGATTACCTCTGAGGCCTTTAGCTTGCAGATAGCGTCATTCTTGCTGCCTCTTCACATAGTCATCCCTCTGTGTGTGGCTCCAGTGTCTCCCTCAGAACCGAATTTCCTCTTATAAGCACACCAGTCAGATTGGCTTAGGGGCCTGCCCTAACGGCTTTGTTTAAATTTAATCACGTCTTTGAGAGCCCTATCTCTAAATACAGTCTCATGGGTTAGGGTCCACCTATATGACCTCCTTTAACCTTAATCTTGTAAAAGCCCTATCTCTAAATATAGTCATATTCTGGGGTACTGAAGATTAGGACTTGAACATATACATTTTGGGGGGCTGGGGGACACAGTTCAGTCCATACCAGGCACCAAATCTATCATTAGCCATTTTGGCACAGTCGAAAACGTAACTACTGCTCTATCAAAGAAAAGGTACACAACTCAATTGACTCCATTAAGAAACTACAATAAAATCTATGCTCATCCTTTACTCATCCCCTATTATATCTTCTGAATCTTCTCTGGCCTTTCTTGGCAAAGAGGAAACTTCCAAGCCAAGTTTGTGATGAGTGAATGAAGTCATAGATCACGTAAATGATGAAAGCCAACAGCTTTTACATATCAAATGGAAAGAAATGATACAGGAAAATTCAAACAAAACAACACTAAGTAAAATAGTAGTAGAGAAAACTATTTACATATCGTAGTCCTATACATTACCTTATAGGATTGAGGTGAGGATTAAATGAGTTAATACATGTAGAACACTTAGAAAATCAGCTGGCAGAAAGTAAGTGTTCCATATACAATAGCTTATTATTCCTGGTATCATATAAAAATATTTTAAGATTTTTACCATTTACCTGACTGTCTTTCTCTGTACCACAGTACCTGACCTTTCTCTGTCATTCATCCTCCAGATTTCCTTGTACAGCCTCCTCTTTGGAATTCAACATCTCTATTGAGGCAGGGGTGTTACAGGTGAGCCTGATATTCTAAGTCCAGCCTATTTATGAGACTTGAGAATTTCCTTAGAGGTTGCTTTGTGATTGAAATTGAGAGGAATACTTCCCTTCAGCGAAGCTATTGACCAGTCTGTCAGATACACACCAGACACAAAGGACTTGAATTACACAATTGTTTGGGGAATGCTCCTGCAGCCTGTAGTATCATTAGTTAGGAGGAAGAAGTTCTTATATTAATCAAGTCCCCTAAGGATGTTGACAAGGATAATAATTCTTTCCCAATGTACTGTTGTAACTCTCAATTGTTCCATATTAAAACAAGAGAGCAAAAAGGCTTTGGGAAAGGATACACATTTTTAATAGAAGCTATAATTCTGTGTGAAGGGTTATCTGAATAGTTTGCCCAAGAAATGAAATTATAGCACTTCTTCTATTGATATAGCAATTGAGGGAATGAAGCCAAAGTCCTATCATCCCTTTCCATAGAGGTTTGTAAGGTTACAGTTAACCCTGTGTAATTTCTGTCCGTAAGTCCAAAGGCTTTTTCTTTTCTCTGAAAAGAACAAACTGATGCTATTACCCTTTGCTTAATCTGACTACACAGCCTTATACAAAATAAAAGGCATTGTAGCCAGTGAATCCTTGCAGATATTAATATTTTTAAATAAATGACAAGTTATAAACCTAAAGAATATATAGCCTCATGAGTAAACTTAGCTGGGTTGGATAGTACAGTTAATACAGTTTATCTGGCATCATCCTAACTCTATGAGATACATAAAATGGTGCTTCAGTTTAGTTAAACATATCAGAAATGTCTAATTGCCTGGGTAATTTTTGGTCTCTTCATCCTCTAGAAAATTACCAGAGGCTTAAGTAGGAATGAAGTTGGTTTTAGTTTGATCCCTCCAGAGAGCAGGACTATGCTTCCTTGTTTAACAATAACTTCTTTTGAGTACCTAGCCACTGCTGAATCTCACGGAGAAATACAAAATCCCTAATCAATTTTGAAGAAGACTTAGACCCAGAAGATAGCCAATTAATGCATTTCAACTTTCCAGAAAGCCTGAGTACAAGCAAGTAGCCCCCAAGGCCGCAAATAATGATTGCTATTTCCATCTTCATCCAGGAGAGAAAAAGCTAGAAACAGCCTCCATTTCAATAGTGTGTTGGGCCACTGGTTTTTATCACCTACGTAAGAGTCACTTGCAATTCATGTACAGGATCATAACCTCTTATAGCTATAAGGATCCATAGAGAAAAATCTAATCCAGTCCTCTCATTTTACAGATGAGCAGACTGAGGCCTGTAGAGGTTTAGAGACTCGTTCAAGGTCACATGCTTATTAATGGCTCAGGAGGGATATTGATCAAATGTACTATTGCTAAAAGATGTGGAAAACAGCTGATTCTGCTTAGGAGCTGTATTAGTTTGTTCTTATACTGCTATAAATATACTGCCAGAGACTGAGTAATTTATAAAGAAAAGAGGTTTAATTGACTCACGGTTGGTTCTACATGGCTGGGGAGGCCTCAGGAAACTTACAATCATGGCAGAATGGGAAGGGGAAGCAAGTCACATCTTCCCACGGCAGCAGGAGAGAGAGAGAGCAAGGAAGCTGCCACTTATAAGACCGCCAGATCACCTGAGGTCAGGAGTTCGAGACCAGCCTGGCCAACATGGTGAAACCCCGTCTCTACTAAAAATACAAAAATTAGCCAGGCGTGGTGGTGGGTGCCTGTAATGCCAGCTACTCAGGAGGCTGAGGTGGGAGAATCGCTTGAACCTGGGAGGCAGAGGTTGCTGTGAGCCGAGATCGCGCTATTGCACTCCAGCCTGGGTGACGAGAGAAACTCTGTCTCAAAAAAAAAAACAAAAAAAAACACCAACATGTCTCATGAGAATTCAAACTCACTATCATGAGAACAGTGTGGGGGAACCACCCCCATGATTCCATCGCCTCCCCCCCAGGTCCCTCCCTCAACACACGCGGATTATAGTTTCAGATGAGAATTAGGTGGGGACATACAGCCAAACCGTATCAGCAGCATAAATATTTCCTCTTCAATGTTACTTACACTGTTGTTTGTAGAAAGTATAAAATTATATTTTAGCCCAGCTGCCACCAGAAATAAACTAAAAATTAAAATTAAAACCCACAGATTTTTGTTTAGAATTTGATGCTGTTTTAAGCAAAACAGTATTTAAAATGACTCTGCTAATAAGTGTGTCATGCTTTCTTCTATGAGCAGGAAGAGTGGGAGTGGGGAGAAAAATGCTTGCCAAGTTCATGGAGAAAAGAGATTGCTGGGCCTGGTGTGTTTTCCCCTCCAAGGCAGAGAGAGCCACTTTCTCATTTTGAAGAGGATTAGTGTTTCCTGGCTTTCTAGACTTGAGGCTGCATTCTCCCTACTCTGTGGCTACAGCAGATTTGGGACACTGGCTGGTGTCCAGAATTCCAGTCCCTTCTTGTTTGTATCCCTGTTTAGGTTGGAGAATAGGAAGGATGCAGCAAGACAGAGGGAAACGTTGACTTGACTGTTACAGCCAAATAAATAACTATCATATCTGCAGTGATTGCAGTGAAATACTCAGGCAAAATTAAAAAGATGTACATATATATTTATATTGTAAAAACCAGCATCTCGCACACAGAGCAGCATTACAAATTAATTGAGCCAGTTTGTTTTTTGGTATCATGTTAGTAATGAGGATAGCAGGATATTCTACAGATTTAGAGAATGTTGATGAAGTGGAGACCTTGTAGAAAAGCAACGTGCTGCAGAGTAATAGAGTCTTGGCTTCTCTGTTCCTTCCTTAATTAAATTAGAACTTTCATTTAAGAAGAAAGAGAATCTCAGTCTCATGTTTGGTCTCAAGTAAGCATGGAGGTTGGAATGGTACTATGAAGGTGAAATCTTACCTTCATTGTTGCCATGTCCACTGCCCCTGTGCATATGCTGCCATTGATCAGCTGGAGGAAATCTTCTCTGTGGGGAGAGGTCAGCAGTTGGCAGAGCACAGGTCAGTGCGGAAAAAGCAGGACATTATTGCAGTTGCTCCATTGCATTACTTTTTCAACTATAAATGAGGCTCCTCATTAATGAATCATGCACACAGATTGCTAGGGTCTCAGCATTAATTGGCACTAATGGGAACATCTTATGGTTGAAGGAAGAAGCTGTGGGAGCCATTTTCAGTCTGATTTGATTTGGAAGAAAACTCAGGCAATTTACATTTTCCATGAAATTTTAGGGCAGCCTTATACACCACATTTTCACTCCAGACACCAAATAGTTTGCTGAATATCTGCAGAAAAGTCTACCGAATTCTTCATGAGAAAGAAGGATTACCAACAAGTGCTTCAATGAGATTTGCCTTCCCCTGCCAGGCAGGGCACCTACAGAGTGTTTGAATCTCCTTGTGATGGTACTATGCGTGCTAAGGCCTAATGCAGTGTATATAATTTGTTTTATTCATTTGAGATCATTCAGCAGGGATTCAGTGCAAGTTAGCCTGGAGGATGTTTTGTCCAATACATTTCATTTAAAAATGTGTTCTCCCATGATAATGTACTGTTATTCCAACAAGATAGGTGATGCAAAAGTTTAATCTCAGCTGTCTTGGAATGTTTTGCCCCTTAAGAGGAACTGATATGTAACATCTCTTTTTTAATCGCAGAGTCTCTTGTAATTGGTTTTGTGATATATGTTCAGCATTGGAGAATCAATGCTAATAGTGTTGGTATATTTCAGACCTTTTCAGATCATAGAACAAATGGGTGAATCTCACTTTTCAGAATACCCTAAGCCAATACCCTAGAGTGGGATTAGCAATAGCATGCCTGCCTTCAGGTGGATGCATCTACCCAAGGCACCCTGCTTGCAGCTCCCACTTGCTCCTTCAGTTGGGTACCCTTGTGCAGTATACAATCTGGATAAGATACATAATAGCCTTAGAATCATCCTCGTGATCACTAATACCTCTCTAATCCAACACTGAGTCTGTGGGAGGAAACTGGAAGCAAGATAATCTTATAAAGAAAAATGTAGGGCTCAGAGAAAAAAGATATGGAGCAAGCCTATGAGGCAGACACAATGATGATATAATTTTCAGTAGAGGAGAATGTGATAGAAAACTTGAGATTCATGTCAGTACTACAGTTGATCTACTGTTAGAAGTAAATATTTGCTTTAGGATCACATAATTTCTTGCTGGAAAAGAACTTAGGAATCATCATTTAATCCTACCCGATCATTTTACAGGTAAGAAGTCATGTGTATAGCTCAGTGCTACATAGCTAGCTAATGATGGAGACTGTGCTAGAATCCAGCTCTTAGGACAAGAGGTGTAATTTACATTCTATCCTGCCAAGCTAAATGCCACAAGCACAAACCCACCTCTCAGCTTCAAGAAGTGCCTTTAAGCCTGACTTTCTGCTAATAGGTGACTAAATCCATGCTTACCCTATCTTTAGCCTTCCCAACTGTTAACTGAAAATTAATAGTTTCAATTCTTCTTTCTCTGTCTTTGTGTTTGCAAAATAAATAATAATCTTTTAATATAGACTTTCAAGGATAGTTGATATTCACTGATGACAATGAAATGGCATTCCCCATCAAGTAAGAAGTTGTGTTAACTGACCTCTCAGTTTCCTAACATCTCAAGATCTAGTTTTACTAGCATGGCGACCTCTTTCTCTTTTGCTTATTTAGTTACCCTTCCCTTTTATACTCAGGTCTTTCTTCAGGGGCAGTACCAAGACCTATCTGATATAGTACAAAAGCAAGGTTAAAGATGTCTTCAGCCCACCAACCTGCACCCACATCGCCCTCCCCTCTACCATATACATCACATGCACACACACACACAGATACATACTTGTGATTACATATAACGTTGTGTTGATATTTTGGATGTCACAGTACATCGTTGTTCATCCACTCTAGCTCCTTAAATTAAGTCTGGTAGGCCCAATTAGAATTTGATGCTGTTTAAGTAAAGCTGAGCCTAAAATAACTCTACTGATGGGGGTCTTATGCTTATCTCTGGGAGCATCTTCTACACATGACTGAAGCAGTGATGAAATTCTGAGCAATTGTCAGACTCACAGTCACCAGGAAATGCCAAACCAGTTACTGTATCTAAGAGGTGTATAAAAGATGGCTGCTGTGTCTCTGCATGCTGAAAAGAGAGGAACTGTGTCTGGTTGGCAAAATTAAAAGAAGATGCCTATCATCAAGAAAACAAAAGCTTTCCTCCAACACCATCTGGCATAAGAAAAGTCTGAGTTAATAGTAAAATAGCATCTTGTGCATTTTAGCTTTCTTTCTAATGTTTCCTATGTTTCCCCGCTTTTAGATGAGACCAAAATGATAATATTAGCTGCATTCATCTATCCATTCATCCAAATCCTCACTCTCTGTAAAGTACGCCATATGTGAAAGAAAAGTTTAAAAATACATAAGACTTCTGTTTTCATCTACTTCCATAAATAAGCACTATAAATTATGGCTAACCACCAAGTAATATTATTGAGCATCTGCTCATGGCATTTAAATGTCTAAAGGGGCTAAGGTTGTTTAGCCAAGAAAGGAGGAAACCAGAAGTAGCATTTGTGACAGTCCATTATTCAAAAGGCAGTAAACAACTGTTTATCATGCCCTCTTAGAAAGACATAAGAGAAAAGAAGCTTGCAAGCATAAGAATTTCTTGAATATGAAGTGTCCAATAAAACAATGAAAGGACTCTTTCTACTTCTCTATATTTACATCTGTAACTATAACCATTTCTATGATTACATACATATATCCATATAAAATCATAAAATCAGGATGCTCCAAAAGAAAAATTTGGGTAGGATAATCAGAGAGCTGTCTGAGGATGATGTTACATATATATAAGTTATCTAGTAACCCAATTTCTCAATCAATTATTCATGGGGTAACTAGCATGTTATTAGGCCAAGTGCTTTAAAGGATTATAAAAAGTTCAAAGTGTAATACCTGAACTGAAAGAGTTTATAGTCTGGTTGGGAGACAAATTGAGTGGTTAAAGCAGTGGGCAATACAATGTTATTCATAGTTATGTCATCTATCAGTTGTATAGTGTAGGTGGCAATATTGCAGGTGTTCTGAAAATAGCAGGCTTAGATTCATTTTCACTTCTTAGAATAGTCTGAGGGCAGAAAAATATGAACTGATTTTTGAAGGATCATATTTTTGTATGTGAGAAGAGGGAGAAGAGACAACAGAAAAGAGGGAAACTGAGAAAAGGTGGTAAAGTAGAAATTAATAAGGTATTTTTATAGAGTCAGTAAACATGTAGATTTAACCAGATGAGAAGGAATGCATTAAGGGATAGTGGGGCATAAGTTCTAGCAGGTAGAGTGGGAGAATCCACCATAGTGCCCTCCCCACTTTTTGGCTGGGACAATGCCCACACATGATGCTACCTCTCACTTCCAGTCATTTATACTCTTAACTGAACAATCTGCACTACCCAACTTATTCCTTACCTTTAATCTCTCAGAACAACAAATATCTAACCAGATGGTCCACATAGGAGGGCACTGGAATCAAAATCAATTTAATTGTTGTATAAGACTGTGCTTTGTATTCTCAAGGTAAAGGCAGAGGACTGCTTTTCAACCCGTTCTTGCCATTATCTGCTACTCTCTCCTTTCCATTTCTTCCTGTTTTTGTTGTTGCTCCTTCATTCATTATTAATTCAACAGGTATGTTAGCTTCTATTTTGTCTCATGCTCTGGGCTAGGCATTGAGAGTACAGAGCTGTGTAAGACACTCTTTTTACCTTCAAGATGCTTTTAGTCTAGCAAGTCAAACATGCAACTCCAGTAGAGTCGGATGCATGTTATGTGTTGCAGCACCTCACCAAGCTCCTGAGGAGGGTCATCTAAATGTAATGCTGAAAGAAGCAAGGAAGTAAAGGTGGTTAGAGAGTGGAGTCTGCTCCAGTCAGGCAGCACAGTGGTGAAACCTAAAGTGAGAAAACACAGTGCACATAGAGAACCACCAGAACTACACTGTGGGCTATAGTGTGATAGAGGACAGATATGCGAACAGGAGGTTCCTGCAATCAGAATCCCATTACCATAAGTCTTTGATAATTGTGTTCAGTCATTGACTCACAGGGCACATATTTAATGAGTACTTCTTGTGTGTCAGGAATTATGCTAGAGGCTAGACATAGAGCTCCACACAAGACACAGAGCTACCTTAAAGAAGCTTTCGTTCTAGCTATCACGCAGAAAATGACAGTTATTGATGATTCTGATGGACATGAAGGGCCACATGATTCATCTCAAATTCATTCTATAACAATCTCTCTGCCTCTGATCTCCATTACTCCTATTCCAGACTCATTTTTTTATTTTAATTTTCTTTTGAAGTTCATAGGAGGTCTGTAGAGTTCTATTATTCTATAATCTACTCTTTATTTTATTCATAATCTTTGTATGGTTTAAACAACCAAAATGAACATATTTCCATTAATGTTCAGAAATATCTTCTTCCAAATAAATTACATAGATGCATGTACTGAGGTTCATTTTATTTTTAAACTTGCAGAGAAGTCTGTAAAATTAAGCCTAATATTCAATAATTTTTAATGAAATAGAGAGCAAAACATTAAAAATAGATGTTTAAAAAGATAGTGTAGCTATTGTTTGTTATCCTTCAGTCTATTTCCCATCATCCAACGCCCAAAATAAAATGTAAAAATACAAAAATAAATATAAAATTAAGAAAATAACCTTAATAATAGAAAAAAATTTACAAGAACATAAAGGATTTATCTCAACAATTTAATTCAGCATTTCTTCAAGGAGGCAGGAATTTGTCAGTAAGCAAGTCTTTGCTAACAGTAAGTTCCTGGAGAAGGATGACAAGCTGGCTGAAACAAATAAAACAGTAATAACACGACTGAGAAAAGGGAAATAGAATTCTGGAGCAAACAGTAGTAAAAATGAATGAGATAGTGAAGACTAAATAATAGAAATGCTGAGAAAGCAATGTTTTGGGATCGAATGCAACAAGGAAATTAAATTCAGAGAGAGATAAGAAATGAGAAAGAGAACAAGTACAAGTTGTCTTTTTTTCCTCTTGTTCCTTTATCCAAGAGAAATAACTGTCAGCTACAGGTCATAAAACTTTATAGACTAATGCCCTCTGACCTCTGACCCTGTGCTTTATTTCCTCTGAACAGAAGTCTAGTCCTCCCTCCTCCTGAGAAAAATGAGGCAACATGGCTGGGTGGCTTCTCCCATCCATCAGGCAATGAGATGTGTCTCCAGGTCTCAATTTGCCATCAGCAGTCTTGCTCCAGGCCAAGTCAGGACTGGTTTATACACCAATACAAAGATTCAACAGACGCATTTTCCTTTAAAAAAAAAACCCACCATATATAAGATATATATAAGGCATGTATGTCTTATAAATCCTTTCCACTGCACCACAGAAAGGAAGCAGTTTCCAATTTAATTAACAGTCTTGAATTGCTGAGAGTCAGCAGAACAAGTTCATAATTGGGCAGAGGTGATCTGTCCCACTTGGAAAAAATAAAAAAAAAGTTTCCTAAATGTAAAGGAAGAGTTCTTTCATTTGCATTGAACTGTTCTACTTGGCAAATGGAAGCATCCATTTGTAAATTAGCACATTTCTACACACAGGCCATCAAAGAAGTATTTCCAGAAGAGCAAGTGATAATTAAACAAAGTATACATACCCTCTTTGATGCCACTTGAAGCTGCAGGGAGACTGACTGGAGTCTGGGATGGAACCAGGGTAAATTGTTCTTTTGTGGAGCCAAGACTGCTGGTAGCCAGAGTTGGCTCTTGCTTTCGGGGGCAAAGGAGACTGAGTCATCTCCCTTCATCGAGCTGATTTGTTCAAAAGGCACAAGAAGTTCCCAGGGATTTCATGCTTCTTTGAGGCAACCTGTATTTCAGATGGATGGGAAAGGGGGTGGGGGCAGTGAATTTTGTTGCTAGGTCTCCCAGTGACTTGCCAAAATTTTGCCTGTTTCTTTGTGAACCTGGTAACCACCCCAGCTGGGCTCCCCATTACTCTAAGCAGGAAAGGGATGAATATGCCCAGTCTTTTTCAGCTTGCAAATGTGCCCTGGTGAGGGTAAACATGGCTGTGTTTGTTCACCCTGGGGAACAAGTCAGGCACGAAGTCCCTTTTGTTCAGCCTAAGAATGATCTCCCTTCATCTCAAGTTCCAGACGGACTGGTGATTTAATCTGGAAATGTGAAAATGAATCCTACCTGAGAAGGACAGCGCTTTCTAAAGTTGCCCGGGAGTTGGCAAGGTCTGTCTGAAGACCTTGGGAAACACAGGGATGCAGGTGATGCCTGGGAGAGACCCACTTTGGTCTGTGTAAAGTTCCATAAAGGGAGTCTCCCAAATACGCAGGACAGCAAGCAGCTGGTCCAGTAGCACCTCTGGTTTGAAATAGTTTTAAAAAGATCATGAGCTGCAGGAATGAGATATATCTTAGATGCCCTAGGAATAAAAAAAAGTATAGCCATGATTAGTATTTCAGTGTATGTTTCCTGAATGATAGATGCAGAAAAAAGAGCAGAGCAATGGGTGTTTCTCTTTTCTTCATGATGATAGAGAGTACATGAGCCTTGTACATTGTTGTGTGTGTGTAATGTGTGTGTGCATCCATGTACAGAGTTATATCTGGTGCCGGGGTGAGTTGATAAAAAAATAAGCTATCACTCCTAACTTCAGTGGATTTTCAGGAAGAGAAAAAGAGTATTAGAGTTGTATGACTATAGTAAGGGGCAAATACAAATTTCGTACTGATGAGTACCATGTAAGAGAAACAAAGCGCTCTGGGGGTTTAACCCTGGAGGAGATCATATTTCATCAAGTGAAATGAGGAAAGGCTTTATGGTAGACATGGACTCTATGCTCAACCTAGATGTGTGGGGAGGATTTCAACATATGGAGAAAGGGGATGGAAAAAGGGCATTCCACTAATCGGGCAGAGGGAGGACAAACATGTCCATGTGGGAAAGTGCAGAACATGCTGGTAGAACAATGTGGATTAACTGAAGCATCCCATTCTTATAGAAAAATAGTAAAAGATAAGAATGAACAGTCATCTTGGGGCCATATTAGGAAAAGCCTTAAATGTTAGGCTGAGTGTTTGGTTTTTAACTAAATAGAGAGTAAAGAATCTTTGAAGATTTTTAACATAAGAAGTGATATAATTGAAAATGCATTTTTCAGAAATAATGGGATATATTAGAAGGAGATTGGAAGCTGAAACCCATGAGACTAACTTTTCTAGTCATCTAATCAAAATGTAACAAATCTCTTATATTAGGATTGTAGAAGTGGAAATAGTAAAAAAAGAAAAAGTTTGCAGAAACTCTGAAAGTAGAATCTACAGACTTGACCACTCGTCGGATGTGCCTGGCAAGAGGGAGAAAATAGTCAGAGATGGTGCCTGGATTTCAGGCCCAGGAGATTAGAATAATAATGTTGTCATGGAGAGACAAGAAAGTCTGGAGTCTTGGAAAATGTTGAGTTTATTTTGGAGTGCATTTGGAGTGTACTAGCTAGAAACAATTAGAAATGCTCAGCAGGCAGCTAAATTACAGGAAATAGGCCAGGGCTAAGATATGGAATTGGGAGTCCTTTACTTAGCAAATTGTTAGCAAGTCATTTATTTAGAAAATCCACTATGTGCCAGGCATTGTATGATGTACTGGGATTACAAAGGTAAACAAGATTCATGGCTTCTGATATCTAAGAGCACTTACAGTCTGCTGAGTGATGCAGACAGGTGAACCCACCAGTCTCCTGCAAACTGATAATTGTTTGGGGTAAGAGAGATAAACACAGGGTGTTATGGCATCCAGAGGAGTTTCAGAACATGTTACTTACACTGTGGGGTCAGGGAATGATCCCAGAGACAAGTGACCTCTAAGTGGCAGGAGATCGAGGCAGTGAATTGGGAAGAGCATCCCCATGCAGTGTGGAAGCTCAGCTTAGAGTGACAGCAAGGTACAAATGGGCAGAAAATAGAAGATGAAAAATAGTAAGAGAGAAGGCTGGAAAGATGAAGCCAATTATTCAGAGCCTTAAGGTTACATTAAGGAATGTAGACTCTATCCAGAGAATCATAGGAAGTCGCTGACTGGTGTTATCCTAGTTTAATTTTGTAAAAATTGCTCTGCAACAATGTAGGAATAGAAAGAAGGAGGAAAAACACAGGGCAGTGAGATTCAGGAGACCTGGTCTTGAATAGTATCAATGTGGACTGAGAAATATGAATTGACTCAAAAGATAGAGGTACAAGTCTTCATGATTTCTTTTGTGGAGTAGGGGTAGTGGGAGAGAAGGGTCAAGAAAAACATCTAGTTTCTTCTTGGCTACAAGGTGGTTGGTGTTACCATTCACTAAGTAACGAATACAAAAGTAGCTAGGAATAGTGTTTGTGTGTGTGTATGGGTGTGTGTTTAATTTGATTTGTAGGAAGAGACCCGGTCTTGTGATGCTAAATTAGAGATTATATTTAAAGGGAGATGTCCAGTGGGCAGTTGAATATGTGTTTGATGGGTATAAGAGAGGTCAAGTCTGAGGCTACAAATTTTGAAGGCATTATCATATAAATGAAAAGTGGAACCTCAGAAGAGTATGTACTTACTAGACACATTCCCAGGCAAATACAGGAAAGTGCCAAGATATATCCCTGAAGAATATCCATATTTAAGGGATAGGATGAGAAGGAAGAGACAACAACAAAGGCTGGGACACTTTTACCAGAGAGGTAGGGGGAAACCAGAAGACAGTCTGTGTTCTAAAATACAAAGAAGGAATGTATCAACTAGGACAATGGGTTAACTGTAGTAAACATTGCCAAGAGGTCAGTGGAGAAGCCTGTATTGAATATAATGGAAAGGAATCATTAGTGTCTTAGGCAAGAGCAGTTTCTGTGGGCAGGGAGGAGAGAGGTCAAGATGTAGTAGGTTGCCACAGTGAAGATTCTAAAAGGTCAGGGAGCTTCAGTGGGACTGGTCTATTAGCTATGCCAGAAAGTTGAGTGGTGAGAACATAGGCCAGACAGCAAGGGTGAGAACTGAGCAAGTTGGTGGGGTGAGAAGGAGGTGGAAGAAAGGTGTGGGGACCACTTGCTCTAGAAATTCCGGGGGGAAAACAAGGACAAAAACTTTACTTAGAAGATCCATGGAACATGTTTGTAGGCAAAGAAGAAAGGGTCAGTAGAGGTGGAAAAATGGAAAGTACAAAGGAGAAACAGAGAGGAAGAAGCATTAGGCAGGCAGTTGGCGGGAACTCAGGTTTTAATGAGACCTCTCTCCTTGCCCCCTCATTCCACTGTCACACACACACACACACACACATACACACACACACATATACACACACACACCGAAGTCAGGAAGTCAGGGCCTTAATGTAGTGATGCTGTGGATATTTCCTTTTTTTAATCTCCTAAATACTTAAAATTTAAGAGGAATAACAAGCAGCACAGTCTGTGGAATAGACAGGAAGCATCAGAGAGTTGAGCCTAAAATACCCTAGCATAATACACCCATTGGAAAGGCATTAGCAAACGTTTTTTTGAGAATGCAAATGTCCTTTTGAAGGGTTAAGGTCCTTGGACTCTGAATCATGTACTTCTTTATATAAATGATATCAGCTTTGATGAAAGAAATACTCTTGGTCATGGTTATGGGAATGGGAGCCATGGGAGAGTGAAGAGTGATTTAAGAAAATTTGGGCAGGGTAAGAAGAGAGGAAAGATTATATCAGTACAGTTCAGCTGTGCCTCCCACCCAGGTAAACACCCTTCTCTCCTCTTCCTAAAGCTCCTCTTGCCTTCCGGTAATAATCTTTCTTTCCATTTTCATTGTCATTTACTGACTAGCATCCAGGTTATTAAAAACAAAACTGTTCACAAAATGTTTCAAATAGCCTAGTAGCAGAAGCAGCTCAGTATCCAGGACTATCAGTGGGATCTGGATTCTGACATTTGGTTAAGCTCCCTGAAAGTAGCTAGCACAATGGACATACTTTATGCCCATCATGGCAAAACAACCAGAAAGATACCTGGCTTCAACCTAGGCTCACCACAGGGTAACTGTAGAGCTTCAATATGGATATTATGATAGGTAAGGAGGTTAAATATTTTGACTATCTTTTCTCGGGGGTTGGGGGGCAGGGAAGAAACACTGGCTGGGTGCTGTGGGTCACACCTGTAGTCCCAGCATTTTGGGAGGCTGAGGTGGGCAGATCACTGGAGTTGGAGACCAGCCTGGGCAACATGGCAAAAGCCCGCTTCTAGAAAAATGCAACAAATTAGCTTGGCCTGATGGTGCACACCTGCAGTCCCAGCTGTTCAGGAGGATGAAGTGGGAGCATCTCTTGAGCCTGGGAGGTCAAGGCTGCAGTGAGCTGAGATCGCACCGGTTGCACTCCAGCCTGGGCGTTGGAGTGAGACCCTGTCTCAAAAAAAAAAAAAAAAAAAAGAAAAAGAGGAAGAGCATGCAGCGTTCTTTCTTTTAAATGTAAATAAATAGCTAATTAATCCCAATAGTTTCTTTTTCTTTCATGATTAGCTCCAGGGACAGGAAGCAAGGTGTCTTAGTTTTCAGAACTTTTCACATTTTGAATGCTCAGTAAATACTAAGAAAGCAATCCAATATGTGAAAATAAAAAGCTAGAATAAATCTGTCTCCTTTCTTGAATGTTGAGCCTTTAAGCACTCAGCAGGGAAGAAGCATTTATTCTAATATAGAGACAAAGCGTTGTTTGTTACAAACAGGGGGGAAAATCGAATTAAAAGTGGGATTTATGAAGCCCCTGCTTTGGCATGAGCAAGATAGCAGAGTTGATACATCCGCCCTAATGCCAAAGGCATGGAGGCCTGATATTGGTGATCATAAGCCAGTTTCTAGTCTATTGGCTTTCTCATCAGAGGAGGTAGTTTAATGTCCTAAATTCAGCAGTAAATATTAGTGAATAAACTTAAGTAATAAGGCCTGAACTTCTTTTGCCTTCAATGCTTACATAAAAATGTCTAAAACTTGCCAAAGTAATCAACTGAAAAATGAAAAACTTCAGTCATACTGGTTGTATCATGCAGAACGAAAACAACCAATTGGCTGAGTGATCTGACATTTAAGCCTAGCACCTAATAATCAGATCCAGTCAGACTATTTCTAATGACATCCATGTCATTCTTTAAAGGAAATGAAATCGTGTAATGACATATTCTCCTAGATCTCTTTGTTGTTGTTCTGTACACCTCCCCCAGAGTGTGCAGGCTCTGAATGGCCTGCACACGTGTCCCTTTGTTTGACAGCTACCCTGAGTCTATGGGTCCTGCTTTGTCTGGGTTGAGAGCCACAGGTGCCCTGCTAATAATACCTAATGTTTACTGAGTGCTTACTAGATGCTGAACTCAGTATTAAGCACTTTAACTCTGTTATCCTTTTTTTTTTTTTTTTTTTAAGACAGAGTTTCACTCTTGTCGCCCAGGCTGGAGTGCAGTGGCAGGATCTCGGCTCACTGCAACCTCCACCTCCTGGCTTCAAGCGATTCTCCTGCCTCAGCCTCCCCAGTAGCTGCGACTGCAGACGTGGGCCACCATGCCCGGCTAATTTTTGTATTTTTAGCAGAGACGGGGTTTCTCCATGTTGGCCAGGCTGTCTCGAACTCCTGACCTCAGGTGATCCACCCGCCTTGGCCTCCCAAAATGCTGGGATTACAGGCATGAGCCACCATGCACAGCCTCCGTTATCTCATTCAGTTCTCACAGTATCTCTGCATGGTATAAATTAAGAAATTATTGATGAAGAAATTATTGACTCAATAATTTCCCTTTTATAAAGTTATTATACTGATATTACTACACATATTATGCACTACAATATGTGTACAGAGACGTTTACCAACCTGGCCAATATGGTGAAACCCCATCTCTTCTAAAAATACAAATATTAGCCGGGCGTGGTGGCACGTGCCTGTAATCCTAGCTACTCAGGAGGCTGAGGCAGGAGAATCTCTTGAACCTGGGAGACAGAGGTTGCAGTGAGCAGAGATCATGCCACTGCAGTCCAGCCTGGCGACAGAGCAAGACACCATCTCAAAAAATAAAAATAAAAATAAATGTTTACAGTAATAATGTTTGTGGAAAAAAGGCATACTGAAGGCCTAAATTTTCGTCAACAGAAGACAGGTCAAATCAATGTTGGCAAAAGAATGAGTAAGCAGCTGGGAAAAGAATGAGGCAGTTCTATATGCACTTTAATGGAACCATTTCTAAGACTTATTATGTGAAAAAACAAGGTGCTGAATATACATAGATATGTCAAGTGTGCATTGACTATTTCTGTGAAGAGACAAAGCAGCTAGAAGAATTTGATAGGAAGGTGTAACTCCAGAGATGGTGCACCAAGGGTCTGATACATGAGAGAAACTTATCTTTATTTTATATAAATATATTTATATATATGTGTATATATATAATATATATGTGTGTGTGAGTGTGTGTGTGTGTGTGTGTGTGTGTGTATATATATATATATATATATATATATATATATATATAAAATCGATATTATTTACCCAACCTCAGAAATGGGTGTTTTTATTTCCATTCTAAGGAAAAGTAGCTGAGTCTCTTAGAATTCACTGAATTGTTCAAATGCACACAGCTAGTGAATAGCAGAGCCAGGATTTGAATCGAAGACAGTTTGATATATAAGCCTTACATTTTTATAGTATATTATTTTTCTTTCGAAATCCACAATGGAATAAGAAAGCATTTTAGTTATGTTACAAAAATAAACTAAATTTTAACAACAAAGAATCCCAATTTTAAATTTGTTCTTTATGATAAAATCTGCCTGCTTCAATGATTAAATATGAATATAAATTCAACCATAGAAAAATTTTTCTCCACTAAATAGTAAAACATATATATATAAAAGAATTTTTTTCTGAAAACCCCAACTATTAGGTTTCAACTAAAACCATTTCTAAAATCAAGTCGTAAAACCAAAGAAGCAGAGAAAGGCAGAACCAGTTGTGTGCTGGAGGTGGTTCATACTGGCTCAAGAGAGCCAACCACTAAATTTTGAGAGTCGATTATTAGAGACTGACATTATTTTAAAACCAGTTATATAAACCTACAAGTAAGTAAATTATATTATAAACAAAGGTAATAAAAATTCATTACATCTTAATTAATTTAATATTATCTATGCTCTTTAGGTTATTTACATCTAACCAATCACTATGGTAGAAGTATTATATAACGGCATACTGCTGTGAATCTCTTCCCAATTCTCCCTTCAGTGATGTCACATTGAGAACTCAAAATCAGACTTGATGATAATATTTACACTGAGGAAAGCAGCAAAGGCTAAAAATTAGAGCTTTTCTTTCTCCAGAAAGCTGATTGTTAAATAATTATGAAGCACACCACTGGACTCACTCCTCCTTAATAGCGTAAGTGTATAACTTTTGCAATTTTCAGCCTTGTAATGAGGGAAAAGAAAAACAAACTTGTGACTATTGCAGTAAAAGATGACTACTAAAAAAATCTAGCAATAGAAAATTGGCCAATGACTTCTGTGGTTGATTCTGGAAACTATGTTTCCATCTATCTTTTATCAAATATACCCGTGTAGGTTCTTTTAAAAAAAGAAATGAAAAAAGAAAAAAAAGGCAATTATTTTTATTTTTATTTATTGATTTTTTTTGAGGCGGAGTCTCGCTCTGTCGCCCAGGCTGGAGTGCAGTGGCGCAATCTCGGCTCACCGCAAGCTCCGCCTCCCGGGTTCAAGCCATTCTCCTGCCTCAGCCTCCCAAGTAGCTGGGATTACAGGGGTCTGCCACCACGCCCGGCTAATTTTTTGTACTTTTAGTAGAGACGGGGTTTCACCATATTAGCCAGGACGGTCTCGATCTCCTGACCTCGTGATCCACGCACCTCGGCCTCCCAAAGTGCTGAGATTACAGGCACTAGCCACCGCACCCAGCCAGCTTCTCTTCTTAGGACTCATTGTTGGCAGTCACTTTTATTGGCATGTACTGATGATATATCTTGATGGAGGTGGGCAAACGAGTGAGAGGAACTGGGAGCACAATAGTTTCATTAGCAAACACTAAAATGGCTACCAATTCTCCCTTTAACACTTCTGGCACTGGGTGGC